>NC_000004.12:9947916-10572916 GCF_000001405.40 Homo sapiens | reverse complement strand
GTGGAGGTTGCAGTGAGCTGAGATTGCACCACTGCACTCCAGCCTGGGTGACAGAACAAGACTGTGTCTCAAAAAAACAAGAAAAAACAAAACAAAACAAAACAAAATGGGAAAATGATAAAGCCAGAGCAAGAAGTAGAAATGCTTATCACATCGTGGTCCTCCACAATACTTAGATGAAATTCAGAAATTTATCCTGAATTTCTTGGCAGCCAAAGGAAGAAGGGAAATATCCTTAAATCAAAGCAAACCAGTTGCTAGGAAGCATGCAGCTTCTGCTCCTGAGACCTGAAACTTCTCACATATGTGCTAATAAAGAGAATTTAATTTAAAAAAGGAAATTTTTAAAAAATTGTTTCAAATGCTCCCTGATGCAGGCTAATAGCAGGAAACTACAATACAATTTAGGAAAATAAAGTTTATGAAGAATGAAAAAATCTGCAGTGATTTTGCATAATCTGAGGGTAAAATTTTAAACATAGAATACTGAGTGGGCTCAATGACCCCAGGCAATCTTTCATAAAACAAGCCCAAATAAGAGTGTTGAGTGCTGAGAAAAGGCAACTGCTGTGTTTTCATTCAACAAACACCTGGTCCATAACTCAATTGTTCAATACGGGGTCTTATGCCAGGTGCTAGAAATAGATGAATGAATAGCTATGACTTCTGTCCTCAAAATACTTATAGTCTATTCAGGAGACAGATGTATGGACAGATTATTGCAATTGCAACATGCTGTGCCTTGTGGGGGAAGAGAAGGGAAAATAAAACTCATCATTAGCTGAGCTGCTGCTGACTCAAGACTTCGGGAGCAATTGCTGTGAGAGATCTTCTCATATTATGTTTCTCTAGCAACAGGAATTTTGACCTGCTACAGTAGAGATAAAGTTTCTTACCTCCAAGTCACTGTTTGATTTGAATTCTGCTTCCTTTTCTCCTGTTTCTTTGTCCTGTTTTGCAAGAGCAACAGGTAGAATGGGAAATAAAGAAAAATGCACTTTAGTTTTGAAAAATCACAATCAAGGTAAGTTAATTAAAACTGACAAAAGATTTCTGGAGAAAAACAAGGGCCCAGTCTTTTTGATGTTTGGAGCTACCACAGTGATTAAAATAACACTCGGTCTGTTTGTGTTGGCAGGCCAGTACCAGAGGATGAACAAGCCTCTTCTAGACTGGGTAAGTCAGCTGCTTCCCTTATCTATTTTATACGTCTTTAATATTGCAAAGCAGGTGAATTTGATTCAAGATACTGGGTAAAATGTTTAAAAATCAACAGTAACAGGCTGCGTGCAGTGGTTCACACCTGTAATCCCAGCACTTTGGGAGGCCAAGGCGGGCAGATCACCTGAGGCCAGGAGTTCAAGACCAACCTGGCTAACATGAGGAAACCCCGTTTCTACTAAAAATACAAAAAATTAGCCAGGCATGGTGGTGTGAGCCTGTAATCCCAGCTACTCACGAGGCTGAGGCAGGAGAATCGCTTGAACCCAGGAGGCAGAGGCTGCAGTGAGCCGAGATAGCACCCTTGCACTTCAGCCTGGGCGGCAAGAGCGAAACTCTGTCTCAAAAAAAAAAAAAAAAAAAAAAAAAGCAACAGCAACAACAACAACAAAAAATACTTTTCCAAGTGGCATACTTTCCTGGCAAGAAAAACTGCATTTTAATTCTTGGGTGTAAAACTATATTCCAATTCCTCAGCTATAAAATGGAAATAAAAATTAATTAACATGGTCATTGTGAAGGCTGAATAAAGTGAAAATACCAATACACTGTGCCGGCAAGTGCGTTATGAGAAGCACACTTCCTAACACTCATAGTAAAATTTTAAATTGAAATAAACTTTCCAGAGAGCAATTTCATAATATCAAGTAAGCAACATTAAAATACCCATTTTTAGCCCAATAATTCCATTCTTGGGAGTTTAAAAAGCTAATCTAAAATATGTACTGATACTTAAACATATTCACAGATTTTATAATATATTTTAAATGGCAGCACATTTGAATTATGCTAAGTATTCAGTAATACAAAAGTAACTGCATCTTGATACATCCATTTTATGAAATCATTTGCAATATTTACAAATAATTTTAACAACTAGAGAAAAAGATTAAAATTTATAACATTAATTCAATATATTTTATTACAAGCAAATGTATAGGTATATAATTTAAATAGTTTTCACTTGCATATCTATAGATTAGATAGGCAGATGTATGATTGATTGATTGACTGATTGATTCTGTTCATAAACTCATTGACTCTTTACTGTTTGAGGTAGCTCTTTAAGAATCTAACTAAAGCTTATGGACCCTTACCCAGAAACATACAAACACACATATACATACACACACATGCACACACAAAAATTGTAAAAATTAAAAGGTTCATGGGTAAAGAATATTGAACCTCTAGTTAAGACTCCTTGAAATTGTTAGAAAATAGATAATACATTAATAGATAAATAGATATAACTCTATATTTAAAACAAATGTCTCTTTCTCTCTCTTCCTCTCTCTCTCTCTAAAGAAGTACACCAAAACACTTACATTTACTCCTGGGGGCAAAAGTCTCTTCTTACCTGGAGTGATGGTTGTTCTTCCCAGCCTTCTTATCATGTCCTGACTCTACCAAGTCTAGCAAAGGTATTGGGTGGAAAGTTGGAAAATGGGTTCAGGCTCACATCCCAGTTCTTCCAGCAGGTCCAAGACTTCCCCCAAGAGGCTATGCCCTAGAGAGCCTTGGTGATGGCCGTAACAGTATGTAAATGGCACCTTTGCACAAATACCCATCTGTCAAATCCCCAAAGGATTCTCCTGCCCGAGCTCCAGCTGAGAGCTCACTGGGTGTACAGTTCCAGAACCGAGACACCTTCTCTCCCTTTACTGTGTCAATGGTGAAACTTCCTGGAGTACACATACTAGCAGCTTTGCTTTGCTTTGTCCTGGGTACTGGGCTCTACCTATGGCTCAGCACATCACCTAGAGAAAAAAGATCCAACAGGTACTGAGTTCCTGCTGTGGAATAGATACCAAAGTAGAGACTTGAGATACATTTTCTCAATGAACAACAACAAGATAAGGTGGGTTTAGTCATCTCCAATTTACAGATTGAACATCTCAGTCAGGGAGCTTAAGTAACCTTTCCAAGAATGCAAGATCAAGAGTCATGTCTGTGCTTACACATAACATGATGCCGGCTGCAGATTTTAATGCGGAGGAGCACATTCCAGAATTCCTATAATGACCATTGTGTGTGAGTGCATCTGTTGCAGACTGGTGTCCATTCCTGCCAGTCTAGTGTTCAGACCCAGAGCCTTTGATAGGTGCCTGTGTTAGTCTTCTAGTGTTGCCATAACAATATGCCATAAACTGGATGGCTCAAACAACAGAGGTTTATTTTCTCATGACTCTGAAGACCAGAAGTCCAAGACCAAAGTGCCAGTAGGGTTGGCGAGAACTATCCCCTTGGGATGCAAATGACTACCCTCTCCCTGTGTGCTCACATGGCCTTTCCTCAGTGTGTGCATTTGGGGACGGGTGGGGAGAGAGAGGGAGAAACCCAGAGAAAGAGAGAGAGAGAACTCTCTGGTGTCTCTTCTTATAAGAACACTAATCCTATCAGATAAGAACCCCACCCTCAAATGTTGTGCAGTACCAATGGTCTGTAACCTGGTCTCCTGGCTCCATTTCAGGAATGGAAAAATGACCAAAAAAAAAAAAAAAAAAGGGCAGTCTTGGCCAATTCACTTGGGGAGGAGGTGGCTGGGGGAATATGAACCCACAGAATTTTCTTGACTATACATTTTACCTAAATTCTCACACCTAAACCTGATCGAATGAACTAGAATTTCAAAAATGATGGTGTCAGCTTTAGCACAAAATTTCACATTGCAGTTGCTTTTACTGTGATAGTGTCACATTTTAAGACAATATACAGAGAGTGGTGTCACTTCTTGAGGCCCCACCCTTCACAGTAAAGACCCAAATAATTGCATTTGTTTTCCATTGCTGTGATGTCACATCCCCACAGATTTGGCAGCTTGACCATTTATTATCGCACAGTGGATGCAATCAGAAGTCTGGGCACAGCATGGCTCAACTAGTTCCCCTGTTCTGGGTCTCACAAGACTGAAAGCAACATGCTGGCAGGGCTGCATTCTCCTCCAGGGGCTCTGAAGAGGAACTTGCTTCCAGATTCTTTCGGGTTGTTTCATAGAATCCAGTTCCTTTCTGTTGTAGGACTGTGGTCCCCATGTCCCTGCTGGCTGGCTGTTGTCAAATCCTTCTACTCTTGGACTCCTCTATCTAAATTGTCCTTCTGCCAGATCTCTCTTTCTTTCTTGTCTACTTCCTTTCTCTGACTTCCTCTTCTGCTTTTTAAAACAGGTTTTTCTGAGATAAAATCTACCTGCCATTCAATTTACGCATTTTATGAGTACAATTTAATGGTTTTTTTGTATATTCACAGAGTTGCATAACCATCACTCC
This sequence comes from Homo sapiens, assembly GCF_000001405.40. Lineage (NCBI taxonomy): Eukaryota > Metazoa > Chordata > Mammalia > Primates > Hominidae > Homo > Homo sapiens. Next base: position 10,568,426 of record NC_000004.12, on the reverse strand, counting down.
AATCAATATATTTTTATCATCTCAAAATGAAACCCAGTCCCCCCTTCCCCCAGACCTTGGCAAATATTAATCTACTCTTTATCTATAGATCCTCCTCTTCCAGACATTTCATATAAACAGAATCATGCAACATTCCATTTTGTATATGACTCCCTTCTTTCATTTAACGTAATATTATCAAGGCTTATCCATGTTATAGCATATATCAGTACTTTACTCGTTTTCATTGCTGAATAATATTCCATTGTGTGACTATACAACACTTTATTACCTATGCAGTAGTTCATGGATACTTGGGTTATTTCCACTTTTTTACTATTAAGAAAAATACTGCTATAAACATGTGCTAGTTTTTGTGTGAATGTGGAGTTGCTGGATTATATGGTAGCTCTGTGTTTAACCTTTTGAGGAACTGCCAAAGCATTTTCTGCAGCAGCTGTACCCTGTTACATTCCCATCAGCAATGCATGAGATCCTCAAATTCTCCACATTCTTGTCAGCCCTGATTATTTTCTGTCTTTTTTTAAATCATCTTGGTGTTGTATGGCTGACATCTCATTGTGCTTTTGAGTTGCATTTTCCTAATGGCTAATGATATTGAGCATCTCTCCATGGGATTATTGATGGTTTGCATATCTTCTTTGAAGAAACATCCATTCATATCCTTTTCCCACTTTAAAATTTGGTTATTTATCCTTAGATCATTGCATTGTAAGAGTTTTTCATATACTCTGGATTTAAGCTCCTTATCAGATACATGATTTGCAAATATTTTCTTCATTCCACAGTTGCCTTTTTATTTTTTGTGGTCTTTTGAAGCACACAAGATTTTCATTTTAATTAAGTCCAATTTATCTATTTCTTTTATTGCTTGTATTTTTTTGTTCTATCTAAGTAATCATTGCCTAAGCCAAGAAATGAAGATTTACTCCAATATTTTAAGGGTTTTATAGTTTTAGCTGTTAAATTTATATTCAAGGCCCATTTGCACTTAATTTTTGCATATGATATAAAAAAGAGGTTCAGCCTCACTGCCATGCATGTGGATATCCAGTTGTCCTAGGACTATCTGTTGAAAGACTATTCTTTCCACCCATTGTATTGTCTTAGTACACTTCTTAAAAATCAATTAACCCTCAGTGTGAAGGTTTATTTCTGGACCCTCAATTATATTCCAATTATCCGCACATCTATCTTACTACCAATACCACATTGTCTTGATTACTGCATCTATGTAGTAACTTTTGAAATAAGTGTTAGTCCTCCAACTTTATCTTTTTTTTTTTTTTTTTTTTCCCAAGATTGTTTTGGCTATTCTTGGTTCTTCTTATTTTCTTAAGAATTTTAGGATTATCTTGTCAATTTCTGCAAAATAAATCAGTGTGTTAATTTGCAAAGTATTTCTATTTTAACAAGATTAAGTCTCCCAATCCATGATCATTAGTCATCTTTCCATTTATTTAGGTCTTCTGAAATTACTATCAACAGTGTTTTTGCAGTTTTCAGTGTACAAATTTTGCACTTCTTTTGTTAAATGTATTTCCATATATTTTATTCTCCTTGATGCTATTGCTAATATAATCGTTTTCTTTTTTAAAACATTTTTGTACAGATGAGGTCTCACTCTGTTGCCCAGGCTGTTCTCAAACTCCTAGCCTCCAGCAATCCTCCTACCTCAGCCTCCCAAAGCGCTGGGATTACAAGCATGAGCCACCGCACCTAGCCCATTTTCTTAATTTCTATTTTCAATTTGTTATTACTAATTTATAGAAATATAAATTGTCATTACTAGCATATAGAAATACAACTGAATTTGGTATATTAATCCTGTATCCTGCCACCTTGAGGAATTATTTATTAGTTCTAATAATTTTTTAGTGAATTCTTCAAATACAAGATTATCTTATTTGCAAGTAAGTCCTCTTTCTGCTTCTAAGGGTTCATGTGATTACATTGGGCCCACCCAGGTAATCCAGGACAATCTGCCTATTTTAAGGTCAGCTGATTAGTGACCTTCATTACATCTGCACTGTCCCTTCACAGCAGTACCTAGATTAGTATTGATTCAGTAACCAGAGATGAGAATATTGGGAGATATCTTTAGAATTCTCACTAGCACAAGAATTAAACTTCTATTTAAGATCCCAGACCCTAGATTCTTAAATATTTAACTTGCAGCTAAGAAGGTCTACCCCATTTCTCTAGCCAGCACTGTAGCCTGTCTTTGTCAACATTGTACCTTCCTTTGACTCACTGGAATGTTACCACCTGCTTAGGAAAGAAACTTTGCTGCAGTCCTGGATGGAGCAAAAGGCCACAGTGATGATGACTATGATGACCCTGAGCTTCGGATGGAAGAGACATGGCAGTCGATTAAAATTTTACCAGCCCGGCCTATAAAGGAATCTGAATATGCAGGTAACGTTTGGGGGTCTGCCTGAAATAAGAAGATGCATGTACATGCCACCATATTGCACACTATTTAAAGGTGCGGTTTCTGAATTAAACAACCCTAGGTTAACGTCTGCCCCCATGACTTACTAGCTGTGTGACCTTGAGAAAGTCTCTCCAATCCACTTTCTCTTTCTGAAAACAGGGTTCATAATAATAGAAGTTGACCCAGAGGGCTCTTTTGAAGATTATGTGAATGACGCATGTTGAGTTCTCACCAGAGGACCTGGTACCAAGCCAGAGATCTGTAACTCTCAGCTGTTATTATCACGATGCTCTCCTTGAGCCCTAGGAACAATGATGAGCATAACGGAGGGTGGACAAGCAGGGATGCAGCAGCATGGGAAATGTTAAATGAGGTCTGCATAGAGGGGAGTAGAATGAAAAAAAAAAGACTTTTTAACTTGGTTAATTCATTGTGCAGCCAGCCAGCCTAAGAGCGTCAGCAGGGCATGGCAGCAAAGCTGCAATTGTTAAGAATAAGAGGACCTAATTTCACACCCACCTCTGTCTCTAACTGTGGCACAAAGGGCAGCTTCAGCAAGTTCCTTGAGATAAAGCACCCTATTGTAAGGGGAAAGAGGAAGTATTCACAATTTCTGAGGGCCTGAACCACTAAAGTGAATCTATAGAAGTGTATTTGGAGAAAGTCATCTTGTAAATGATGATGACTTTTCTTGTTCATTCATTCAGTAAGCATTCATTGAGCATCTACTACGTGCCAGTTTCCATGTTGGGATTGACTGGGGGACACAAAGACAAACAATGCAGGATCCATACCCTCAGGAAGGTGCAATCTAGTGGCAGAAACCAGCAGCTCAACCGATGAATGTGATAGAATATGCTAAGTGTGTAATATAGAAAGGAGAGCTGGCATGGGGTGTGACTGGGTGGGATCTAGTAAGATTTTTAAAGGGCATGGCATAGCCAAAATTTTGTAAGATTTATAGAATTTCTAAGGTGAATGAGAAAATGAAGAATATTCAGGTTCAAACTTTGGCATTTTTTTGTGTGCACTGAGATGAGCAATTTCTTCTCTGCATACGTCAGTCTCCTACTCTGTTAAATGAAAGCAGAATTGCTTGCTCTTACTTACGTTGTAATGATCCAATGAGTTTGTAGATGTGCAAATACTTTGTAAATTGTAATGTGCTGAGTCCACGTAAGGTATGACTTTCATATTTTTCTGTTTGCATAGATACACACTATTTCAAGGTTGCAATGGACACTCCCCTTCCGTTAGACACCAGGACCTCTATCTCCATTGGACAGCCGACCTGGAACACACAGACGAGGTTGGAAAGAGTGAGTAAAGACTGGACATTGTGACACAAACATGTGTAGGGCTCTTCCTAACCAGCTAGAAACTGCCCCATCTCCTGTCCCCCAGGCCATCTTATTAGGGAAAGAGCAGGTCAAGCTCACTGAGGTGGATGGGAGGTGACTCTTATGACTGGTAGGAGGTGACTCTTATGACTGGTAGCATCATGGCCCTACCTCTAGAAAGAAGGATAATTCAGATGTGTGGAAGATTGTGAGCCAGAGATCACGCTAAGGACTTTGACATGCATCTCATCTAATGCTCATCGCATTCTCCAGAGAAAGAACATGAACTCAAATCTTTCTGATCATAATATAAGATTTTGCCCAGAGTCTCGGCCCAACATGGTAAATTATGAGCTGGGAGGTAATAAGTAAGTCATGAAACCTCTCTAAGCCTCCTAGTAACTTTATCTACCAAAGAGGGAAAAACAGAAAATCCTACCATGCTTATTTCAAAATGCTGTTTGGAAGCTACAAAAGATAATTTTGCACCACTGCACTCCAGCCTGGGTGACAGAGTGGGACTCCGTCTCAAAAAAAAAAAAAAAGAAAAAATCTAGTAAATGCAAATGCCCTAAATGCATACATAGAATTTTATTTTTAATAAAACATTTGCTAACACTTAATTTTCTTAATCCAGAAAGGCATAAAATACAAATGATCACCCCCTGGGATTGCAGTTATTGGTCATAACATTTTCGTGCACTTCATTATCAGTATTTTCTTTTCTTTTCTTTTCTTTTTTTGAGATGGAGTTTTGCTCTGTTGCCCAGGCTGGAGTGCAATGGCACAATCTCAGTTCACTGCAACCTCCACCTCCCGGGTTCAAGTGGTTCTCCTGCTTCGGCCTTCTGAATAGCTGGGATTACAGGTGCACGTCACCATGCCCGGCTAATTTTTGTATTTTTAGTAGAGATGGGATTTCACCATGTTGGTCAGGCTGGTCTCAAAATCCTGACCTCGTGATCCACCCACCTTAGCCTCCCAAAGTGCTGGGATTATGGTCGTGAGCCACCGCGCCGGGCCATTGTCAGTATTTTCTATGCAGATATCTGTCAAACAGGGGAAGCCTCATTGTTTAGTATATACCTGCTTTATTTTTCTTCTCACATTAAATTCTGGTATAAAACAATTTCTCATGTGATAAACAAGCATTCATAAGTATAATTTTTGTAGACAAAGCATAACCCACTATGGGATTTTCAATTATTTTACTAAACCATTGAGTGAAGACATTTTAAAGGCTTTCAGTATGTATTGTAAAATTTCCTTTCTAAAAAATTGTTTCCATTTACCATCCCAGAAACTCTGTATAGGAATATCCACCCCTTAGAAATATCACCAATACTGGCTATTAGTTTTTCAGTTGTATTTTTTAAAAAGGGATTTCACTATTCTTTTTTAGTTTGCACCACAGTTATTAGTGAGTATTAACCTGCTTTTGAATATTCCTCACATATTTTATATTCATTGTCTGTTTAACTTGAGGGCTTCTGTTAATTTGGACAGAAAAATGAAACTACAAATCTTATCAAGCAACACCGACCATTTACACAGAAGATATCTGATAGAGACTGAAGGAGCAAGACGAGTGATGAAAAATCAAACACTTCCTTTTTACACGGGCACAGCAGTGATTGAAGCTAAACACTTCAATCATTCACTCAACAAATTCATTCAAGAACTATGTCATCGGTGCCTGCTAGGATCAGACACAATTATAGACTCTAAAGACATATCCGTGAACCACCAATTCCCTGTGCTTATGAAACATATATGCTAATGGTAGGAGACCAGTGATAAATAAATGCACAATAGACAGACAATAGATAAGCAAGTGTACTTTGAAAAATAATGATAATGCAGGACAAGGAAGGTCAAGGAAAAAAATTCTCAGTAGAGATCGAACTGAAAGAATGAATGATATTTAATCCTTAAAACATTCTTGTGACCGGACGTGGGGGCTCACGTCTGTAATCTCAGCACTTTGGGAGTCTGAAGTAGGCAGATCACAAGGTCAGGAGTTCGAGACCAGCCTGGCCAACATGGTAAAACTCCATCTCTACTAAAAATAGAAAAATTAGCCGGGTGTGGTGGTGGGTGCTTGTAGTCCCAGCTACTCAGGAGGCTGAGGCAAGAGAATTGCTTGAACCCAGGAGTCAGAGGTTGCAGTGAGCCGAGATTGCACCACTGCACTCCAGCCTGGTGACCAAGCGAGACTGCATCTGAAAAACAAAAACAAAAACAAACAAACAAAAATCTCAAAAGATGAACATCATCACTTCCATTTTAATAGCTGCAATTTTATAAGCTCTGTGCCTTTGGGTCTGTTACTCAACCTCTCTGAGCCTTCATGATCTTACCTATAAAATCCATCACTGTTGTAGTAATACATAGAAAACACAGTATTTCTATGTGCTTCCAGCACATAGGCTGAGGTGGGAGGATTATTTGAGCCTGGGAGGTCGAGGCTGCAGTGAGCTGAGATAGCACCACTGCACTTCAGCCTGGGCAACAGAGTGAGACCCTGTCTCAAAAAAAAAAAAAAAAAGAAAAGAAAAAGAAAAGAAATGAATCTTCAATAAGATCCAAGAAATGCGTCTTTGTGCTTCCAGCCTGAAGCACAAAGCAATCAGTCCACAGAGGACATCTCCATGAGGTCAGGTGCTATTTTAGCCCCAACACCTACCATGGTGCCTTTGTAAGAGGTTCTCCATAGATATTGGTTAAATGAATGAAAAATAACAAACTTTCAATCATTTGAACTCAAGCTTTAAAAATAAATACCTGTTTAGTAGGGAAAGAGACCGAGTCTTTCCCCAGTTCATCTTCTGTTCACAAAAAAGACTTTCTCGGTCTGGCCTTCAAAATTCTTCTATTTTCCTGCTACTATTTGCTGCTATCATCAAGATCTGCATCTAGGGTAGTCCCCCAGGGGCTGTCTGAGAGGGAGGAGAGCATTTCAGGGCACTCATCACCAGAGCATAAAGCGTGGCCAGGAAATGAGAATTCCAGAGAGATTGGACCAGTGGCTGAAGACACAGTTCTGGTCCGGTTATAAAGAAGTAGAGAACGCTGAACTAAAAAATTTGAGCTGAACTTTCCCTGTAAATGACTGGCAATCCCTTTTCACATAGGTAAGCCTTCATGAATACAATTTTTTTTTACAAAGAATAATTCTCATTTGATTTTTTAAAAAACAACTATGCCAGGATTTAAGCCTTTACTCTTACACTTTCTATTCCTTCATATCATCTTTGTAGCTTCCTGTTAAAAACAAGTTTCTTCCTTTGGCTAGATCACTTTGCAGGTGGAACTACAATCTCAGCACATTAAGTCAAATGAAATTATGTGAGGAAAAAGGATAGGGCAAGGTGAGCAAAATTTCAGAGGGGAGTTGTCTCATAAATTCAACAAGAGTTTGGCCTCAATTCAGATGAAGAGGGAGTTTTAGCCAGGTGCAGTAGTTCATGCCTGTAATCCCAACATTTTGGGAGGCCGAGGTAGGTGAATTGCTTCAGCCCAGGAGCTCAGTAGCAGCCTGAGTAACATAGTAACATCTCATCTCTAAAAAAAAATTAAAAAAAAAATAGCTGGTCGTGGTGGAGCATGCCTGTAGTCCCAGCTACTCTGGGGGCTGAGGTGGGAGGATCACCTGAGCCTGGGAGGTCAAGGCTGCAGTGAGCCGTGATCATGCCACTTCACTCTAGTCTGGGTGACAGAACAAGACCTTGTCTCAGAAAAAAAAAGAGGTGGGGGAGGAGTTTCACATTTGTAATCAGTGTTGTAAAAATCAAGTATTTATGGCAAGCAGATTATCTTTTTTATGACAATCTCATTCCTAGGAGTTGATTCTTACTAGTTCTGCACATTTATGTTGAGATTAAACTATCTGTGAAATGGATCTCCAGCCAGGTGTGATGGCTCACACTTGTAGTCCCCACGTTTTGGGAGGCCAAGACAGGGGGATTGCTTGAGCCCAGGAGTTCAAGACCAGCCTGGGTAACATTGTGAAACTCCATCTCTACAAAAAGTACAAAAATTAGCTGGGCATGGTGACGCACGCCTGTAGTCCCAGCTACTTGGGAGGCTGAAGTGGGAGGATCGCTTGAGCCCGGGAGGTCAAGGTTGCGGTGAGCTGAAATCATGCCACTGCATTCCAGCCTGGGTGACAGAGTGAACTCCAGCCGGAGCGACAGAGTGAGACCCTGTCTCAAAGAAAATAAAAAGAAAGAAAAAAAGAAATGGATCTTCAATAATTTTTACAAAGGCCAGTTCTTGTCTAGACCCCTTAGGTGGGTCTTGACAACTGTCTTGCCCTAAACCACTGCCCATCCTTCTATTTATTGAGCATGTACTGTGTACCAAGCTCTGTGCTTAGCAATAGGGGTTGAAAGGTGAGCCAGTGCCCACAGTCTAAGGGAGGAGGCAGTGACCCAGATGGGCAGTTTCCATGTTCTAGGAAGTGGTCAGATGGAGGTAAACACAGTGTGCAAACGCACGCAGACCTGCATCTCCGAGAGTAGCCAGTGCCATTGGAGGGGTCTGATGAAGGAAGCCATATGATGCAGTCTTCCACAACTGGCACATGTTTCATTGTGATCAGTGGTTCTCCATGGAAAGTTTTTGCCCCCCAGGGGACTTTTGACAAAGTCTGGTCACATTTTTGGTTGTCACAACTGAGTTCTACTGACATCTAGTAGGTAGAAGACAGAGATGTTACTAAGCATCCTACAAGGCACAAGAATTTTCCAACCCCAAATCTCAATTCTCAGTAGTACCCAAACTGAAAAATCTGTTACAATGTACCTGTGAATCCAAGCTGGTATTTTTCTTTGTTCCCTCATAATCTAGCATTGCCACAGACACATTAGTAGGTACTAGTAAATATTTATTTGACAGAAGTTGGGAATTGCCCCAGGGGAGGGACAGGAAATATTCCTGGGCCGGGGAATCCTGTACTAATTCTGCTGCTTGGGACTACTTGGAGCCCCATCCTAAGACCCTGAGATTGCAAATCCCACCTAAGACGGAGACAATGGGAACCTCTCCTGCCTCCATGACCAGGCTAGCAATGCAGCATGGGGCATGAGCATTGAGAGAGACTCCCTCTGTGGGGCAGGCACACAGGGAAGATTAAAAGATGAGCGTGCACAAGAACATTGAAAAAACCCTCTGGCACCCCAGTCCCCACAAGGTAACCCTGGAGAAATTGAAAGCTGATGGTGTAATGAAGAAGTCAATAGCCACGATAAAAAAAAATAATCCAACCAACACTCAACCCCTAATTAGATATAACCAAAAGAAGAAGGGCCACGCCCTTTCCAGGCATAAATACTGTGGTTCAATGTTCCACAGAGGATAAGAGTAATGGGGGATTCAATGGGCCCCTGACCCACCATGCCCAACTCAACCTGGTGCCAATAAAGACTAATACTAAGACCCTAATATTAACCTAGGCTTAAAGGTTTTCAAAGACGTAGGGACCCCTTTATGATCTTCATCTTCTTCACCTTTATGTCTTCCAGTTGTGTACCCCTTAATAGTTCACTAATGCCTTTAATAATATTAATAGTGATACATGAATTCAGTGTGGTTAGCGACACCTGTGTTCTCGGCACAGTGCTTGTGTTCCGTGTTGTCGTCCCGTCCTCAAAAGGTATCAGTGCTTTTGTTACCTCCATTTCACAGATAAGGAAACTAAGCCTCAGGAAACTGAGGCTAAGTAATTTGTCATGTTCTCACAGTCAGCACGAGCTGGAGGTGGAATCCTAACCCAGGCCTTCCCATGAGGCCATACCCTGACCTGCCTGCCTCATTGCTTTCATGTACCTGATCCCATAGATGGATCTTCATGTTAACTCAGGGACATGAATGATGAGCATTTTTCCTATGATAAAGATGAAAAATCTGAAGTTAATAATATACTCAGTGTCTTTTCCAAAGCCAGCAATAGAGGCAGGATTGGTTCTCAATCCCACGTGTTTTTATACCAAACACCACTCAAGCCACTGCACCCTTCATTGGCAGAGGTGCATGTATTTATACATGTTTGTTGACAGCCAACCATACATTGAAAACCAGAGAGCCCAGGGACTTACGGCTTTATCCTTGGGAACCTAACCACAGAGAGTGTCAAGACATCAGATAGTGTCATAGTCACAACTGAAGAGATAATGGTGCCTCATTGTCTTGTACAGGTGGACAAACCCATTTCCAAGGACGTCAGAAGCCAAAACATTAAAGGTAAAGTCATGTTAATCGAAGTTTAAAATGTAAGTATGAAAACATCTATTTTGCTTCTAAGATCCTCTCGCATTACTGTTTGTGGTCATGGGTGATCTTACACAAGGTGATCTATTGAATTACACTTCAGGAAATAACTATCTAATTTTAGACAGAGTCTCACATACTTTATGCCTATTTATTGCCTTACCTTATTGATGAAGAAATTGATTGTAAAAATTCGTATTCTTTGTTGTGCAATTTTGGAAATGAATTATTTTGAAACATATGGATTGCATTAAATATATAATCATGTTATCTCTCCAAGCATACCCCCAGAAAAGCCACAAGATAGAAATCTAATTTTAAAACATTGATTAATTAATATGAAAACAGATTTTAAGGCTTTAGGCAAAACAACTCAATTTGAAGACGAAAATACAGGTACGAGCCTAAAAGCAAATAATCAATTTCAGTAGTGCTAGAAGCATAAATGGAAGATAAGCCCAAGACATTTAATGGTATTGTATCCATTATAGCTTCTCTCATCATTTTCCCCCGTGCCCCTATCTCCTCTTACAATGCTTGACTGGAAAAGATGACAATGCCAAGATTCACTTTGCCCAATAATTGAAACACATCAAATTCACCTTTCATGTGTCTAATGCTATCATCTATAATGTATTACTAGCGCCATCTTTTCTTTAATGGGAAAGTGTACCAGTTAGAGTCCCAAGAGGGAATAGACAGCACACTCAAATTAGGATAATTTAAGGAAATTTATGGCAAAGAAACTACTTACCAGGTGATTGTGGTATAGGGGGAAGAACAAAGAATGGCACAAGAACCATGGCTGACAGCAGCGGGGCTGGCCCTACCCCTAGATGCAGAGGGATGAGGGGACAGTTACTGAAAACTACAAGGAGCACACCGCCTGGAGAGGAGCAGTGATCACTGGTCCCGGGACACCACTAGCCCAGGCAGACTTCTTGGGGAGGGGACCAAGGGAGTAAATGCCCCATCTCTCTCTCCAACCTCCCTGTGACCTCCTGTTGGGGCTTCCCAATGGCTAAACCTAACTAGAAATGAGAGGATAGGGCAGTCCCTGTGTGTCCCTACTGGTCAGTGTCCCCAGGCGGAGAGCAGGGTAGAGAAGGGTGAAGGTGGAGGGAGGTTCTGGAGGGCAAATGGAGTACACTCACAGCAGGAAGTGCCAGCGCAGTGAAAAGGGGACAGAGAGTAGCCAAAACCTAAGGCACACTCCCTGGCTGTGTGACCTTAAGTAAGACCCCTAACCTGAGTTCTCCATTTATTTATTTATTTATTTATTTATTTATTTATTTATTTATTTTGAGACAGAGTCTCGCTCTGTTGCCCAGGCTGGAGTGCAGTGGCGTGATCTTGGCTCACTGCAACCTCCGCCTCCCTGGCTCAAGCAATTCTCCTGCCTCAGCTTCCTGAGTAGCTGGGATTACAGATGCATTCCACCATGCCTGGCTAATTTTTGTATTTTTAGTAGAGACGGGGTTTCACCATGTTGGTCAGGCTGGTCGCGAACTCCTGACCTCGTGATCTGCCCACCTCGGCCTCCCAAAGTGCTGAGATTAACAGCTGTGAGCCACCACACCCGGCCCTTCTCCTTTTCTTTAACCAGCACATTAATTCACCACCTGGTGAATTATGTAGAGAAAGTATTTTCACTCCTCTTAACAGAGAAAGGGTTGGGAAGCATTGAGGGATCACAGACCAGACCACAATCATCTGTTACAAAAATGGCCTCAGTCATAATAATATGCTTTGTAGGCACTCATGAAGAAATGAGTCCTGGAGAGAAATCAGATGAGAAATGAACTTCATAATTGCCATCTGATTTATAGTTCACTATGGGCATCCACTCTCACTTCTTCGGCTGCAGAAATTTCTTCGACCATTATTCCACATATCAGTATGTCTGTTTACCTCTCTATCTGTATGTTTATCTACCCTTTGCCTCAGTTCACAAAGATATTAGTTAATAAAAACTTGAACAATAAAATAGAAGAAAATCTACATAGATGACATAATTAAAATAAAGATAAAATGTAAGATCCTTAGGCACACATCACTAAATTCTATAATTAAACTGTTATTTTGCCTCTGAGCTACCTGGTAGTCTAAGCAAAAAGGGAATCAAGCTTCCTTATGTGGTATGAATTTCCCATTACAAGAAACAAACCAGTTCCTCAGAGACAGCAAGAAAAACACATCTTGTAGGATTAAGTTAGTGCTCTGTTTTGTAGCGAATGTTGGCTGATATATGGGTCCCATGACTACAAAAATATGAGCGTTTTGTAAAGCAGACTCCAGTGTAAACTGAGGCCACAACTGCAAAGAGGACTTCAGTGAAAGCAAGGCTCAGAGAGGTTGAGGCTTTTGGGGGTGGGGCAGGTTGTATAGAAGACTTCTCCAATAAGAGTTATTTTCTTTACATCATCCTTTTCTATATTTCCATAATTGATGGTTCCCCATTACCATCCAGAGCTCTAAGGTACCATATCTAGAACAAGGCTGGAAGGGGGGAAATTAATATGAATGCCCCCCCCATTTTAGGATCAGGCATCTTGCTTAAAAATGCTTGCATGATTTATGTGTTTATTACAAAATTCTGTATTTTTGATGCAAACACATTCTCAGATAATTTATTCACTCTCACAAAAATATCATAGAATAAAACATATTGGTTGGTTCAGTAATGGCAGATTTTATGGTGATATTTTTCATCAAGTTGAGCAGTTATAGATTTATGTTAATGTACATTTTATGTCATTTTTCTTGCAATCATATTCTTACATTTATCTGTAAACTGTCAGATTTCAAGAACTTATCATCTTCCCTAAAGCTTGACTTTTTGTTTTTCATTCCTAAAAATAGGTAAAAGTTTATTTGGAGGCAAAGTATTTACAATACAAGTTATGTGTGACGAACCACTAGCATTAACCATAGATCTAGAAGAAATAATCTTATTTTCAGATAGGAATAGCTATAATTTTCAAATACAGCGTGGTTTATTTTTCTAGAGAAACCAAAGCTGAGAATAAAGGAAGCTAAATTGCATTTTCTCTTTGCCGTAGATGTGAACCAAACACAAACTCTAAGCCAATTTCCTTTGAGGTGACAAGCATACCATATACAAGAATGAATTTATAAAGAACTACAATAAGCCTCCAAGAAAAGAAAAAAAAAATTATGCCTAGGCTAGTGAACATGTATATCCAGAAACACGAGCTGATTGAAAAGAAGCAAAGTAGAATTCCACAAAATGCCATCAAAAGACCTTTATACTAGTTTGCTTTTAGACGAGTTTAGATGCTGAAGAAATTAGAATCAGAAATGAGTTTAATCTGGGTCAATTCTCTCATTTTACATAAGGAAGGGAAGTGGCTTGCTCAAGGCCATCAGCAAGTAGTCACAAGACCAGAGCCAAGGTTTATTCCACTATGGTAATGTTGCCAGGGTTTTCTGTGTTTGCTAGTGTATAAAATGTATTCTCCCTCTCATTTCGTAACGAACATCCCATTCATCCAGACTATACAAAGCGCAGTGCCAGAGTGAATTGATAGATGATACTGCTCCCTAGTGGCAGAACTTGGCAACACACAACTTTGCAATAATGATGAGATTGGTTATCTTCTATCCTTTGCAGAAAAAACACGCCCGAGGTTGCAGAATTGATCAGAAATAAATGTAATATTATTCTTCTACCATTTTAGATGTAAATGTGTTTCAGCCACAACCCATGGCTCAAAAGCAACAGAGACATTGATATAATGCTCATTCAAAGTTAACGTTATTAACTTCATGAAATCACTCATTAATTGAACTACAGAACAGTATTTTTTCTCACTACCAAACAAGAAAAATAATAGGCCTCAGAGAAAAGGAAAGGAATATGTAACTGTTTGATATAACAAATTTATTTTCTGATACAGAAATATGAAGTAGCCAGAAACAAGAGACTGAAAAACAAGGTATTTAATAAAAGAAGCTCCAGAAAATTTCTATCCCCCAAATAATAATTCCCTAATGAAGTTTCAGTTCCCCATAGAATTGCAATGTACAAGAACTGCCTTTTACATAAGCAAAGTACGGCCTTCCCCATGAAACCATTTCAAAATGACTTGAAATACACGCATAATGAAAAGCACTTTTTCTTTTCCTTGTAATGTTGGGGTGTTCACTGGAATCAACCATCCCAGTTTGCTCTGGATGGAGGGGTTCTTCAGAAGCAGGACATTCTAAATTAAAAACAGAGACATCTGGGGTAAACTGGGACTAGCGGCCTCTATACCTGCATGTCTTACATGCAAGCCAGCAGAATGGAAGAGTTATTTTGTTAAGTTTTAAAATAGCAGAATCTCCACGATCCAGCCCCTCCTTGTAACTAAGGCACAGCATCCCTTACAGATAATTGAGTGGCCCAAGAGCCTCACCACCTTCCCAGGAAGCACACCCTACCTTTAAGCAGCCCCAGCTCTTTACTTTCAGCTAAGTATAAGGAACAGCAATGTCTTCCTACAACTTCCTCCCATTGGTCCTTGCTGTAAGACACAATGAATGAAGCTCTAAGTAGCTCAAAGTACAGTTATCTGAAACTAATTGTGTGAGATGTTGAGAATCATATTAAATAAAAGAGAAGGCCAAGCGCGGTGGCTCACGCCTGTAATCCCAGCATTTCGGGAGGTCGAGGCAGGCGGATCACGTGAGGTTAGGAGCTTCAGACCAGCCCGGCCAACGTGGTGACACCCTGTCTCTACTAAAAATATAAAAAAATTAGCTGGGCGTGATGGTGTCCACATGTAGTCCCAGCTACGGGGGAGGCTGAGGCAGGAGAATTGCTTGAGCCTGGGAGGCGGAGGTTGCAGCGAGCCAAGATTGCGCCACTGCACTCCAGCCTGGGTGACAGAGCAAGACTCTGTATCAGAAAAAAAAAATAAAATAAAAAAATAAATAAATGGGAAACTCTGGATGCAGTAACCTTGAGAAACACTGAGTTAAACAAAAATAAACAGATCTTTTTACTGACCAAGTTTTTAAGAGCATTGTGGATCTCCAAGAGGGGGATATGGCACGGAGCATTTGTAACTTAAGTGTCCATGGAACCTGCTTTTTCTGGGATCACATTCTTTGGCCCATGCTCCTTAGAACACATTTTAGAAAAACCTAGATCGACTCATATATTAGTTTCAATTCTGGGTTCACAGTACATTTCCTATTCTGAGTAGTTTATCGGGTGTTATAAATGATCCATTGTTTGGGGCGGATATTCCTTAATCTATGAAAGCCACATCTACAGACAGCTTGTGAACGTAAATGCTTCCGCCCCTGCATGCCCCCCCCTCCTCTTCCTGCCAGTCCCTGGGGGAGCGATGAACAGTGATAAGTTTGCCCTCTCTCTTTTCTACTTAGTTTTTCTAATTCCATATCCTACATCACAATGTGAAGAAAAGGCCATTAATAATAAACATGAAATTGGTATAGTAAAAGCTGCTTGTATGGAAGGGACAGAGAAGATTATAATGCAGGATGAAAATGGGTACACATGTAACCGCCCGAGGGGTTCTTCCTGCCCACTGCATAAAGAGAGACCAGGGCACTGCCGTAGAGAAAGAGTTTAATAGACACGAGGCTGGCCACACCACGTGGGAGATGTTCATACACAAATCGTCTCATTCAAAGCTCATAGGTCAGCGGTTTCCAAAGGCAGTTTGGGGGAAGGGATGGGAGGGCAGGTAACAGGTGCTTGCTGCTGATTGATTGGGGTGGAGATGAAATTATAGGGGTTTGAAGCTGTCTTCAAGCAGATGAGTTACTTCTGGGTGAGGCTACAGGAGAGAGGTTGGCACTAAGGTGGAGGCATTGGGTTTAGGTGGAACCATGGGTGTCAGACACGCATGCAAAAAACTGGGAAAGATATCTCCAAAGGCCGATCTACAATAGTGGTGTTATCTGCAGGAATAACTGGGGAAGTTGCATGTCTTATAACCTTGGCAATAGTGGCTGACAATCGTTTATGTCTGCGCCTTAGCTGGACTCAGGCTGTTCTTGTCCCCCCAGCCTGATGGCTTCCCATTAGCTTTACAAAAGTGGTTGAGTTTGGGGCAAGTCCTATTATCATTTAAACTATAGCCTGAATGTGTTCCAAAGGTAGCTTTGCCCAATAGCCCAGGAGTAATTAAGGAAAAGATAAGATGGGGAGTGAGTTAGCTTGGCTTACTATTAATATTATAATTCTCGGCCGGGCGTGGTGGCTCACACCTGTAATCCCAACACTTTGGGAGGCTGAGGTGGGCAGATCAGGAGGTCAGGAGATCGAGACCATCCTGGCTAACACGGTGAAACTCCATCTCTACTAAAAAATAAAAAAGCACAAAAAATTAGCCCAGCGTTCTGACGCGCACCTGTAATCCCAGCTACTTGGGAGGATGAGGCAAGAGAATTGCTTGAACCTGGGAGGCAGAGGTTGCAGTGAGACGACATCATGCCCCTACACTCCAGCCTGGACGACAGAGTGAGACTCAGTCTCAAAAAAAAAAAAAAAAATTACAATTCTCTCACTGATATAATCTTTGCAAAGGCAGTTTTACATAGAGGGGAAATATAGCTTATTTCATCATAATTCAACCAATAATATTTAGTACCTCCTATGTGCTCAACACTAGGGCTGGCTATTTAGTTGTTCAATAAGCCCGTAAGCCCCATAATAAGCTCTCTGAACAGAACATTATACTTATGTTTTATTTCTGATTGTATTTCATAGTTATTTCTGATTGTATTTCATAGTGTTATTGCATGATTGTATTTCATAGTTAAAGGGTATTACAGGAGGGGGTGGTGGCTCATGCCTGTAACCCCAGCACTTTTGGAGGCTGAGGCCAGTGGATCACTTGAGCCCAGGAGTTTCGAGACAACTCAGGAGCCTGGGCAACATGGTAAAACCCCAACTCTACTAAAAAAAAATATATATATATACAAAAAAATTAGCCGGGCATGGTGGTGCACACCTGTAATCCCAGCTACTTGGGAGACTGAGGCAGGAAAATCGCTGGAACCAAGGAGGCAGAGGTTGCAGTGAGCCAAGACCACACCACTGCACTCCAGCGTGGGCAACGGAGCGAGACTTGGTCTCAAAAAAAGTGGGGGGGTGGTCTTGCATATATTTACCACAAATTGAACAGTAGCTAAGTGAAAAACAAATACAGAAGTCCTCCTTATCCTCAGTTTCACTTTCCACAGTTTCAGTTACCCATGCTCAACCAAGGTCTGAAAATATCAAGTGGAAAATTCCAGAAATACATAATTCATAAATGTTAACTCGCATGCTGTTTCTGAGCGGCACGATGAAATCCTGAGCAGTCTCACTCGAATCATTTCTTTGTCCAGTGTTTCTGTTGCGCTGTGTCCATTATCCACCGGTTAATTGCTGAGCAGTCATCTCGCCCACCAGATTCGCTGCGTGGAATCTCAGTGCTTAGGTTCAAGTCACCCTTATTTTACCTAATAATGGTCCAAAAGCGCAAGAGCAGTGATGCTGACAGTTCTGATTTGCCAAAGAGAAGATGTAAAGTGATTCCTTTAAGTGAAAAGGTGGAAGTTCTCAACTTGAAAAGGAAAGAAAAAATATTGTATGCTGAGGTTACTGGGATCGACAATAAAAATGAATCTTCTATCCGTGAAATTGGGAAGAAGGAAAAAAAAGTGTGCTTGTTTTGCTGTCACATATCACCTTTATCATAGGTCTGTATATTTAGGAAAAGCATAGGATATATAGGGTTTATTACTATCCTCAGTTTCAGACATCCATCGTGAGTCTTGGAACATTTTGCCTTAGGATAAGTGGAGGGCTGCTGTAACTTAAGTGTATGTTTATGTAATTTTTTATTTATTTATTTTTTTTGAGACAGAGTCTCCCTGTGCCGCCCAGGCTGGAGTGCAGTGGCGCGATCTTGGCTCACTGCAAGCTCCGCCTCCCGGGTTCACACCATTCTCCTGCCTCAGCCTCCCGAGTAGCTGGGACTACAGGCGCCCGCCACCACGCCCGGCTAATTGTGTTGTATTTTTTAGTAGAGACAGGGTTTCACCATGTTAGCCAGGATGGTCTCGATCTCCCGACCTCGTCATCCGCCCGCCTCGGCCTCCCAAAGTGCTGGGATTACAGGCTTGAGCCACCGCGCCTGGCCTATGTAATGTATTTTTAATAATGGCTGTATGTAAAGCCAGTTCACAGAATTTCTGAAAGTTTAACAACCATCCATTGCAAGCTGGCAGCAGCCACTCCAAAGAACAATCCCTTAACTCTTTTTCCTTCTTCAAGAGGTCTTACTTTAACCCTCCCAGAACACGGTGATATTGACAATGTCTTCATGGTTTCACCATAATAAGTTGTGGTGGAAACAGTCAAACCAAGGTCCATCGGATTCTGCAACCATGCTATGCCCACCTCAGTACATTACCTACCCAAAAGCAGTAACTTTGTGAGATCTGTCCTGAGACTGCAAAGCCAATGAGTCTCTGGGCAAATGGTGCTAATTACACGTTATGACCACCAGGTGGAGAGCATGCCTGGCTTCTCCAAGAGAAAACTGGAGATGGGAAAGACTTTGAACAACTGTTTGGGTCCTCTTGTTTGACAGAGAACTTTTCCTAGCATTTTAGAATATTTGTGTACTTCATTAGGGAGGTAAATTCCCGTTTTCCCTCTAATTTTTCATACTATAATAATAGTAGTAACTGCAGCTGTGCATTAAGAACCATGCCTTGAAGTGCATCAATTCATTTATTCCACACATGAATTTCCATGAAGTATAAATAAGCACTCCTTACTTCTCCAGATGGGGAAATTCATTCACTCCTCAATCCATTTGTTTATTTCATAAACATTCATTAAGCACGTGCCATGATCCTGCCCATAGTATGAACAGGATCAAGATTCAATCTTAACAAATTCAGTTCCAAAGCTCACCCTCCTTTAAATATCACAAATACTTGATTTATTATTGCTTTATTAAATAAGGCCCCCAAATTTTAAGAAGCTTTCTGGAATTTATCTGAATTACCATCAAAGCTGTATAATGGTAGACAAGTTACTTTGCTTGTTCAATCCAGTTTTTTTCACCTGCAAAGTTCCTTAAGTTCACCTTAACCTCTTACTTTGAAGGATTTTGGTTAGCTAAGCAATGATTAAGTGAAGCTCATGGTATCAGCACTTGCCAGTCGGCATATTTGATGCGGCTGAAATCCCCGTGGATTTTTGTAACTATTGCCGATATTATACTACACAAAAATCTTAAAAGGGAGGGAGGAATACTAAGTGAGGCTAGAAAAAATAATCCTACATTATAATGAAGACACAGGACACATGGACAGTGTATCATAAAGATTCACCCTGAGTAACACAAAAGACCCTGAGTGGCCAAGGCAATCTTGAGTAAAAGGAACAAGGCTGGAGCCATCACACTTCCTGATTTCAAATTACATGACAGGGCTGTCGTGGTCAGTGGTACACCAAACATGCACACAAGTAAGGCAGAGTGCAGAGCCCAGAAATAAATGCATGCATTGATTAAACTAATTTTTGATGAAGGCATCAGGAATACACAATGGAGACAAGATGGTCTCTTCAAATAGTGGAGAGACTAGATATTAATGTGCAGAAGAACAGGGCAGGACCTGTTCCTCTGCACAGGGCAGGACCACGTTCCTCACACCATGCAAGGAAATCAATTTGGGGTGGATTAAATCAACTTGGGGTATACCCAAAACTACAGAACTCCTAGAAGAAAACATAGGGAAAAGATCCTTGGCATTGTATCTTGCCAATGACTTTTTGGGTATGAGACCAAAAGGACAGGCAGCAAAAGCACAAATAAACAAGTAGGGCTACATCAAACTAAAAAGCTTCTCCACAGCAAAGGAAAGAATCAACGGAGTAGAAAGGCAAACTACAAAATGGGAGAAAATATTTGCAAACTATATACCTGATAAGGGTTAATGTTCAATATAGACAAGGAACTGATACAACTGAAGAGCTAAAAAATGAGTGACCTTATTGGAAGATGTCCAAAGGATCTGGGTGGACATTTCTCCAGGGAGGAAATACAGGTAGCCAACACATATATAGGAAGTGGTTCTCAGCATCACTGGTCATGAAGGAAATGCAACTCAGAGCCACAGTGAAATATCACCTCACACCTCTTAGGATGACTATTACTTAAAAAACACACACAAAAAACAAAAGATGGCAAGTGTTGGCAAGAATATGGAGAAAAGCGATCCCTTGCACACAGTTGGTGAGAATGTAAATTGGTACAGCCATTATTGAAAACAGAATGGAGTTTCCTCTAAAAAATTAAAAATAGACATACCTTATGGTTCACGAATCCAACTTTTGAGTATATACCCAAAGAATTGAAAACAGGATCTTGAAGAGCTCTCAGCACTCTGTTCATGGCAGCATTATTCACAGTAGCCAAGATATGGAAACAGCATAAGGGTCCATAGACAGATGAATGGATCAAAAAATTGTGGTATATACACACAATGGAGTATTTTTCAGCCTTAAGGGGAAGGAAATTTTTCCATTTATGACAATACTGATGGACTTGGAGGGCATTATGTTGGGCCAAAACAAGTCAGACGCAGAAAAATGATGCTGTAGAATCTCACTTACTTGTGGAACCTAACACAGTCAAACTCATAGAAGCAAAGAGTAGAATGGTGGCTGCCAGGAGCAAGGAGGAGGGAGACATAGGAAGGTGATGCTTAAAGGGGACAAAGTTTCAGTTATGGTGCACAAATAAATTCTGGAGACCCACTCTACCACATAGTGCCTACAGCTGATGACACTGTACTGTGTACTTAAAGTTTGCTAAGAGGATAGATATTATGCTAAGTGTTCTTACCAAAAAAAGAAAATAAAATAAAGTAACAATAACAAAAAGGGCAGGAGTCAACTTTGGTAAGTGACAGATATGTTTATGGCCTTGACGGTGGTGTTGATTTCATGGATATGTACTTATCCCCAAATTCAATCTTAATGTGTACAGTAAATATGTAAAGCTCTTCTATGTCAGTGATACCTTAATGAGGTGGTTTAAAAAAGATTCACCACAGTTAAGGCAAAGTTTTTGCGCCATTGTACAAGACCCCATGTGATCTGGGCACTCTCCCACCTCTGCCATCACCTATCTGGGCTTACCTCCTCCTCGTGCTCATCCCACCTGCTATAATTCAAGTGTCCCTTCCAAATCTCATGTTGAAACTTTGTCCCCAATATAGCAGTATTGACAGGTGAGGCATAAAGGGGTAATTGGATCATGAGTGCTCTGCCCTCATGGATGAATTAGTCCATTAATGGATTAATGGGTTAATGGGTTAATAGATGAATGGATTGTCATGGAAGGGGAACTGGTGGCTTTATAAGAAAAGACACCTGAGCCAGCATACTCAGTCGCCTTACCATCTGATCCCCTGCACTGCCTCAGGACTCTGCAGTAAGTCCCCTTCAGCAAGAAGGCTCTCACCAGATGCATCCCCTAAACCTTGGTTTTCTTAGCCTCCACAACTGAAAGAAATAAATTCCTTTTGCATATAAATCATCACCTAGTTTCCATTATTCTGTCTTAAGCAACAAAAAAAAACAGACTAACACAGAAAATTGGTGTCAAGAAGTGGAGTGTTGCTGATAATGAATACCTGAAAATGTGGAAAGCAGCTTTGGAACTGAGTAATGGGCAAAAGTAGAAGAATTTGTAGGAGCAGGATAGAAAATGTTTAAATTCTGGCGAAAGCTTAGAAGACAAGAAGGCTAAGTAAAGTTTGGAACTTCTTAGTGATTAGATAGGTGGTTGTGACAAGAATGCTGATAGAAATATAGACAGTAAAGGCCATTCTGATGAGGTTTGAGGTAGAACTGAGGAGCAAGATATTGAAAACTGGAATAAAGACCATTCTTGTTATAAATTGGCAAAGAACTTGAATGAATTGTCTCTATGCCTGAGGGTTTTGAGGAAGGCCAAACTTGAGAGTGATAAACTAGGATATCTAGCAGAAGAAAATTCTAAGCAAAATATAGAAGGAGCTGCAGGGTTATTTTGGCAACTTACATTGATATTTCAGAGCAGAGAAATAATTTACAGAATTTTTAATTAAAAGAGAAGTAGAGTGGATAAATTTGGAAAACTCAGCCTGGCCACATAGAGAAAAAGTCTTCAGAGGAGAAAACCAAGGGTATATCCCAGTGACCATTTGCTAAAGAGATTAACAGGGATAGAAGTGGGCTAGATGCTATCCCTCAAGACAATGGAGGAAGGACCCCAAAGGTGTTTCACAGATCTTGAGGCTGCCCTCTTATCACAGGCCTAGAGTTCTAGGATGGAAGAAAGGTTTCAGGGGATAGGACTGGGGCGCTGTCTACCAGCTCACTGCCCACAGCTACCCTGGGACTCTGCTTCCTACACTGCAGCACAGCACTTCATGGCTGCCCGGCTCAAGCAACCCCAGTTGAGGCCCTTGTACTGAAGCTCTGCAAGGTACAAGTTTTAAACCTTGGCAGTATCTGTGTGGTGCTAATTCTGCAGGCTTGCAGAAAGCAAGAGCTGTGGAGGCTCAGCAACCTCCAACCAGATTTCAAAAGACGTCAAAGGCCTGAGGACCCAATCAGAGACTTGTCACAGGAGTGGAGACATGCAAAAAGCCCCCACTAAAGCTATACAAAGCAGATATGTGGTGTTGAAGCTAATGGAGTCCCCACCAGGGCAATGCCTAATGGAGCCATAGGAGCAAGGCCACTGCAGAAAATCCCCACTATGGTAATGGGAGTGAGCCTGCCACCAAGACCCTTGAGCTGTACAGCTACTGGTGTGCATTGCCAACCTGGGAGAGCTGGGTGGACTAAGCACAACCAAGCTATAGGGGTGGGGTGTCCCGAGGCCTTGGAGGCCCTAACTCTTGCTCCAGTGTGCACAGAATGCCAGACGTGGAATCAAAAAAAAATTATTCTGGAACCTTAGGACCCAAATTCTTCTTTCTTGGGTTTCAGTCTTGGGTGGGGCCTGTTATCCCTTTCTTCTTGCCTCTTTCTCCCTTTTAGAATAGGAATGTGTACCTTATGCTTGCCCCACAATTGCATCTTGGAAGTAGATAATTTGTTTTGATTTCACAGGCTCACAGAGGAGACTCTGAACTTTGGACTTTTGAGTTGGTAGTGGAATGAGTTAAGAATTTGGGGCTACAAGGAGGAATGAATATATTTGTATGTGAGGACATGCATTTCGGTGAACCAGGGGTGGAATGCTGGTTTGAATGTCCCCTCCAAAACTCATGCTGAAACTTCATCCCCAGTGTGGCAGTATTGAGAGGTGAGACCTTTAAGAGGTGATTGTATGATGAGGACTCTGTCCTCATAAATAGATCAATCCATTCACAGATTAATGAATTAATGGGTTATTGAGTTCTGATGGAAGGAAAACCGGTGGCTTTATGAGGAAAGGAAGAGGGACCTGAGCTAGCACATTAGCACAGTCAGCCTCCTCGCCATGTGCTGTCCTGCACCGTCTTAGTACACCTCAGAGTCACCACCCGCAAGAAGGCTCTCACCACATGCCCCTCTTTGTTCCTGGACTTACTTAATTTCTAGAAAATCACCTAATTTCAAGTATTCTGTTTTAAGCAACAGAAAAATGAACTGACACCACCTGAGGACTTTTGCCCTTGCTGTTTCCTCTGTCAGGAATCCCCTTCCCAAGATATCCACAGGACATGCTCCCTCGCTGTCCTCAGGCCTCTGATTTCATCCCCTAACCACAGATGCCTCCTCAGACCAGCCTAAAACACAGTAGCCCCAGCTCCTACTCTCCGCACCGTGCTGTCCTCCAATCTGCTTTATTTTCTGCATAGTGCTTGTCATCACCCATGAACGTTTATTTATACTTTTGTTTATGTATCTCCTAACTCCTGCCACTGAATGTAAGCTTCATGGGAATAGCAACTTTATTTGTTGGTGTTATACCCCCCAACACCTACATCAATGCATATATTAAAAATGAGTCCATACCTAACACATACTATGTGCTCAATAATAAATCAATGAAATAAAAGAAGATAGATGTCCTATTCTAAACTCACAACCCCTGAAGAAAACTGGGTAGATATCTTGAAAACCACAAAGGGAATTTTCCTATTAAATTACAGGAACTCAGTCTCTTTATTGAATTCTTTTTCCAGTGAATTGAATTGATCCCCAATAGATAGAGTGAAAAAAGACCTCTTGGAAAGCCAACATCTAGTTTTGCAGGGAAAGTCATCAACACAGGCAGCAAGATGGTCCACCAGGGAGCTCTGGAGGTGAAGCCAATAAACAATAAGATGAAAGGAAATTAATTTTATGTTTTATAATTTTGTCCCTTAAGCAAGCATTATGTGGCCTAAGCTTTTTTGTGATTTCCTTGAAATAGTCAAAGATCTAATGTTAACCAGATTGCTGCTGTTGTTGAAGTAGATCCTGGGTCATATTTTGTGTTTTCACAATGCCAAGGACATCAGTTATTTCTGTGTGCAATCAGTGTTTGGAATTCATATAAAGAAGTGAATCCTACCTATTTCAAAAGTGTTTTTCAAAAATGAAAACAGAAAGGAAGAATGGTAATTTTATTCTTATTCTTTGAAGTAATTGTTTTAGACATAGAAGAGCCATTAAAATTATACAGACCAGTTTGTGCTGTGTTGCATTGTGTTGTGTTGTATTGTGCCAGTTGGACCTTTCACCAAGGGGAATCTAAACAGGCGGTGCAGTGGAGAGCGGGCTGAAATTAAGCCCTTAATGACATGGGGTGGTGAACCAGTAACCAGTCCCCCTGCGCCCAGGCACCACGGGACTTCCAGGGGACAGTGCAGGAAGCTCTTCAGCACATGGTTAAAAATCACTGATTTAGTCCAACCTCCTTGTCTCACAAATGAGGAAAGCAAAGGATGCTCAGTGTGAAGCCACCCAGCCGGTGTTCAGTGGAGGTTTAAGTCTCCTATAACAAAAGATAGACATTTTCTCACTGATTCCCCAACAGCCATATAAAATAGCATTTATTACACCACGCCCATTTTTAGAGATAATCAAACATTGCTTTTCCAAGGAGCCTTCTTCTGACAACCCAGAGTAACTTAAGTGTCCCACATATTCATTTAATACTTTGTCCTTCTCTACTTGACATCCTTATCAGATTGTTCATGATGCCTTCAATGCCGGTCTACCCACTAAGGTATAAAGCCTATGGCAACATGTTCGGTGACAGCCATCTTCACAGTGTCACATCCCCAGAGCCAGAAGCTTGGCCTGTGAACACCCCAGCTAGGAGCACCTTGACAGGAAGGATCGCATTGTATTTGTCTTTTTTCCCCAGTGCCTGGTACTGTGTTTAGCTCAGAGTAGAAGCTCGATAATTACATTGAGTTGAATTATGGAAATAGAACTACCTAGAGTTCAGACAAATCTGTTCCAGGCTCTACTTGGGATTTTTCTAAGGTTAATTGTCCTTGAGAAATTATCCCACCTAGTTTGTCCTTAGTTTTTTTTTTCATCCATAAAATAAAGAAGTTGGATTCTGGGGGTCTTCAGAAATTATTCTATTTTGAAAAATCTGTGATGCTATTTTCCTCTGCTTGGAAATACCCCATGAAGGTGGTAGGCAGGAAATTGAATTGTATATATATATATATACACACACACACACACACACACACACATACACACACACACACACATATACACATGCACATTAAGCGTAAACAGGAATCCGTGGTTTCAAAGGGGTCTTAAGAGTCACACGATGTGCAATGAAATCTTCATTGTACCATTTACTCGCTGGGTGAGTGTAGGTGAGATATTTAACTTCCCCGTGTGTCAGTTTCTTCATTAACCGAACAAGGGTGAGGATTTAATAAGACCACGTAACTAAAGAGTTTAGCATTATTCTGGGTATCTCATATGATCTCAGCAAATATTAACTGACGTTATCACCAATATTATTACAAATAAAAATGATTTTCATGTAAGCGTGTATAAAATCAATGCTTGATGACATTTTCCATAAATTCACTGCTATTCCCTCTTATGTTTTAGGAGATGCATCCGTAAGAAAGAACAAGGTAAGAGAAATCAATAAAATGCATTTGTTATTCATTATTTACTTTAGAAGCCTAGAGATATAGATGATGCAAAAACTCAGATATCTCTAGAAAAATATGTCTTATAAGTCTGATCACAATTTGTAATTTCTATTTGTAAACCAAAAAACTGTTAGCCATTGGCCCTGCTCACAGAACAATAAACTTAATTTAGGTTTCTCTTTTCTTTTTCAGATTCCTTTACCACCTCCTCGGTAAAACACTTTAAAATAGCATTTTTTTTCGCTATACAATGAAATAATTTGTGCCAGCATCTGAAAAAGAGAAACACAAACATTTGACATTGAAAATCTAATATGATTTCAGAGTGAGAGACGGATGTGGAAAAAAAAAAAACTAATATGAGATGTTCAATGAACAAGATTAAACAAGCCTTCATTCATCTATTTAATCATTTATTCATTCATTCACAGTTATCTATTCAATATACCTTCACTCATTTCTCAATGAATGTATTCCTCCCGTTTTTTTCTGTTCCTCTCCTTTCTTTCAGTACAGAAATCTGCTGGATGGTATTGCTGCGTATACTTCTGGCAGGCTTAGATTCATATGAAAATGGGATATGCCCTCAGGGAACAATATATTAAGTATATATTCATGTGAGATATATATATATACATATATATATGACACATATATAAATATAAATACTATTACATTTATACATCTCTATGGAGAAAAGAGCAACAGACAGCTGCAGAGGCTCTGAGTGACTGGCCACTCTTGTTGCTCTATCTGGGACCTGTGAGCACCTCTGCCATAGTATGCATTACATTCTCTGGCAATCATTTCTTCATCTCTCTCTCTTCCCTGCTAGAGGGAAGCAGCTTGAACCAAAAACTGTATCTTTTTCCTCTCTATATCTCCAGCATCTACTAAAGTACCTGATAAACTTATGAATAAATGAGTGAATGGGTGAATAACATATGAGTGAGTGAGACATTCACTGACTTTCAAACATTTTTATATTTCTTATTGGGTTTTTTTTTTTTTGTTTTTTTTTTGAGACAGTCTGGCTCTGTCGCCCAGGCTGGAGTGAGGTGGTGCAATCTCAGCTCACTGCAACATTTGCCTCCTGGGCTCAAGTGATGCTTCTGCCTCAGCTTTGTGAGTAGCTGGGATTACAGGTGCATGCCACCATGACTGGCTAATTTTTGTATTTTTAGTAGAAACGGGGTTTACCATGTTGGCCAGGCTGGTCTTGAATTCCTGACCTCAGGTGATACGCCCACCTCAGCCTCCCAAAGTGCTGGGATTACAGGCGTGAGCCACCATGCCTGGCCACTTTTTTTATATTTATTTGGGTAGTTCTAAAAACTCAGGTCTGCCAGTCTGGGATGAATGGAAGGCTGTTATCATTTTCTCCACAGGCCTCCTAAAGCCAAAACAGGTGCACTATGGAGGAGCACATTGACTCCCCATAGAAAATTATGTCACGCCCTTTAGAAAACAGTGCCAGACCAGATCGGTCTGCTCCGCAGTTAGCATCCAAAAACTAGCATTTTCAACCCAAAGCTGGGGACACGGAGGGCAGAGCAGTGTGGATTCAGGGCCTGAGGCATCACTGCTGCAGCAAACTTTCTCAGGACCCTACTGCGACTCTCCACACAGGCCTCTCATAACACTTCCGAAGAAGTACCAACCCTTGCCCCCTGAGCCGGAGAGCAGCAGGCCACCTTTATCTCAGAGACACACCTTTCCAGAAGTCCAGAGAATGCCCAGGTGAGAGATTCATCATCAATGGTGAAATGACCAGCAAGAGTGTGGGTGTGGGGGAGGGGGACAAGGGAAACCAAACAAAGTACCTTTCAGAGCAGGCTCCCTAATGGGTGGGGAGTGTATTGGTCCATTCAAAGACATAACCAAGACTGGGTAATTTATAAAGAAAAGAGGTTTAATTGACCCACAGTTTCACATGGCTGGGGAAGCCTCACGAAACTTACAATCATGGTGGAGGGGGAAGCAAGCATGTCTTACATGGCAGCAGGTGAGAGAACCTGTGTCCAAAGCAAATGGCGAAGAGCCCTGTATAAAACCATCAGATCTCATGACAGTGCATGCAGTAACATGGGAACAGCATAGGGGAAACTGCTCCATGACCCAATCATCTCCCACCAGGCCTCTGCCTCAACACCTGGGGATTACAATTAAAGATGAGCTTTGGGTGGGGACACAAAAGCCTAACCAGTTATACCTAGAAGAAAATAATTCTAGAAACCTGTGTTTTGATTCTTTGCAGGAAATATAGCTTCTCTGTAACAAAATGAGTTATTATTGAAAGAATTGCTCACTTGTGGCCTGAATTAGTTAATAAAGAAAATGTCAAATGCCAGAACAGAATCAGCATATTTTATGTAAGAACTGAAAGGGGATTCAGATTATTCCAGGACCAATATTGGCCCCCAGCTTCCCATCACCCAGGCTGGAGAAATATAACCATGCTTGAAAACTCTTTTGTCAAAAACATTATTGCCTTTATGAAAAATAAATATTATAAAACCATCCCTCTGATATTAAGTACTGATGATGGCTCTTCATTCCCAAACGTGTGGGACATTTGGCAGCTGGTGCTAATCACAGAATGTGACAAACTCGAGTGAGCATATTTCATTTTCCCAAAAGAGTTTAAATTTCCAAAATTACCTTATTTTGAAAGTCAGAAAAGTGATCAGCATTTCCTCCTTGTTTCTGCATAGAATGAAGGATGCTCTCTTATTTTTCATCCTTCTTCAAGCTTGCATCAGCAGTTTGGGGCACAGGCATTATTTAGTGAGAAAGCATTTCTCATGGATACAAAAACTCAGGATAGGCTCATTTTGAGCTTCTATGGGAAACTCATTCATCACTGATTCTAATGGGGAACATTAAATAGCCTAAAATGTCATTCCTCCTTCTGTGGCGAATGTCTCTTCACCATTTCCTCCATTACAGCCCCACACAAGCATAAGTTTTCCAAGAAACACCTTCTTTGTTGTCTCTCCCATGGAATGCCCTCCTTTTCTGTCCCCCTTTCAACTGCCATGGCAGCATGGGAAGGAATAGAGGCTCTCAAGTCTCGATTCAAATGGTCTGTGTTTGTATTAGTTCTCACATTGCTATAAAGAAATATCTCAGACTGGGTAAGCTATAATGAAAAGAGGTTTGATTGGCTTACAATTCCATGGGCTGCACAGGAAGCATGATTCTGGCATCTGCTCGGCTTCTGGAGAGACCTCAGGAAACTTACAATCATGGCAGAAGGCAAAGGGGAAACAGTACCTATTTTTAACCAACAATTATTGCACTTTCTTACCAACCTATTTTTAACCAACACTATTTTTAACCAACCTATTTTTAACCAACACTTATTGCACTTTTATTACCTTGGGCCCTTCTCCATTGGTACCTATGTTGCCCCATAGAATATAACAAATTGACAAGTCTGTTTCTTCCAGCCCAGGAAGGGATGGAAGAGGAACTGACTCATTTCAGTACCCATATAACCTGGCACAGTACCTGAAATATAGTAGATGATGGATAAATATAAATTTCCTTCTGCAGCTTTCAAAGGAACCTAATCAGACTAGGAGTAAGCAGATTTGCTCTGTTTTGATTTCCATTTTCAAAGAGTGAGAAACTGGGAGGCAACAATAATAACAGACCATCCAACCCATGAAGCTGTGTTATCAGAGTTGGAAATGTAAAATGCAGCATTCCTAAAACTCCTGGCCAAATAGTCTAATACGTAAAGGACTGATCAAACCTCAGAGAAGTAAGAAGACAGAAAATAGGATTAATAAAATATTGAGACTAGGCATAATGGCTTACGCCTCTAATCCTAACACTTTGGGAGACCGAGGCAGGCGGCTCACATGTGGCAAGGAGTTCAAGACCAGCCTGGCCAACATGGTGAAACCCCATCTCTACAAAAATACAGAAACTAGCTGGGTGGGGTGGAGTATGTCTGTAATCCCAGCTACTCTGGAGACTGAGACATGAGAATCGCTTTAACCTAGGAGGCAAGGGTTGCAGTGAGCCAAGATTGCACCACTGCACTCCAGCGACAGAGGGCGACAGAGGGCAACAGAGAGAGACTGTCTCAAAAAAATAAATATATAAACTAAAATAAAATATTGAAGATGATGAGGTTGTTCAGTGTGGAGAAAAAAGCATTTTATCTTCTTTCTGTTTCCTCATGCTGGAAAGAACAGTATCTTGGGACCCAGTAGCAATGAGTTTGGATCCCAGGTGAGCCACTTTTGGCAGTATGACTTCAGAAAAGCTCTTTAACATCTCTGAGTTTTCTTTTCTTATTTATAAGAAGAAAATAACCATCTTCGTATGATAAAATGATGATGATAAGGTATGCCATTCCTGTAAAGTGCCTAGGATAATATCCGTCACAGCACAGGAAAAGAAGAAGAAAAGAAAAGAAAGAACAAACAAGAGAAGGAAGGAAGGAAGGAAGAGAGAGAGAAAGAAAGAAAGAAAAAGAAAGGAAGAAAGAAAGAAAGAAAGAAAGAAAGAAAGGAAGGAAGGAAGGAAGGAAGGAAGGAAGAAAGAAAGAAAGAAAGAAAGAAAGAAAGAAAGAAAGAAAGAGAAAGAAAGAAAGAAAGAGAGAGAGAAAGGGAGAAAGACAGGGAGGGAGGGATGAAGAGAGGAAGGAAACCAGCTTCTCCCATCTGTTCTCGGCAGAATTAGGTATCCAGAATCCATAACTCTGTATTTTTCTAGAAATAGAGGCTGTATATATTTTTTTGAGATGGAATCTCGCTCTATTGCCCAGGCTGGAGTGCAGTGATGTGATCTCAGCTCACTGCAACCTCTGCCTCCCGGGTTCAATTGATTCTCCTGACTCAACCTCCTGAGTAGCTGGGATTACAGCTGTGTGGCACCACACTCAGCTAATTTTTATATTTTTAGTAGAGATGAGGTTTTACCATGTTGGTCAGGCTGGTCTCGAACTCCTGACCTCAGGTGATCCACCCGCCTTGGCCTCCCAAAGTGCTGGGATTACAGACGTGAGCCACCGTGCCCAGCCAGAGGCTGTATTTTCTAATACAGTGGTTATCATCCTGGCTTTACACTAAAATAATTGGAAAGCTTATTTTAAAGCACTATCCCCAGTATCTATTTTAATTGCTCTGAAGTGAGACCTGGGCATCAGAATTTTTAAGGCTCCCCCAGGTGAAGCTAATATGCAGACAGGGCTAAGAACCCAGAGGGAACCAAGTTCGAGGAATACATCCACCACAAAAGCTTTGAAGGTATTTAAGCCTTATCTATGCCTGAGTTTCCAGAGTCTAACATAATGCTCACTCAATTGCCAAATGCGTCCCTCTGCGGGCACAAACCACACAGGTCTATTGGGTTACTGTCTTGGTGGTGTTGACATCTTTAGAAGTTGGCATTTGATATCTCTGGGGTTCCTGTAGTTACAGTTTACTTTTATTTAATCATTTTTAGATGTGATGAGAATTGTGCTGGATCTCTTCACCAAAACACCTCAAGAGAGTAATTATATTTTCTCTTATTGAATTTTTCCAGCAGCCCTGTAAAGTATGTTTCCTAAGCCTCAGAAGAGTAAAGTACCAAGCCCAGTGGATGGCACATGTGCCCAATAAATAGTACTTCCATACTCACTGGGCACCTAAGGTCACCACGCTTCAGAGAAGTTAGGTAACTTAAAGTCACAGGGTTGACATTTGACTATTGATGGGGCAAAAACCTGCACAGCCCCATAGGAGACACTGGGGATACCACGATAAATGACATGGCTTTGCCTCTGAAAGAGAGATGTGCTTTCAAATTCATTTTTAGCAGGGCCCACATGGGTGGTAATATCATCATTAGTGATGCCCAAGTCCCATGTAATCAACCACAGAAGGATATTGCTCTGAAAACAGAAGGAACATTGGCAATCAGAGCTTCTGCAGCCGAACCATGCAGGAGAGTGCCTGCTCCGTCTCTGCCAGCTGTTGGTAAGGCACTGTGAGTGAGATGAGTTGCCTTCCCTAAGGCAGAAGCCATGATTTACATCTGGCAATCAACTGTATCAATGGTAGGCAGTTAGACAGCTGCAGCCTTTTGCAGTGGGCTGTGCTCACCCTGGATGGTCTTTGTGGTTCCAGCTATTGTGTTTCAGGCCCCATTTGTCTCTGCCAGCTCTGCTATTCTCTTTTTTAAAGCTAAGCCTTGGTTTCACGAAACAATTACTGAATTGAAGCACTTCAGTAAAGGAAAACGTCACCCCAGTCATTCATTGACAACTCAAAACCAGAAGAGAACTTCGAAGTTTGGAGAATGTTGGTTGGACATTCTCAGCCACTTATGTACCATTATTATGATTTTTACAATATCCATGTACTTAATTATTTTTTCTGCTCTGCTCATTTTTTTCAACTTAAATAAATTTACTTAAAAGAAAGACATATAATTATTATAAATAACTTCAATACAGATAGCTTCAAAACAAAACTTTGAGCTCTGGGGAATTTTACCTCTGATAAAAGGGAAGGTAAGCAAATATTAGAACAGTGTTTCATATCTACTAACCACTGCACTGAGCCTTTCTCTTTGACATAATCTGAAAGACAATTAAAAAGGGAATAACTTTTCTACTACGAATCCATTGTAATTTTAATACCGTGGTCCATGCACCAAATAAAATCATCCTGAGTAACAGCAAGAGTAATCAACAACATTTTCTGAGTCGTAACTACACACCAGGCCCGGTTTGGGATCTTATATGTATTAATTCATTTAGTCACACAACAGCACTGTAAAAAAATTACTATCTCCAATTTACTGATAAAAATTAAGAAATCGAGGGTTCATTGTCCCATATGTCCTTTAAGCTTCAGTACACTCAATGGCCAAAGGTGCAGGGTTCAGCCAAAATATAATTTAAATGAAGCACCCAATATTTAAGAAACAAAACACCCACTTGCCTAACTATGGCTTTCCATTTTTTCTTTCTTTCTTTCTTTCTTTCTTTCTTTCTTTCTTTCTTTCTTTCTTTCTCTTTCTTTCTTTCTTTTTTTTAAGTAGAGACAGGGGTCTCTCTAACACTCCTGTCCAGGCTGGTCTCAAACTCCTGGCCTCAGGCAGTCCGCCCGCCTTATCCTCTCAAAGTGCTGGATTTACAGGTGTGAAGCAACACGGCCAGCCAGTTTTCTCTTTACAACCAGCAATGCTGGCATCACATCAATTCAAACAATCTCTGTCGCAAAAATGTATGCTCTGATGATTTGGGAAGTGAAAACAAAAAGTCTTTATAGATATCGAGAAACCGTGGTCTTTTAAAAGAGAAAGTATGGTTATAGAGATATACACATTTGTATTTATGAATGGAAAGTATTGATTTTAAAGTATAAACATCATTATTATTGTTTTCCAAGTTGTTGCTATTGGGGGAAACTGGGTATAGGGCACATAGGAACTGTCTGTATTATTTCTTACAACTGCATGGGAATCCATAATTCTATCTAAGGATAAAAAATCCATAATTTTATCTCAGGATAAAAAGTTTAATTTCAAAGCAAATGTGAACATTAAAATGTTCTGCAAATGTAGAGTGTTATTTCACTCCAAATAGCTTTCACGTCACATTCTTTCATTAGAATCTTCAGCAATTCTCTTCACTACTGTCTAGATTTATCAGTTTTACAGGTGGGAAAACTAAGCTTCAGAGAGAGAATTTAACTTATCCAGGGTGACAGAGCCCACAGATGACAGAGCAAGAATCAAATTCAATTCATTTAAAACTAAGCCAAAAACTAAGGCATTCCTGGAGAGACCTATATTTATAGTAAAAGGTAATATCTTTACATTTATAATGAGGACCTCTTATGCATAGGAAAAAATGTGAAAAAAATTAATGACCATGGTTTTTTTCGCCATCTTCAGCAGACAGAACTTGGACACACATGTGTTCAAAGCTCTCAAAGAGTAAGAAACTCTGGTCTACACAGAAATGCCTTCTTACAATCACTTG
Source organism: Homo sapiens (assembly GCF_000001405.40). Lineage (NCBI taxonomy): Eukaryota > Metazoa > Chordata > Mammalia > Primates > Hominidae > Homo > Homo sapiens. The sequence goes on along the minus strand of NC_000004.12, from coordinate 10,534,240 downwards.
GGTTCTCAGTGAAAATTCCATTGATTAAAGCTGCAAATTCCAAACCCGAGCTTTCCTGAAGCCTCAGATTTCCATCTATAAAGTGCACTGCTCTATTTATAAATCAGGTGATTTTATCCAAACAGAAAGACAATCACTCTGCTTAGTCTTCAACAAATGTTCAACCAACTCAAGTCAAATAGGTTAAAGAATCTTAGTAAAACTGTTTAACAAACTCATTTAAATCTCCTTAAATATTTGAAATATATTTATAAATTTAATTTCTTTGATTTTTAAGTACTTCTAATGTTGACAGGGTAGGTTTAAATGCTAGCCAGCAAAACTTTAACAATTTCTGTAAATCCAAGAAAGTAAATGTATAAATATAGAAAATTTTAATTTATCTTAAACACTTCAAACTCTTTAAAATGGAGACAAACACATCTTGACACTTGTAACTTCAAATCTACATTTTAAATTGAAGCCCTACAGCCAATCTTTCAGTATCTTTAATACACTGGCTTCTTAAACATTAAATACTGAGATTAGCCACATTTTAACCCCAAAATAATTAATACTCTGGGTGTTTGTTCTACTTCATTACCTCTATTCAGATCTCTTTTGTCTTCTCAGGTTTCCAACTAAAAGCGGGAGGCAGGGGGTAAGATGTAAGAGGCTAAAACCGTGGAACCTTGGTACAGTTGCCTGTTGCTTGCAGATCCGACACTGGGATCTAGCATCTGAGTACTGTGTGTTTCTGGAATCCTGATATAGCCTGACTCCTAAAACTCTAGATCAATAGCCTTCAACTGTGATCAGTGTTGCACACTTAATACTCCCATATTCTTCAGATCCAGTGTTTTCACTGACAGAACTGGGGAAGTGGAACATATACCCTCACTCCACTCCCTTCATAGTTTCTTCACCAAACTTTGACCACATTCTGACAACGATGCACACTGAATGCCCAACATTGTTTTTTGTTTGTTTGTTTGTTTGTTTTGAAATGGAGTCACGCTCTGTCACCCAGGCTGGAGTGCAGTGGATGATCTCAGCTCACAGCAATCTCTCCACCTCCTGGGCTCAAGCTACTCTCCTGCCTCAGCCTCCCGAGTAGCTGGGACTACAGGCATGTGTCATCACACCCGGCTAATCTTTGTATTTTTAGTAGAGACAGGGTTTCACCATGTTGGCCAGGCTGGTCTGGAACTCCTGAGCTCAAGTGATCAGCCTGCCTCAGCCTCCCAAAGTGCTGGGATCACAGGCATGAGCCACTGCACCAGGCCCCAACTTTGTTACTTTTTATTTCTAGCAATTCTCACATTAACACTCATGAGCACTCTTGTTGCCATTTTGCAGATGAAAAAAAGTGAGGTTTAGAGAAGTTAATTGACTTGCTGATAAAATGAAAAGCTTGAAGTTTAGTCAGAGACCTTTCCAAAATTCATATTATTCAATTCCATGTTGGATTTTTTCTCTACCATTCAATTTTATGTTTTTCTCCTGTCTCAGATCTTCGTTCTTTATCAGCATTCTCTCTTACACTTGCTTTCCTGAGACCCCACTGCACCTGACAGCTTCATATTGAAAACTCTTTATGTTCCCTCAAAGTGAAAAACTAAGAGCTTTAAAACCAAGTTAATAATAGGTCTGACTGTGCCAATGAAACTTGACGTAGGAAATCAAATGTCAGGAGAAATGATGATTTTTTAATTTCTCCCAAAATAAGATGCACGTTTATTCATGTCCTTTCTATCACCACCTTTTATTTTGGCTCTTAACTTTGTCTTTTCCTTAGAAAATTATGAGAAAAATAACCTGGCTTTAGTTTTATGGAAGAGTGATAAATATCTCACTGGACTATGGGCTGTTAATTTGGCAATGAAAATGTAATGAAAGGTTTGTAAGGCTCAGAATGATTTTATCTTGGTCATTATGAACTGTGTTTTATGTAACACCGTATTTCTTTTTCTTGCAGTCAGATAAGCTTAAGGGACTTAAGTGAGGTAAGTAGCAATTTTATCCTTGGAAGCAAAGAAGGGAATTTTGAGGCATTAAATGTCTGCAATAGGCAAGATTCTATTTGCTTCAGATACTTACACTTAGTTCTCACAATAGCTATGCTCAAAATGCATTAGTATCTCTATTTTAAAGATAAGAAAGCCAAAGTAAAACAAGCTTAGCTCCAGATTTTAAACCAAGATCCTGTTTGGCCACCATGGTCATTCAGGGTTCATTTGTTATAGGAAGAACGTGCCCAGTTCCACATGGAAGATATACAGTATCGACTGATGGCTTCCAGCCTTCAGCATTACAGAAATCAAGTGTTAGAAATGGTATTGCACTTTGCTATTTGTCCTTCATAAGAAATACAGGAATGCAAAGTAGAAGGAATATGAGATCCAAAGTTGCACAAGACCTGGGTAGGAATCCTGCCGTGCCACCTACTCGCTTTGTGAACTTCAGAAAATGCTCTTACTCATCCCAGTTTCTGTTTCCTCAGCCATAAAATAGGGATGGGGGCCAGGTGCAGTGGCTCACGCCTGTAATCCCAGCACTTTGGGAGGCCGAGGTGGGCGGATCACCTGAGGTCAGGGGTTCAAGATCAGCCTGACCAACATGAAGAAACCCCATCTCTACAAAAAATACAAAATTAGCCAGGTGTGGTGGCGCATGCCTGTAATCCCAGCCACGCTACTCGGGAGGCTGAGGAAGGAGAATCGCTTGAACCCAGGAGGCAGAGGTTACGGTGAGCCAAGATCATGCCATTGTACTCCAGCTTGGGCAACAAGAGCGAAGCTCCATCTCAAAATAAATAAATTAATTAAATAAATAAAAATAAAATAAAATAGGGATGGGTACATTTCTGTGCAAAGTTGATGTGATAAAGTCAAAAGTAAGTAGTGCACAAATGGCCAGGTGATCAGTGGAGGCTAAATAAATGGCATAAAAGTCATGTGAGATAAACCTATAGTAGAGCCTTCCAAGGGTATTGACTCCCTTCAGTGCCCAAAGACAAAGTTCCCTACGAGGATAGTGGGGTCACCATGACTGATGAAGACTGTCCAACAACACAAGTGGCCTCACCTCACTCCCACTGGACTCTAAGGAATTTTGTTCTTGTCTTTGTGTTTGACCTATGCTCTTATCTATATAGTAGACGTGAATGTCTTTCCTTGCTTTCTTTTTCATTTGTTGGTTTTATGAGAATGTTAAAATCAAAAAGTCACATTTCCAGCTTGTCACTCAAACGAGACATTTATTACCCCTAATCTCCCTAATCCATAAGACAATCGTGCCAAGAAAGATAACATAGATAACTGCTTGACGAGAAGAACAGTTCTGGTTCCACTGAGGACTTCACCAGGCTCATGCTCTTCTGGGAGGGGTTGCACTTCCTTAGTGTCACCTGGAAGGAGCAGGCTGGGGTGATGCTCAGCTGCTGGGGGAACCCACACATCCAAGGTGCCTGAATACAGGACTCCGTCCCCTGCTTCCTGTAAGCTAGGCCTGGGTATCTCGAGTAGTAGTTGGGTGCTGCTCACGATGACGATGACCGCAAATCATAACCCTTTGGTCAGTCTGAGAGGACAGTAGGCCCTCCAATCACAAACAGGCAAAAAAGAATTGGGAGATGGGGGGTCAGCCTTAGATGGCAGGAAATGTGCAGAACTGTTTGTTTTCTTTGCAACTTTAGTTGGCATTCTGCTAGAAGTTGATATCATCTAAAGAACAAGAAGGTCTAGTGCAAAAACACATTCTTGCTCCTTATCTTTTGCCAAGACGCTTCCCCATTGTTTGTTTAGGCTGAGATTCAAGACCATTTCTTCATAACAAAAGCCCATCAGGGCAAGCTGTGCTTGTGCCTGCGCTCAGTGCTTGCTTGAACACTGTCTTGTGGACTAGAATCTTTTATGTGCTACCTCCCTCTGCTCAAATTCATATGGCATTTTATAGTTTTCACAGAAAGGAAAGACTCATTGTCTCATTTTGTACTCACAAAGCCCTAAGAGAAAAATGAAACCCCGGAGAGGTGGCAAACTTGGCCAGAGTCCTCACACCCAGCAGGAGATAGGGCCAGTCCTGGAAATCCCGAAGTCTAGGTGTCTTCCCCACCGCCGTGTCTCTCTGCCTTAAAAAAAATACAGAATTAGCTCTGAACTAAAATAACTAAAAAGAATACGGAAGGAAGGAATGAAAGGAGGGGGCAGAGAAGGTGAAAGAAAGGGAGGAAGGAAAAGGGAAGGAGGGAGGAAAAAGGAAAAGAAAAAAGGAAGGAGAAAGAGGGAGAGAGGTAATAAAAGAGATACTACTATTTAACTTGACTATGTTTATTTTCTAACAATAAAAAAGTTACAGAAGAAAAATGAGCAATTTCATGCTACTTTTCTAACTACATTTGATTTTAAATTCAGAGCCCTCAAACCAAAAGTTGGTTGGTCTCAATTAAATAAAACAACTGCTCCCCCAGATAGAGGGCTTCTCTGCACTGTTCTCATCTCCTCTTCCTCTCCCCTTTGACAAGCCTGAGAGCAATCACTGCATCCGATTGAGCACTTTGAACAGCCAGGTTCAAAGTCCTGGGGGAGACTCAGTAGGGATACTTTCAAACCACCCACTAGAATGGATTCATTACTCTTTTTACTTAGCCTATAGATTTTCTTTGATTTTCTGTCCATAATGAAATGTATGTCCTCTTTCCAGAATCCTAGGGAATGCCAAAGTCTTTGAAACAAAAAGCCTTCTCTGTTGGCTAGCTTCAGAGGGAGGCATACAATGCCTCTCTAAGCAATTTGTTGCCAAAAGTTTCTTATCTATGAAGCAACTATGAGTCAGGAGAGCTGGGCTCAGGGTTAGTTTAGCCTTCAGATGACTGCAGGAATCTAGGAGAATGGCATGACCCTTTGGGACCTCATCTGTAAACCAACTGTTTTTAACATTTAATGGACCTCACACTACTTTGAAAATTTGATGAAAGGTATAATAAACCTTTATCTCCCCAGAAAAAGAAAAAATATATGCACATACTTATAGAGAAAAAAATTTAGCTTTTCATTGCAGAAGGTTCATGGACCCCATCAGGCCATTCAATGATCTCTTTCATCCCCCTGGTTAAAGCAGTTCTTATCTAAATGATACCTGAGGTCTTCTTCAACTGATGCAATATATAAATGGACTTCATAAAATTATTTGCAGTTAAATAAATACTACAGCAAACACTGTATCTACTGTAATGCTTTTTGCTTCTTCAAGGGTAGAGTAGAATAGGGCCCAAAGATACAAGCCCAATAAGCATGAACATTTCCATAATGAAGGATGATCAAGAATTCTACCACCATAAGGAAGAAAGAGAAAGAAAATGTTTGGGAAGATAAATGGCTACATTTAAAAAGGATAATGTGAATATTTCCATGCTTATTTTTAAAAATAGAAATTTCAGAGCAAGTATAAAGAAAAAATTAACCGTAGCCTTATTGCTTAAGTACAACCTTTAATAGTTTATCATATCACTTCAAATCATTTTTTCTGCATACACACAAATATACATGGATATAAAATATAATTGCATAAAAATATATCATGGGTCCAGTTTTTATTCCAAACTTTTAATGTAACATGGGTGCCTACTTACAGTATAATCTTATTTCATTCTCTACATAAATACTTACAATGTCTTTATAATATTCCAATAAGTGAGTATAGCACCAAAATTAATTTTCAGTTATCTGGGCACATAGATTGTTTCCAGTGATTTAACTCTGTAAAAGTAATGATGCAATGAACATCTTTGTGCATAGAACTTGGCTCAGATTTCAGGTTGTATCTTAGAAAAGGAGTCTCATCAATGGAATTATTGAGATAAGAATAAGAGTATTTCTAAGGTTTTTGATAATTATGGTAAATTCCTTTCTAAAAGCGTAAAAGCAATTGATAGTCCCATCAGCCGACTGTGGACTTGTCTGTTCCTTCGCACATTGATTACAAAATTTTGATTTTTGTTTAGTTTTATGAAGAATTATTTGTAGATTTTTTTAAAACTACGAACTATGCTAACAAAAGTTTTACCAAAAGTCTGCCAACCAAATGCTCTAAAAACACACATGGTGTTATATTAAATTCTCTGTCATCAAGAGTCAGTAAATTTTATTTTTTTTAATTCAATACAGGTCCTTGAAGCAGAAAAAGGTGAATTGTTTACATTTGTTTTCTTACCCTAATACTAATAGACTAGGTTCTCTTTCTAGATCTACAGTGCTCATGGTTATTAAAAAGGATTGATTGTTTGGAAGCCTGGGATGGGGATGTATGTGTGTGAACGATGACGTGATCCTGATGCACACACATACATCCCCAGGACCTCAGAGTCCTCTAGTCTAAACAGGGTGATTTAAATCCAGGATAGGCCAGATGTCTTTCTTTAGCCATATGCTACTGTCCAAAAGGCATTACACTGTCACCCTCTGCCACTTTGGAAAGACATAACTAGTCCCCTGCTCCAAAAAAGCTCTTGGGATCTCTGCCTCTGATGTCACCCATGCACACACACGTGGCTCTTTCATGCACACACACACATACATGTACACACGTGCCCATACCTCTAAAGTGTTGGTGTCATTATGCAAGCATGCAATCCAACAGTCACTCATATCCTAAATGGCAGGATGCTAAGCAGGTAGTACTTTCATATTCACCTGTGAAATACTGTTCTCCATTCTTCTAGAATGATGAATTATGTCCAGAGCCAAAGGGCCTGCATCACAGCCCAAAGAGTTCACAAAAGACAGCATCGTTCAACAGAGCAACATTAGGTTAGGATTTCAGAGGCCTGCCACCAAATCACTGAGTGGTTTTGGTCAAGTTGTATTTCATTTGTGAGGCTCAGGTCTGCTCTTCTCTGCATATTGACAAAGCTAAACTTGAAGTGAGGCCTAACTTGGGTTTATGGATTCCCCATGGGTCCCTGATGGAGGAGTAGGAGTTGTTGGCAGGCCTAAATAATTCAAAAACCTAACTGAAACCATGCCCTTTCCGACAATACAGCTCAACCTCCTAACTAAAATGTTCAGGTACTGTTTCATCAGGCAACACAACAATGATTATTAACACAACAATGTGGCATTGTTCAGCTCAAGAGGGGCAGATACTCTGGGTCGCTATTGATGACATGAAATGATTTTATGGGATGCATGATTCATGGACCAGTCACTGACTCACATTTCAAGTAATCACGGTCCTTCGATCAAAGGTATCCAGTTTGTGATGAACCTTGGGCAGAGTACAGAGCAACAAGCACAATTAAAACATGTTGGTGCCTGTATGCACCCTTAGCTTTATTACTTACGGTCACAGCTGGGAGAGTGTTTTATGAGATTTTATATCATAGTATTATGATGTGCCCTTGGCAATTCTGGATGGCTAGTTAAATCTATCTGTGATGAAAAGAAAATAAAAAGCAGGAACATAAATTGCATATGTAATTACTAAATAACTCCAGATTGTATGGTTGGCAGAACTTTTAAAAACTTGATGATCGAGGGGGGAAAAAATTGAGAAACTGTATCCCTGGTCGGAACCTAGCTAGGGACTGCTGGTCTACGTGAGAACCCTAGGAGCTCACCTGCCCTGTCACAAGAGGGCGTGAGAATACAAGCGCCATGACGAGCTGTGCACCCCAATCTCCTCCATCTGCCAGAACAGTCCTTTTGTTTAACTTTCTTCTTCTTAAGATCTCAGCTCAAATGCCATCTCTCAGAAAGGTCTTTTTTAGCCATACGTATAGTCACTCTGTATCCCAAAGTAGTACTTTATTTCCTTTATATCATCGGTACTGCCTAATAGAAATGTTCTTATCGACTTACTTGCATGCTTATTTTCTGTTTCCTTTCATTAGAATGTACGAACCATGTCTGTCTTTTTCTCCACTGTATTCCCAGACTCTGGCAGAGTACTTGTCCCATAGTAGCTATTCAGTAAATGTTTGTCGAATGATATAAATGAATGAATGAATGAGGAGGAAGCTAAAAATCTTTTAAAATCACGGGTCCAGAATAATCCCTAAATACCTTCCAATGTAATATTCTGTATTTTTGGGAGGTTCAATGATGTGTTCTAGCTTGTAAATATTAAAAGTGATTTTTATAACCTCAGAGCAAAAGTCATTCTGAGGAGCCAGAAGAGCCGTAGAATACATGAGTTATAGTTTCCACCGACCATCAAGAGCCCCCTTCTAATAATCAGAGATTACTTGGAGGAAATTATAGTAGTTCCAGTGGGCTTCTAATGGTTCTCAATTATTTTTCTTTTGCAACCTGACCAAATTATGTCACTGTTTTATATAGTTCCTCATAACCAGAGGAAGCCTGAATCAACTCATCTGTTAGAAAACCAAAATACTCAAGAGATTCCACTTGCCATTAGCAGGTAAGGAGCCAGGAATCCTTTCTCAGGTCTGAGGCTGAGGGGTCAGGCCATGTGCTGTCTCAGATAAATGATCACAAAGACTTTCTGAGAAACGAAAGTCTTTGTTTCTGAAGCCCAATAATGAGGCTCAAGAGAAACTTGTGAATCACAGCTGTTATTGATGTTAATAATGTTGTTCTTTTGGAAATTTATAAATGATTGATTGAGTGTTAAAGAAGTTTGGGAAATTTTAAGGATTAAATATTAACCAGATAGGATTAACGGGAAAAGATGCTAATCAACCTGGGAGGAAAAGTTTGTTGTTTCAAACTATTCAGGGTTGATGACCACACCAAAGCTTTAGTTACTTCTGAACAGCAATTTATGGCTAGAAGACCAAGTGTTGTTGAAAATGCCATCATCAGATTAGATACCTGCCTGCTCCGCTTATTGTGACAACTGTCAATCCAACTGAAGAGTTAAAGAAGCCAAGGCTTGGCCGGGCGCGGTGGCTCACGCCTGTAATCCCAGCACTTTGGGAGGCCGAGGCAGGTGGATCATGAGGTCAGGAGATCGAGACCATCCTGGCCAAAACAGTGAAACCCCGTCTCTACTAAAAATACAAAAAAATTAGCCGAGTGTGGTGGCGGGTGCCTGTAGTCCCAGCTACTCGGGAGGCTGAGGCAGGAGAATGGCGTGAACCCGGGAGGCAGAGCTAGCAGTGAGCCAAGATGGCGCCACTGCACTCCAGCCTGGGCGACAGAGTGACACTCTATAAAGAAAAGAAGCCAAGGCTCAGTCAGGATATTTATTGACCAAAGTCACTAAATTAGTAGTGACTGCCCTAAAACAAAATCCAGGGCCTCCAGTATTAGTGCTGTAAGGCCCTCATGATCTCACTCCGGCCAGTGGCTCTGACCTCAGTTCAAGCCACTTTCCTCTCACTCTCGGCACTGCAGCCTCGTCAGATGCCTGCCAGCAACCACAATGCCACTTAATGCATGGCACTGGCACACACCACTCTCCTGCCTGTAGCCCCTCCCCCCGTATTTGCTCCTCTCCACCCTCTCCCTATTGGAACACTCCTATTCCTCCATGGAACCCCAGCTTAAAGCTTAATGAATCCAGGAGATAATTTGCCTCCATTCTTCAGATGAAAAACATGAAGCTGGGAAAGACCGAGCCCTTTACCACTGAAGCCAAGCCCAACCTCAAAGCCCAAGCACTGTTCAGTAGCCAGTGTTGCCCATAAGGACTTGAGTCTAAAAATGCAGCCCATAAATCCTGACTATCCCTGGTGCCTGCTAAAAAGCTCCCTTTAATTGATTCAATAATTATTTACTGGGAATGTACTATGTTTGTGGTGGAACAGAATAGTGGTTAAGCAGGATCCACTGAAGCCAGGCTGCCTGACTTTTTCAGCAGTGAACCATGTGACTTGGGCGACCTCACTGTATTACATGAGAAACTTAGGGCAGAGTCAGGCATGTTGCAAGAGCCCAACGAACATTCACTCTCATTGCTATTGCCAGGCCCTGTATATCGGGGCATGATCACCATACCCTATGCCTTTCTGCTCCTTTACTTTCTTCTCTGGTCCCATTTGGCACCTTCAGTAATTTTATTCTCATTTCTTGGCCTGTGGGTACTAGGACATGTAGCTTCATTGTGCTTTGGGGACTGTCTGGTGTTTAAGTCCCAAACAGCTTAAATACAAAACTCTTCCCCATACCACAATATCATCCTCCTCCTCCTCCTCCTCCTCCTCCTCCTCTTCTCTTTTCTTTCTTTCTTTCTTTTGTTTTTTCTTCCTTCCTTCCTTTCTTCCTTTCTTTCTTTCTTTTTCTTTGAGACAGGGTTTTATTCTGTCTTGTAGTGGCACAATCACATCTCAATGCAGCCTTGACCTCCCGGGCTCAAGTGATCCTCCCACATCATCCCCCAGAGTAGCTGGAACTATAGGCACATGCCACCATGCCCAGCTAATTTTTGTACTCTTTGTAGAGAAGGGGTCTCACCATGTTGCCCAGGCTAGTCTCGAACTCCTGGGCTCAAGTGATTCACCCACCTTGGCCCCCAAATGTGCTGGGATTACAGGCATGAGCCACCATGCCTGGCCCCCTTTCTTAATGTAATTTTCTAAAAGTAAAAAATGTACACATTATATTATAGTGAAAAAATAACAAGCTCTCCAGTTGGCCTCATTTCTGTAATAGTTATTTGATGTGGTTTCACTTCTTTTGTTTATTTGTTTGTTTGTTTCATTTATTACATAAAGACCCTTGATTTTTCTCCCTCTCTTAACTGGCTGCTGCTTCTTCTAATTCCTCATCTTGGACTTTTTCCCAAACTGACCTCCAAATGTTGGTATTCGTCAGAGTTCATCCAAGGTCTCTTTACTATCTCTAAGGCCTGCGTAATCACATCCATCCCCAGCATCAAACTTCAACCCCATGTTGATAATTCCCAAATCCCTATCTTCTGCAAATCACCTCTCTCAGCTCCAGACCTGTGTATCTAATGACCCAGTGAGCAGTTTTCCTTAGCTCAGTCCCAGGCAGCACAGACTCACAATGGTGGAAATCGAACTCTTCATTTCTAGTCCCATTCTGAAACCCATAATATCCTCTGCAAAGCTTTTCATCCCGGTAAACTCAGTAAGCTCTCTTTCCCATCGTCACTCTTCCTATCCCACCCATTTTCAGTTCCCAAAATTATATCTCTAAAACATGTGTTGAATGTGTCTATTTCTCCCCCATTTGACTAGCTCCTTGCATGGCCCAGCCACTATCAACTTTTACCTGGACTATTGCACTAGCCTTCTAATAATATTGATCATCTCCACACCCTCCCTTTCCTCTAGAAGGAACTGCTTTCTGGTCTCTTGCAGAAAAGGCCATGGCTCCTTGCCTCTGGGCCTTTGCACATGCTGCTCTACCTGCCTGGAATACACCCTTACTCCTATTCATGCTTCAGGGGTCAGCTCGGTTCATCTTTCTCCCACAGAGCCTTTCCTGAGAACGAAAGCAATTTTGTTTCATTTACATGACCTTTTACTACTACAGAAACTTATGCTGTGCACACCTTTACCATAACATTTATTCTACATTATAATTATGATACAAGGATGTGTTTCTTTTATAAACTAAGCTTCATTCAGGCAGAGGCCATGTCTTCTTTATTGTCTATTCCCCAGAACATACCATGTGCCTAGTAAGTGTTCAACACGTTTGTTAAACAAAAGAGTCATCATTTTTATTTTCTTTCTTTCTTTTTTTTTTTTTTTTTTGAGAGAGTTTCACTCTTGTTGCCCAGGCTGGGGTGCAGTGGTACGATCTCGGCTCACTGCAACCTCCACCTCCTGGGTTTAAGCAATTCTCCCGCCTCAGCCTCCCAAGTAGCTGGGACTACAGGCAGATGCCACCACGCCCAGCTGATTTTTGTATTTTTAGTAGAGACAGGGTTTCACCATGTTATCAAGGCTGGTCTTGAACTCCTGACCTCAGGTGATCTGCTCACCTCGGCCTCCCAAAGTGTTGGGATTACAGGTGTAAGCCACCGTGCCAGGCCTTTAATTTTCCTTTTTCTTTTTTTTTTTTTTTTTGAGACAGAGTCTCACTCTGTTGCCCAGGCTGGAGTGCCATGGCGCGATCTCGGCTCACTGCAACCTCCGCCTCCCAGGTTCACACCATTCTCCTGCCTCAGCCTCCCTAGTGGCTGGGACTACAGGTGCCCACCACCATGCCCGGCTAATTTTTTATATTTTTAGTAGAGACGGGATTTCACCGTGTTAGCCAGGATGGTCTCGATCTCCTGACCTTGTGATCCGCCTGCCTCAGCCTCCCAAAGTTCTGGGATTACACGCGTGAGCCAACACGCCCAGACTTAATTTTCATTTTCATTATTTTGTTTTTATTTTTTCCCCTTATATTCATATCAACTATGTACTTCTAGAATATCCTCAAGAGGATATTTCTATTCTTTTCAACATTTTCTAAAAATCCTATACTATTAGCGCAGAGAAATTTTGCTATTCCCTATTTTTTCCCAGACATTTAACAGAATTGTACACTGGCTGCTAGTAAAAGGATTCTGGTTTTAACGGAGTCAAATCTTGAATTTCAGTAGCAGTCTGACTGGCGGTGACAGCATAGTATGGTGGCTGGATGAACTGCTTGCGTTTTTATCCACAAAGCAAGACATATGACCTCAGGCTTTTATGGTGACAACATAAACCAGATATATGCTCAGGTGATTTCATTGGCACTAGAAATGGATCAGGTTTCATTTAATTAACCCAGAGGCTTTAGTCAATAGCACAGTCCTTGGAATAGAGCATCACTCATGTAATTAGATTTAACTGTGGTAGCACCTGGAGCTTATGTTGATGATACTGACCACAATACAAAATGAACCAGAAAATTAGAGCTAAGTATTAAGTAGAGTGCTAAGAAAAGCCACTGATGAACAGTCTTGATAATATCATTTTTGTATTTAGAAATGCATATTGTTATTTTGTTTGTCTTATAGTTTTATAATCTCTTTTTCTTTGGGGTTTTTCTTATCATAATCCACTAAGTTTTCTTACTCAGCACAAATTTCTAGAAGGAATACAATAATTTCTATATTCTTCTTCCACTTTATGGTTGACTTTCAATTGGTAAATAGTTTCTATAGATTATGAGCCCCCACCAGCAAAATGTTCTTTTCCATAGTGACTGTAGCTACAAAGCAAGTTTAAACTCATGGCTTCAAAAAGTAAAGAATAATGATACGTGCTCACTGAAAAGACATGAGAAGAACTTATATGGTCAGTTTGTTCCACGTCTAATATAGCCAGCTTGAGAAAGGAGGATAACATGCCTCCTAGTGCTTTTCAAAACAAATGATTCTTCTAGCATATCCAGTAAAATATAAAGTGCTTTATAACTGTGACTTCAGGCTATTATCATTGACCTTGCCTCTGAGTGGAATTTTACCACCAAGGGGAAATACTAACATTCTTTGAATTTTAACATATTTTCTTATAGTTCTTCATTCACGACAAGCAACCACAGTGTGCAAAACAGAGGTAAGAGCACTTTCAGAATTATAAAATAAACAGGTAAGTCACGATACTGTGATATTGTGGCACTGTGACTTAGCTGTTGTGAACCCCAGAGCCACTGAGCTGATGTGTACAGATGTAATTAGCTCATTTCCATTGCGTTACTATGACAATAATTTTATTCCATGATTAAATATGATCACTTAGGTGGTTTCTAGTTTTTCCTCTTGTGAATATTATTATGCTATCAACACTAGTATAGATGTTGTCCCATGTATAAAATGTGATCATTTCCCTTCATAAGACTGAAATTGCTCTGTCTTAGGATATGCACATCTCTTCAACTGCCCTAGATGTGTTTTCCGAAGTAGACATTAATTAGTCTCACCAACAGTGTGTGAGTCCCCATTGTTCCCCATCCTCTCCAACAGTTGTTTTTGACAAACTTTTAATTTTTCCCAATCCATTGGGTGCAAAACAAATTTGTCTCAAGAAAAAAATCTGTGAAATGAAGAAAATAAAACTGACACCTCTTAGTAACTGTTTGTAAAGTAAAAATCAGAAGGATATCACATCTGCGGCGATGTCTGAAGTGGCATATAAATACAGAGTTCTATGACTGTTAGTGGTGGGTGTTGATACTATTAGTTATTCTGTGCAAACTAGAGCCATCATATTCATTTGTCTTTCCTTTTTTCACTCTGTGTGCCATGAAGATTCTGTGTTGACATCTAGCACTGGAATCTCTCTTTGTTGAGCCAAAAAAAAAAAAGGGGGCTTAAGCCTGGAGGAAGCAAAGCCCACAGGGTATTGTGGAGAGGATGAGGTTCTCCACTGATCCTGCTCCTAATTCTATCTCTCTCTTTATAGTAAGATCACTTGGAACAAATTAATTCTTTGAGCTTTACCTTTCCCTTTTCATAAAATTCAAGTAGTAATGTTAACTGACATATTCATATTAATATAATATTTGCACACACACACACACACACAGCCCTCTGCCTGCCATGTAGTAGGCAACTGATACATTTTAATGTCCTTTTTTGCTTTTCTGCATTCTCTTTTCTTCTTCCCACCCAAATGGCCTCAGTAGGCCTATGGGTTGTCTCGCTGGCTTCCATCATGACTTCAAGTCACTTCTGCCATATGCCATCTGGGCCTGAGGCTGGAAAACCAAGCTGATAAATTCGCTTCCCCTCACATACACATTGCTAATGCGTTTCCCAACAGAAGATTCCTTTATTTAAAAGGTGCCCAAAGAGGGCTAAAATAAACCCAACGAAATCAATCCCTAGTCATCAAATGTCAGGAATGGGAGTCCTAAAGGTCAGATCTGGGTGGATGAAGATGAAAGACTTGGAGCATCCAGGAGGAAAGTCCAGGGGCTGACTGGGCCCAGAAGAGGTCTTACTTATGGAGGTTTTGTTGCAGGGATGGGGAAGCAGAATCATAGCTTAGAGAGAAATCCAGAATCTTAACTTGAAATATAAAATCATGCACAAATAAAAAATAAAGAGCAACTGAAGAATGGAATGGAGTGATGGAAATGGCCTTCACAGATATGAGTCCAGTCAAGCACCCCAGGGCTGTAAGTAGATCATCTGTACTGGGGTTGCTTAGGTTCCTCTCAGCTCATCTCACTTCATCTCAGAGGAAACAAGGTTGCTGAAAGAAGCCTGGGATGGATGGGGAAATGTTTGAGGCTTCATTAGTTCCTGTTTTCGTAAACAAACACCCACAAGAACATGGTTTGTACCAAAAATTGGGCTGGGCCCCAAGAATGCAGAGTGAAGACCACCCCACCTTCTCTTAACCAGTGCTTAAGCACCCCTGCAATGTTCCTCCATCAGCTACTGAACCGATACTCATTCTACTGGGTATGAATTCATGCCTGGATCACCAGTACTTGGTGATGTTAAGTAGGCAGAAAACAACACGCAGTCTCTACACTCCTAGAATTATAAGTCTGATGAGCTCTCTAATGCATCAGGTATGGGCATTCATGCAGCAGAGTGAAATTTACACCTCCATAGTTGTACGTTATTATACTTATTTGACAAATGAGAAAATAATTTTGGGGAAGTTCAGTTATTCTTGTTCAGTGACTGCCTGATAAACAGATTTGGCTCAATTCTTTGATAAATGCATTCAAGTTAAACTATTAGGATCCCAAGCAAGTGGATCTCAGGAGAGAAAAAAATATTTTGACATGTTGGAAGAGGCCCCAGTTTTGGTTATATTCCAAAGTAGTAACAACGTTATTCTCTAAGTCTGGGATTGTAGATCATCTGTTTTCATTTTTAGTGTTTGTTCACCAATGCTTTCTTTTTGCTTTAAAATAGATGGCTCTTTTTCCTATAAAATTATGTTTTAAATTGTGTATAAGGGTAAATTAAATTTTTCTAATAAATATTTATTGACTACCTGCTTAAAATAAAATGCTTTATTTTAAGTTACAACAGGGAGGTCTAGAACTGTGTTTCTCTAGCAATATTAGCAACACTCAACAGCTAGTCTTGATGGAGTGGTTATATGATCAGACACTGTGCTAAGAGCTTAATCTATAATGCATAAGAATTTTAAATATTAGTAATTATTGATATCAGTTTGGTTTTTCAACCCATGCCTTTTCTATTAGGCTACTCTCCCTCAAATTTATTGTGCACCTCCACTATGCTAGTCCCAATGTTCCTCTCCTTGTCTTGTGGCTTCATTTCCTTGACCCTCCATTCTCCATGTTAGGAGAGTCCTATTTCATGGGGTTATAAAACTTGAATGTAATGTTTTCTTTCAGAAAAAAAAAAAAATTCCAAAGATTAACTGCTTTGATTATTTTAAAACAAAATCAACTAAATACTTATAGTGAGTTACATAGTCAGAATTTCTTTCATTCATTCATTCAACAAAGATACAACCAGGCTTTCAGGGAAAATTTACTTGGCAAACTTGTTCTTCTTGTTTCTTTGCTCTGTTTTGTTTTAAGTCATTCTCTGAACAAACTACAAATGCATAGCTGTTTCCAAATGCTCTTTTTCAAGGAGGACTTTTAAAATATCCAAGCAAGGCACTGAAGGTTAAAAAAGAATAAATCAGTTGCCACAATATCATGAAAAATTCATAATCACTGAACATTATTATGTATGCAACACCATCTAAGTGATAGGAAATACCGAAAATGGTTATTTTCCCTTCTTGAGTATGTTCCTACTTCTTCAATCGACGTTGAAAGTTAATTATGGCCATTTAAATAAGTCTCAAGTCAATTTTATTGTGTATTAGTACAGCTCTGTTTGCTTTCGCTTGGTTAGGATCTTCCTGGTATACAGGTCTCCATCCTTTTACTCTCTCTGTCATTATATGTTAGAAGTGCAATCAGTACATAACTGGAATTTTTAAATCAATCTGTAACTGATTTTAAAAGGTAAGTTTGCACCTTTGATATTTATCTTGATTACTGATATTTTGGGGTCTGTTTTTATATTATGTTGTGCCTCCTATTTGTCCTACTTTGTATTGACTTTTTTTTTGTCCTGCTGTATACTGGATTCATCTCTCCTTTATTTTCCTTTCTTTCTTTTTCTTGGAAGTTGTACATTCCAGTATCAGTCTTCTTTTGATTATCCTAAATATTTTTAATAATGGCATGCTAAAATTTTAACTATCTGAAATTCATATTTTCTTTTCAAACAATACAAAAAACTTAGAATGCTTTATTTCTGAAGGTGCAGATTCTTCATTGTGTTTGAAAGTTAAACTTTTATTTATAAAATAACATTTTAAAACTAGGAATGGCTCTAGTTTTATTCCTATTTTTGAAGATATAAATTGATGGCTGAAAATAACTAACCATAATTAAGGTAATTTAAACTGTAAGTGATCAAACAGTTTTCTGCAACAAATATTTTGATACAAATAAGCCCTCACAACAAACATCCTTAGGCTCAACATTAAAAGCTACAATCCTGGCCAGGCGTGGTGGCTCACGCCTATAATCCCAGCACTTTGGGAGGCCGAGGTGGGCGGATCGCCTGAGATCAGAAGTTCAAGACCAGACTGGCTAGCATTGCAAAACCCTGACTCTACTAAACACAAAAATTAGCTGGGCATGGTGGCGGGCGCCTGTAATTCCAGCTACTCGGGAGGCTGAGGCAGGAGAGTTGCTTGAACCCAGGAGGCAGACGTTGCAGTGAGCCAAGATTGTGCCATTGCACTCCAGCCTGGGCAACAAAAGCAAAACTCCATCTCAGAAAAAAAAAAAAAAAAGCTACAATCCTTGGTCTCATTAGAATAAAATTGCCAGTGTATCAGAAGTAGTGTTCTTCTTAGTAAACTTAGAGATAAATTTGGCTTTTTGATTAGCGCCTATATAATCTAAATGTTATGGAAAATGGCATGTATTTGCTAATGTTTAATTAATATTTCATCTCAAAAATTTAGTGGATCAAAAGCAACCCATCCTTTCAAAGTTCTTGTTAAGTTACTAACCATAACTGTAACTTTGGTTATGTTTTTTAGAATTAATTACAACTAAAAAGCTTATAATTCTGTATTCACACTGATTACCTCTTTTCCATTTCATGTTATTTTTGCCTAGTATTTTACTTACATAATGTTTATATATCCTAAAGATTTTATGTTTTTAAAATAGTTACTCCTTGCTTAAAATTACCAAAACATTCACAGATGTTTTGCTTGGTATTCCTCCTTATACTTCACTCCATGTTTGTGTTCTAAATTTCAAAAAAAAAAATTTTTATTATTATTGACTGGAAAGACATGCAATGATAATATGTTATTTTGATTGAGGTATATAGAGAAAATACCACATTAACATTTGACAAGTGGTAGCATCTTAAAGCTTAGGTGTCATGTGAAATCAAAGCCCTATCAATGAACTTTTTATATTCTGCTACTGTAAAATCCCTTGGTCTGTCTTGTACTTGAATTTACCTTTTATCCAGGCAGGACTGTGCAGCATCATGCATTGATCACTTGGAAAATAATAGATAATAGACATAAACAGGTCTGCCACTGTTGATATATGCTATTATGTAATATCTTTTTAAAATCACATTTGCACCACCCACCACAGTAGAAAAGTGTAAATGTTGGGTTTCTGTTATGTTACAGTGGCAGATACAAGATTCCTCAAATTCCAGTTTGCACTTGCAAAGTCTGATTTTGTGATCAGTAACAGATACTGCCGCTTGTTTTCCATGAGGTGTCAGGCTCACTTTGTTCATTTTTAGTAACATATCTGTCAAATATCCAAGTCGGAATAACAGTAGTTTGTCAGTCATTCTTTGGGTTAAAAAAGATGATGTTTCATTTTTTGAAGTTATTCTTTCAAGTTGAAAAAAAAAAAATG
The DNA here is from genome assembly GCF_000001405.40 of Homo sapiens. Taxonomy (NCBI): domain Eukaryota; kingdom Metazoa; phylum Chordata; class Mammalia; order Primates; family Hominidae; genus Homo; species Homo sapiens. The sequence goes on along the minus strand of NC_000004.12, from coordinate 10,515,446 downwards.
GTGTTTCCAAAGTAGAGAATGAACTTGTCATGTTTAAGAAAAGGAACAGAGTTCATTACACACAGAACAGAGTAGACAATTGGGAGAGAAATCAGGATGAGGATGGAGAAATATGAGTAGACAGTCCATTCAGAGCCTTATGGACAGAAGGAAATCATTTACATTTTTTTCTAGGTGGAAAGGAAATCATATCAGAATTCTTTTTTTTTGAGATGGAGTCTTGCTCTGTTGCCCAGGCTGGAGTGCAATGGCATGATCTCGGCTCATTGCAACCTCCGCTTCCCAGGCTCAAGCGATTCTCCTGCCTCAGCCTCCCTAGTAGCTGGGATTACAGGAGCACGCCACCATGCCCGGATAATTTTTGTATTTTTAGTAGAGACGGGGTTTCACCATGTAAGCCAGGCTGGTCTCAAACTCCTGACCTCAGGTGATCCGACCCGCCTCGGCCTCCCGAAGTGCTGGGATTACAGGCATGAGCCACCACACCCGGCCCAGAATTACATTCTTAAAAGATGACTCTGGGATTGTTTGTTTTTTTCTTGTAAATTTGTTTGAGTTCATTGTAGATTCTGGATATTAGCCCTTTGTCAGATGAGTAGCAGGTTGCGAAAATTTTCTCCCATGTTGTAGGTTGCCTGTTCACTCTGATGGTAGTTTCTTTTGCTGTGCAGAAGCTCTTTAGTTTAATTAGATCCCATTTGTCAATTTTGGCTTTGGTTGCCATTGCTTTTGGTGTTTTGGACATGAAGTCCTTGCCCACGCCTATGTCCTGAATGGTAATGCCTAGGTTTTCTTCTAGGGTTTTTATGGTTTTTGGTCTAACGTTTAAATCTTTAATCCATCTTGAATTGATTTTTGTATAAGGTGTAAGGAAGGGATCCAGTTTCAGCTTTCTACATATGGCTAGCCAGTTTTCCCAGCACCATTTATTAAATAGGGAATCCTTTCCCCATTGCTTGTTTTTCTCAGGTTTGTCAAAGATCAGATAGTTGTAGGTATGCAGCGTTATTTCTGAGGGCTCTGTTCTGTTCCATTGATCTATATCTCTGTTTTGGTCCGGCCATCCCATTACTGGGTATATACCCAAATGACTATAAATTATGCTGCTATAAAGACACAGGCACACGTATGTTTATTGCGGCATTATTCACAATAGCAAAGACTTGGAACCAACCCAAATGTCCAACAATGATAGACTGGATTAAGAAAATGTGGCACATATACACCATGGAATACTATGCAGCCATAAAAAATGATGAGTTCATGTCCTTTGTAGGGACATGGATGAAATTGGAAACCATCATTCTCAGTAAACTATCGCAAGAACAAAAAACCAAACACCGCATATTCTCACTCATAGGTGGGAATTGAACAATAAGATCACATGGACACAGGAAGGGGAATATCACACTCTGGGGACTGTGGTGGGGAGGGGGGAGGGGGGAGGGATAGCATTGGGAGATATACCTAATGCTAGATGACGAGTTAGTGGGTGCAGCGCACCAGCATGGCACATGTATACATATGTAACTAACCTGCACAATGTGCACATGTACCCTAAAATTTAAAGTATAATTTAAAAAAAAATAAAATAATAATAATAATAATAATAATTTAAAAAAAAAAAGATGACTCTGGGAGCCCTAAGGAAAGAGAGGAGGAAGGGCAAAGCTACAGGTAGAGAACAAAACAGAGAGAATTAAGGTCACTGAGTGAGCTGATATGGTGTTGACCAAGAAGGTCCTCACAGATATAGGAAGGAGCAAAGGGTTTCAGCTCCTTTCTGGAGGTGGGGGACAGACTGCACCAGTCACAAAATCACACTGAAATGTGAATTTAACCTTTCCAGATCATAGAGGAGGCATGCAGCCCTGTTCTCCTCAGAGATGCCAGCCTCCAGCCAGCTGCAGCCCTCACGAAAATATACTGCCCTATAAATACACAAGCTGGAGACCACCTTTCCCCAAAAGGTCTGATAGAAAGGTAAGCAGACACTTCTCTGCCAAGTCCTTCTAGATGTACTTGGCATCTAAATAGAGCTTTCCTGAACAATGCCCAAAAGGAGATTATTTATGTTTGACTTTAACTTTTTCCCTTCTGGCTATATGTTACTGGGTTTTAATATTTTTAAAGTATTTTAATATTTTTAAATATGTTGCTATATAACATATTACATTGGTCTCTCACCAGATTCTTTGACTGGCATGTTTCCAGATTCTAAAGTGTTTTTTTAAAAATTAATCCAAAAAATACAGATATTTAGACACGTGTTTTATATTTACCAGCTGTCCAATAATCTTGTGGGGGGTTAACTAGGATATACAGGTTGCAATTTTTTTCCAGCAAAAGATCCATGTATTACACACTCATTTCAGTTGAACAGTCCAGCGACCATTAGTTGAGCAGTTATTATGTGCCAGACAATGTGCTAGAGGTTATGATCCCCACCCTAATGGAGATGTAAAGAGTGGGGAGATGCAAATGGATACTAACTGTGTTCTTGTGTGTCTGTCATCTATTTTGTGGTCTCTTTCTAAAATATGCTCATTCACTACAATTGGTTATTTTTGGACCATTTTTTACTTACATTACCCTATGGTGGGGGGGATAAAGTTTCACTGTATCTTGTATGCTTTCTCTCCATCACATTGGATGTTACTTACTAAAGTCTTTCACTGTAAAGCCCCAGAGGATGTGCCTCTTCCAGGTCTCCATCCCATATCCTGCTATTACTCACTGTCCTGCTACAGAGTTCGTGAAGATTTCTAAGCAGAAGCAAATGTATAGAATATCTCTGGTGAATTCCTACAGTATCCTAAAGCTCTTTTGTTATCCTTATATTCATATTAATTTCTACCTAATTCTAAAAGGGTCTCATAATCTTAAATTAGACTTTGGAAAATATTTTCACATCCTGGCCAGGCACGGTGGCTCATGCCTGTAATCTCAGCACTTTGGGAGGCCAAGGTGGGTAGGTCACCTGAGGTCAGGAGTTCGAGACCAGCTTGACCAACATGGAGAAACTCTATCTCTACCAAAAATAAAAAAATTAGCCAGGCGTGGTGGCACATGCCTGTAATCCCAGCTACTTGGGAGGCTGAGGCAGAAGAATCGCTTGAACCTGGGAGATGGAGGTTGCAGTGAGCCAAGATCTCACTACTGCACTCCAGCCTGGGCAACAGAGCTAGACTTCATCACAAAAAAAAAAAAAAATGCATATCCTTCTTTTATTGTCCCTTGTCATGCACTCGGCTTCCTTTTGCTCTTTCATCTTCTTCGTAAACATGGGGATCACTTGGTTCTAACTAGAGGTCCACACAAGATTACGCTCCCTCCCAGATCCCAGATTCCTCATAGGCATGAGACAGGCTTGGACCACATCAGGATTTCCCTGATTTCAGCTATTTGAGTATACCTTTATGATTTGTGGCATATCTATGTCCTGTCAATAATAACATTTAGTTAATAATATTCTTTAAGGTGACCTGTTTTCACTTTATATCACTACTCTGGTTAATTTTTTTAACTAGTATTATATATTGTAGAAAGTGACTTTAGAAGTATTCCATTCCTTAGTCTATGCCCAAAAGAATTGAAAGCAGAGACTCAGATATTTGTACACCCATGTTCATAACATTATTTACAATAGACAAAAGACGGAAATAACCTATATGTCCATTGACAGATGAATGGATAAACAGAATGGTATACACACACACACAATGAAACAGTTTACAGCTCTAAAAAGGAATAAAATTCTAACGTGATACAATATACAAGAACCTTGAAAACATTATGCTGAGTGAAATAAGTCAGACATGGAGGACAAATATATGATTCCAGGAATACAAGGTACCTAGAATAGGCAAATTCATAGAGACGGAAGGTAGGATGGTGGTAACTGGGCCCTGAGGAAGGAGGTGGAGGTAATGGAGAGTTATTCTTTAATGGATACAGAGTTTCAGTTTGGAGTCATTAGAAACTTGGAGATGGATAGCGGAAATGGCTGTAAAGCAATGTGAATGTACTTAATGCCACTGAATTATACACCTAAAAATGGTTAAAATGGTAAATCTTATTATATTATTGCCGAAAAGAGTCAAATTCTGGAAAATATTTGAAGAGATTTATTCTGAGCCAAATATGAGTGACCATGGCCCGTGACACAGCTCTCCAGAGATCCTGAGAACATGTGCCCAAGGGGGTCAGGGTGCAGCTTGGTTTTATACTTTTTAGGGAGATAGGAGACTTCAATCAAATATGCTTTTTTTTTTTTTAATTTTTTTTGAGACAGAGTTTCCGCTCTTTTTGCCCAGGCTGGAGTGCCATGGGGCAATCTCAGTTCACTGCAACCCCCGCCCCACCTCCCGGCTTCAAGTGATTCTCCTGCCTCAGCCTCCCAAGTATCTGGGATTACAGGCATGTTGCCACCACTCACGGCTAATTTTGTATTTTCAGTACAGACGGGGTTTCACCACGTTGGCCAGGCTGATCTTGAACTCCTGACCTCAGGTGATCCACCTGCCTTGGCCTCCCAAAGTGTTGGGATTACATTTAACAAATACATTGTTTCAGTCCAGAAAGGTGGGACAGCTTGAAGTGGGGCCTTCCAGGTTATAGGTAAATTTTAGCAATAGGTTGAGTTTATCTAAAGACCTGGGATCAATAGAAAGGGAATATCACTGATAGATAGAGGGCTTATTATCGGTGAAGATAAGGCCTTGTGGAGACCAAAGTTCTCATTGTACAGATGAAGCCTTCAGGTAGCAGGCTTCAGAGAGAATAGATTGTAAATGCTTCTTCTCAGACTTAAGGTCTGGATAGATGTTAGTGCCGAAGAGCTATGAGGCGTGTCTGACCCCTACTTCCCATCATGACCCAAACTAGTCTTTCAGGTTAAATGTTAACAGTGCCCTGGCAGAGGAGGAAGTCCATTCAGATGGTTGGGGGACCTTAGAATTTTATTTTTGATTTACAATATTTTTCCCTAATTTTTTTAAAAAGTCATTGCAACGCAAACAAAACACGCTATTAAATTGTAGCAGGATCCCATCACCTGCTAATGGCTGTCAGCATAAGGACTGCTCTTCTTCTGTTAAAGAAGAGATTAGAAATGGCAGAGAGATATTAACGACATATTTGGCCAAAATGAAACATTCCTTTTGAATTATTCAGGGGGGCTAGAAAGAGAATTAGAAGGGGACTTCCCCCCTCCCCCCGCAAGTGATTCTGAGATACGTAGTTCAGTTTCTGAGCACCAGCTACACTCACCAGCCACACTCACCAGCCATCCCTCATGATCACACCTGGAGAAACACAGGACTAATCTCTAAATGTCTTCCAACTTGGACAAATAAATAAAAACCGACTTGATGAAATGCACCATGACTGAGTTCTTCCAAGTCCCTGGACTGGCCAAGAGGTCCCCTGGAAGCAGTAGACCACCTCAAGCTCAGACAGCTCATGCTTCAGTCAGGAGATGGGGCTCCAAGGCTTCCTTTGTCTCTAGAGCCTGTCACGTGGCTTTGCTGGAGTGAGGCAGAGCCGGTTCTGCCATGGACCTTTTCAGCACTACCTCTCCCCTGGGGGTAGGGACTAGGTCAAATAAGAGGTGACTTTTTGGCCAGGTGCAGTGACTCACACCTGTAACCCCAGCACTATGGGAGGCTGAGGCATGTGGATCACCTGAGGTCAGGAGTTTGAGACCAGCCTGAGCAACACGGTGAAACCCTGTCTCTACTAAAAATACAAAAATTAGCCGGGCATGGTGGCCACATGCCTGTAATCCCAGCCACTTGGGAGGCTGGGGTAGGCGAACTTCTGGAACCCAAGAGGCAGAGGTTGCATTGAGCTGAGATCGTGCCATTGCACTCAAGCCAGGGCAACAAGAGCAAAATTCCATCTCAAAAAAAAAAAAAAAGAGGTGACTTTTGGTCCCAATCTTGATGCAAAAGAATGCCTGAGCTGGGTAGGCAGAGGTGAGGACCAGGAGGGATTCCAGGCAGTAGGGCCAGTTCTGGTCTATCCCTAAAGCTGTGTGTGTCCAGAGTACAAGCACTTTTGTCTGGCCAGGCCCATGGCTGAAATGGGGTGTCAGGAAGTGAGGCTGCAGGGTTGAGTTAGAGCTAGCTCATACCATTCCAGATGGTGTTCACATCAGATCATGTGGTGTCCATCACATCATGTGAACAGAATCAGAATCTCAGTATTTAATATATCAGGTTTACTTTCCAGTGGACCACAGACTCCAAATGAATGAGAGACCAAAGACCTGATGTCACGTACCTAACTCTTGCCAACCATGTGACAGGTTTAGACTTCCTTTTTTTTTTTTTTTTTTTGAGACCGAGTCTCACTCTGTCACCAGGCTGGAGTGCAGTGGCACGATCTCGGCTCACTGCAACCGCCGCCTCCCAGGTTCAAGCGATTCTCCTGCCTCAGCCTCCCAAGTAGCTAGGACTATAGGCACACGTCACTACACCCGGCTAATTTTTGTAGTTTTAGTAGAGACGGGGTTTCACCATGTTGGCCAGGATGGTCTCGATCTCCTGACCTTGTGATCCGCCCGCCTTGGCCTCCCAAAGTGCTGGGATTACAGGCATTGAGCCACCACACCCAGCCCAGATTTTGACTTTCTGAAACTTCACTGTCCATCTTCACTAGGGTCTATACTACATGACATGCCTACTTCAAAGATGTGCTGTAGGGATGGATTGACATGCTACTAAATGAGGAAGGACCTTATAGATGCTGGACTCACAAGGGGGGTTATTTAATATTATGATTCTCGGAACCCTGTGAAGGAATTGCAAGTCCATGATGCATCTCCCTGACTGCCCTTCCTTCTCCCAGTTAGTCTGGATTTTATCATCAAAAGAATTTAGAATCATTTAACATTGATATAAATAAAGCAGTGCGGCCCAGGGAGAAAGCTAGATAAACTAGGATCCGAATCATAGCTCAGCGGCATCTGTGCCTCTGGGGAAGTGGCAGAGATGGGCTCCTTCCGCACCTCTTTCTCCCTCCCTGCTGTTTGCATGTGACTAGGGCAGTGTAGGCTTCACAAACAGTATACATTTCCACCTCAACAAGCCTCAGCAGCTGAAGATTCAGAAAGCACTGATAGATAGCAGGCTTATTATCCATTCTGAAGGTGGTGCTGAAGGACCTTTCTCAACAGATTCCCATAGACTTCAGAATTCCCCAGCTGCAGTAACTTTTTCTGTCTCTCTGCCCCAAGCATCTGTGGGCTTCTCCAAGTTCAGGGACTAAATGTTAGGTACTGAATATCTACTACAGATTACACTATGATTAGGCACTGGTGGAGCAAAAGTAAATTTTGAATTAATTAATCAATAATTCATACTTCCCATTGACCCTAAAATATTTATCATTGATTCTGTTCTGCAGGATGTCCAGCACAATGAATGGTACATTGGAGAATACAGCCGCCAGGCAGTGGAAGAGGCATTCATGAAGGAGAACAAGGTAATGCCTTCTACGTGGCCCATCATTATTGTTTCTATAGGCATCTTAAGGTTCTCTGCTTATGTGTCACAAGACGTAACAAGCAGCTTGCTTTCATGTATTATTTCCTGCATCACCCTGCATTTCTCAGTGCTGGGAGGCTGTAGTCGAAAAGGGCATTTAACATGGAGAGTTTCAGGCCGGGCGCAGTGGCTCACACCTGTAATCCTAGCACCTTGGGAGGCCGAGGTAGGTGGCTCATTTGAGGTGAGGAGTTTGAGACCAGCCTGAACAACATGGTGAAACCCCGTTTCTACTAAAAATAAAAAATAAAAAATAAAAAATAAAATTAGCCAGGCATGGTGGCACGCATCTGTAATCCAAGCTACTCAGGAGGCTGAGACACGAGAATCACTTGAACCTGGGAGGCGGAGGTTGCAGTGAGCCAAGACTGTGCCACTGCACTCCAGCCTGGGCAACAGAGTGAGATGCTGTCTCAAAAATAAATAAATAAATAAATAAATAAATAAATAAATAAATAAAAACAGAAAACAAAAAAACATGGAGAGGACCGGATGCGGCAGTTCACGCCTGTAATCCCAGCACTTTGCAGGATGAGGCGGGTGGATCACCTGAGGTCAGGAGTTCAAGACCAGCCTGGCCAACATGGTGAAACCTCATCTCTACTAAAAATACAAAAATTAGCCAGGCGTGGTGGTGGGTGCCTATAATCTCAGCTACTCGGGAGGCTGAGACAAGAGAATCGCTTGAAGCCGGGAGGCAGAGGTTGCTGTGAGCCGAGATTGTGCCACTGCACTCCAGCCTGGGCCACAGAGCAAGACTTCGTCTCAAAAACAAAAAACATGGAGAGTTTCAGCCGGACGCGGTGGCTCATGCCTGTAATCCCAGCACTTTTGGAGGCCGAGGCAGGCGGCTCACGAGGTCAGGAGATCGAGACCATCCTGGCTAACACGGTGAAAACCCGTCTCTACTAAAAATACCAAAAAAAAAAATTGGCCGGGCATGGTGGCAGGCGCCTGTAGTCCCAGCTACTCGGGAGGCTGAGGCAGGAGAATGGCGTGAACCCGGGAGGCAGAGCTTGCAGTGAGCTGAGATCGCGCCACCGCACTCCAGCCTGGGCGACAGAGCGAGACTCTTTCTCAAAAAAAATAAAAAACATGGAGAGTTTCAGGCCTGAGGCTTGGTCATGCTAATTATCAGCTGTGTGGCTTTCTCAGGTTTCTAAATAACTTCCCATGTAGATTTATTTATTTGTAAAATGAAACAGTAAAATCAACCCAAGGAACTATTTTGAAGATGAAATCTGGAAACTGGACTATAGAGGTCACAATAGAAGGGGCTTCCTTCTGCTTTCCTCAAGGTTTATCTCCTTAATCAAGGTTTGCCCAAAGTACTGTTGGGTCTTTATGTCTCACTTCTTCGAGAAAGGAGCAGAGATTGTGAAGGCTGCAATAGTCAGGATATGGTAGGTTATGCTGCAGCAACAACCCCAAGATCTCAGTTGCTTAACATAATGAAACTTTATTTTTTGCTTGCATACCATGTTCAGGACGGGTTTGGGTGGATAAACCCAGGCTGCCAGGGGCTGCATCTCACTGGTGTGCTTCTACCTTCACACTCTGACTCTTAATACATCCTCTCAGAAGTAACATATTTTACTTCTGCTTTCACATCTTTAACCAAAGGAAGTCACATGACCAAACTTAACTTCGAAGAAGGTGAGGAAGTACAAACCTACATGTGGCCAAAAGGAGAAAAGAACTGGAATACTTGTCATCAGGTCAAATGACTACCACAACCAACATCCCAAAGAGCAAATGATTATCGAATGATGACTATGTGCAGAGAACTATACGAGATTGCTTAGAAGTTATAGAAAGTGTCTCAAGACTGATGCAACATCAAAACCTATCCCCAGCTAACCAGTACAATGGTCACTGTTGAAGGAGGTAACCTAAAAATGAATGAATTAGTTAGTGAATAAATGATAGATCTACAATAAATTTTAATAAAACTTAGCTCTCAGAATTGATGTTGTAAAATTAAATAAATTATATGTATAAGTTGCTATGATAAACAGAATCATGCCCCCCCAAAGATGTTCACATTCTAATCCCCAGAACCTATGAATATGTCACCTTCATAGAAAAGGGGACTTTGCAGATGTGAAGGTAAGGATGTTGAGATGGGGAAGTTATCATGCATCATTATCTGGGGGGGCTCAGTATAATCACAAAGGTCCTTGTAAGAGGGAACCAGGAGTGTCAGAGTCAGAGGAGGGACGTGATAATGAAAGTGAGGTCAGATGAATGGGAGAACCACAAGCCAGGGATCTTGTTGGCCTCCAGAAACTGGAAAAGTCATGGAAACAAAGTCTCTCCTATTGATTTTAGCCCAGCAAGATTCATGTTAGACTTTTGACCTCCAGAACTATAAGAGAATACGCTTCTGTTTTACATCACTAATTTCATGGTAATTTGTTATAGCAGTGGTAGGAAATGATACCATTGCTATCAAAGTATCTTGAACATACACAGAATAAATGGAACATCCCATTTCCCAGATGAGGAAACTGAGGCTAAGCCAATGTGTTGGTCATAAAGCAGAGAAACTGACAGAACATGTATTCAAGATCAGTGCTCTTTTCACAAAATTCCAGCTGACTCTAGTAGCCCTCACAGTTCTTTTCACAGCCCGGGTGGAGAGCCGTGGGTGGTTGGCTGATGCAGCTCCTTGAGGACCTTCCTATCCTCTTTCCAGGGAATCTGGCCATGCCTTGGTAGAGTGGCAAACCTGGTGATGGTAGATTCCAACCCTGGCTGTCCATCTTGGCTAATCAGTGCCCAGTACACCATTGCACTCACAGAGCCTGTTTTCCGTCGGAAGAACTACTCTTAGTAGACCTCCTTCCAGAAGCCCATGTGTGGATTGTGCTGGAAAAGCAATATGCATGTCACCTGATGCTCTTCCAGCAGCATTTGGGCGCTCAGCAAATATTCCCTTCCTCTCTTTCTGTGTGCCTGCTTCTGCCTCTTCCCAAGAAACATTAAGAAAATAAAATCTCAGTTAAATGACTTCACATTTTCCTTTTCATATTTTCCTTTTCTGTTTGTCTCAGTTCTGTCAAAATGTGTTTCTCATTTATGAAAGATAATTTATTTTAAATTTCAGCATTACTCAGATTTATTTTGACAAATCGTTTCAGAGTTTAAGAGGACAAACCCAAAACTTGGCCATGAGTTTTGGCCTCTTCTCTCCTTCTGATCTTTGGCAGTGCTCTGTGCTTGAACATTAAGGCTTCAATTATGACTAAACATTTTAGGTAGAACAAGTTCCAGAAAATTCCGCCATCCTATTTTATATAGTCAGAGGCTTGTGTATTTAAAGGGTGAGAATTTGGTTTGGCTTTTCGGTATTCCATTTAGTAACCGTGATGCTTTAGGGTATTCACTTAAGCCTTTCGACCTTTATTCCTTTACCTGTAAAATGAGACTAAAATTTTTCCAACAATATTTATGTAAAGAACCCAACGTTTATGGCGGGGCACGCAGTGGCTCACGCCTGTAATCCCAGCACTTTGGGAGCCCGAGGCGGGCGAATCTCGAGGTCAGGAGATCGAGACCATCCTGGCTAACACGGTGAAACCTCATCTCTACTAAAAATACAAAAAGTTAGCCGGGCGTGGTGGCGGGCGCCTGTAGTCCCAGCCACTCAGGAGGCTGAGGCAGGAGAACGGCGTGAACCCAGGAGGCGGAGCTTGCAGTGAGCCGAGATTGAGCCACTGCACTCCAACCTGGGCGACAGAGCATGACTCCATCTCAAAAAAAAAAAAAAAAAAAAAAGAACCCAAAGATGTTTATGTAAAGACCCTGCAAATGAGCCGGGCGCGATGGCTCACACGTATAATCCCAGCACTTCGGGCGGCTGAGGTGGACAGATCACGAGGTCAGGAGTTTGAGACCAGCCTGGCCAACATGGTGAAACCCCGTCTCTACAAAGAAGACAAAAATTAGCTAGGCGTGGTGTTGGGTGCCTGTTATCCCAGCTACTCAGGAGGCTGAGGCAGGAGAATCACTTTAACCCTGGAGGCGGAGGTTGCAGTGAGCTGAGATTGTGCCACTGCATTCCAGCCTGGGCAACAGAGGGAGACTCCATCTCAAAAAAAAAAAAAAAAAAAAAAAAAAAAGTCTCTAAATGAAACAATGTGTGTAAAGTGCTTGGCAAATCTCAATGCACCTTAGCTACCAGTATCATCATAACATCACTATCATGTTACAGTATTATTTCTAAATTTTGTATACTTAAAGTATTGTTATGTTATATTATATAGTATTATTACCATTATTATATATCTATATTTATAAATATTCATTATTGAAGTATATAATTATATATAGCTATTATAAAATCTATATAAAGAATTATATATCATAATTTATTATTATAGCTATAAATCATTATATATATAATCTATATTTATCATACTTTTTTTTTTTTGAGACAGGGTCTCACTCTGTCACCCAGGCTGGAGTGCAGTGGCATGATCTCGGCTCACTGCAACCTCCGCCTCCTGGGTCCAAGCGATTCTCCTGCCTCAGCCTCTGGAGTAGCTAGGATAACAGGGACATGATACCATGCCTGGCTAATTTTTGTATTTTTAGTAGAGATGAGGTTTCCCCATGTCAGCCGGGCTAAGTCTCGAACTCCTGACCTCAAGTGATCCACCCGCGTCGGCCTCCCAAGTGTTGGGATTACAGGTGTCAGGCACCACACCCGGCCTCTATTCTTCATAGATCACTTATAACCATCTATACAATACACACAATTACACTTACAGATTTTTCAGTGTTTTTCATTATATAAATAACACAATGTAACCACAAAACTAAGCCTGGTAGATGTGTTCACGTTCAGGAGGACTGCTCCATTTCTCAATCTTTTACAACCAGATCTTAGTATCATTCTGAATTATTCTCTGGAGTGTACAAATTATTTCTAATCATTGTCCTGTTCTCAGCTCTTGGACCATTCAATGCTGTTGACCCGCTTTTGGAAACCCTCAGTCTCCACCTCTTGGCTTCTGTCACTCTGAATCTCCTGGTCTTCCGTCATCTTTCAGGCATCTCCGGGCCTTTTCTGTCTTTGCTTCCTTGCCCTATACTGGCCCTCACCTCAACATAGGCTACAATTCCTCCTCCCGTAAAGGGCCTCTCCATTCAGTTTGATATCCATGACTTAAAAGCCCCATGTCTCTTTCAGGAACCCTAATTCTGCATAGACATCTTTCCACACAGAAGTCCAATTTATTAGGTAAAAGTTTTTTCTGCTCAAAGCCTGCTGTGGCTCCCACTATCTCTAGAATAATACCCGAGCATCAAGCAGAAGAGGAAATATGTGAACATTGAGAGATGAATACATCAAGAAGGGGGCAGGAGAAGAGCTTTTCCATGAGGAAGGAGTAGCACATGTGGCATGGTTTGTCTGTGACCCTACACAGATCTCATCTTGAATTGTAATCCCCATAATCCCCACGTGTCTAGGGAGAGACCTGGATCTTGGGGGCAGTTTCCCCCATGCTGTTCTAGTGAGTGAGTTCTCATGAGATAGGATGGTTTTATAAGGGGCTCCTCTCCCTTCACTCCTCACTCTGCTCTCTCCTGCTGCCATGTGAGAAGGTCCAAGCTTGCTTCCCCTTCGCCTTCCGCCTGATTATAAGTTTCCTGAGGCTTCCCCAGCCATGTGGAACTGAGTCAATTAAACCTCTTTCCTTTATAAATTACCCAGTCTCAGGTATTTCTTTATAGAAGTGTGAAAACAGACTAATACATCATGCAAAATCTGGGAGCCCCAAAGCAGATGGTGCCTTTGGGAAATGGTGGCTTGGCTGGAGCCAGGAGCCAGAGGCAGAAAGCTGCAGGAGCAATGAGAGATCAAACTGCAAGATAGGTTGGTCATGCTAAGTTCATGAGCACTATGCCCAGGTCAGTAGGAAATGATGAAAGATTTTCTTTTTTCTTTTTGTTTTTGTTTTGGAACCAGAGTCCTGCTCTGTTGCCCAGGCTGAAGTGCAGTGGCACGATCTTGGCTCACTGCAATCTCTGCCTCCTGGGTTCAAGTGATTCTCCTGCCTCAGCCTCCTGAGTAGCTGGGATTACAGGCGCCCGCCACCATGCCCGGCTAATTCTTGTAATTTTAGTAGAGACGGGGTTTTTCTGTGTTGGCAGGCCTGGTTTCAAACTCCTGACCTCCGGTGATCCGCCTGCCTTGGCCTCCCAAAGTGCTGGGATTACAGGGGTGAGCCACCGCACCTGGCCTCAATGAAAGACTTTCAAGAAGAGAGTGTCAAGATCCAACTGGTACACATCTCAGAAAGTGACAAGAACCCTTAGGCATACAGACACTCAGTAAAAACTTACTGAATTAAAGTGGTTTACCAAAAACTAAATCCATCTGGGAATCTCATGCATGCAGACATCATTGTTGCCACCATTACAAGGGCAGAATGCTGGCGTGTCTGAAAAGATGACTGTTACTCTTTTTGCTTCAGGATGGTAGTTTCTTGGTCCGAGATTGTTCCACAAAATCCAAGGAAGAGCCCTATGTTTTGGCTGTGTTTTATGAGAACAAAGTCTACAATGTAAAAATACGCTTCCTGGAGAGGAATCAGCAGTTTGCCCTGGGGACAGGACTCAGAGGAGATGAGGTGGGTATAACTTAACAGCCTCCCTGTTCCAGGCTAAGCGCAACAAATAAAGGAAGAGTTTGGGGGATGTCACCCTGGAGGAAGAGGATGCCGCCCTGAAGGAGAGGGATGCAGTCTGACCTCCCCACCCCTTCCACAAATATCTGCACATCTTACACTTTGGCCTACCAGGCCAGCGACCAGTTCTGACCATTTCATGCACCCCCATTCCCTGCGTTGCCTGTTAAAGAAAACTCATTCTACAAGACACATCTAAACTCTGCCTCCCAGGAAGCTTCCAGCGGAGCATACACTAATGCCAAATTCCTTTCCCTCCTCAGCACTGAAATGCCACTGCAGACATTTCTGATGTCTGTCAGAATTCCTTATCTATAGACTCGTGTCCCCAAAATGAATGTGAACCCAGCCACAGCATTAGGGCTATGTTGGGCATGCCTGTCCTCAGTACAGATCTGCTGATGGAGGCGAAAGAGTGAATCAATTAAAATATTCGTGAATAACATAAATCAATCCACAAGAAAGGATAAATTTTCACTGACTATGTATATGCCAGGCCTAGTCTATCTGCATTTTTTTTTTTTTTGAGACAGAGACGCACTCTGTCACCCAGGCCAGAGTACAGATCTCGGCTCACTGCAACCTCCTCCTCCCAGGTTCAAGTGATTCTCCTGCCTCAGCCTCCTGAGTAGCGGGAATTACAGGCATGCCCCACCAAACCCGGCTAATTTTTATATTTTAGTAGTGATGGGGTTTCACCATGTTGGTCAGGCTGGTCTCGAACTACTGACTTCAGATGATCTGCCTGCCTTGGCCTCCCAAAGTGCTGGGATTACAGGCGTGAGCCACTGTGCCCAGCCAGCAGTATCTTATTTTGATCCTCAACAACTCTTTGGTGTCATGATTTTTCCTATCTTAGATGTAGGAAAACTGGGGCTCAGAAAATTAAATAAATGGCCAAAGACACACAGGCAGTAACGGAAGGGGGAAGGAGAGGCTTCTCTTGCAACTCTTCTGTTGATGAAGGAAGGGGTAAAGGAAGGAAGGAACGAAGTTAGTTATGAGCCACCATTTCTAAGGATGTGAGCTCAGTCCAGTGACTTAACTTCTCTGGGCTTCAATTTCCTCAAATGTAAATGTTCTTTTAAAGCCTAGACTTCAATAATTTAATGATTCCTGTTTAACATCTCCAGGTCTCAGTTTTATCTGGGGGTGTGCATTGTTATAGGCTGAATCGTGCCTCCCTCATTCCAAAAAACCCACACGTTGAAGTCCTAACCCTCAGTAGCCCAGAATGTGACTGTATTTGAAGATAGGGCTTTGAAAGAGGTAATTAAGGTTAAACAAGGTTATTGGGATGAGTCCTAATCCAATATGAGAGATGTTCTTATGACAAGAGGAGATTAGGACACAGGCACACACAGAGGGGCGACCATGTGAGGACACTGGGAAGGGTCGACCATCTGCAAACCAAGGAGAGGGGTCGTGGGAGAAAGCAGCCTTCCAACACCTTGACCTTGGGACTTCAGCCTCGAGAACTGCGAAGAAAGACATTTCTGTTGTTTAAGCCACCTTGTCTGTAGTGCTTAGTTACGGTAGCCTTGACAAACTAATACAGGATAAAACCAGAACTTTCACACAGATACCGATTGTTCTTCAACAGATAACAAAATAGGGCACATTGCTAGGGCTGCCAACAGGCTTCAGGTAGGCACACGTGTGAAATCGATGCGCAGGCTGCATAAAGATTCCAGCTTAAATCCCGTGTCTGACCAGAGCACTTTTTTGAGACTCGGAGAGGAATAGTCAGCACCTGTGAGGCGACCATGAGGTCAGTTCACCACTGTTAGGAATAACGCTCAAAATCCTAAGGAAATTGAACACTCGAACAAAGGATTCTTAGCAAAGCAATTTTAGTTCTGCACAGAGGGGTGCCTCCTTGGACAGTCGCAATGAGAGCATACCTGAACAAAGGGGCACGAGAGCCTTTATTCCTGACACAAGTCCTGCCCCTGTCCCCTTTCCCCATTGGCTGGGGTCAGGTCTTACAATCTAAACTAATCCCAGTTGGCTAAACATTTGATTTTTTTTAGATAAAGTAGGCATATAAAAGAAAGTGGAGAGGAAGGGGAAGGGGTGTCTGTAATGAGCTAAAAAGTTAGTCCTCTTTCCAAATAAGGAAAGGAATGTGAGCTGGTACTGATAATGCCTGGTACTGTGGCGTGCCTGGGCATCTAACAAAGGCAAAAAGGAAAACAGGAGAAAAAGGACAAGGGTTGGGGGGGGGGGGGTACAATGAATTAAAGAATAAAAGTTTGATCGGATTATTTGAAGAGAATCTTCATCATATCCCACACCACCATTTGCTACAGCCCGGGAACACTGTGACATGAACAAGTGCATGAGTGAATCCATAGATTAATACATAAATCTACCAGGTACAACCACATTAAGAAAGTGCTACGTTAACACGAAAGACAGAAGTGGTCAGTTCTTCATTTTGTGGAGAGGATTGGCAAGTTAATAAATGTAAAACACTTAGAACAGTGCCTGGGACCTATCAAGCCCACAATAAATTTTAGTTATATTTTCATTACTATTCCTGAGTCATTTTAATAAGTAGGATATAGTAGCCCTAAGATGCCTATGGTAATGGACTTTCCAGTTCAGTGTCCCTTTATCCTTCTATATCTTCTCTCAGCTTATAGAATTTCTCATCTTTAGGAAAGCATTATATAATTCTTATTTATTTATTTTATTTTATTTTGAGACGGAGTCTTGCTCTGTCACCCAGGCTGGAGTGCAGTGGCGCGATCTCGGCTCACTGCAAACTCCGCCTGCAGGGTTCACGCCATCCTCCTGCCTCAGCCTCCCGAGTAGCGGGGACTACAGGCGCCCACCACCACGCCCGGCTAATTTTTTTGTATTTTTTTAGTAGAGACGGGGTTTCAGTGTTAGCCAGGATGGTCTCGATCTCCTGACCTCGTGATTCGCCCGCCTCAGCCTCCCAGAGTGCTGGGATTACAGGCGTGAGCCACAGCACCCAGCTTATTTATTTATTCTAAGACGGAGTCTCGTTCTTGTTGCCCAGGCTGGAATGCAATGGCGTGATCTTGGCTCACCACAACCTCTGCCTCCCGGGTTCAAGCGATTCTCCTGCCTCAGCCTCCCGAGTAGCTGGGATTACAGGCATACGCCACCATGCCCAGCTAATTTTGTATTTTTAATAGAGACAGGGTTGCTCCATGTTGGTCAGGCTGGTCTGGAACTCCCGACCTCAGGTGATCTGCCCACCTTGGCCTCCCAAAGTGCTGGGATTACAGGCATGAGCCACTGCGCCCGGCCAGGAAAGCATTATATAATTCTTAAATGCTTGGGTTTAAGGGTTCTTTTTCCTTAGAGAATAGAGGACGTGGACATGGTGTGCCTTTGCATGTGCCAGGGCCTTGGGCCAAATGCTGTTTAATTTGCTCTCACATGGAGTTCTTGAAAAAGCTCTGGAAAGGACATATTAATGAACATCATTTACTGGCAAGGAAACTGAGACCTGAGATAGTTACTGCTTTTTTTCCAACATGCCCCACTTTGGTCTGCTAATAAAGAAGAGGAAGTAGAGTGACTCTGTGATAATATCCTAACAGCTTAATCAGACTGTCAGCCGGTTCACTGACTATCTTGGCAAATAAGGAGCATCTCCTATGGCAGGCCATAGATTAGACCCTCCGCCTCCAGATGAGCTGCTCTAATTACTGTCACCAAGGAACCCTGAGAGAACCAAATGTCTGTTTTAAGAAGCTCCTTTCTGTGTTCATCTGGAATTTTCTCCTCCTTTGCGTTCCTTATTTTTTTCCCATACATGTGTTGAACATACATTTCCACAGGTGAAAGAATGAATCAATTAAAGCATTCACTAATAATATAAATATATATATACATAAAGCAAGCAATGAGAAAGAAATCCAAGGCAGAATCCTGAGTTTTGGTGGGGTTTTATATGCACTGGAACTATTCTGTGCAGTTAGCCATTAATGACTAATTTGATCTATTGAATCCTCATAGCCAACCTCTGGGGTAGGTGCTATCAATATTTCAATTTAACAAACTGTGAAACTGAGGCACAGAAATACTAAGTATCTGGCCCAAAGTCACAGCTAGTAAACGGCAATTCTGGGATGCGGTATAGTTTGCAAAACATTGACTTCCATTACCAGTTGAAGGTATCCAGATTCTTGGCATCTTGAACAAAGAATTGGACAAAACACACAAACAAAGCAAGGAAAGAATGAAGCAACAAAAACAGAGATTTATCGAAAATGAAAGTGCACTCCATAGGGTGGGAGCGGGCCCCGGCATAGGGGCTCAAGAGCACCCTTAAAGAATTTTCTGCGGTTTAAATATCTGCTAGAGGTTTCCATTGGTTACTTGGTGTTCGCCCTATGTAAACCAAGAGGATGAAGTAAAGTTACAAAGTCATTTACTCAGTGTAGGCCCTATGTAAATAGAAAGGATACTTCCTGTCATAACTGAAGTGTTTCCATTTGATTTGGTTCTAGGAAGTCCTTAGATTCCCTGCCTCCAGACCCTGTTCTCATGCCTCGCTTCCACAAACAGACTCAAATAACACCATGGCAAATACAAGCAATCCCTCACCCGTTTGAAAACATTGCAGGTTGAATCACAGTTAAAGAATAGTTAACACTTACTTGGAGCTTACTGTGTTCCAGGCAGTGGGTAAAAAATGACAATTCACAGGTGGTTCTTCCTGCCTTCCCTCTGAGGGAGCTGTGCCCTGTGTAAGAGGAAGACGGTCTGGATTTCACTCAGTTCCCTCATGCTTTTCACAGCGTGAGCCTTTTGTCTTGCTGAGGAAGAATCACGCCTCTTTAAAACAAGATAAAGGCATTTTACATAGCAAGGCTCTGCTAAATGCAAGCCAACAACTAGCTACTTTAGCCACGGTTCAATTAAAGAAAGCATCTTCACCCAACTCAGCAGGAAAAACATAATGAGAAACAGCATCTTCAAAGATTATTTTAATTTCATGTAGTTTTGTAGCTATCTTGCAACTTTTGAATTTAACCACACAGATGATGCAGCAATGCCTAACTCTTGGGAGTTATTTTGAGTGTGACATGAGTTGATGTAAATAGTGGCAGACACATAGAGGCATGTGCTTAATAAGTATTCCCTTCCCCAGAAACTTTGCAGTTTAAAACAACTGAAATTTCTTGTTTCACAGTGCTGGAGGCCAGGAGTCCAATATCATGGTATCAGCAGGGCCACACTCCTTCTGGAGGCTCCAGGGGAGAATCACTCCTGGCCTCTTCCAGCTTTCCGTGGCTGCCAGCAATCCTTGTCTTCCTTGGTTTATGGCCACGTCGCTCCAGTCTCTGCCTCTATGATCACGTGACCTTCTCCTCATCTCTCTCTCTCTATGGTCACGTGACCTTCTCCTCATCGCTCTCTCTATGGTCACGTGACCTTCTCCTCTTCTCTCATCAAAATCTTCCACTGCTCCTATCTTATGAAGAAACACATGATTGCTTTTAGGGCCTACTGGGATAACCTCGGATAAGCACCCCTTCTCAGGATCCTTAACTTTATCCTGTATTATACCATGTAAAATAGTATTAGCTCTTCTACAATGTAAGGTCATATTCCAGATTCTGGGATTAGGACATGGACATATTGGGGGGAATCATTTAGCACCCACTGCTCCTTTACTTATTTATTGTCCAAGCATTAATTGTAAGCCTACAGTATGTTAGACTCAGTGTTGCATTCTGGGAACACAGAAAGAGTCATGTCAAGTCCCTGCCATCCAGGGAATACCCTGTGCACCTGTGCCGATCTCTGTAGGCACCTAAGCAAGAATGAGATTGGTAGAACATCAGCCCTAGCCAGCCAAGGAGGCACCTGCCTTAAACAACCTGCGGAGCTTAAGTGCTGCCAAACATCAGCCCTGCATCTCAGTTTTATAAGTCATGTTTGTCAACATTTCTGTGAAATCTCAGAGAAGGGACATTTCAATTTCAATTTCCAGATCTCTCCTTTTGTTCTACAAATGTTTATAAGTTTCTAAAAACCACCGTAGATATTTACATGATAAACTAAACGTTAAAGACTAAAGAACAGAGACAAATAATTAACCCATGGGTTTTTTTCACACCTTCTCTGTCTCCTTCCTTCTCCTCCTGCTTGCTTGGCATTTATCTCTCTTTCTCTTTTCTCCCCCTTTCCTTCTTTCACTCTCATGTGTGTACCCAAACAGATTTCTTTACTTTTCTGGCAAGGAAACATCGCCCACAGTTCATATATAGAATAAACACAAAAGGTTTAAACAGATTTTAAGATCTAATAATAGCATAACATTGGTTGTCCCCCTGGAAAAGATTATTCAATATGTAAGAGAGCTTGAATATAATCTTTTTAAAAAGTCTCTTCAGGGCAATATTTCAATTTTGACCCCATCATTAGAAACCAATAATAAGAAAGGACCAGGCTGGGCGCGGGGGCTCACGCCTGTAATCCCAGCACTTTAGGAGGCCAAGGCGGGTGGATCACTTGAGGTCAAGAGTTCAAGACCAACCTGGTCAATATGATGAAACCCTGTCTCTACTAAAAACACGAAAAGTTAGCTGCGCGCCATGGCACATGCCTGTAATCCCAGCTACTTGGGAGGCTGAGGCAGGAGAATTGCTTGAATCTAGGAGGCAGAGGTTGCAGTGAGCCAAGATTGTGCCACTGCAATCCAGCCTGGGTGACAGAGTGAGACTCCATCTCAAAAAAAAAAAAAAAATAGGAAATACTGTGTGACTAGTTGCACCTGTCTTGCTGCCTACTACCTGTTAAAGTTACAATTTCATATGAAATGTCATCCATGTAGCAGATTATTAAAACAATTAATAGCAAATGTATTATTTTGGGACAATCTTAAAACAGGAATGATACTAGGACAAAGAAATCATCTTCCCTCTGAAGACTGAAACTAGGAAAGATTTCCTTTTTTGTGATGTGGATTTAACCAATTTTGTGAAAGAGTTCTGCATAAAAAGTTTTTTTGTGTGTGGTTGTTATTCACTTTTTGTTTTAGCAAGCATGAAGACAGAGAAAGAAAACTTTGTGCTTGGTTTAAAATTGGAAATGAAATACAGAAAATTCTTCTCTTCCTAAAGGCTTACAGTAATGGTCTACAAACTTCTTGGTGATTGCATTGCTCTCTCATGATGTTCTTGGCAAAGCTAGAAGGGAGGAGTTAATCATAAGGCCTGGCATGTGCTGAGCACTCACTGTGTGTCACACTTTCTTCTGAATGCTGTACTGCATATGCATCAATTCCATTCTCACAATGAATCTCAAAGTTAGGTCCTATCGTTACCATCACTGTTCATAGAATAACTGAGGCACAGAGAATGCAAGAAACTTGCTGACAGTCACACTGCTAGTGGTTGGGAGAGCCAGGCTTTGAACTCAGGCATTTAGGCTCCACAGGCCCTCTGGTTACAATTACCCTGCTGTAGTAGAGATTAATCTCCCCATTGGACAATGGGGAAAGTACCTTACCTTAGCATCAGGTAGAAACTCATATTTATTGTATACGTAATATGGGTGGTGGTGTAGTCTGAATGTTTGTATTCCTCCAAAATGTATGTGTTGAAATCCTAAGCCCTAAGGTGATGGTGTTAGGAGGTGAGGACTTTGGAAAGTGATTTGGTCTTGAAGGTGGAGCCCTCACAGATGAGATTCGTTCCCTTGTAAAAGAGTGCATTGCTCTTTGGACCATGTGAGGACACAGCATTAAGGCAAGAAAATGGGCCTCTCCAGACCCTGAATCTGCCAGTGCCTCGATCTTGGACTCCCCAGACTCCAGAAAGTGAGACATACATTTCTGCTGTTTCTAAGCTGCCAGGTTTATAGTACTTTTTGTTGTTGTTTGTTTTTTGAGATGAAGTCTCTTCTGTCTCCCAGGCTGGAGTGCAGTGCCGCCATCACAGCTCACTGCAACCTCCGCCTCCCAGGTTCAAGCGATTCTCCTGCCTCAGCCTCCCAAGTAGCTGGGATTACAGGCACATGCCACCATGCCCGGCTAATTTTTTATATTTTTGGTAGAGAGGGGATTTCACTATGTTGGCCAGGCTGGCCTCGAACTCCTGACCTTAAGTGTTCTGCCCACCTTGGCATCCCAAAGTGCTGGGATTACAGGCGTGAGCCACCACGCCTGGCCTAGTATTTTAACAGGCTGAACACACTAAGTCAGACTGACACATAGGTTATCTCATTGGAAACTGCTGCAGATCCAGTAAAGGTTTCAGAAGGACAAGGGACTTACAGATTGAACCAGGACTCTTTGGGTGTGAAAAGACAAACCCCAATTCAAATGAGCTCAGGCGGGAGAGAAGGAAATGTGTTGTAATGTAACCAGAAAGGACAGAAATGGACTCGATCCAGGGACTAGTTAACATCAAGACATTCCCACTCTACATTTCTTTCCCCACGTTTTTATCCCCAGCGTGGTGTCTGTTTGCTCTTCACACACCCCCTCCCCCCATCCCACATGACGGTGGGAAGGAGGAGATGACCCTGGAAGTCACAGGTTTATAGCGTTTTAATTGCTTTCTATTCAGTGCGCCTCTAACAGAAAAGAACGTTCCCTCCCAACAGCCCCGAGGGAAGCCTCTGAGCGACCTGGTGAAGTTCTTAAGCCTCAACGGACAATTTTCACAGCACATAGCTCTAAATGAAATTATTTGTTTGCATAGGAAATTATTTTCTGCCTGCTCCCAACAGAACGTCATCCCTGTGAGGTCCTAACTGGCCAATCTCATTCTCCATTGGCTATTCCTGAGGCCTTGCAACATTGCTGCACCTAGGATGCCCCGGACAGAGGAAGGAGTGGACAAAACCAAATCAGAGGCAGAGTAGCCCCCACACGGCTCCCTTTCTTCAGGCTATGTCATCTCTACCCTGGTTTGTTGGAGCATCAGAGGTCACAAGCTATAGGCAAAGCTGAAAAATAAAAAGAAGTATCCAGAAAAGTGAGCCTTCATTCCTGGTCTCATCCTCCCTAGCCATGGGAGACTCTGAGTAAGGCGGTCCACTTCTCTGAGCTGAAATTCCCTTCGCTCTTTAGGGAAGATCATTCCCCCTGCCCTGTTCACCTCACAGGCTTGCTAAGGAGGATCTAAGTTGTCTTGAAACATGGGAGGCAGGTTGAGCAAGCTCTTCCTAATTATCTCCCAATATACTCCTTCAGGAACTTATCCAAACTCACCTGATCAGAATTACTGTGTATGCAGAATGGACATTGAAGGCTCAGAGAGGGAGAGGGTGAGAAGGGGGCTAAGGGATGAAAAATCACCTACTGGGTACATACAATGTATATTATCTGGGTGATGGGTACACTAAAGCCCAAACTTCACCATTATACAATTCATCCATGTAACCAAAAGCCACTTATACCTCTAAAGCTGTTGAAATTAAAAAAAAAAATTACTATATATGCTCAAGTCTTCTCAATACCTGTCCTTATGCATGGTCCTGTACATTCTCTGCTTTTAATGTCTTTAAACCCTCCTGTCTACTTATCTGGAATGACCCATAACATAGCCCATTTCAAGTCTGTGTCCTTGACAAAGCACTTCCCCATTTCCCTAAACCTGAAATAATCTTACTTTCCGTTAAATTGTCATAACATTTTATCTGTGTATCTAGAAACACTGAAATCTGCAGCTACCTCATTATTTCACAAGAAGCTTAAGGAGGGCAGCTAAATTAGCTAAGCAGCCCCGTGGTTGTCCCTGTTCTTTCTATGTATACTAGAATTCCTTAGACTTCGTTACTGGAGGGCAAGCTCACTGCAGGCATTGCCCACCAATTTACTACATTCGAGCCTACATCTTCTATATTTTTGCTGGTCAGAGCTAAGGTTGAGGTTTGGGAGGCAACAGAGATTCCAAGGCTTGATTGCTGTGTAATTAACCCATCTGAGTCCTTAGGATAGAAAGGTTGTGATAACAATAGAATGGAACTTGACCAGTGTGATCTGATTCCAGAGAGGGGAAACTCCCTGTATAGGAAGTTTAAAGAGCTGCCATAGGGCTCACTTTTGGTTCTCTCAAGAATTTTTTTCTCTCTTGTTATCATTCTTATCACTCATCCTTCAAGCTTGCCATATTCTTTTTAAAAACTACTTCCGGTCAGGCGTGGTGGCTCATGCCTGTAATCCCAGCACTTTGGGATGCCGAGGCGGGTGGATCACCTGAGGTCAGGAGTTCGAGACCAGTCTGGCCAACATGGCGAAACCCTGTCTCTACTAAAAATACAAAAATTAGCTGGGCGTGGTGGCGCATGCTTGTAATCCCAGCTACTTGGGAGGCTGAGACAGGAGAATCACTTGAACACGGGAGGCGGAGGTTGCAGTGAGCCGAGATTGTGGCACTGCATTCCAGCCTGGGTGACAGAGCAAAACAACGTCTCAGAAAAAAACAAACAAACCAAAAACCACTTCCTGAAACACCTTTACCATACAAACATTGTTAAATTGGTTCACCTCTTCCCCATGCAAAATGAAGCACCTTGGCTATACTTTAACCTACAGACACAAAAGATATTTTAAAAGTCATTAACTTTCTTTTCTGTGTTTCAGAAGTTTGATTCAGTAGAAGACATCATCGAACACTACAAGAATTTTCCCATTATACTAATTGATGGGAAAGATAAAACTGGGGTCCACAGGAAACAGTGTCACCTCACTCAGCCACTCCCTCTCACCAGACACCTCTTGCCTCTGTAGCCTGGTCTTTGTGTTATCTTTGGTTTACTGGATTCAGCGCTTCCATTGTTTTCATTGATTTCAAAAGTTTATTTTCTGTGCCTTCAAGGGACAACTTTTTTAACTTTGGAGAAAAGAAAAACACTCTATAACAGAGAGTGGAAAATCACTCACGGTTTTGAAAGTTCAAACCACAGAGAAAATATTTATAACATGCAAAAAATAAAAACATTCTAGTAACTGGCCACTGGAAAATAAATAAAAATAAAAACTAGGGTTTTAAAAGTATCTTCTAAAAAACAACAACAAAAAATACTATAAACATAGCCATTATGCTCATGATACAGGCGAGCAGCAAAGGGCACCAGAAGCTGTTGCTTAAATGTTTGCAGTCAGTGCAAGACAAGTCTATGGGAAATTCCCAAATCTGTGCTCTTTACAGGACACTGCGCTGCCTTTATGTCAGTTGTTGGGCCTTACATATATACAATGTGTGGATGATTTCTTACACTAAAGATGCTGGGCTGGGTGCGGTGCCTCATGCCTGTAATCCCAGCACTTTGGGAGGCTGAGGTGGACAGATCACGAGGTCAGGAGATCAAGACCATCCTGGCTAACATGGTGAAACCCCATGTCTACTAAAAATACAAAAAATCAGCTGGGCGTGGTGGTGGGTGCCTGTAGTCCCAGCTACTCGGGAGGCTGAGGCAGGAGAATGGTGTGAACCCGGGAGGCGGAGCTTGCAGTGAGCCGAAATCGCGCCACTGCACTCCAATCCAGCCTGGGGACAGAGAGACTCCGTCTCAAAAAAAAAAAAAGGTGTTGGGTTGGTGAATATTAGCTCTCTTTTATTGTAATCCTAGAAATTCAAGTATAGGGAAGAAATGTGGTATGGAAAACCAGCAATTGTGAATGTCACCTTGAAGACAGAAACTGAAAATCCTCTGACTAGGGTGTGAAACGGTCATGGGACCAGCCTCCAGCATCATCTGCTTCAAGTAGCTTTAAGTCAAATGGAATTAACACATTCATAGTACAGAGCTCAGATTATATCCTACACTAGCCTTCAGGCAAGCATATGTCTGAGGGAAACTAAAAATTGTATTAACAATTCCAATTATGGACTTCCATTCAAAGACAGAGAAAAACTGTCCTCAAATTAGTGCTAATTCTTGCAGTAACGTTGCACAGGCCATGATATTATTCCCTGTAGAGGTTAAGAGGATTTAATTTTATTATTGTTTTACAATAAAGATGAGGAAACAGAGGCTCGAAGTAGCTATTGATCTTACTCAATATGAGAAGAGAGCCCAGATTGTAATCTGCTTTGCCTGGCTCCATGCAAGCTCATCTTCCCAGGTACATTCTCTGCGCTGTGACATTTTACAATCAAGTTGAAAAGCTAATTTAAAAAAAAAGAG
The DNA here is from genome assembly GCF_000001405.40 of Homo sapiens. NCBI lineage: Eukaryota > Metazoa > Chordata > Mammalia > Primates > Hominidae > Homo > Homo sapiens. The sequence continues at coordinate 10,489,066 of NC_000004.12, read as the reverse complement.
AGAGAGAGAGAGAAAGATAGAAACAATTTGAAAATACAGATTTACCACCTTAAAATAAATAAACTCTTCTAGTGGGAATAAGCTTTTTTAAAAAACATACTGTCTGTCGAAAATAACAGTATATCATGATGTCAAATGCTACCAAAGCTTACAAAGGAAATTCATAGAGTATTTATGTAATTGTAGCATTGATGCAGAAAGAAAACCAAAAATAATTAAAAGGCAATAGAAGCAAATGAAAACAATAAAAACAATGTGCAGGATTATCTCTTTTGTAAGACAGCAGACAATGAGCTCTCTGGGAAAAGCTCTTAGCATCTACCCACTATCCAAATACCTGCTCAGGTGTTCTCCTTTCACAAGGTCAATGTGAAGTGATGCCTATAAGTTACATCAGGAGCATTTAATGAAGAAGCTATTTGTAAAGCTGGAACTTTTGAGACCCAGCTGAGCCTATCGTAGAGTATGCCTGCAGAGGATTACATAGAACCAAGAGACAAGAGTGTTTAAATTGGAGCTTGGATACGAAAGAACTCACTGGTCCGGTCAAAGCTAAAAGCTGTATGGTTGCTGGTCATTCTCTACTGGAATTCAACAAGCCAGGGACAGTATGGAAACAAGGACTTTACAGAAGAGCTCCAGGCTCACATTAAGAAGGAATCTGACCCTCACCCTAAAAAGCTATTGGGAGATTACTGATACCTCCAACTCACTGATTCATTGAGGCCATGCCATTCAATGCTATGTTCTCAAGAAATGTCTATGAGTCCTCTCAACCATTGCTGTTGATAAAATAGGTGAATGTCAAGTGGGGGTTAGCATTTGATAAGGTGTACGTTTGAAATAATATTTTATCGTCTCTTGTTCACAAATACAACATATAATTCCAAGAAGAAAAAAGAAGTAGAAATTCAGCATCCTTAAGATGACAGCAAGAATGAGGGGAAAAGGAAGAAAAAAAAGAAATTAAACATCTTGCAATAAAAAGCTTACAATATTTTTGTGTATTTGAACACTTCTGTAAAAAATATAAAATGGAAAATACTGACATGGGCTGCTTCTGGTGATTGGGGTTTGAGGGATTGGGTGTCGGGTTTTCTAGAACTCAGACACCAGGACAAAGTTAGAAGTGCAAACACTGATTGGAGGTTAATGTTTGAGAAAGATAAAAGGGAGAAGAAACAGAAGTATGGGTATGGGGTGGGCTTTCAGGCTCCCACCTGTGAGAGGGAAGAGGGGAGGTGTGGGGAGTGAGGAGAAAAAGCATGAGATTCAGACACAGCTCTGGGAGAGTTTTGGCCAGCTCATAGTGAGGCCCAAAGCAAAGTTTGCCCAGAGAGGAGACAGTGTTATGCTGGGCAGTAATGTCTGGGTCTTAGTGCCCCATCCTGTTAAGTCATTGTCTGGGGCTATCCTGGGAAAAAGAAAAACAACAAAAAAAAAAGACCTGCAAATGCTGTGGCCAATCCAGAAGGCGCAGCTGGACGCTGTCCACTAACTTGCTGGCCAGCAAGTTATTTCAATGGAGACTCAAGAGACCCACCTCTGGCCTGCCACAGCAACATCCTGAATTCACTGTTTTCAGTGTTGATTGTAGTAAGGACAATCACATTTACATTTTGCTTGTAATGGATGATTAAATAATAAGAGTATATAAATTCGATTGTATTTGTTTCTTACAACACTTCTGTAAAGAAGAGAGGGCAGCTATTTCTAATGCATTTTATAATTGAGGAAATTGTACCTCATTGGCCAAAATCTCACAGTGACATAGTCGCGACTGGAACCAAGGTCTCCATATGCAATTATCCTATTCATGGTCTACCTGCTTTATTAGATCTGTAATTGAATATTCAATGATTTGGATTTGGCATGCCCAAATTCCAGTGTTTTAATCCCTTTTCAACCATTACCTCACGTTTAGTTTAAAAGTATCACTTGATATCTGATTTCAATAGAGTAATAGAATTTTAGCTTTATCCAATTACAGCATTTATGCTTTCCAGATATTTTTTGGACTAAATAATTCTCATTCTGTATAAATGTGCATAGCCCTCATCATTAGTCATATATTGTGTTAGCACCTTTGTGTACTGCATGTGTATTCATTACTAAGCACTATTGTAGATGTTGAAAATAGAGCAGTGAATAAGAGAGATAGATGACAAATAAATATACAAACAAATAAGATAATCTAAGTCAGTTTCCCATTACTGGATTGGATTTCTATTTTAACACTTATTTCTGAGTACTTGTGGGGTGATGCCAACATTAAATGTTTTGAGGAAGCTCCTTTGAGATGGCTTTGAAAAGTCCTAAGTGAGAAAATTTAAAATTTTCCCAAACTTATTTATGTGGGGTGTGCATGTGTGTGCCTGTGCCTGTGTGCGTGTGTGTGTGTGTGTTTTTAAGTAACCGCATCATGGCTGTAATCAGTTAAGTCTCCTGTTCTAATTACTACGGAGGAATCAAATGAACCCCATTGTCGAATGTAGCCAATTATGTATGTGTGTACACAAATACAAATTTTTATGATAGCCTATATTGTATATTAGCATTATATTTGTATATCTTTTTTATTCTGAGCAATATTTGTTCTAGCTAAGCACATTTACATTCATAATTTACAGCCTTACTAATGTAAATAAAAGTAAATATGTAATTGAATGTTATAATTTTCTCTGTCTCTGAGTATTGAAGAAAGAAATTCAAAACATAGTTTAATTTTGTTTCATGCCCTATTACCCCTAAAGCTCTTTTGAAATTATATTTAGGGCAAATTTAGGATAAAATTACCAGAACAATTATTGACATATGAGCATTATGCTAGACTTTGGAGATAAAGACAAAAAAGACACAATCCCTGTGATTGTGAGCTCAGAGCCTGGCCGGAAAGATACACATGTAATAACCATCTTAATATGTGTAAGTTAATATCTCATTGTGGTTTTGATTTGCTTTTTCCCAATGATTAGTGAAATTGAGCACCTTTTCATATGCCTGTTGGCCATTATCAAAAAACAAAAGATAACAAATGTTGGCAAGAATGTGGACCAATGGAAACCCTGTACATTGTTGGTGGGAATGCCAAATGGTGCAGCCACTATGGAAAACAGTACTGGGTTTCCTTAAAAAATTAAAAATGGAACTATTATATTCAGCAATCCCACTTCTGTATATGTATCCAAAATAAATGAAATCAGGATCTTGAAAAGATATCTGCACACCCATATTCATTGCAGCATTATTCACAATTATTCCAAGATATGGAAACAACCTAAATGTCCATCAAAAATGAATAAATGGGCCAGGGATGGTGGCTCAGGTCTGTAATCCTAGCACTTTGGGAGGCCAAGGTGGGCAGATCACTTGAGGTCAGGAGTTCGAAACCAGCCTGGCCAACATGGTGAAACCCCGTCTCTACTAAAAATACAAAAAAAAAATCAGCTGGGCATGGTGGTGGGTGCTTGTGATCCCAGCTGCTCGGGAGGACGACACAGGAGAATCACTTGAGCTCGGGAGGTGGAGGTTGCAGTGAACTGAGATCATGCCACTGTACCCCAGCCTGGGAGACAGAGCAAGACACTGTCTCAAAAAAGAAAAAAAAAATGAATGAATCAATGAATGAACAAAATATGTTATATACATACAACGGAGTATTATTCAGCCTCAATAAAGAAGGAAATCTTGGCATATGTGACAAGGTGGATGAATCTGGAGGACATCATGCTAAGTGACATAGCCAGGCACAGAATGACAAATACTGCATGACTCCACTTATATGAGAAATCTGAAATAAACTCACAGGGACAGAGAATAGAATAGTTGTTGCCAGGAGCTGTGGGGAGAGGGAAATGGAGAGTTGTTGTTCAATGGGTATAAAGTTTCAGTTATACTAGGTGAATAAGTACTAGAGAGCTGCTGTATAGCATTGTGCCTATGGTCAACGAAAATGTATTACCTACTTAAAATTTTTTTAAGAATGTAGATTTCATGTTAATCATGTTAAGTGTTCTTACCACAAAAAGGGAGATGGGGCAGCAGGAAATGTTTGGAGGTGATAGATATGTTTATTGCCTTGAGTGTGATGATGGTGTTATGGATGTATGTGTATCTCGAAACTCATTAAATTAGATACATTAAATATGTCCAGTTTTTTAATATACCAATTATACCTCAATGAAGCTGTTTTATTTTTATTTTTATTTATTTTTTGTGAGACTGAGTCTCGCTCTGTCACCCAGGCTAGAGTACAGTGGCGCGATCTCGGCTCACTGCAAGCTCCGCATCCCGGGTTCACGCCATTCTCCTGCCTCAGGCTCCCAAGTAGCTGGGACTACAGGTGCCCACCACCGTGCCCAGCTAATTTTTTTTGTATTTTTAGTAGAGACAGGGTTTCACCATGTTGGCCAGGATGGTCTCAATCTCTTGACCTCGTGATCCACCCGCCTTGGCCTCCCAAAGTGCTGGGATTACAGGCATGAGCCACCGTGCCCTGCCATTTTTTTTTAAAGCTCATCAGCTATCATTAGTATTAGTGTATTTTACGTGTGGCCTAAGATGATTCTTCCAGTGTGGCCCAGGTAAGCCAAAAGATTGAACACTCTACTTCAGGAGTACAGGCATGTTGCCCATTATTGGGTACTCCTGTTTTAGGGGCACTATTCTAGGCCATGGGGAATGAAGCAGTGACTACCTGTTTGAAGGGTAAGTGAATACAATAGAAGCAGCATCTGTAGAGAAAGGACAGATAATTTATTAAGTGGTTCTGGTTAAACTGGCTCACCATATAGAAAAAATACAATTATGTCTCTACCTCAAATCATATAAAATATATTTTACATGAATCAAATACTTAAGAGCAAAAAGCAACTATTAAATTGAGTCTTACATCTTTGTCTAATAATTTTTAAGACTTTGAGATAGGGAAAGAGTTCTTAAGACAAAAACTTAAATCATCAAGGGAAGGATTGATAGATTCATTACACCAAAATTTAAAATGTTTACAAAAGTTAGACAAAGTCAAAAGGCAATTAAACAACCTAATATGTATGAGCAAAGGCTGTAAACAAGTAATTCATACACACTCACAAAGCTGGAATGTCTTAACTTATGCACTCCTGTAAGTTAAGAAAATTAATAACAATTAAGTACAATTAAGAAAATTAATAGGCCGGGAGCAGTGGCTCACGATTGTAATCCCGGCACTTTGGGAGGCCAAGGCGGGCGGAACATGAGTTCAGGAGATCAAGACCAGCCTGGCCAACTTGGTGAAACCCCGTCTCTACTAAAAATACAAAAATTAGCCGGGCATGGTGGCACGTGCCTGTAGTCCCAGCTACTTGGGAGGCTGAGGCAGGACAATTGCTTGATCCCTGGAGGTGGAGGCTGCAGTGAGCCGAGATCACGCCACTCCAGCCTGGGTGACAGAGCGAGACTCCATTAAAAAAAAAAAAAAGAAAACAAAACAAAAGAAAATTAATAAACAGCTAGCTAAAATAATCAAAAACTTAAGTAGAAGGACACATTACTAACAAAAAAGACAAAACAACAGATACTACAGACATTGAAGGGATATTAAAGAACTATCAGAAGTGCTTTTATTCCAGCGGAGTCGAAATAGATAACTTTACAGATGAAAATCAATACAAGAAGAAATAGAAAATTTGAATGGCCCTTCATTGTTAAAAGAAACGAGAAGCTTTCCCACGAAAAAGTCTCTAGACCAAAATGAATCCTAGCAAACCTTTTTAGAAACTAATATCGAGTCAGGTGAGAAGCAAGCAGAGCTGGTGTAGAGGCTTCTTCTCCCAGAGGGGCCTCAAGAGAGAAGGGTTAGCGATGGCATCCTTGATTAGAAAGATCACACAGGCCTGTAAGTTAAGATATCCAGCTTTGCTATTGTGTTTCTATTACAGCTGGTCGGTGATGCAATTAACAGGGGATGCCAATAGCCACTGTCATGGAGCGAATGACATGGAGCCTAATGGAGTGGATGACATAGAGCCTAATGGAGCAGAGTGGGAGATGGGGTCTGGCTTCCCTGGTCCCTAACCCCTCAGCACTAGACAACGGACCCACACAGAGGGAATTTCAGCCTGAATGCTGAGAGGCCTGAAGAGTGAGCAACCCCCATGAGAATGGCAAATGGGCTTCCTGGCTACCTATTTGTGATGGTTAATACTGAGTGTCAACTTGATTGGATTGAAGGATACAAAGTATTGATCCTGGGTGTGTCTGTGAGGGTGTGGCCAAAGGAGATTAACATTTGAGTCAGTGGGCTGGGGAAGACAGGACCGCCGTTAATTTGGGTGGGCACCATCTAATCAGTTGCCAGCATGGCTAGAATATAAACAGGCAGAAAAATAGGAAAAGAGAGACTGACCTAGCCTCCCAGCCTACATCTTTCTCCCGTGCTGGATGCTTCCTGCCCTCAAACATCAGACTCCAAGTTCTTCAGTTTTGGAACTTGGACTGGCTCCCCTTGCTCCTCAGCCTGTAGACAGCCTATTGTAGGACCTTGTGATCATGTGAGTTAATACTTAATAAACTCCCCTTTATATATATATATATTTGTGTGTGTGTGTATACACATTTATTCCATTAGTTCTGTCCCTCTAGAGAACTGGGACTAATACAGATTTTGGTACTGGCAGTCCATAAGATGAAAGTAAAATGAGCAAATGAACCCTAGAACATTCCTCAGTGCTTATTGGGAGGCCTGGCAAAGGATGATTACCCAGAAGACTCCCCAGCATTTCCAGGCTTCATGTGGTTCTGACAGCTACTTCTACAATAGCAGCCAGAGAAACGTTAATTAAAATAGCAACTACATAGCACTTTCACCCATCACACTGGGTGAAATTAAACATTCAGATAATGTCAAAAGCTGATGAGGATGTACAAAATAAAATTTTCATCTACTAGTTGGAACATCAATCGGTATAGCATTTTGGAAAGCAATTTAGCAGTATTTAGTAAAATACAAAATGTATGCACCCACTGTAATAAGGCTTCCAATTAAAACATAGCTAAATAAGAGGCCAGAGTGGCTCACACCTGTAATCCCAGCACTTTGGGAGGCCGAGGCAAGCAGATCACTTGAGGTTAGGAGTTTAAGACCAGGCTGACCAATATGGTGAAATCCTATCTCTACTAAAAATACAAGAATTAGCTGCACCTCCTGGGTTCAAGCAGTTCTTGTGCCTCAGACTCCTAAGTAGCCGGGACTACTGGTGTGAGCCATCACACTCAGCTAAGTTTAAGGGTAAATAGTGACTCCAATTTCCAAGCCTTTCCAAGTTTTCATAATGGGAATCAGCTTCTTTCTTATTAAACTTCCTCCTACTTCTTATTTACTATTTTAGCTTCCTCTATTTTGTTAACTCAGTTATCATTTGTCCATTTAATTTCCCCTCATCCAAAATTTTGTTGACATCTGTCTTCTTCTTCCATTTCCTTTATCCTACATTCTTACTTTTTTTTTTTTTTTTTTGAGACGGAGTTTTGATCTTGTTGCCCAGGCTGGAGTGCAGTGGCATGATCTCAGCTCACGGCAACCTCTGCCTCCCAGGTTCAAGCGATTCTCCTGCCTCAGTGCTCTTATCTTTTCAATTCCTTTATTGATTTTGCCACTGCACTCCAGCCTGGGTGACAGAGTGAGACTCTGTCTCAACAACAACAACAAAATATAGCTAAATAAGGACATAATTTTGATCCCTGTAGAAACTCAATTATAATCAGGAAGTTCAATAAGAACCAAACTGATTCTCATTATGAAAACTTTGAAAGGCTTGGAAATTGGAGTCACTATTTAACCTTAAAAACTGGTAAAGGGCCTGGGGCGAAACGAAGAGTTATTTATCAGCAGTCATTGTAAGAATCCATTATAATCAACACATCCCTCACCCAGGAACCAGAGGTTTACTTAGTCAGGATGTCAGCCTTCCCCAACCCTGGCAGCCATCAAGACAATGCATCTCCAGGAAATATTTTGAAATAGGCATGTAAGATACAGTTGAAAGTGGGAAATGGGTGCTGTGCTGAAAAATGGAGTTTAAGTGAAAGTTTCATTACGAAAGTTTAGAACCCCAACCCCTTTTAAACATTTGATTCCAAGGAAGAACTGATAGAATTATAACCCTAAAACAAGAGAACAGAGCAGTTCTGCTACAAATGCTGATCCTTCCTAAAGGACATCAAAGAATAGACTCCTTCATAAAAGAGCAGATTCCCACTGTCTCGTGCTGCAGTGGAGCTCATCCATGCACGTACAAGTTTCGATTCACATGTTCGTGCCTCACTCTTAAATGTGAACACTGAGAAGCTTGAAGGAAAGCTTCTAATGGGAAAGACATGTTTGTTTGTTTGTTTGTTTTTTGTTTTTGAGACAGAGTCTTGCTCTGTTGCCCAGGCTGGAGTGCAGTGGTTCCATCTTGGCTCACTGCAACCTCTGCCTCCTGGGTTCAAGCGATTCTCCTGCCTCAGCCTCCCAAGTAGCTGGGATTACAGCCGCCTGCTACCACCCTCGGCTAATTTTTGTATTTTTAGTAGAGACGGGGTTTCACCATGTTGGCCAGGCTAGTCTCGAACTACTGACCTCAGGTGATTCACCTGCCTCAGCCTCCCAAAGTGCTGGGATTGCAGGTGTGAGCCACAGTGCCTGGCCAAGACATGTTTTAAAATGCTACAAACCAGAAGAAAAAAAAAAAAAAAAAAAGGAAAACTCAAGGGAGATAATATGGGATGCTGAAAAAAAAAAAAAAACTACCAGGAGAAATATAGTTAATTTCATGGAGAGATAAGCCATTGAAACCACACAATATGAATAGAATACTATTTAAATAAATACATATTCAGAAGCAAAAACTGAGAGCACTGAAAGGGAAAACTAAGTATATTTGGAAATTTTAACACACAACTCACAGAAACTGATAAAGTAAGCAAATAAAAATGAATAAGGATATATAGAAAATTTTAACACCACTATCAACCAACTAGACTTAATCGTCATTTACAGACTAGTTCACAAAACAACACAAAACAAGTATAGATACACATTCTTTTCCTAGTCCACATAGAATATTCAAGAAGAGCCATCTCCCGGGGCCTAAAACATATCGCAATAAATGTTAAGGAACTGAAAAAATATAAAGGTTATATTCTGTGAGCCAATATATATATATATATATATATATATATATATATATATATATATATTTTTTTTTTTTTTAATGAGACAGAGTCTTGCTCTGTCACCCAGGCTGTAGTGCGGTGGTGCGATCTTGGCTCACTGCTATCTCTGCCTCCCAGGTGTTGAAGTGATTCTCAGCCTCCCAAGTAGCTGGGACTGCAGGTATGTGCCATCACGCCAGGCTAATTTTTTTGTATTTTATTAGAGATGGGGTTTTTCCATATTGCCCAGGCTGGTCTCAAACTCCTCGGCTTGGGCAATCCGCCTGCCTCGGCCTCCCAAAGTGCTAGGATTACAGGCATGAGCCACCACGCCTGGCCAATATATGCATTTTAAAAAATAATTAAATAAAAAATAATAACAGTAAGATATTTAGAAAAATCTTCAAATATTTGAAAGTAACACATTTTTAATTACATGGTCAAAGAAGAAAGCAAAACAATTAATATTTCATAATGAATGATAATGAAATGCCATTTACCAAAATTTGAGGAATGCAGCTGCCCTTGAAATACAAAGACTCAGTGTAAGCATTTATGGCTTAAAAGTTGGTTCTTTAAAACAATTAAGAAAATTAAGAAACAGCTAGCTAAAATAATCAAAACATAAGAACACACTAACCAATAATAAAAAATAAAAGACAACACAACAGATACTACAGACATTGAAGGGATATTAAAGAAATATCAGAAGCACTTTTATTCCAGTGAAGCTGACAAAGATAACTTTACAGATGAAGGTCAATACAAGAGGAAATAGAAAATCTGAATGGCCCCTCAACTTTAAGACAAATGAGAAGCTTTTTCACAAAAAAAAAAAGCTCTGGACCAAAATGAATCCTATCAGACATTTTTAGAAAATAATATCAACTCAGGTGAGAAGCAAGCAGGGGTGGTGTGGTGGCTTCTTCTCCCAGAGAGGCCTCAAGAGAAGGGTTAGCTATGTCATCCTTGATTAAAAAGGTGATCAGGACTGCAAAAGCCCCCAGGGTCCTTGGGCCATATGGCCAAGGTGTGTTAGTCAACAGGACCATTTACATTTCAGGACAGCTAGTCATGGACTCTTCAAATGCACAGCTTGTGGCAGGAGAGGTAGCCAAAGCAGCTAAACAAGCTCTTACAAAAATGGGTGAAGTTCTGAAGACTGCAGGCTGTGACTTCACTAATGTGGTAAACAATTTTGCTGGTGGACATAAATGACTTCAGTACTGTCAGTGTAATTTACAAACAGTACTTCAGGACTAATTTTCCAGGTAGAGCTGCTTACCAGGTTGTTACTTTGGCCAAAGGAGTCTGAATTGAAATGGAAGCAGTAGCTGTCCAAGGACCTCTCACAACAGCATGACTGTAAGTGGACCCAGTGTTGTTTCGTCTGGAACGTTTAATCTTAATTTTTACAACTAATGTAACATCTTAATTAACATCTTAATTTTTACAATTGATGAAAGTGTAAGGTTTGACTAAAATGCCTGAAGTTATTATGGAAATACTATATAACAGGGACAGTTCAACATAAATTAGAGATTAGATCAAGAATCCAGTTACTGATATTATTAATGTATACCTATATTACCAAATGTAGGAAACAGATACTCATTACATAGTTATTCAAATAAATGTAAAGACAAATAAATGTTAAAGAAAGTAAGTTATTCCTGATACATAATAAAAAGCATATCTAATTCAAACTAATTTAACGATATGAAATACTTAGTTCTCATGTCAAATATATGATTCCGCTTTTACTTGAATAAAATTAAAGTATTTAATGGTAATGGTCAAAGAGAGGAAAATAGACCAAAAATTCATATAGACAATACTTTTCTTTTCTTTCTTTCTTTTTTCTTTTTTTCTTTTTTTGACAGAGTCTCACTTTGTCACCCAGCCTGGAATGCAGTGGCATGATCTCAGCTCACTGCAACCTCCACCTCCCAGGTTCAAACGATTCTCCTGCCTCAGCCTCCCAAGTAGCTGGGATTATAGGCATGTACCAGCACACCTGGCTAATTTTTGTATTTTTAGTAGAGACGGGGTTTCACCATGTTGGCCAGGCTGGTCTCGAACTCCTGACCTCAAATGATCTGCCTGCCCTGGCCTCCCAAAGTGCTGGGATTACAGGTGTGAGAAGGGTGGTTTGTTTAAGTAAACATTTCTAGAACAACGGCTTATCAAATGGGAGCAGCAGCGGGGGAGGTAGAGCTTTCCTTTTGACTATATAAAAATAATGTCCATGACAATTAAATGTTTAAATATAAAAATATAAAAAAAGGTAGAAGATCTAGGACAATGTTTATATGCCTCTGGCATTGGTGGCAGTGGTATGTGTGTTGGGGGGACTTCTTAAGCAAGACAGGAAACTCAAAAAAATGAAAGGAAATAAAGAAACATTTTACTATGCAAATATCTACAATTTGACAGGCGGCAGTACATGAAGTCAGAAGACAAAGAACGGGCTGCAAAAAATATTGGAAGCACATATGTCCAATAAAGGATTCCTACATATTATACATAAATAACTCCCATAAATTCATAATATAAGGACAAATAACCCAGCTGAAAAATAGTCAAAGGATAAAAATAGTCATTTTACCGAAGAGGAAATCCTGATGCTCACAGACCTATGAAATAAGCTCAACTCCATAATAATCGGGGAAATGCCGAGTTTAACAGTGGGTTAAGATGTTTTTCCCTCAATACATGGAAAAACGTTCAAAAGACTTGTTGAACCCAGTGATAGTTGGGGAATGATGGGAGGGCAAGACAGTAGGTTCCATAATGTTTTCAAAACAATGAACACTAAAATGACAGCAACTTTGTGAAAATTAATCTGGCAAACTCTTTTAAAATAAAAAAATATGTATCCTTTTGTTTACCAATTCTAGTTCTGGAAATTTATCCTTTAGAATTAAATCCTATAGAATTAAAAGCATATTTACTGAAGTAGGGAGTATATTGGTAAAGTGTGTTTATTGAAGCATCATTCGCCAAGTGATAAGACAAAAAAATAAAAAAAAGTTGTTAACAAATCAATGGTTAAATTAACTTGAATATACCCTTGCTGTGGAATATTATGTAACTGTTTAAAAAAATGCTTTGGGGGCCGGGCGCGGTGGCTCACGCCTGTGATCTAAGCACTTTGGGAGGCCAAGACGGGCAGATCATCTGAGGTTGGGAGTTCGGGACCAGCCTGACCAACATGGAGAAACCCCCGTCTCTACTAAAAATACAAAATTAGCTGGGCATGGTGGCGCATGCCTGTAATCCCAGCTACTCGGGAGGCTGAGGCAGAAGAATCACTTGAACCCGGGAGAAGGAGGTTGCTGCGGTGAGCCGAGATTGCACCATTGCACTCCAGCCTGGGCAACAAGAGCAAAACTCCGTCTCAAAAAAAAAAAAAAAAAAAAGCTTTGGGGCTGCATCAATTTTCCTATTGGAATATACATTATAGAATGTTGAGTGATTAAAGAACCTTACAGAAAGATGCATGTAGAATTAGTCTATGTTTGTAAAAACAACTCTGTACTGTGACTTTTTAAAAAATGTCGATGACTTTTAAAAAAATTAGTTATATAAGAATACACTAAATAATTAAAATTTGTTAAAGGTGGTATGGGGATATGTTTGAGAAAGGACAAATGATTTGGGGATACATAAGAGAGAAAATGATCGTACAACATGAAACATACTCTGGCATTGTGTGACAGGAAGAGTAAACTAGAAAATTCTGTTAATAGAATTGCAAATGTGTAAAACTATGTAATGGCGTACCTTGGAACATTATCTTAATTGGTTATTTTTTAAAATGTCATTCTTTGTTACCAAGCCTTATAATGCACCCATCTAAAATGATGTTATCTATAAAACTCAATTTACTACTAATTTACTAGCAGTCAACACATTTCTGCAGTCTCTCATGATATTTGCAAGCAATTACCATTTTTTACTCGAGTCCCTTTCTAAACATATACACAACTCAAATTCCCCATTATATCTTCCATTAAAAAGAAAAAAAAAACTGAAACTTTTTTTTTTTTTTGAAGCAGGGTCTCCCTCTTTCACTCAGGCTGGAGTGCAGTGGTGTGACCCTGGTTCACCGCGACCTCTGCCTCCTGAGTTCAAGCTATTCTCCTGCCTCAGCCTCCCGAGTAGCTGGGATTACAGGAGCCCACCACCATGCCCGGCTCATTTTTTCTTTTTTTTTTTTCTTTTGTATTTAATAGAGACAGGGTTTCACCATGTTGGCCAGGCTGGTCTTGAACTCCTGACCTCAAATGATCCGTCCTCCCTGGCCTCCCAAAGCACTGGGATTACAGGCCTGAGTCACGGCGACTGGCCTGCTCATTTTTTTTCTGCTGTCTTTTGGCAACATATCCTACATTTTTAAAGAGTAACCTTTAAGAGGCCGGGCGCGGTGGCTCATGCCTGTAATCCCAGCACTTTGGGAGGCCGAGACGGGCGGATCACGAGGTCAGGAGATTGAGACCATCCTGGCTAACATGGTGAAACCCCGTCTTTACTAAAAATACAAAAAATTAGCCGGGCGTGTTGGCGGGCGCCTGTAGTCCCAGCTACTTGGGAGGCTGAGGCAGGAGAATGGCGTGAACCCGGGAGGCGGAGCTTGCAGTGAGCTAAGATCGCGCCACTGCACTCCAGCCTGGGTGACAGAGCGAGACTCCGTCTCAAAAAAAATAAACAAATAAATAAATAACCGTTAAGAGTTTGGAAAAACTTCAGTTTCAAAATATTATCCAAATCCCTGTAACAAAAATGATCAGATTTAAAATGGTAGTTAAAATTGAAATTCATATGACAAAAATAAGTATTATTCATCTTTAATAAATTAAAATCACACATATTGAGGACCTGTTATGTATCAATAGCTTAATCACCTTATTTAATCAATAAGTGAGATGCTGTGTCATCTTTCTTTACTTTTCATGGAATACCTGGGAAGTGGACTTTATTATTCCTGATTTGGATTTTGTGATTACGGCTCCTCACCTGCACATGGCCAAATATGAACAATTAAGAGAGCTTTATCTTTAGAAATACCACCACCCTCTAGCTAGGTTCTCTAGACTCACAGGGGAAATATTCAATGAAAATTTTACTGACCCTGAGACCGAGGCACCTCACACAGACTTTGGCGGTTCACAATCTAAAGATAAAGTAAAATAATAATAAAGGTAAAGCTTCTGGACGTTTCCAAGTTCTCTGCACTTTCCTTGTCCTGCTCTACCATCTTTTGCCTATATTAAAGCTCTAAATGAGCACACCCTCTGGGGTCTTGTGAGTCCTTTCAATTGCCCAATGCTCCCACTCTAGTGACTCCCTTGAACATTGAACTTTAAGTCAACTAACTTGTGTTGAAACTGACCATGTCCATTCTCACAACAGGTGTAGGAAAATGGCTGTCATTGTAGTCAGGTACCCTCTCAGGTATCCTCATGGAGTCACGTTCTTCAAAGGGTGGCTCAATCCTCAGGCCCAAAGGGCAAGTCCAGACGAGGACCAGCTATAGAATTTGCAAGGTCCAGTGCAAAATAAAAATGGGGGCCCTGTGCTCGAAAGGTATTAAGAAGGTCAAGATAGTGACGGCAGCATTAAACCAAGTGCAAGATCCTTCCAAGCACGGGATCCATGTGACTGCACAGGTCATCAGCACACGGTGCCAGTTCTGGGCCTGACTGAAGCACCACCATAGGCTGTCATTCTTTATAAAGAGACGGAAAGAGGCCAGGTGCGGTGGCTCACTCCTGTAATCCCAGCACTTTGGGAGGCTGAGGTGGGTGGATCACCTGAGGTCAGGAGTCTGCGACCAGCCTGGCCAAGATGGTAAAACCCTATCTCCATTAAAAATACAAAAATTAGCTGGGCATGTTGGTGCATGCCTGTGGTCCCAGCTACTCGGGAGACTGAGTTAGGAGAATCACTTGAACCTGGGAGGCAGAGGTTGCAGTGAGCCGAGATGGTGCCGTTGCAGTCCAGCCTGGGTGACAAACCGAGACTTGTCTCAAAAAAAAAAAAAAAAAAAACAGAGAGGCACAGGAAGAAAAATATTAAGCTTCCAGAAAGTTTCTCACTACACACAGGCAAAGTCAGGCTCTTTTCCTTTTGAGGGTTGCACTGTCTGGAGGGCTGGGCTGCTGCCATTAGCCAGAGGACAATAGTGTTCCACCATAGAAGGTGGCAAGCACAGACAAGAGGAGCTGTACTTTTATGGTGGTCTGAAGTGTCTGATTAACCAACCCTGAGGTTTCCCTTTCCACTGGACCTCATGAGAGATGAGACTATACATTTCCTTAGTGTTTAAACCAATGTGGAGTTTTCTATTCATTAGAAGTGAAACCATTCATTTCAACTCATACAAAGGCTTTGCAAAATAGCTACGATTATTTTCCATTCTAGAGATGTGGACACGAAAATACAGGGAGACTGCCTTGCTTCTAAGTCCTAAAGCATACTTGATAAACCTAGAAATTAGTCCCAGCTCTGCCACGTGATGCCTGTCATCCCATATGAATGGTAGCCCCTGGACTTGTGCAGTGTGGCAGCCCTGCTCTAAAGACTGTGGTTTCTAACTCCCCACACTTTATACCTCCCAGTATGAAGGCAGAGCCCAAATCCAATACAATATGAGAAGCTAAGCAATTTCTTCAGCTGCGTGGGGACGTAGGTTTTTCAAAAAGATTTCCCCCTTGGAGGCAGAGGTTGCAGTAAGCAGAGATCATGCCACTGCACTCCAGCCTGGACGACAGAGCAAGACTCCATCTCAAAAAATAAAAAAGAAAAAAAGATTTCCCCATTGATATAGAAAATCTTTTTTTTTTTTTTTTTTGAGAGGGAGTCTCACTCTGTTGCCCAGGGTAGAGTGCTACAGAGCAAAGACTCTGTCCAAAAAAAAAAAAAAAAAGAAAGAAAGAAAGAAAGAAAGAAAGAAAGAAAGAAAGAAAAACAAAGAAAAAAGAGAGAAACTGAATTGTCTAGTCTTGCTTGTAGCTCAGTGTGATCATGTGACCATGTTCTAGTCAACGGGAAATGAGTAGATCTAGAGTACATATGGCATCCAAAAATGCCCTTATCAGAAAAGGCATGCAATTCTTTGCTCATTTCCCCATTCTATTGACTGGAATAAAGGGATGAGGGGCCATGGCTGGAGCTGGAGGTGGAGCTGGAACAGCCATCATGGACCATGAAGTGCAGGTCACTTCCTGAGGATGGTGGAGCAACAAGGCAGAAGGAGCCTGGGGTCTTCCTCATCATGGAGCTGCCATACCCACTTGCCTTCCTTACCCCTAACTTAATGTATTGAAGAGGAAAATACACTGCTATTTTGTGTTTTATATTATTCACAGCCAAACTCAACATGATCTGATGAAGTACTGTTTGGGAATGAAAAGGATGGGAGTAGGCAAAGCATGAGCTAACATGGTATGAAAAATGAACAGCACAGCCGGGCACAGTGGCTCACGCCTATAATCCCAGTACTTTGGGAGGGTGAGGAGGGTGGATCACAAGGTCAGGAGTCCGAGACAAGCCTGGCCAACATAGTGAAACCCTGTCTGTACTAAAAATACAAAAATTAGCTGGGTGTGGTGGCACGTGCCTGTAGTCCCAGCTGCTCGGGAGGCTGAGGCGGGAGAGTTGCTTGAACCTGGGAAGCAGAGGTTGCAGTGAGCAGAGACCACACCATTGCAATCCAGTCTGGGTGACACAGTGAGACTCCGCATCAAAAAAAAAAAAGAACAGCATGTTTTGGATGGCTTGCAAATTCAAATAATTTAGCAGAAGCAAAAATTTGCAGTGAGAAGTCTATAGAAGAAAAAGAATTACTCTATCTCTCCCAACCCAACCCCTTCAAAAATTCCCAGAAAAAAAGTGATGGCCATTGCATCTCCTACTACAAGTGGGATGCTCTCACGATTTTTATTTGAATCTCAGAGTAAAGAGTGATGTATCTTCTCCTCTTGCTGTCTTTAAAAGAGCTTTGAGGCCGGCTGTGGTGGCTCATGCCTGTAATCCCAACACTTTGGGAGACTGAGGCGGGTGGATCACCTAAGGTCAGGAGTTCGAGACCAGCCTGGCCAATACGATGAAACCCCGACTCTACTAAAAATACAAAAAATTAGCCGAGTGTGGTGGCAGGCACCTGTAATCCTAGCTACTTGGGAGGCTGAGGCAGGAGAATCGCTTGAACCTGGGAGGCAGAGGTTACGGTGAGCCGAGATGGTGCCACTGCACTCCAGACTGGGCAACAAAAGCGAAACACTATCTCAAAAAAAAAAAAAAAAAAAAAGCTTTGAGTGCTCTGCATGCATATCATGGTTCGTGGTGATTAGACAAGCATATGCAGAATCAGACACTTAACCTGGTGTGCTATTTACTCCCCACCATCATGTTGATCAGCATGGAGTTTTGAACTACTTCTTTATAGTTATTTTTAATGAATATCCATACTGACTAACAGACAAAATGAAACGGCAAAGATATTACTGATGCAAGAAAATGGAAGTAAAAAAATGACAATTTACAGCATTTTCAAGCATCAAGGTGAACTTTTCTAGCTACCGGAGTTCCAGGTATGTGATCCAAATTCATATGTAGCAGATCAAGATTTCTCCAGCAATTAAAAAATACAAAGAGAAATTATATCCTATATTATCATTTTATCCAATTTGGCTTTGAGGTTTTTGGAAGTAAAGACTCTCTACACCAAGAGTGTTTTATTTGCAGAGAAGTGTTTGCAAATACCTCTGCATGAAATTCTTTTTTATCATTTAGAAATAAAGTCATGAAAACTAGAGATAAGAAACCACTTTTTCTTATCTCTATCTTTTTCTTATGTTCTTTTTTTGATTTATCAATTTTAGAAATTCTCCATTCTGCTATAATAGACAAAGAATTGCTTCTTTTATGTGAATCATCACTTCCCCTCCATGAAATTATTTTGTACAATTATTTCTCTTTGTTTTTCTCTTTTGGTTGCCTTTGCAAGTTGAAATAAGATATTCAAACTTTAACTTCTTTTTTTCATTATAGACACAGCATCTTTTGCTCCTGGCTTTGTAAGATAATCCTCCGCCCAGTGCCTTTCCTTCAGTCGTCTTCCCTTCCATCTCTTGCCTCTGTATTCTCTACTTTTACATCTTCAAGGCTGAACATGCATATTCTGCTCTTTAGCATAAGTGAATCATTGCCTCTTGTTTCATTATGTGGATTATAAAAGTGGAAGTCAAAGTAGTTACATTATTTTGATTATAAGCATGTGAAACTGGCCGGGTGCAGTGGCTCAGGCCTGTAATCCCAGCACTTTGGGAGGCCGAGGTGGACAGATCATCTGAGGGCAGGAGTTCGAGACCAGCCTGGCCAACACGGCGAAACCCAGTCTCCACTAAAAATACAAAAAATTAGCCAGGTATGGTGGCAGGCGCCTGTAGTCCCAGCTACTCGGGAGGCTGAGGCAGGAGAATCGCTTGAACTCGGGAGGCAGAGGTTGCAGTGAGTTGAGATCACGCCATTGCATTCCAGCCTGGGTGACAAGAGCGAGACTCTGTCTCAAAAAATAAATAAATAAACAAACATAAGCATATGAAACTATTGTTGAATTTCTAATTTTCATGGGGAGTTTCTACATACAGGTTTTTCTTAATTACTAAACAGAAATATATTTTCAAATTTTTCCAATGTCTTTATTAAACAGAGTATTCTAAAAGGCTCCTCTTGTTCTCTCACAACCGGCAAATTACCAGCAGACATGTTCTTCCTCCAGTGGTCATCGGCATGGGTATCTATACCTGCTCCCCAGGGGTCATCCTATGATTTTCCCTCATGCCTTTTCTCTTTCCTGTATTAAAATCCTGGATACTAGAATCCCTTGGCTTATTTACTTACTTTATTTTTGCCAGAAAATACCTCAAATAATTTACTAAGAAATAGTAGTGTAGGAGGTAAGCTTTCTGAAGCCTTACAGCCTGAAAATGTCTTTTTCATTCATCACACTAGGTCAGTGGGTTATTCTAGGTTGAAAATAATATTTCTCCAAACCTTTGAATGAAGAGCTCTGTTGTCTTCTTAGCTCAGTGTGGGTGAAAATTCTGATGCCTGTTTCTCTTTCCTTTATAAGTAAACTGTTATAGAGTTTGTCTTTATCATTTGTGATGCTGTATCTAGATATGGATATATACATATTTATTGTTCTGTGCAATAAATGCAGCCTTTCAATGCAGAGATTCATGCTCTTCAATTCTGGACTTTGTTTTTGTAATCTTTTTGTTCTTTTTTTTTTACACTATCTGTTTCTATCACCATCATCATGACTATATTATTATTCAGGTATTGAAACTTCTGGATTTATCTTCTCCATCATTCAGTCTCTTCTCTCATATTTTCTACCTTTCTTCCATTTCTATTTACTTTCTGGAAGATTTCTTTGACTTTATCTTCCAAAATGTACATACTTTCCATGACTCTTTATCTCATTGTCTTCTGGTTGTCCCTTTACTATAGAATCTTGCACTTTATGAATGCATTGTATTCTCTAATCTTTCTGAGGATGCCACTTAGGATTTCTTTTTCATCTGAGGTCATTTGTTCTCTGGCTTTCAAATGGGAGTGTTTCCTCAAATGTCTGGTGATCCTTGGTTGACTTCTGCATAGTATAATGAGAACATCAAAAGCCAGTGGGAGATTAGGGTACATAGCAGCGCCCGATGACTGGCAAGCTTTGCTTTGGGTTGATTTGGTGGAGTCACTACTTATGTTGAGAGATCCCTGAAAGTCTGCATGTGGATTTCATGCTTCTTGAGGCACTCTATTCCCTTTTTGACTATAAGGCATTTCAAAATATCGTCACAGCATTTAACAATTATCCACATAGTCTTTACCCAGCTTTAGATAATGTGAATGTCTTACCATATTGCTTTAAATCTCCTCCTTTTCTTCCAAAATAAAACAGAAACATGAAGATATACTTAAAGTCACCTCTGCCTTTCTGCTAGGCCACATTGTCCTCCTTCTTTCCTAGAGAACACCACAATGCTGAATTTTGTGATGACCATTTTGATGAATATTTGTGTATTTTACTACATATGTATTATCCTTAGAGTACTATTTTATGTGGTTAATTTCATACACACATAAGTATATACATGTGATATGTGTGCATATAGCGAAATGTAAAATAGTACTTTTTTTTTTTTTTTGAGACAGAGTCTCTCTCTGTCCCCCAGGCTGGAGTGCAGTGGCACAATCTCAGCTCACTGCAACCCCTGCTTCCCAGGTTCAAGCAATTCTCCTGCCTCAGCCTCCCGAGTAGCTGGGACTACAGGCGCATGCTACCACGCCCAGCTAATTTTTGTATTTTTAGTAGAGGCGGGGTTTCACCATGTTGGCTAGGCTGGTCTCGAACTCCTGACCACAGATGATCCACCCGCCTCGGTCTCCCAAAGTGCTGGGATTACAGGAAAATAGTACTCTTATTTAAGTATATATCACATACATATATAATCACATACATATATGTGATTACAGACATATACATACATGTATGTGATTACAGACATATACATATGTGTGTATAAAGTTGAACACATAAAATAGTACTCTAATTATACATACACATTATATAATACAACAAACAATATATAATTGTATCTATCAATCTATATATAATTATAATACATGCAGAAAATAAAAAATAAAAATTTTTTTTGAGAAGAACAAAAAAAGATAAAACAAAAAAATTATAATTATAATGCATGCATATTCTGCAACCTGCTTTTCACTCAACATCATATTTTTGATATCTGTTTTGAGGTGCATAATCTAATTCATTTCTGTGCTGTGTGAGATTCCATTTTATGACTATACCATGAGTATGGTTCTCTATTTCTGGATATTTAAGGTATTTCCAATTTTCTGGTGTTTAGTCAGTGCTGTAAGGAATATTCCATTACAGATCTTTAGAAGATGTATTGGAATGGAGAGATAATAGAGGAAGGGCTACTGGTAGAAGAGATAACGAAGACCTAAACTTGACAATGGTGGGATGAAAGAGATCACAGAAATTTTTTGAGGTTATACATAATACTTGGTGATTCGTCAGAAGTAGGGGTGAGAATGGAAGTGGCACATGAGGGAGAGGAAATAATTTAAGATGACTCTTAAGTTTCTGCCTTGCATAAATAAATAGATCTTTGAAACACATCCCGATATAGGGCATTCACAAGTGTTGACTGGACTAGTGGGGTGGGCAGAAAAAAAAGTTCCATTTTAGAAACAAGTTTATAGTTTGTATGACCATGAGCTATTCAGTCGGAAATTTCCCGTGTCTAGAGAAGTTAAAGTACTTTCCAACTCTATGATTTCATGGAGCTATCTCTCTTGGCTGCTTTGGTAAGCAAAAGCACGTTGGGCATTTAAAAAGAGGGTTCTATTGGTATAGCAGGCTGAATAATGACCCTCCAAAGAGTTCCATGCCCTAATCTCTGGAATTTTATGTAGCAAAAAGAACTTTGCAGATGTAATCAAGCTAAGGATGTCAAAATGGGGAGATTATCTGCATTATCCACGTGGGCCTAAGGTCATCACGAGGGTTTTCATAAAAGAGTGATATAGTTTGGATGTTTGTCTCCTCCAAATCTCATGTTGAAATGTAATCCCCAATGCTGGAGGTGGGGCCTGGTGGGAGGTATTGGATCATGGGAGCAGATCCCTCAGCAATGGTTTAGTGCCATCCTCTCCGTGATGAGTGAGTTCTCACTCTGTTAGTTCACATGAGATCTGATTGTTTAAAGGAACCTGGCACCTCTTCCTCTCTCTCTTGCCCCAGCTCTTGCCATGTGACATGCTGACTCCCCTTTGCCTTCCACCATGATTGGAAACTTCCTGAGGCCTCACCAGAAGCCGATGCTGGTGCCATGCTTCCTGTACAGCCTACAGAACTATGAGCCAAATAAACCTATTTTCTTTACAAATTACCCAGCCTCAGGTATTCCCTTACAGCAATGCAAGAATGGACTAACACAGAGGAGTACAGGAGTCAGAGTCAGAGAGAAGGCAATGCGACAAAGAAAGCAAAGGAAAAAAGGCTATGCAATGTGGAGCCAGGAGACAAGGAACGCCAGCTCCCTTGGGAACCTGGAAGGCACAAGGAATGGGCTCATCCCTAGAGCCTGCAGAAGGAGCCAACTACGCTAACGCCTTGATTTTAGCTCATTTTGACTTCTGGCCTCCAGATCTATAAGATAATAAATGTGTGTTGTTTAAAGCCACCACGTTTGTGGTAATTTGTTATAGCAGCCATAGGAAATAATGCAGTTGGCTTTCCAATAAGAAGACTTAACTGAAGACAGGGCTGGCTTCAAGGGCATGTGATCTGTGCAGTCACACAAGTCCCCACACTTACAGGGACCTCATGGTTGGTTTAATGCTCTATGTCTTTACAAGATTAATGATATTTCGAAAAAAGAACTCCACATATTCATTTTGCATGGGGCCCTGTCACTTACGTACTCAGTCTTAACTAAAGATAACATATTTGACATATTTTGGGCATAGCATTCTTTTTCTTATATTTTTCTGTTATTAAGATTTTCTAGGCCGGGTGTGGTGACTCATGCCTGTAATCCTAGCACTTTGGGAGGCCAAGACAGGCAGATCACTTGAGGTCAGGAGTTCAAGACCAGCCTGGCCAACACGGTGAATCCCCGCCTCTACCAAAAATACAAAAATTAGCCAGGTGTTGTGGTGCCCACCTGTAATCCCAGCTACTTGGGAGGCTGAGGCAGGAGAATTGCTTGGACCTCCACCTCCTGGGTTCAAGAAATTCTCCTGCCTCAGCCTCCCAGGTAGCTGGGATTACAGGCATGCGCCACCATGCCCGGCTAATTTTCGTATTTTTAGTAGAGTCGGGGTTTCATCATGTTGGCCAGGCTCGTCTCGAACTCCTGGCCTCAAGTGATCCGCCTGCCTCAGCCTCCCAAAGTGTTGGGATTACAGGTGTGAGTCACCCAGCCCTGCCCAGTCTTTCTTTCTGAGCAGCTATGTGCCCAGTAAGAAATTGTAGGAAGGTCATAATTAAGGAAAAAAGAGGAGAGACAGATTTAGGGTAACAACTACCAGACTGGGCTACTACTGCAACCTTAAACTAATTATATGTTTTGGTGGGTTGTCTAGCAACGTTTCACAGAGTATTTCTAAAAGGGGCTTAAAGGCCCATGGCGTCCATATATCTAGCTAAAAGTGGGGTTCCATTAAGAAAAAAGAGAAAGCATATTGGGTAAAACCTGGCAGCTTCCAACATAACTACGATCACTACATTGTATGTATCAGACTTTTCCTAAAGAGTCACAGAAACAGTGAAAAAACAATTTATTATATTGCTCATTCTTAAAAGTCTGTGACCACCTAACTTCTGGAAATTTATCTAGAACACCTTTCACCTTAGGGTGCTTTCTCTACTCTGAACTTTTCTCTCAAGTTTTCCTAACCTCAAATTCCAGGGAGCCAAAACTATAAAAACTCTAGAAGAAAATCTAGGCAATACCATTCAGGACAGAGGCACAGGCAAAGATGTCATGACGAAAATGCCAAAAGCAATTGCAATGAAAGCAAAAATTGACAAATGGGATCTAATTAAACTAATGAGCTTCTGCACAGCAAAAGAAATTATCATCAGTGTGAACAGACAACCTACAGAAGGGGAAAAAATTTTTCTGATCTATCCATCTGACAAAGGTCTATCATCCAGAATCTACAAGGAACTTAAACAAATTTACAAGAAGAAAACAACCTTATTAAAAAGTGGGCAAAGGACGAGAAAAGACACTTCTCAAAAGAAGACATACACTTAGCCAACAAACCTGAAAAAAAGCTCAACATCATTAATTATTACAGAAATGCAAATCAAAACCACAAGGAGAAACCATTTCACGGCAGTCAGAATGGCTATTATTAAAAAGTCAAAAAAGAACAGATGCTGGTGAGATCGCGGAGAAATAGGAACACTTTTACACTGTTGGTGGGCGTGTAAATTAATTCAACCATTGTGGAAGACAATGTGGCGATTCCTCAAAGACCTAGAGGCAGAAATGTCATTTGACCCAGCAATCCCATTACTGGGTATGTACCCAAAGGAATATAAATTATCCTGTTATAAAGATACATGCAGGCATATGTTCACTGCAGCACTCTTCACAATAGCAAAGACATGGAATCAACCCAAATGCCCATCAATGATAGGCTGCATAAAAAAAATGCGGTACATGTACACATGGAATACTATGCAGCCATAAAAAGAAATGAGATCATGTCCTTTGTACGGACTTGAATGGAGTTGGAAGCCATTATCCTCAGCAAACTAACACAGGAACGAAAACGAAACACCGCATATTCTCACTTGTAAGTGGGAGCTGAATAATGGGAACACATGGACACATGGTGGGGAACAATAAACACTGGGGTCTGTCAATGGGGGTAGGGAGAGCAGCAAGAATAGTTAATGGATGCTGGGCTTAACACCTAGGTGATGGGATGATCTGTGCAGCAAACCACCATGGTACACGTTTACCTGTGTAACAAACCTGCACATCCTGCACATGTACCCCAGAACTTAAAGTGAAAGTTGAAGAAAAGAAAAGAAAAATTCCTGGGAGCTATGCTGTTCTCCTAATGCTGTTCTCCTTATGCTGTTCTGAATAAGGAGTAAACTCTGCTTTAGGTCTGGGAAGTGAGGTCTCCAAGGCAAGCTCTGGAATTTCATTTTTCTTAATAAAAATGGTTTCTCCCCAAGAGAAATTCCAGTGGCAGATGTTGATGTAACAATGTTCTCAACCTGCTTATTTGCTAAATAAATGAATCATTTACATTTTTCTTTACAGGGTTCCTGGATAAACTGGAAAGATAAATTTTCAGGGCTGTCATCCCCTTACTAGTAAGATAAAATATACTTGCGGCCGGGTGCGGTGGCTCATGCCTATAATCCCAGCACTTTGGGAGGCCAAGGTGGGCAGATCACGAGGTCAGGAGTTCGAGACCAGCCTGGCCAACATAGTGAAACCCCATCTCTACTAAAAATACAAAACAATTAGCTGGGTGTGGTGGCAGACGCCTGTAATCCCAGCTACTCGGAAGACTGAGGCAGGAGAATCATTTGAACCTGGGAGGCAGAGGTTGCAGTGAGCCAAAAGCGCATCACTGCACTCCAGTCTGGGCAACAGTGCAAGACTCCATCTCAAAAAAAAAAAAAAAAAAAAGATATACTTACCAAATAGTCATTGATTCAGTAAATATTGTGCCAGTCATTGAAGTAGAATCTCAGTATACAAAAGGAGAGCAACATAGACTACTTTTCTTCCAATGGGCCTTACCATCTATCTAGTACTACCTAGTGCCATCCAGATTTTGTGAAGAGAGAACAAGTGAACCCCAAGAGACCTGTCACTAACACACTCCTTCAACATAAAGCAAGAATGTTGGGCTCTGTCCAAGAACAGGAAAAAAAAAATCCATGCTGAATATCCACATAAGCTCAGCCTTCCCTGAGTTCTGTTGTTCATGATGTTTGTGGACATCACAGTATACTGGAAGACTTCTAGAATGAATAGTAACAATAGCTGTTACCATCTAGAAAATATGTCCAGTTCTCCAAGGCACATGGTAGGATGGCACTCCTCTGTTCTTTGCAATTATGAGGGGGCATGTGACTTGCTTTGGCTAGTTAAACGAGAGTGGAAGTCATTTGCACGTCTGGTCGGAAGTCTTAAGAATCAGTGCTCTGTTAAGCGAAGCTCTTCTTCCCTCTGCCTTGACAACTGACCACACATCAGTTGGTGTCTGCTTGGTAAGTCTGGTTTCTGGGCTAAAGATAGCAAGGAGTACTCAACCAATCCCTGATGGAGATCTAGTGTAAGTGAAAAGAAACCTTTGTCTTTCTAAGCTACTGAGATTTGGGAGATTTTTTATTACTGTAGTGTAACCCAGCCCATCCTAACTGATGCAATCATAAATGTCTCTCAACATGAGAGTCTTCTACAAAAAGTAACTCATCTCATCCTCATGGAAACCTCATGAGGCAGATACTATCATTATTTCCATGATTTTCTCTGAGAAGAAAACTTAGAGATGAAGGAGTGGATGAATAGTTAAGTGCTAATATCCAAACCCCAAGATTCCAAGTGGGGTTTCATGCTTTGGTGACCCAAACCACAGTTTTTGCTTGAATTAATAAATGGGAACTCAACTATAATGGGTGCTTATAAGTGTCAGGCCTCCGCCTTAGGCGCTGGGAATCTAAGGGTGAACAAGACAGTAGCTTACTTCCAAGTAGGGGAAAATGAAAAGACCCAACAAAACATACAACAAACAGTTTCAGTTCATTATGAAGAACATAAAACACAGGGATGTGACAGAATGAGGAGTACTGAAATGGTTAGAAAGGCCTCTGAGAAGGTGATTTTTGAGTTGAGAGGGGAAAGAGATACCCCAGGCAGGCATAATTCGTGCAAAGGTCTTTCCCGGGAGAAGCCTGGTGCATCAGCGGTGCATAGCGGAGTCAGTTTTGCAAGACCATGCGGAGAGGGTATAAGACGACCTGGCAGGCAGGCAGGGGCGCATCCTGTAGGGCCGGAGGCTGCAAGGACTCTGGAGCAGGGGAATGACTTAATTCAGTTTGCTTTGTGTAACGACCACTCTGGATGTCGCAGTGTGGTGGGAGGCCAGTGGATGCAGGAAAATGAGCCAGGAGACCCTCGCGGACGCCTAGATTTACCTGTGGTGAAGGACTAGGTCTTGCCCCCAGGCCTATCCTTTTCGAACCTACTCGAGTCTACGCAGTTCTGCGCACAAGCGACCACTCCCTGAGTCCGACTCCACCCAACCCGAATTCCTGTTGCTGACCCCGCGCTACAACGCTGCAACTTTGTCAGGTTGCAATGAGTTTCTAAATGCACCCTCTCTGGTTCTGATCTGCATCCTCCGGAACAGATCTGGGGAACGGCCCCTGTCCGCCTCTCCGCTTTCCAGAGCTCTGGTCTAGGCAAGGGACGCTGACGGCTCCGCCTGGATGGGCCGTGGAAGCCAAGCCTGTTCTGTGCCGCGCACCATGCTCCTGCTATGTCCCAAGCAGTTAATGACTTAACAAAGCCCACGCGCCACGGGTCCTGATGGCGCTTTCAGCCCAGAGGCGGCGGGAACACAGCGGGAGGGGCGAGGAGCTGCAGTCATCAGGAACCCTCGGATTCCACGCCAGCCTGGGGAGGGAGCAAATTGGAATGTAAAAACAAAACATTACATTCCCGATTTTCGGAAGCGCGGGGCGAGCGGGAGCGAAGACGCCCAGGTGAGCGCGGGGCTGCACCGCCCGCCGCGCGGGGTAGAGCTCTACACGCCGAGCTGGGCCAGCCGGGCTCGCAGCGACACTGCAGGCCGCGGGCGGTACTGCAGCGCAGCGCGGCCCGGCGCATCTCGAGGCTCTATCGGGCGCGCATGCTCAGCGCGCCGCTCGTGGCCCCACTAGCCTCACTGCGCGCTTCCGCGGCAGCCGCGGCGGCCGAGCTGAGTGTGCGGGCCAGGAGAGCCAAGAGAGTGGGCCTGCGCCGCAGGGCGGGAAAGGGCGGCTGGGACGTGGTCCCTGCCTTAGCCACGCTCCAGCGCCTGGCACCCTCCACGAAAGGTTGCTCCAGTTACTCCTGTTTTGCAGTTGAGAAAACGTCTCAGAGACTGGCAGTAACTTGGCCAAGGCCACACAGCTGGAAGGATGGCAAATGAGTTCGGGATTCGGGCTCTACATCCTTAACCTCCTGCACCCCAGGACTGTGAGGCGAGGTAAGCTTGAGAACCGGGGTTGTCTTATCAGAGCTTGGGGGGCCTTTATCCCTCCTTTACAGATGTGCAAACTGTGGCTCAAGGAAGTTACTAAAAACTTCTGAAATGTTTTAGAAGAAAAAAAAGCCACTTTCTGGGATCTCCTGTCCATGCATAAAGTTTTGAAGTGTCTGAGATTGACATGTCTGTGCTCTGACCTGGGTGTTAAAGACCTGGCCCTTTTCCAATGGACAGTGCTGTTTTTGTCAAGTCATATAATATTCGGGAGCGGTAGAGGCCAGAGAGAATATAAAAGTGGGTAATGAAGCATGGAAGGAAGTTCAGAGCAAGAGAAAGGATGATCATGGAAAGCTCGTGGAGGCCTTCCTCTGAGCCCCAAGCTCCCCACTGGCAGAATTTGATGAAGGGCTCTCTAAGATCAGAGTCTGTAGACGCCTAGAATGATCTAAATCCACACTGCCTTTCCTTTTCTTCCTCAAAAGCGCCCACCTCAGGGCCTTTGTACATGCTCTCCTCTCCCCTGTTCTCCATCTTCTTGTGGCAGCTTCCTACTCGTGGCTTACAGCTCATCTCCCAAGTCCCCGTCATTGCATTTGTAAGGCTCGTGGTCCAGAAATGAATGTTCCCTGAGGGCTGAGCCTTACCCTGTTCGTCATTCCTCTAGCCTCAGCACCAGCCTGTGCCTGCACTGAATGGGCATTCATACATGGTCGGTTTTTTTTTTTTTGGTTTTTTTTTTTTTTTTTTTGAGACAGAGTCTTGCCCTGTTGCCCATGCTGGAGTGCAGTGGCTCGTTCTTGGCTCACTACACCCTCCGTCTCTTGGGTTCAAGCAATTCTCGTGCCTCAGCCTCCTGAGTAGCTGGGATTACAGGCGCCCGCCACCACGCCCAGTTAATTTTTGTATTTTTAGTAGAGGCGGGGCTTCACCATGTTGGCCAGGCTGTTCTTGAACTCCTGACCTCAGGTGATCTGCCCGCCTCGGCCTCCCAAAGTGCTAGGATTACAGGCATGAGCTACTGCGCCCAGCCCAATACATGTTTTGTTGAATGCATGAGTGAATGAATGAACGTTGGCTCCCAAATCTTATACTCAAGGACTGGTTCATGTCTTCCTTCTTCTCTCCTACATTAGGTAGTCATAACTAGGAGGGTGCATTGATTTCTTAGGGTGGCTGTACCAAACAAACATGTATTGTCTCACAGTTCTGTCGGCTCAGAAGTCTGAAATCAAGGGGTCCACAGGGCCATGCTCCCTCTGAACCCTCTAGGGGAGGATCCTCCCTGCCTTTTCCATCTTCCAACAGCCGTTGGTTTGTGGCTGTGTACTCCAATCTCGGCCTCTGTCCATGGCTTCTTCTCCCTGTGTGTCTCCATGTCTTCTCATGGCATTTTCTTCTCTGCGTCTCTTCACAGAGACACAGAATGGTGTCCCTTGTAAGGACACCATTCACATTGGATAAGGGCCCACCCTAATGACCTTGTCTTACATCTGTAAAGACCGTGTTTCCAAATAAGGTCATATCCATAAGTTGGGGGTGGGGGATATTAGCGCTTCAACGTATTTTTCTGGGAAACATAATTCAACTCGTGACAGAAGTGATCCACGGAATTTAGGCAAACTAAGCTGGGGGGTGGAGAAGAAGACATGAAGGGCAGACGTGTAGGGAACGTGTGATGATTCACATTTGCAAGCATCAAAAGACTTTTAGGGACATCAGCCTTAAAGGTTTCTGCTGAAGTAGTTTCTATTTTTCCTTGACCCTTTTTCAGGCTGTAAACACTCCATTTCCAGACACTCCACAAAGCATTTCATCTCCCTGAATTTGGGCTACTGAAGAGTAAGTTAACAGTCACTTCTATCTGCCAGGGACTGTGATAAGTCCTGACTTGCTTTCTCTTGTTTAATGTTGACAACCCCCTTGGGAGGAAGGACCTATTTTTCACTGAATTTTACATGAGAAACTGAGGTTCAGACAGGCTCACAACTTCTATGTGGCCGAACTGGGATTTATAACCAGTTCTCACTTCAGAAAAACTCCCAGGAGACCCACAGGTACCTTACATCAATTCTGTGTGACTTAAGAGGGCAGAACTGTGATGCATGAGTAGAAGTTATAAGGAGAGTTGCCTCTCCTTATAAAGTTTAGGACAATTTTCTAATGTCTAGACCTCAGATTCTCCAATACTTAGAATTAATAGTTTTTCCTGATGTGGCTCTGTTTGCCACTAGAGATTTTCAGGCAGTGGCTCCTAGTTTGGATTCTCAATGCCTTTCCCAACTTGACCCTACTCTTGAGGGAGACTTTGAACTCTCTGGCATATTCTCTCTGATAGGTGCTATCTGCACATAAATGTGTTTTTCTGAGAAGAGGTTCCTTAGCTTTTCTGAGCCCTAGGAGATAGAAAACCAGGACCCTAGCAGCTCCCTGATCAGGACCGAGGTTAGGAGCACTGCAGCCTAGGGCAGGAAGAAGGATTTGCTCTCTGGGCTGCTATTTTCTCTGCCCAGCTCCTGATACTTTAGTGGTGGAGGTTTTGCCCAGCTGCTGGACTTGTGGCTGAGCCTGTCTTCTTCAACTCCGCTTCTCCGTGTGGCAGTACTGCCCAGGCCCACATCTCCTCCGTGCAGCATACTGGCCGCTGTCCGTGCACGCCGACCTTTGGCCGCCAACAGGAAGGTGATGGAAACCAGCCTTGCCCCGCCCCCGCCTCCAGAGCTTTGAAATAAACTTTAGCTGTTCATCCCGAAGAAACTGTACTTCCCAGTGACGCTGCTCCCATGCCTCAACCTGCCCCTGCTGGAGAGCTGTTTCACTTTGTGGGGAGTCACTGATTGTGCGGGACCTGGCAATATGGTCTTCTTCTTTCCTCTTAGAGGCTCTATTCTAAATATGTCTTCCTTCCGGACCGTAGATGCAGGTGTATCTAGAGGGCAGTTGGCTCGCCCAAAATAGCACCGAAGTCCAGGAGGCAGGAAAGAAACTCTGGCATTAAATGAGCTCACACCCTCTCCAGACTCCCACAGTCATTGTCCCCTCTGACCCTCGCAACGCCCAACTGCTAGAGGAGGCTTTGCGCCTCACATACGACCTTCCCCGTCTTCAGAAATGAAGACACTGAGAGAGGTCAGGGGACTTTCTCGCCAAGGTCCAGCAGCTAAGATGTAAAGGAGTAGGGAGAGTCAGGATTTGTACCCAGGACTTCAAGGCCATCTCCTTCACTGAAGCTCTCCAAGAAGACGAGTTTGGAGGCTGAGGACCTGAGCTCCTCTTCTCTCGCTTTCACTCACCCACTGCAGGACTGCAGGCTCCAGGGAGGCAGGCGCCAAGGCCGCCCTCCGCGGGACCCGGTACAAGGCAGGCGCCCCGGGATGGCAGACTGGGCCAGGACCGAAGCCGAATCCTTCTTTTGCCTGCGGCATGGCTAAATGTGGACCTCGCTCGCTACGGTGCGAACGTGTTGGGTCAAGCTCTAAGCCCAGAAGTGGGGCTCGGCTGGGTCTGAGGCTCCCCGCTCTGGACAGCTTAGAAGCCCGGCGGGGGCGGGCGCAGCCTTAGAGACCTCAGGCGCCGGCCTCGCTGGAGCCGCGCCGCCGCTTCACATTGCGCACGCGCGGGGCTGGCGCGGGCTCCGCCCCCCGGGTAGGGACCTACAGCGGGCGCGGCGCCGGCGGTCTGCGGCCGGCGGTGTAGACGCCCCTTCGCCGGGACCTGGCACCCGAATCCGGCCTGCCGGGTAAGTAGCTGAGCGGGAGGGCGAGGGCCCCCGGATCCGCGTGTACGTGACCGAAGCGCCAGCTGCGGCCGGGTCGTGGGGGCGCGCGGGGCGGGGGCCTGACGGGGCCAGGCCGGGGCGGGTCGAGCGGCCGCGGCCCCGCGTGCCCGCGCTGAGGGCTGGCGTCGTGGCAAGTGGCACCGGGTAGGCCGAACGCGGGCTCCGGCTGGTGGGCGTGGGGCACCGGCTGGGGTGGGGGCCCGGGCCGCGGCTTGGCGCGCGTTGAGCAGGTACGCGGGCCTGGCCTAGGGTCGGGGTCCGGCCCGGCGCCCCCAGCTCGCCTTTGTGCGCCGCGACCCCGCGGACTCGGCCGACGCGCCGGGGCGACCGAGGCGGGGGTGGCAGCGTCCCGCGGGGCCGTTCGTGTGGCGCCGCTGGCCCGGCCTGCGCTCCCCGCCCCCAGCGTTATGAAGGATGCCTCCTCCGAGGGCTCCTACCGTCCGCGCCGAGCAGGAAGTGTCGTCAGGAGGCCATTTTTAAAGCCTCCTGCGGGCCTCGGAGCTGAGCGTTGACGGTTTTGGTTTTCTTCGGTTGGAAGAACCCCGGCCTTCCCTCGCGGCGAGCGGGACGCGCCTGGGAGACGACGATGCGCCCGATGCACCTGGCCTCGTCCTCCGAGCGCCCAGGCTCAGGCGCGCTCGCCTCGGATGCTGCCTGCCATCGGGGGAGCGTGCCGACAATAAACTCGAAAACCAGCCTGGCATTGTCTTTCCTTGAGAGGGTCAGGGGTGGGCTCGTCCATCGAGGTCCTGCGCATCTTTTACGGGGGGCGAGGACATAGGAGGTTGAGAAGAGATGGTGAAGGTTTGAATTGTTCCAAATGCTGATGTCATTGTGGGACCTCCCCATACCGGCCTGCCCGTCTTATCTTGGTGTCTTTGGGGTTTGGGGCTCTGTAAAGCCAAGAAATTGCAGGGTTCAAAAGAATGAAAGTTTCTTAACCAGAAAGGAAAAGCCAAAAGAGCGAACGGGAGAAAACACTTAAGTCTTTATAAGTTGGGTAGTTAATGTATCCCGTTACAATACCTCTGACTTTAAAAATTGTAATAATGAACGATTTATCAACGTAACATTAAAAAAAAAAACTACAGAGCATTATGTCCTATTTAAAAGTACAAATCTACGTAGCTAAACTCTAATGTTGTGTTAGACTCTTTAAACCATCTTAAGTTTAGACTTGAAATCACCAAGAATTAAGACAAACCTGGGTCTCTAGAAGCTTGCAGTACTCTTCTACAGTAGAGCAGAGACTGAGGATGGGAATACATCTCTTTTCTCTCTCTTGAGTCACATATGCAAAGTTCAGCCCAGCATATGATGTCAGTACACAGCCAAGGGTTCAGAAAATATTGTTTTAGAAACCAATGTTATATACTGTTGTCTCTTTGAGTAGAATACAAATAGTTCTTTTTTAAAATTGTGTGATATTGATATCTTTAACTAGGATGCAATTTTTAAAAGTTACTTTCATCTTGGATCAAATTTAGCCTTCAAAAATAACACTTTTTTGCGTAGACAGTTTGCTATGCTGATAACATTCATTGCAAATGCAATTTGAAAAGAGCAGACAAAGGATGGCATTCCTTTATTTATTGGGACTCCTTTCTGATGTATTATACCCGATCTGAAGATCTTAAAAATGCAAAATGGCAATTAAAAAAATCCATTTAGATCTCTAGAGATTTATTTGCCTTTAAGTAAGGGCATCGGGGCCAGTTTTTGTGCAAAAGGAAGAACAAAGAACATTTTATTTTTGTCTCTGTGAAGCCTGCTCTTTCATTCATTCATTCACTCATTCTTTCAACCAGTACGAACCTTATTGAGTGCCTTCCTTGGCCAAACCCTTCGCTATTGATCATGATAAACAAGATCCTTACCAGGGAGGGTTTCCCCAATCATGATTGTTCTCAAACTGCCTGCTGTCTACTGCATTTTCTTTGTTATGCAAACTCAGCTAACTGCAATTTCCAGGATTCATCCTTGGAGTGAAAGCAGCTACAGATCAGCCAGTCTAAACATTGTCATCATAGGGTGAGGGTGGGGAGGCATCAAAATCAACTAGGGAGAATTTTAAACCATATGCCTGAGCCCCACCCTAGGAAATGGTAACCTGATCTGCTAGGTTGCATGTGAGTCCTGGGAATCCTTTTTAAGTTCCGTGGGTGACTTTGCCATACACCCCTGCTTGAGAACCACTTCTGGGGCTCATTCCCCTTATCTTCAACACTCTGAGAAACCAAGGCTGTGCCGGTCCAGGACTTAAACCCAAGTGTTTGGCTTCTGTTGCAGGCCTCTTTGTGCAGCGCCTTGCTGACGCCCAGGGTTCTGATGTAGAAGCCTACACCAGGGCCTGAGGTTGTGAAACTCATGGCAGTCCACGCCTGAGAAGAGAAGGCCTGAAAGAGAAGGAAGAGCCCATGGGACTTGCCACGGTTTTGACTTACATCTGCAACTCCAAGGCTACAGGCAGGAAGTAAGAACAGTGCTCAAGTGGCAGCAGATACTGACTATGGCTTCATTTCACAGCTTCACACAGCAGGGTAGCAGAAAACAAAGAATGTAAGATTGGACCCAGTTGCAGCTGTTCACCAACTCTGTGATCTTCAAAAAGCCATATAGCTTCTCCAGACCTGTTAATCAGGGAAGAAGCAGATAACTGAAGGCTGGCTTTGAGAAGTTTCGAGGTAACATAGGAACCTGCTCATGCAGGCACTCTTTCCATCTGACTTGGGCCAAGGTGCTCCGTGATTGACAAGCAGCCAGCCTCTGGGAGAGCACTCTGATCAGATCATTGATAGAACATTCACTACTCTACTTATCATACCCATTTACTTATCTCCATCTTCTGTTAGACTCCTTAAAAACAGCAGCCCACAGCAGGTGTGGGGATAAAACAGTCCTGGGCAGTGCTCATTGTACTCACACTATGCCAGGCACTGTGCCAGGAACATTCAAATTTCTAAGAATCTACAAAGTAGATACCTCATTATACATCTTACAGAGAGCATCATTGGTGTTTCCAAGGTCACAGGGCTAGGCAAGGGTGGAACCCTGAGTCTGCTTGTCTGTTTGCCCCATGACAGCCCAGGGGTGGTGGCCTCACCCCACCTCCAGGCACCCACAAGAATATAAAATCTTGTACAAGGATGTCGATATTACTATTGCCATTCCCAAGTGCACCTGCACCTGTAGTATCAGGTGGTTTGCAGCCTTGGCTGCATAGCTGCATATGAGAATCACCTGGGAAGCTTTTAAAGATCCCAGTATCCCCACCTCTTCCCCAGTTACAGTGGAGTCTTGCGGGTGGTGGGGGACATCATTATTTTTGAAGCTTCCAAGTAATTCTGGTGTGCAGTGGGGTGACCAGCTGTCCCAGGGACCTCCTTTAAAAAATAATATCCCGGGCACATGACAGGCCAATTGCCCTAATGCAACCAAGGTTAAGAACTACTGGTTTAATGGGAGATATTTTTTCTGTGCTTGATTATACTGTTTTATTAAACTCTGAATCCATTTCTTTCTGCAAATTTTTAAGGCAAAAAAGAAATGTGAAAATATACGTCTCATTTTTAGCACCTTCAGAGACCCGGAGTCATTTGATGTGCTTCATGACATAAAATTTTGTAATATGCCGTGTGATACTACCTTATTTTTACCATATATGTATTTTTAATGCTTAACAAGAGCATATTTGCTCTTTCACATTTTTTTTTCACATACAAAGTTTTAGACATCAAGCACTCTAAATTCTTTTTTACAAATATTTTTTTCTTAAAATGTTAAGAAAAAGCCTATAATATCACTTCCTTTGTTTCCTGATGTAGACTCAGTTGATGTGCACAGCAGTGTCAAGTCAATCTCCAAAATACTCCCTGTAGACAGGGTGGGGAGAAGACCCTCACTTCCTGCCGACTAATGAACTCATGTTGATACAGACCTTTGCCTCATCAGATTCATTTGTTAAGCTAACCAGTGTCTGCTTCTCTGGACATTACTGGACTCTTCTACCTGTGAAGCCATCTTAAAAAAATATATTGACTGATTTCTTAACGAAACATCTACTCTTTGCCAAGCATAAAGTTACCTCCCACTTGCATACACCCTTTTCTCATTTGTCCTCACATCAGCTGTATAAATGAGAAATATTCACATTTTATAAGTGAGAACATTCAGGCTCAGATAGGTTAACAAGTTTGAAATCATGTGCTAGTAAACCAAACACCTAGGTTTTGAACCTTGTTCTTCTTGTCCCAAGGTCATTATTCTCTACTGTGTTACACTCAGCTGCTTTCACCTGGAAAAGCAGAGGAATCAGGCTGTCTCCTGCAGCTGTCTTGGTCCATTCTGCTGCCCAAGCAGTACACTTGGTTTCAGATGGAAATCTAGGATCCCAAGCATGGGTACATTTGTCGGCAGCATTTGGAAGTATTTTTCGTCATCAGGATGGCAGTCAATTTGCAATTCAGTCATCTCAGTGCAAGGTAGTTTGGCAAAAAGATTATGACACTTAATGGATTTTTTTCCTCTTTTAAATCTGTTTACCCAGCATTTTGTAGTATAATGCAATGTAATAACATTGCATTATTTTGAGCATAGTTTAGAAGCCAAGAAGATGCTTTCAAACAGCTGACATAATTCAGTTATGGCCCAGATGTCCTGCCTTCCCCATCACACATTCATATTAATGGTCTTAGAAAGCTGTTTCTGAGGCAACAGTTTCTTCCTCAATATCATCCTACTGGGGAAATTTTGGCAGTTGATGTCTAATGTTGATTTTTTTTTCCTGATTGATTTTAATTGTTCACTGGGCACTTTGGGGTAGAATTGTTTTAAAAATTTGGTTACTGGGAAAGCTAGACAAGCCTTTGCTATGGTGAAAGAGACAGAAGGAATATAGATATAATTTGTAAGTGGTTATGCCATTGGGCTTAATGCTTTGCATACATTATCTAGTTTGCATCTCCTGATCGCCCTTTAAGTTTGCTTACGGTAAAGCATTATTCCTTGCTTGGCAATGCACAGAGAAAAATTATTTGCTGAAGGACCCTGCAAATGAGGGACAGGATCAGAGTTGGAACTGTAAACCCTGCCACTCCATTTCATGTGATCTTCATGGGTACAGCAGCTATACCCTGCCCCAGCAATGAGTATGGTAGAGCCACATTCAAAGGCGGACTTTGGGGTCAGCATTCCTGAAAAGAGCTGCTTAAGTTTGCTTCTACATCCAAAAACGATGCAGTCACAGTCAACTAACACTGAGCTTGCTGGGCATCTCCTGAACAGAAATGTATGTGGTGGTCCATGTAGCATGTATGCGATATAATTGGCCACCCACCTTTCCTTTTCACATTAACATTTATCACAGAAACACATTCATTTGCTACAGGGATATTTCACAATTTGGCTGAACTTTGAGAGAAGTGGGTGAGGAAAAGGTAGTTTCGTAACTAGTTTATATATAAACCTAAATTGTAGTGAGTACTCTTGTAAGTGGAGCATCTTTTCTATGGTAATTATAAATGGCTGTTAGCCCCTTTGCACTAAAGCTAGGTGGGTGGTTTTGCCACAGAGGTAAATTATCTTTCGGGCGGTATAACCAAACAAATAAAATATAAAGTGAGATTCAGGGCATGTTCTGAATACAGCAGTTAATTAGGCAGCTAAGAAAACTGTATTTTAGCCCCTCTGACTATGTGATTGGTATTTTTTTAAATTAAAAAATGGAAAATAATATTTTTAACAGGTTATGATATGTCAGTCATTTAATCCTCACAGTAACTCTGTGGGGTAGGTAGGTACTGTTTCTATCTCATTTTACAGGTAAGGAATCAAAACAGTGGGTATACCCAGGTTGTATATCTAGAAAGTGATAGAGCTGGGATTTTAAACTTTATAATCTGATTCCAGAATCTCTACCTTTAAACACTATGTTACCACTTACTTCTCTTCAAATTTTATTGAGCATTAGATGTTTCCAGTATTTAGAAGTCAAATGCTTCGTTTTTAATAGGAACTTACACAGTCTTTTATGTTTTTTTATAGCCCTCAATGTCACTGATGTGGATTCTCCCAAACTCGATACTTTGTTTGTTTTTATGTCCCCATAATAAGTCTTTAAGAAAACAGGGCAAGTGAGCTCAAAATCAAAAGAAAACCCACCAACAGTGAATGCATTCAGGGCTATTTCCAGGTCTTTCTTTTGAAGAAAGATAAGACTCAGTCCAGAGAGCACATCTGTGACACACCGTGCCTCTTGCCTTTGGTGCGTGGCAGTCATCTTTGGCTCATGCTGTACCTTATTCTACATTAGAAAACTCACTGTATGTTGCTAAATAATTTTTTGAAAACAGGCAGATTAATAAATGGACATCTTATTTATTGCACCATAAAATTAATGGTATTCTTTTCTGTGTTTTCGAGACCTTTCCTAAGCTATCTGAAAGTCCTAAGACGCCAAATGCAGAGGCTTTTGCAACAGATGTTGAGAGTTTGCACGGTAGGCAAACACTGACCCTGCTGTTAATAGTAATTTATTGAGTACCCTTTCAGTGCCAGCATACCCATGCACAGCTTTGTCTCCGGTGTCTTTTTGTACTCCTTGGTCATCCATCCAGAGAGTCATAACTTGCCAAGAGGACTCAGCTTCACAGGTGTGTATACTTGGATGTGAACCATGGAGGACGTTGTGTGGAAGGGACGGGCTGAGAGGCTTTTACACAGATATGCCTGCTGTCCCTCAGGAGTGTCCACGTGTAAATACCAACATCAGAACCATCTTCATTCTTCCATGTGGCTGTGTCCATTTACCTTGTCTTGGAGTATTACATCTGAGATGCATTTCCCTCTGTTACTAGACACAGGTTACAAAGGCCAAAGAGAACTCCCATCTACTTGTTATGAAGAAACCTCACATCTTTTTCACTTGCACAGAGGGATGTGGCAATGTAGTAACATTGCATTATCTTGAGCATAGTTCAGAAGCCAAGAAGATACTTTCAAACAGGTGACATAATTCATTTATGGCCCAGATGTCCTGCCTTCCCCATCACACTGCATTTGCTAATAATCATGGCTGCATGCTTCATATTGGCACTTGCTCCTATGGATTCTTAATTCAAAATAACTGCTGAGAAAGTTTTGCAGAGGCCTCTCCAAGACTCTGCCTTCCTCATGCGTTCTGGCTGGCTTGTGTATTCTCTGGGGACTTTCCTTGGCTGGGATGCTCTCCATTCCTTGCTGATGGACGTGATCTTACTGCCCAGTCTGTCTCAGATTTTCAAGTATTTAGTTTTAGAATAAATGATACCTTCCCGCCCCCAACTTTTGAAAGGACTTAGAGAGAAAAATGGCAAAAGTGCCTTCTGGGATTTTTGAAGACTCCTGGGGGCTGAGCAAGAGGCTGAAACACTGAAAATGAGCCAGTGGAATCCTGGTTTGGATGATTGTTCAAATAGAGGAATCTTGTCACATGACTTAGTTGAGAATTTCTTAGGGCTAATATAGAGGGTGTTATGTTCAAATAGTTGGTAAGCAAATTGTGGCAGGCAGGTTTCTTTCTCACACACTAGTATTACAAGACTGGTAGATCAGAGCATAAACAGATATCAACTTATATGCAAATCTTTGGAAGAGAATTGAGAACTGAGGATGAGAGAGGTGCAGATTGGTAACTGGTTGACCAAGAGGAATTAAGTTTATTTTTGTTGCTCCAGAGTCAAGGCAGAACAAGGAAATTTATAGGAAAGCTGATTTCTGTTTCATTTAAGGGTAAATTGTTGGTAATGAGAACTATGTGAATATAAAATTGGCTGCCTATAGAGGGAAGTGGTTTTTTGTTTATGGCGATATTAAACTATCAGCTGCATGGTCAATTGGAGAAGATGTTTTAAGGATTTAAATATTCTCAGAAGCTTCAGCCAGTAATTTGGAATGCTGGCTTTTCATCAGGATTACCTAGGGTGCCTTTACAAGCCACAAAAATCTCCTTTCCTTTCTTCTCTCCTGAGACTTAGATTCACTCGCTTTGAGATGAAGCCTGGGAAATTGTCCATTTTTGCTCTGATTCTGAGGCTTTTCCAAGTTGAGAACGCTGGACCAGATCCCCCTTATCACCAGTCTTAAGCCTTTTCATTCCTTAGGCTTTGGTTTTCTTGGGTTCTGGCTGCTGCTGCAGCTTTTCCGTTTTATCTGGATAACAATGTTGACATGACTATATTGATGATGGTAGCATTCTTTAGATGATAAAGTGTGTGATTTCGAGGATCAGCAGTGTCGGACTGGGCATAGAAGTCATGGGCCTTTTTTTAATAGATAATAGAGATGCAGGTAAGTTCTTGCTTGAGGTCACTTGATGAGCAGCAGAAATCCTGGGAGTTACTTCTGTCTTCCTTCACTAAAGCCTCTGCAAATTTGGAAATTTAAGTGTGTGCCAGCTTCTCATAATGACTCCTCTGAAAGTTGTGTTGTCTCTTCCAGAAATGCAGTGTAATGTAAAAGGCCTTATCTTTGCCCATGTATTGTTTGCCAGCTTGAGGCATTCATGTGTCCTGTGCAAAATCATGGTCCCCTTACACAGGTATGTGTTTGAACATTGAGGGGACAGATGTTTCTCCAGCCCCCCACTGCAACCCTGCAGGCCTCCATCTGCTTGATGTCTAAGTGTTGTATGCATACTTAAGATAGAGCAAGTCTGACTGAGGGCTTGATTTCATGCTGGAAATTGCTTTTGAAGAAGGTGACTATCTTTCGCAAAAGTAGAGTAGGAAAAGACGACACTGCCAAAGAAAATACAGCTTGTCATCAGATATGATGTGTTATTTTGGTGCTTTCCAAAGGGCAGGTTTTACACCAGATCTGAGTGCGTTACTGTTGCATCTCTTGAGCCCCTGTGGAGGGGCTTTTTTAAACTCCCCGACGTCGGTCTTTCAGACTACCTTTATATGGCTCTTGGCCTGTTAGCATTGTGCCAGAAGGAAGCTACCTGTGTTGCCACCCATCATTGTCATTGAACAAACACTGACTGAGTCCCTCTGGGTGCCTCTTGACACTTGGAGAAGGACTCAAAAATTTCAAAAGTCTTCTCTTATACTCTAGTGTTCTTATACTCTAGCATTCTAATCATCATGGCGGCTCTGGGAGGAATTGGATAATTGTTCCTAATTCTAGTTGCTAGATGAAAAACTGAGGTTCAGAAGATCTAAGTGACTTTCTTAAGTCATGAAAGAAAGGCTTTTAGCAGATTCCAAACTAGAATGGATTTTGTTATGCTCCTAGTTTGCCATATTCTGGGAAAATAAGTGTCTTTAAAGATTGTATAAAAGAGTCACTGTGGCCAGGTGCGGTGGCTCACGCCTGTAATCCCAGCACTTTGGGAGGCTGAGGCAGGCAGATCACCTGAGGTCAGGGGTTAAAGACCAGCCTGGCCAACATGGAGAAACCCTGTCTCTACTAAAAATACAAAATTAGCTGGGCATGGTGGTGCAAACCTGTAATCCCAGCTACTCGGGAGGCTGAGGCAGGAGAATTGCTTGAACCCTGGAGGCAGAGGTTGCAGTGAGCCAAGATTGCACCATTGCACTCCAGCCTGGGCAACAAGAGTGAAACACTGTCTCAAAAAAAAAAAAAAAAAAAGGTCACTCTGTGTATATTGGAGTGCTTACTTGCTCTAGAAAACCTTCG
Organism: Homo sapiens; assembly: GCF_000001405.40. Lineage (NCBI taxonomy): Eukaryota > Metazoa > Chordata > Mammalia > Primates > Hominidae > Homo > Homo sapiens. Next base: position 10,447,599 of record NC_000004.12, on the reverse strand, counting down.
TCACCTCTTGTGTCCCAGGCCAGGCCATCCGTGATCTCCTTTCTGCTCCAGCCTCTCCTCTGCCATGTCCGTACAATACTGGGTTATTGTCTTTCCTAGAACATGTCCCGTTCCCCATTCTCCTTGCTGTTCCTCATGAGCAGCAGGCCCACTTCCCACAGATCATTGCCTTTTCTGTGCTTGAAACACCCCTTTTCCAGCAGCCACAATGCTCACTGTGGTTGCCCCCAGGTCTCTGCTCAGACATGAACTTAGCATGAGGCCTCTCCTGACTCTCCTCACCTCCACACCCAGCCCCGCAACCTCATCACCGTGGTCTTCCCTGTCCTGTTGGCCTTGCTTTTTTCCCAAGTATCTTACCACCATTGGCAAATATGTAATCTGTTTCCCCCTGTGCAGTGTGTGCATCACCAGGAGAGGGACTGATTTGCTTTCATTCACTACCTTACAGCACTTTTGAATAATGCCCAGCACATAGTAGATTCCCAATAAGATGCTGCAGCAGGCTTGCTAACATTGTCAGTATTATGGGCTTCTTAGCACTCATGAAGGCAAATTAAGCATGTAAGTGAGAGAGTTGGTATTCAAGCTGATAATAAGCTATAATGTAGAAACAAATGTGAACACCCCAGGCCAAAGCCCTAGCTCTACCACTTGATAACTAACTTGTTCAAAAATTGAACTGACAGTGTCCTGTATAACATTTTTGTGAAGGTAATATGAAATTATACCTATGAAAGATGTGCTCACTGACACTTGAAAATGACTTTCCCTGACCAAAGGCTGTCCTGAATGGCTGCTATGATGTCCTTGTTCCTGGTATATCTGTGTTCATTCATGATTTGGCTAAAGTGGTCATTTATAGGGGGCTGAGTTTGAAAATGTTTTCAATTTAGGCTTACTTGCCAACTCTGTTGTGTTATTGTTATAACATGCGTCTAAAATCATACGTTGAGATTTACCATAAAATGTCCAAGGCCATTAAAATATAGGATAAGTTTGTTAATAGCTTAGCCAAACTCTTATATTAATCATGCTTTATAATTTTGTTTTCCTTTAGTGTTACCTGGAATGTCAGAGAGCTGAAAGCAGTCATATTTTGGGATCATGCACCTACTGCGGCAGTATATAAAGAAAGATAATTAAGTATGCACCCAAGAAGTAGCTGCGCCCCTACCCATCACAAACTGTATAGAAGGATATCTCCTAAGGATTTTATCATGTGAAAACTTTCTGAATTTTAGTTGGCTCTTTTTAGAAATGCAGATAAGATGAAGGATATTGGACAGCAGCTATACACTACACACTTGAACGGCGGACATAATTCCTTGACCATGTCACCCAAACAGCCTGATGCTAATGGAGCACCTCGGCCAAATAGACAAGAAGCACAAACCCTTTTGTATCAAGGCTCAGAGGCAGAGGCTGCCATGATGACCATTGCTACATGTGCAAAGTGCAAAAGTGTTCACAAGATCTCTCTTCAAGATTTGCAGAAGGGTACAGGGAAGGACGGTATGTATGTCTGCTTCCAGTGCAGCCTCGGTGCAGCTCCTCCCAATTTTCATTTTGTGAGCAATAATTCCAGTGCGACTCATGTTGGAAATAAAACTGAAAACTTCTCAAGTTCTGTCAATAGCAAATTTAAGGTAAGGAACTTTAAGCCAGGCAAATACTATTGTGATAAATGTCGATTCTCTACAAAGGACCCGCTGCAGTACAAAAAGCACACCCTTCAACACGAGGAGATTAAATTCATTTGTTCTCACTGCAGCTACATTTCGTATACGAAAGGAGAGTTTCAGAGGCATTTGGTGAAACACACAGGCATATTTCCTTATCAGTGTGAGTATTGTGACTATGGTGCTATTAGAAATGATTATATTGTCAAACACACGAAGAGAGTACATGAAAGGGCAGGTGCGAAACGGCCAGTCAAAGCTGTTGCCAAGCTGGAGCCAAAAAGAACCGGAACTTCAAAACAAAACCCAGAGCTTCTAAAAGCTTCCAATCCACGGACTACATTTCAAAATAAGTGGTCAGACCAACTGTCAGGTTTCTCTCTCCATGCAAATAAAGACAAAATGCACAATATCATGTTGTTACCTGAACCAAAGGAATACCAAAAAGATGTAGTTTGTATTCCAAATAAAATGACCCTGTCTGAGCCAAATGAAGTCAACCTATTTGAGAACAAAAATGTTGAAGTAGAAGTGTTATCCCCTGCAAAAGAACCTGTTCAGCCAGGTATGCCATTGACAGTTGTTGCACCAGCAGAACTAGTTGTCCCTGCAAACTGTTTAGCCCAGTTGATAGATGTGAAGGTTGTCAATGGTACACAGCAGCTTGTTCTGAAACTGTTTCCGCTGGAAGAAAATAATTGCCTTGAAGCTGGGAGGGATAATGGAGGTAATTCTGAACGTATGGTGAAAGAGAAGGGTTCAAATGAACAAGAAAAAGTACTTTCTGCAGAAAAAACAAAGTCACTGACAGTTGACGGGAATGTTGGAAAACTCGTAGGCATTGATAGTTTTCAACCTTCAGTTCAGAAACAGCTTAAAAATGTGAAATGGGTAAGGTCTTATGATTTTATTATGCCAAATTCTAGTGTGCACAACAATGGAAAATCCTTCATTAATTCGGAAACAATTGAGGATTTTCAGAAAAAAAATAATTTGTATCCACATAGAACTGCTTTTCCTTCCGTTGCCTTAAAAGGTCATTCTCTAGCATCTGTATTTAAAAACAGTGTTTTACGTAGTCTTGGAGCTGCATCAAACCCTTTTCCATATAAAGCTGCTGTTTGTTTTGCTGAAAGTGGAAGAAATTTACACAGTAGCTCACAGCAGTTACTCCCATTTGCTGCATCACCTGCAACCTGTTCCTTCTCTGGAGAAAAGGGCTTATTGCCTGTAAGTGAAAATGACTTGGAATCTACAAGTAAAGTCAATATTCCTGTAAAAGTGGTTTCCTCTAATAGGAAGCAGGAAGATAACCAGACAGAGGAACACAAGGCAGTTTCAACTGTAGGCCAGATTTCCTCTCAACATAAGAGTGAGTATTTACATATAAACATAACTGGAGAAGATAGATCTCAACAGCCTGGGGATAAGCCTTTGGAATTAAAGAATTCTGAAAGGACTAACAACACTAATGATGGCCCAGTCATCTCATCAGTATTTTCTCTGAGCTCTGGATCTGAAAATGTCCCCGAGGGCATTAAGTGGAATAGCTCAACGTCTAAAATAAAGTCAATTGAACTGTTGCGCAGAAAGATAGCTCAGTTAATTGAGTCCTGTGGGAAGCCGTCATCTTTGGCTTCAAATAGTGCACATCGTCGCTCTGTAGGGCAGGCATCAAAGGGAACTTCAAAAGCTACCTCTGAAGGTATTCAAGAAATCAACGTGTCACTCACTGGTCTTGGCCATTCCACAGGTACTCTTCAGAAACCTCCGAATGATGGTGGTATTACTGGTAATAGACAGCTTACTCATCAACAAATATATCCACACTTTGCAGATGGCAGTAATAGGAAAACCAAAAGCAGAGTGGCCAGGAAGGCTCATGTTGCCACGCCAGTGTTAATCCCCAAAGGGGCTGTGTTGAGGGTTCTTAATTCCTCTGAGAATGCCCACATCATAGAGGCTACATGTGAAGCACCTGTCAGCATACCTTGCAGTGAAAGACAGTTAATAAAACCAGTTCCATTTTGCCCTGTGAGACAGGCGGACTCAGACTTACAGCCTTTAAGAAGTGAAAGGGGGCCAATAGATATGTCCCCAAATATCGAGACACCTCTGCGGCCTAAACTGAGAAAAGAGAGTGCTGTCTGTAGCACCATCCATAGAAAAACTGGCCTCTTGTATGGACAGCAAGGAAGCAGTGAATTAAATAAGCAAGGGAGACTGCTTTCCAGAAGTCTTTCTATAAGTAGAAATAAAACCAAACAAGTACACTTATCCAGGAAGAAAAACAAAATTCAAGCTGAACCTAGCCGCTGTCTCAAGGATCCTTCAATTTTTCAGGTTGCAAGGCAACTAAGACTGATAGCAGCTAAGCCAGATCAGTTGATTAAGTGTCCCCGTCGGAACCAGCCAGTCATTGTGTTAAACCACCCTGATGTGGACTCGCCAGAAGTGACCAATGTGATGAAGGTAATAAATAAATACAAAGGCAATGTCCTCAAAGTTGTTTTATCAGAGAGGACTAGGTGTCAGCTAGGCATCAGACGGCATCATGTACGCCTGACCTACCAGAATGCGGAAGAAGCCAGTCAAATTAAAAGGCAAATGATGTTGAAAATGAAACTCAAAAAAGTTCATAAAAACAACTACCAGGTAGTGGATTCCTTGCCTGATGATTCTTCACAGTGTGTATTTAAGTGCTGGTTTTGTGGGCGACTGTATGAAGACCAGGAAGAGTGGATGAGTCATGGCCAACGGCATTTGATAGAAGCAACTAGAGATTGGGATGTTCTTTCCTCCAAGGGCAAATAAGTAAACAGTTACTCTTTAAAGCAAGTTATCTTTTAGTTTATTCTGGTTTGGAGTCCCTCCACCAAGATTCAGTAGAAGAAATACAGACTGTAGAAATGAGAGGACTGCTAATTCTTCAGAACTGTAGGAATATTGGGAGCTAGGAGTCTGAACCTGAAGTATGTGATTGGACCCCAGAATGTATTTGAAGGCTCTGAAATTGTACATGCAAATTGGTACATATGCATTTTTCTGGAGAGAGCCTGTGAAACTGAACAGATTTTCAGTGGGATCTGAGACTTTTCTTTGTTTAGCACCCCGTTTTCTGAGTACATACTGATCTTTCATAATCCATTCAGAGGGGCAGATTGAGAATGTTTTACACATGCTCTTCATATAAATGCTACAGAAAAACCTTTGTTTTGGTGTGCACATCCATTTTGTTTTTGCTTTAATTTGTGTTCTGAGTATTTGGTGCACAATGGAAATTATATTTTCTACTTTACTGTCTTCAATTTGGTTATAGAGAAATGGCCATTCTTTTACTCCCTCCCTGGTTTTGTAATACTCCCGAGTGTTCCGTATAGCACAAAGAGTTTTGCTTTTACTGGCCATTTTAAAGAATGTTTTCAACTGCTTGCCTGAATTTACTCCTTTCACAGCAAGTGTTAGAAGAAAGATAACATTTTCAAATACTTAGCTTTTGCTTTCTTTAAAATACATTGGTTTATGACATATGGGAAGGGAACGTACCTTTTTGCAAAGACAAAAAGAGATTACAAAAGGAAAATATCTAAAACTATTTTCTCTTTGCCCTTACCACTCCCAGAAACATAAGTGACCAATTTAAAATGCTAGGGAACAGGCTTACAACATAGGTAAAACTCGCAAACACAGTTCAAGGTAGGCTCATAAAGTTGTGAAAAGGGTTTCATATGCCCTTTAGTTTTCATTTGGGATTCATCCAAAGACCATGGGTGGATGCTGTCTTCTCTCTTCTTGATCCCTTTGATTCATGGACACTAGACTCCCTTTGCCATTTCTTCTGAACCGGCCCTCCTGTGGACTAGCACAACTTCCTTGCCCACTGTTTCTTCCTTTCTGTGCCTTTGAGACCCCTTAAGGTTTTCCCTCATGCGATTACTAGAAAATGGCAGGAATCAACAAAATGGAGACCTCCCACTGTTTTTGCTAAAGTTACAGGAACACGATCCCTAGTTTTCATTGATAGTAACGCTGTTTCTAATTTGTCTTAACCACATTCATGCTTACCCTGCTGCTCAGCTTTCTCAGGGAAGCAACTCCAGGAACACTCCTTCCACTCCCCTCTCTACCAACAGATGTCAGGACTGTCATTTATCTACACATTTGTGTTCTTTAGAAAAAGGCCCACCCCCTGCACAAGCACAGCCTCTTGGGCAGATAGGTGGCTGGGTCAGTGCTTAAGACAGGATTCTAGTCTTCACTTGCCTGTGCAGCTGGGCGCTGACCTTCCAGGTAGAGCACAGATGGCACAACCCCGAGGCAGCCCCAACTTGCATTTCCCTCCCTCCAGGGGCTATTCCTGTCTTAGGCGATTTGTGGGGTGCAGTGAATGAAACTAAAGAGTTGTTGCACCTGAAAAAGACACCAGTGATTGTTTATTGGGTAGTCGATTGGAGACTTTGATTTTTTTTTTTTTTTTTCACATGGGAAAGTCTTAGATTCCAGTAGATGGAATTGCAATCCTTTGCAGTTTGTTCTCATTACAGATAATCAACATTTCTTTTGTATAATTCAATACATGATCATCAAGTTAATTGGTAAATTTTTATTGAAATTTAAAACTTGCATTTTTATATATGTGTATGTGTACACATAAAAATATTTTTTACCATATGAAAATTGCAGTAGCTAATTTTCTGATTTCCTATTTTATAATGATACATGGGCTGGAAAAATGTAGAACGTTTTTATATTCTAGAAATTTATTTTGGAAGTACATTTTTATAAGGGTCTAATCTCACTTTTGGAAAATGAAAGCACAGGAATGATGGGGTCTGGTTTATGTGAACAAGTGAGTAGAAACCCCTTTGGATCATTTTATTACTGCATTTTTATTTGGTGCTTTTTAGGAAGTAGATCTTTGGTACCACTTCACTACGTAGAGCATTCGAAGTTTTATCCATGTTATATATTGTACTCCTGTGGCATGAAAAATAGCTCCCAAGATATAGAGAGGAGAGGAGTGAAGAAAAGGCTGTGGTTTTTTTTTGTTTTGTTTTGTTTGCCACTTTTTTATCTCCTATTCCTCACCACATAGTGCTTTTTCCTGAAAAGCTGGACTGAGAATTGGCCTTGAATCAGGTCAGAGTGTTAACTGTCAACATGAAGTATTTTCACTTCGCAGCATCAACTTTCAAGCATAAGTAAAAACACAACTTGCATACTTTGATGGAGCTTAATTGTGTGAGTAGAATATGTAGCAAAGCTTTTTAGGATTTTCAGAACTAGAATACTTTTTAAGGAATTAAAAGTGTTTCTGGAAGTCAAAAATGGGAAAGCAAAAAGTAGCTGTCCTCCCTAAAGAGCTTTAGAAGATAGCTTAACCTGTAGGTACATGTTATGAAATAAACACATTTCTAACAATACAAGGGAGTAGGGGCAGACCTGTGTTGAGTATTTGTGTGGGTTCTTAATTTTGAAGGACCTCCAATCACTACATTTTGTTAATACTGCCAATAAAATCATTTTCAACTTATTTTTTAAAGTAGGTTTTCTTACTTTGGTGGACCAGAAGTGAGAGATTGTTATATTTAGGATATAGGCAAATACAGTAAAAGTTAAAAAAAAAAAACCTGACCCAAAGTATACTCTGATAGACTATATTATATTCAATTTTGTATCCCCAGTCGAGAACATCTTGTAAGCCTTCATTAAGGGCCACCTGCTGTCTGTTGAACTAGACTGAACAAAATATATTTTCTCACAAGCTCCATCCCTTTTTCTTTAGGACATGTTATATATAATCCATCTCAGAAGTTGAAGATGTGATGTTGCTCGGCCTTTGGAATAATTTTTAAATCTGTAAATGTCTATATGAGCAGAAACAAAACATTGTGTAACATGTTTTAAGCATTATTGTAATTCCTGTGTTAACAGTTTGTGTGTCTGCTGCTCTGGTTTTGAAACATGTTTGTATATAGATACAGGAGTTGGCATAAATTTTGTTAAATAAAGCAACAAAAATTTTCTTTGCCCTTTGATTTCAAACGTTATGCAGGTGACTTTATTACATAGCCTATTTGTATTATACATTTCTGAGTCAAAGGCAAGGCGTCATTCTACGTAACAGGTGTTTTGAATTCTACCAGGGTATGTTTTGAATTAGATGCAATGATGGGATGGTTAACCTTGCAGACCCTAATATGAGGCCAGGTTATGTTTTTGTTTTGTTTTGCTTGCAGATTCACAAGAGGTGCTGGTTTGGACAGCAGTGGCAATTTTCCTGCCATGGTTAGGGGCCTCAGCAGAGAATGTATGTGGGCCTTTAACCTGCCTTCCATGTCTTGGGTAGAAGAGTTCCCAGTCAGTGATGAGCCCCTGGACCACGTGTACTTGCACTATTGATGTCATCTCTCCAAATGATCTCTTGCACCCGAGTCCACATATATTTGGGTTGCAAGAGTATGAGGATATTTAAAGAGGCACTTAATTTCCTCATCTCACTCCCAGGGCCCAAGGAGTCATAAGGGAAAGGAAGAGAATTGGACTTGTGACAAATACTGGCAGATCTGAGGAAAAGGGAGGTGAGTTGCTTAAGTTCACCAATTTGTTCAGTTTATTTTGAGTTAAAAAATGAGTCATCTTTGAATCCTATAGGATCGTTAATTGTCACCTTTGGCAGTAGTTATTTAGGGGAGAGTGGAGGTCAAATAAGGCAGGAGGAAACTGAAGGGGCTCTGTATTATGCATGGAGTACCAGGGACCTGGTAGCTGTAGTGTGATGAGTCAAATAGGAAACATGGGTGGAAACTGACTTCAAGCATGTAAAGCTAGGAAGTGGCTGTCACTAATGTATACTGTGTAATAGAAAACATATTAAAACTGAAGCTCAGGAAAATTAATAACACCTGATTGGCCAGGTTTACATGGTGCCCTTTCATTTCAAATGTTATGAGCCTTCATTTATCACATCATTTAGAAAATAGCTTAACTTGTAGGTACATGTCATGAAATGAATACATTTCTAACAAAATGAGGGAGTAGGGGCAGAACTGTGTTGAGTATTTGTGTGTTCTAACCTTGATTTTGAAGGCCCTCCAATCACTATATTTTTTTGTTTGTTTTTGAGACGGAGTTTCACTCTTGTTGCTCAGGCTGGAGTACAATGGCGCGATCTCGGCTCACCGCAACCTCTGCGTCCTGGGTTCAAGCGATTCTCCTGCCTCAGCCTCCTGAGTAGCTGGGATTACAGGCATGCGCCACCATGCCCAGCTAATTTTGTGTTTTTAGTAGAGACGGGGTTTCTCCATGTTGATCAGGCTGGTCTCAAACTCCCAACCTCAGGTGACTGGCCCACCTTGGCCTCCCAAAGTGCTGGGATTACAGGTGTCAGCCATGGCACCTGGCCTATATTTTGTTAATAAGTGACAGGATAAATGAAGTAATGTGTAGGATAGTGTTTTGGCAGGAGCACCTTGATAGCCCCTGGTATCTGCAAAGCCCTTTGCTTTGTAATATGTAGAGTCTTTTGTTGCCACAGCTACACTCAGTGTGAGTTGCTTTTTAAGGTTTGCACATCCATCAGACTGCTGGGATGAGATGCCATGCTAAGGATCTAGACTTAGTCTAGGGTAGTGCTGTCCAATAGAAACGTAGTGTAAGCCAATTTTTAGCCACATTTTAAGAGAGTAAAAAGATCAGATGAAATTAAATATTTAATTTGTCCCAATACGTCTAGAATATTATCTTCAATCAGCAAAATATTTACTGCGACATTACACACTTTTTCAAAAAAAAACAAGTTTCAGAAATCTGGTATGTATTTTATATATACAGCATGTTTCAAGTTTAATGCTAAATTTTCAGTTATTGTAATCAAAAGTAACCCTACCAAAACCCTGAAGTTTTTAATGGAAAGATATTTTACACTGCTTCAATTTTAAAATTGTAGTTCCTCAGCCACCCTGGCCACATTCCAAGCATTCACATGCCTAGTGGCTGCTCTACTGAACAGCGCAGAAGGGGAGTTGTGCTGTATTGTGAATATTTATATCCTTCTCTGAGCTCCTTGATGGGAAGCATTGGATTTTATTTTCTATATATCTGAAACTAGGGTAAGCTAGGCTAGACTTCACTCTCCCACATTTAGGCAATGCCAATTCTGTGCCAGGTTCTGTATTAATGCCTGGCAGTTCTATTTCTAAGTCTGTACCCTAGAGAAACTGTTCACATGGGACTTTTTGAGGTTGGCACTCATTTATTTGGCAATTCTAGTTGTTCAACCAAAGAAATGTTTATTTCTCATTCATGCTACATGTCCGCCATGGGTCAATAAGGGGCTCAGCTCCCCACAGTCTGTTAGGGACCTAGGCTGATGGAGGGCCCCATCTTGTAGCTGCCCCTCGGGATCACTCGGGTGTCTCCATCACTGAGACAGGAGAGGAGTACGAGGAGAGGATATTGCACCGGTGAGAAACAACACACAGCATGCCACTCACAACCAGCTGCCCAGAACTGCTCACAGAACCTAACAGGGCTATTCAGCACCACCATCTTTGCACATAGGAAAAACAAGAGAACCAGTGTATTGATAAACACCAATGATGTCAAACACACTGGGTCATATGGTGCATACTGGAGAAGTATAAATGTCAATTATCTATGTGGAAAGCAACTTCCAATCTGATAGTTGTGAAATGGTAACATCCTGATAGGAGTTGAAGATCTGCAGAAACGGGAATTTCAAGATAATATTTGGCAATACTAAACTTGAAACAATGTCTTGTTTTCATTTTCCTAATTAATGAGCTAGTACCTCTTTGCAAATATTGATTGGACATTTAAATTTCCTGTGAATAGCCTGTTTATTGGGTATTTGAATTTTCTGTGTATACTCTATATTCTTTGTCTACTATTGAACTGTTCATTTTAAACTTTTAGAAGAAAATGTGGGTACTCTTAAAAATTCATAGAAAGGCCAGGTGCGGTGGCTCACGCCTGTAATCCCAGCACTTTGGGAGGCTGAGGCGGGCGTATCACCTGAGGTCAGGAGATCAAGACCATCCTGGCTAACACGATAAAACCCCGTCTCTACTAAAAATACAAAAAATTATCCGGGCGTGGTGGCGGGTGCCTGTAGTCCCAGCCACTACGGAGGCTGAGGCAGGAGAATGGCGTGAACCCGGGAGGCGGAGCTTGCAGTGAGCCGAGATCATGCCATTGCACTCCAGCCTGGGTGACAGAGCGAGACTGTGTCTCAAAAAAAAAAAAAAAAAAAATTCATAGAAAAAAAAACTTTCTTTAGGATTGGGCTTCTTGTACTTTTTTTTAAAATAAATCTTTCCCTATCCTGAGTTTAAGAAAATAGTCTTTCATGTTAAATTGGTATTAAAAATAAACTTTCATACAACAGTGGAATCCATATTGTTATACAAGTGGTCAGTTACAGGTTTTTTAAAAAATCTTTTTCAAAAGGATCTAGGTCCAGATTTTTTTTTCTATATGAAAAAATTTCAAAGTCATATTAAGTCCACACTCTCACAAAAGTTAATTCCATGTGGATTATTCACTCACTTGTCCTAAAACCCACTGTTAGTCCAGGCTTTTCCTCCTATTTGTCACATTACATCCGTATATCCAGGTTTCATATTTGTGTGGATCTATGCCTGGGTCTCTGTGCTGTGGCATTATGCTGTTTGTTGTGACTCTTCTTCAAAATGATTTCTAATATTACAGTTTACAGGTATATAAAATATGGAAAGGCTTCCCATAGTGGATATTATAAAGATGCAGAAATGGCAGTAATGGCCTTGGCTATTCTTGATTCTTTGCTCTTCCATATGCATTTTATTTTTTATTTATTATTATTATTTTTGAGACAGTTTCATTCTGTCTCCCAGGTTGGAATACAGTGGTGCAGTCAGCTCACTGCAACCTCTGCACCTCGGGTTCAAGCAATTCTCCTGCCTCAGCCTCCCGAGTAGCTAGGATAGCAGGCACGTGCCACCACACCTAGCTAATTTTTGTGTTTTTAGTGGAGACGGGGTTTTACCAAATTGGCTGGGCTGGTCTCGAGCTCTTGACCTCAAGTGATCTGCCTGTCTCGGCTTCCCAAAGCACTGGCATTACAGTCGTGAGCCACCGCACCCAGCCCATATGCATTTTAAAATGCTTGTCAAACCCTGCTGAGATTTTTATTGGAATAACATTGGCATTTTAGTTGCATGTGAGGAAAATCGTCATCAATAGGAACATGCTATTACCATTTAGTCTGGTAAATGTAATAGAAATAAAGTTGTGCCAGGCCAATAACATTTTACAATTTATTTCCTATATTTTGGGGAAAAGATCTCATTTGCAATAAAAACTAAAACCAGGGCAGGCACAGTGGCTCACACATGTAATCCCAGCGCTTTGAGAGGCTGAGGCGGGCGGATCACCTGAGGTCGGGAGTTCGAGCCCAGCCTGACCAACATGGAGAAACCCCATCTCCACTAAAAATACAAAAAATTACCTGGGAGTGGTGGCACGTGCCGGTAATCCCAGCTACTCAGGAGGCTGAGGCAGGAGAATCGCTTGAACCCTGGAGGTTGCCGTGAACTGAGATCGCACCATTGCACTCCAGCCTGGGCAACAAGAGCAAAAACTCGATGTCTCCCCAAAAAAAAAAAAAAAAAAAAACCTACAGGTTGCAAAATCAATTAAAGCCATGAAGAAGGAAGAGAGTTAAATAATTTGCAAATGAGAGAGGTCAACAACATTCAAAGTATAAATTCATTATTTAAAAAAAAATCAATTGGCTTTCTATGCGTGAGAAATGGAAACAGCTCTAGTAGGAATGTTTCTATCACCTCTTCTCTTGGACACTTTAAGAAAAGCCCTAACCAATGTAATATGAAATTAAAAATAAAGATGGGGGTATCCCTGTATTTTCTAGGTAGACAAAAGATTAGGGATTAAAATAAGTCAATACTGCAAGAGACAAAAGGGTTCTTAGAGTTTTGCCATTTCATTTAAGCATAATTTTTGTCATAGGTTTTTGGAAGATGCTCAGCTTAAGGCAATTTCCTTTATTCCCAAATTGCTTGATTTTTTTCATAAAATTTTAACATGAAGTTTATGTGACTTTTGTTTCTTTTAAAAGAGTTTTATCTCTTAAAAATACTTGAATAGATTTTTCTCATGTTTCTCCTTATACTCCTGGAATCAACCCTACCTTGTCATGATCTGTGTGTATAAATGGTACTGCTAAGTTTGCAGATCTAATAGAAATGTTTATGTAAGTGATATTGCTCTGTAATTTCCCCTTTCAGTACGTCCTTACAGTGTTTCATTATCAAGATGTTACTACTCCCATTGAGTGAGTTGGGTCACTTTCTGTATTTCTGTATTTGATGTAAATTGTTTCAGAGAATAGAAATTAACTGCTACTTGAAGTGGTAAGCCATCTCACCAATGGAAACATCTTGGGTGGGTGTCTTTAACAGAGAAGGAGAAACATGAATGGGGTCAGGAAGGAGGGTTTGGAAAGTCTCAAATTCTGATTTGATTGCTATATTGATTTTTTTTCAGGTTTTCTATTTTTAATTTTTCTACTGTATTCAGTTCACTATCACTAGAAACACAGAAATAACAGTCGTGTTCTTTTGGCATATAAATGCAAGTCAGATGATGCACCTTTTATTATTGTGTGGGACACACAGATCTATATGCCATTACCTTAGCCTCCTGCTCCAGCTGCAATAACAAAATACCATAGACTGGGTAGCTCATAACAGAAATTTAAGACTGGAAAGTCTAAAATCAAGGCGTAGGCAGATTCAGTGTCTAGTGAGGGCCCACTTTCTGGCTCATAGAAGGCACCTTCTCACTGAATTCTCACATGGTAGAAGGAATGAATGAGCTCTCTAAAGTCTCTTTATAAGGGCACTAATCCCATGCATGAGGGCTTTACCCTCTTGACTTAATCACTGCCCAGAGGCATCCCCTGTTAATATCATCACATTGGAGATTAGGTTTCAACATATACATTTTGAGAGGACACAAACATTCAGACCACAGCAGCCATTGTGTGCATAACCTACATCCTCCATCTGTTATTTGAGTTGTATATTACATAGGTTGTAAAGTGAAATATTTGGGTAGGTATGCATTAATACTGTTCCAAAATAATGTTTTATTCAGTTAATGAATGCAGCTCACGAAATCTCTAAAAGCATGGTTTTCCCCACCCTAACTGTGCTTAGAAACATGTCCTTATGTAAAAAAGACAGCTAGAAAGCAAATGGTGCTTGTTATAGAATGCACATTGACCAAGTTGCAAAGAATGGTGTCTGCTGCTGCTATTGCTAAACCTTACAAGTCTTCAAATATTCCTCAGAGCATTGGCCATTCATTGTACAAAGGGCTGCCTGATGTCAACACTGAGCCCATATTAGTCAGAAGAATATAACAAAACTAAAATTTGAAGTACGTTAAATACAGCAAAGGTTTATGCATCCCCATGTGAAGTCCACTACAGGCTGGACAGCACTCCTGCCAACCTCACCTTGGGGGCCACATGCTTCAGATGGCAGAACGCAGAACAAGGAAGATAGGGCAGGAGAAAGGAACACTGGCTCTTTAATGCCTTAGCCAGGAGGTGACACATGCCATGCCCCCAACATTCCATTAGCTGGAATTAGTTCAACAGTTTCAACTATCTGCAAGAGAAATCAGGAAATGTAGGGGACCTTGGGGAATATTTGCTAAATAACTTGCCACATTAACTGTCTGACTGCGCAAGTAACTTAGCCTCCCTGTGCCCCAATGCATGTAGTATTAGCTCTAATTTTATAGCTAAAACTAGCATATTTTATATCTTGCAAATTATGAGAATTCAAACACTCAACATGGTATCTCAGATAGTGTTGATTCAATAAGCACTTACTAATTGATTGACATCTTTTCTGGAGCAGGCACAGACCATCTTGATGTAACAGTGAGTATACTAGCAAGATTCTTGTCCTCATGTTGCCTAGAATTTGCTACTCAAAGTGTGGTCCTTGGTCTGATAGCATCAGCATTACCTGCTATCTTGGAAGAACTATAGAATTTCTGGCCCCATCCCAACCTCCTGGATTAGAATCTGCAGATGCCTGGATGGCTTGCATGGAAATGAGAGTGGGAGAAACACTGACGAGAACACTGCTCCTTAGTTTCTCCCTTCATCTAGTGAATTGTTTTCTTTCTCAAGAACACCTGTCCTGATTACCTCACCAACACCACCCCTATCTCACAGTCAGGGATTAGATGTTGCCATGACATTGCTATTGCTCTTAGAAAATGAAAGGAATTATAAAGTGCTTATGGTCCAGTGGGGAAGACGGCATCTTTATGTTATTAGAGGAAGCAGTGCCATAGGCGATAATTAATGGTAATGTGAACCAGAGGTGCAGGGGGAAGGGGCAAGCAGGGAGGAAGAAATGGGGGACTGAAAGACCGTGTCCTTGCACTGTGCACACTGGACAGGACCCTGAAATCCAGGGTTGAAGGGAAGTGAACGAAGATGCCGTTGCTATCCAGTTCAATTAAGAACTTGTTCAGCACTGATCTCTCCAAAGTAGAATACCTGCTTGCTATGGCTTTCTGTTGCTAGTTTACTGTATTGCTGGGACTGAGAGCAAGACTTCCCAGGCCCTTGTGCATAATAAGCTTGTGATTTAAAGTCTCAGCGGAGTTTGAGAAGCACCTGCTTATTGTGCATGCAAATGACTAAGAATCCCATTAAAATGCAGATTCTGAGTCAGTGTGTCTGAAGATGCCGATGCCGCTGTTCCAGGGACCACACTTGAAAATACTCAAGTTCTCTTTTATAAAAACAGAATAAGCAACAGCTTTTGGGGAAAGTAGCTTACAGCTTTGCTATTCAAACATTTTTACATATTTCTATGAACTGACATAAAAAGCAATTGTATCCTTAACTTGGTGATGTACCCTTTCAAGCCTAATATACTCAAAAACAAATTTCCCAGTCTTCTCTTAAACACTAGACAGTAAATAGTGCATCAGATTATAGGGTAGTCTGCCCATCAGCATCTCAGCAAGTTAGACAAGGCTGATCCTAAGACAGCTATACCTCACCCCTCTACAGCCCTCCTCTCCAATGTCATCTTCGAGGATTTGGGCCCTTAAAGCTCTTAATAAGGTAGTTTGAACCATGGACATCTATCACCTAGGAATTTTGAATAATACTTTATAATGAACTCCTATAACTAGCCATTGTGTGGGTGGGCCCGTGGAGATCTCTAAGCTGGTCCCATGGTTTAAAAATCACTTGGGAGAATGGGCAGGTGCTTCAGGGCTAAGCAGGTGCCACTAGGGTCCCCATCCCCCACCCACACCCCAGCCAGAACAGCTCCAATTTTACCTGTTATTGCTGTGGCTATTGTTGTTTTTAATTTGTCTGCACATGTTTTGAGGAAAAGAAGCAATTTGATCCTTTGATGAACTCCTAATTTAGCCTATCATCTTACTCCAGTTAGAATGACTATTATCAAAAAGGCAAAAAATAACAGATGTTGGCAAGGATGCAGAGAAAAGGGAGTTCATACACTGTTGGTGGGAATGTAAATTCATACAGTCATTATGGAAAACATTGTAGAGATTTTTCAAGAAACTGAAAATAGAACTACCATACAATCTAGCAATCTCATTACTGGGTATTTTTCGAAAGGAAAGGAAATTAGTATAGGAAAATGATACCTGCACCCCTATGTTTATTGCAGCACTATTCACAATAGCAAAGCTAAGGAATCAACCTAAACGTCCATCAGTGGATGAGTGGATAAAGAAAATGTGATGTATATATACACAATGAATAGTATTCAGCCATAAAAAGAATGAAATCCTGACGTTTGCAGCAACATGGATGGAACTGCAGGTCATTATAAGTGAAATAATCCAAGCAAAGAAAAATATCACATGTTCGTACTCATATACGGTAGCTAAAACAGCTGATCTCATAGAGGTAGAGAGAACAATGATGGTCACCAGAGGCTGGGAAGGGTGTGTGTGTGAAGCAGGTGGGTGGGGATGGGGAATGAAGACAGATTGGTTAGTTGGTACAAACAGATGGAAGGAGTAAATTCTAATGTTTGATAGTGGAGTAGGATGACTTTAGTTAATGACGTATTATATATTTTAAAATAGGTAGAAGGGGCCGGGCACGGTGGCTCATGCCTGTAATCCCAGCACTTTGGGAGGCTGAGTCAGGCGGATCACTTGAGGTCAGGAGTTTCAGACCCCAGCATGGTGAAACCCCATCTCTACAAAAAATACAAAAAAATTAGGCAGGCGTGGTGGCACATGCTTGTAGTCCCAGCTACCTGGGAGGCTAAGGCAGGAGAATTGCTTGAACTCAGGAGGCGGAGGTTGCAGTGAGCCAGGATCACACCACTGCACTCCAGCTTGGGCGACAGAGCAAGACTCCGTCTCAAAAAAAAGGAAAAAAAAAAAATTAGCCGGGCATGGTGGCGCATGCCTGTAATCCCAGCTACTCAGAAGGCTGAGGCAGGAGAATTACTTGAACCTGGCAGGTGGAGGTTGCAGTGAGCCGAGATCATGCCATTGCACTCCAGCCTGGGGAACAAGAAACTCCATCTCAAAAAATATATATATATAACATATGTTATATATATATATTTGTTATATATGTACATATATAAAACTACACACATATATATATATATATATATATGTATATATGTAGAAGACAGGACTTGAAATGGTCCCAACACATAGAACTGGTAAACACTCAAGGTGGTAGATACCTTAACTACCTTCACTTGCTCATTACGCATTGTATGCATGTAACAAAACATCACGTGTACCCTATAAATATGTACAAATATTATGTATCAAAAAACTTTTAAAAAATTAAATACTAGATGAGTCACTTCATTTCATCTAGCCCCAATATTATATAAATCCCTGTCTTTTAAAGGATTATGTATTATATTTAGCAGGAAATAGTGTTCTTCTTTCCAGTCTATATTTATTTTGATAGAAATTTCACTAGGAAAGCCATAAAAAATTATGATTTAGAACTCAGGTTTCTCAAATAAAATGAGAAGATCATTATTGTCAGTTGTATTTGCTAGTAATTTACACAAATGCTTTCTAAAACTGGAAGTTATCCATATATTCAACCACAGTAAAAACTAAGACTTGTAAGAAAGCTAAAAATAAATAGCCATAATAAATATTTAAATGAAGTAATTTTTAAAAGCAAAATAAATTTTTAACCTGTAGAATATAGGGGTTGGACTAGGTCATAATAATAATGCTGTTTATTATTACTGTCATTATTACTACCATCAAGTAGAGCTGGAAGGAACCCTATTTCAGTCCATCCAAACCAGATTCTCAAGCGAGCATTCTTCTGTCTTGGCCCTAGATTGGCAGACAAGATCCCATTTGCTGGCACAGCTGGAGAACCATGGGCCATATGGCCTGAGCACACACAGGACAAGCCCTCTCTGCAGCCAGGCAGACAGTCAGGCACCAATAGAAGAGAGCTCAGAAGGAGCTGATCCTTCCATACTCACTTCCTTCTCCCAGAGGCAGTACTTGCATGTCATTCCATTTCCAGTGGAGAAGAATGAGTGGGGATGGGCACAGGTAGCGTGTCTCTGGGTGTCATTCTAGTGGAAGACCCATTATGGCAACCACTGAAGTTCTCATGGCAACCATTGAGGTTTTCATGGCAACCACTGAGGTTCTTCACAATGCTGGATATGTTCTGCTTGTCTCTTCACCAACCTGCTTATGTCCAGAGAGGCCGAACTCTATGGACTGAAGTATAAGGGCTCCCTTAATCTCTGGCTTCTGTTTGGGTTTGAAGATCAGAAGGTAGCAGGATAAAAAGGTCAGGGTATATGTATACCTCTAGTTTCCCCATTGCCAAGATCTCCTTCAGAAGTACTTATATTTCTCTACTTAAGACCACAGCCAGGGGCAGAACTAGTTTTTTGAGGTGAGGTGGACATTTACACAAATTTTGGACCCTCCTTCAAATAATAAAAAATTGGCTGGGTGCAGTGGCTCACTCCTGTAATCTGAGCATTTTGGGAGGCTGCAGTGGGTGGATTGCTTAAGCTCAGGAGTTCAAGACCAGCCTGGGCAACATAGTTAAACCTCGTTTCTACAAAAAAATAAAAATAAAAATAGAAAAAATTAGCAGGGCATGGTGGTGCATGCCTGTCGTCCGACCTACTCAGGAGGCTGAGGTGGGAGGATTGTTTGAGCCCAGGAGGTGGAGTCTGCAGTGAGCTGTGATGGCATCACTGTACTCCAGCCTGGGTGACAGAGCAAGAACCCATCTCAAAAATAATAATAATAATAATGTGGGCTGGCAAGATGACCAAATAGGAACAGAACCAGTTTGCAGCTCCCAGCGAGATCAATGCAGAAGGCAGGTGATTTCTGCATTTCCAACTGAGGTACCCGGCTCATCTCACTGGGACTGGTTAGACAGTGGGTGCGCCCACAGAGGGCAAGCCAAAGCAGGGTGGGGGCGTCACCTCACCTGGGAAGCACAAAGGGTTGGGGAACTCTCTCCTAGCCAAGGGAAGCTGTGAAGGACTGTGCTGTGAGGAACAGTGCACTCTGGCCCAGATACTATGCTTTTCCCACGGTTTTCACAAGCTGCAGTCCAGGAGATTCCCTTGGGTGCCTATGCCACCAGGGCCCTGGGTTTCAAGCACAAAACTAGGCGGTCATATGGGCAGACACTGAGCTAGCTGCCGGAGATTTTTTCATACCCCAGTGGTGTCTAGAATGCCAGTGAGACAGAACCATTCACTCGCCTGGAAAGGAGGCTGAAGCCAGGGAGTCGAGTCAAGTGGTCTAGCTCAGTGGATCCCACCCCACGGAGCCCAGCAAGCTAAGATCCACTGACTTGAAATTCTTGCTACCAGCACAGCAGTCTGAAGTCGACCTGGGACACTCGAGCTTGGTTGGGGGAGGGGCATCTGCATTACTGAGGCTTGAGTAGGCGGTTTTCTCCCTCACGGTGTAAACAAAGCCACCAAGAAGTTCGAACTGGGAGGAGCCCACAGAAGCTCAGCAAAGCCACTGTACCCAGACTGCCTCTCTACATTCCTCCTCTCTGGGCAGGGCATCTCTGAAAGAAAGGCAGCAGCCCCAGTCAGGGGCTTATAGATAAAACTCCCATCTCCCTGAGATAGAGCACCTGGGGGAAGGGGCAGCTGTGGGTGCAGCTTCAGCAGACTTAAACATTCCTGCCTGCTGGCTCTGAAGACAACAGCGGATCTCCCAGCACAGTGCTTGAGCTCTGCTAAGGGACAGACTGCCTCCTCAATTGGGTCCCTGACCCCTGTGCCTCCTGACTGGGAGACACCTCCCAGTCAGGGAGGTGGCATCTGGCAGGTGTCCCTCTGGGATGAAGCTTCCAAAGGAACAGGTAGCAATCTTTGCTGTTCTACAGCCTCTGCTGGTGATACCCAGGCAAACAGGGTCTAGAGTGGACTTCCACCAGACCTGCAGCATACGGGCCTGACTGATAGAAGGAAAACTAACAAACAGAAAGGAATAGCATCAACATCAACAAAAAGGACATCCACACAGAAACCCCATCTGAAGGTCACCAACATCAAAGACCAAAGGTAGATAAATCCACGAAGATGAGGAAAAAACAGCACAAAAAGCCTGAAAATTCCAAAAACCAGAAAGCCTCTTCTCCTCCAAAGGATCACAACTCCTTGCCAGCAAGGGAACAAAACTGGATGGAGGATAAGTTTGATGAAGTGACAGAAGTAGGCTTCAGAAGGTGGGTAATAAACTCCTCTGAGCTAAAGGAACATGTTCTAACCCAATGCAAGGAAGCTAAGAACCTTGAAAAAAGGTTAGAGGAATTGCTAACTAGAACAACCAGTGTAGAGAAGACTGGTAGAGATGACTTGATGGAGCTGAAAAATAAAATATGAGAACTTCATGAAGCATACACAAGTATCAAAAGCCGAATTGATCAAGCAGAAGAAAGGATATCAGATATTGAAGATCAACTTAATGAAATAAAGTGTGAAAACAAGATTGGAGAAAAATGAATGAAAAGGAATGAACAAAACCTCCAAGAAATATGGGACTATATGAAAAGACCAAACCTATTTTTGATTGGTGTACCTGAAAGTGACAGGGATAATGGAATCAAGTTGGAAAACACCCTTCAGGATATTATCCAGGAGAACTTCCCCAACCTAGCAAGACAGGCCAACATTCAAATTCAGGAAAGACAGAGAACACTATAAAGATACTCCTCGAGAAGAGCAACCCCAAGATGTATAATCTTCAGATTCACCAAGGTTGAAATGAAGGAAAAAATGTTAAGGGCAGCCAGAGAGAAAGGTCGGATTACCCACGAAGGGAAGCCCATCAGACTAACAGCAGATCTCTCTGCAGAAACCCTACAAGCCAGAAGAGAGTGGGGGCCAATATTCAACATTCTTAAAGAATTTTCAACCCAGAATTTCATATCCACCCAAACTAAGCTTCATAAACGAAGGAGAAATAAAATCCCTTACAGATAAGCAAATGCTGAGAGATTTTTGTCACCACCAGGCCTGCCTTACAAGAGCTCCTGAAGGAAGCACTAAATATGGAAAGGAAAAACCGGTGACAGCCACTGCAAAAACATACCAAAGTGTAAAGACCTTCAACACCATGAAGAAACTGCATCAACTAATGGGTAAAATAACCAGCTAGCATCATAATGACAGACCAAATTCACACATAACAATATTAGCCTTAAATGTAAATAGGCTAAATGCCCCAATTAAAAGACACAGACTAGCAAATTGGATAGAGTCAAGACCCATCAGTGTGCTGTATGCAAGAGACCCAACTCACATGCAAAAACACACATAGGTTCAAAATAAAGGGATGGACAAATATTTACCAAGCAAAGGAAAAGCAAAACAAACAAAAAAACAAAACAGCGTTTGCAATCCTAGTCTCTGATAAAACAGACTTTAAACCAACAAAGATCGAAAAAGACAAGGGCATTACATAATGGTAAAGGGATCAATGCAACAAGAAGAGCTAACTATCCTAAATATATATGTACCCAATACAGGAGCACCCAGATTCATAAAGCAAGTTCTTAGAGACCTACAAAGAGACTCAGACTCCCACACAATAATAGTGGGAGACTTTAACACCCCACTGTCAATATTAGACAGATCGAGACAGAAAATTAACAAGGATATTCAGGACTTGAACTCAGCTCTGGACCAAGTGGACCCAATAAACTTCTACAGAACTCGCCACCCCAAATCAACAGTATATACATTCTTCTCAGCACCACATCACACTTACTGTAAAATTGACCACATAATTGTATGTAAAACACTCCTCAGCAAATGCAGAAGAATGGAAATCATAACAAACAGTCTCTCAGACCACAAGGCAATCAAATTAGAACTCAGGATTAAGAAACTCCCTCAAAACTGCACAACTACATGGAAACTGAACAACCTACTCCTGGATGACTACTGGGTAAATAACGAAATTAAGGCAGAAATAAATAAGTTATTTGAAATCAATGAGAACAAAGACACAAAGTGCCAGAATTTCTGGGACACAGCTAAGCAGTATTTAGAGGGAAGTTTGTAGCACTAAATGTCCACAGGAGAAAGCAGGATATATCTAAAATCGACACCCTAACATCACAATTAAAAGAACTAGAGAAGCAAGAGCAAATGCATTCAAAAGCTAGCAGAAGACAAGAAATAACTTAAGATCAGAGCAGAACTGAAGGAGATAGAGAAATGAAAAACCCTTCAAAAAAATCAATGAATCCAGAAGCTAGTTTTTTGAGGATTAACAAAATAGGTAGACCACTAGCCAGACTAATAAAGAAGAAAAGAGAGAAGAATCAAACAGACACAATAAAAAATGATAAAGGGGATATCACCACTGATCCCACAGAAATACAAACTATCATCAGAGAATACTATAAACACCTCTATGCAAATAAACTAGAAAATCTAGAAGAAATGGATAAATTCCTGGACACAGTCACCCTCTCAAGACTAAACCAGGAAGAAGCTGAATCCCTGAATAGACCAATAACAAGTTCTGAAATTGAGGCAGAAATTAACAGCCTACCAACCAAAAAAAAAAAAAAGCCCAGGACGAGATGGATTCACAGCCAAATTCTACCAGAGGTAAAAAGAGGAGCTGGTACCATTCCTTCTGAAACTATTTCAAACAATAGAAAAAGAGGGACTCCTCCCTAACTCATTTTATGAGGTATTATCCTGATACCAAAACATGGTAGAGACACAACAAAAAAAAGAAAATTTCAGGCCAATGTCCCTAATGAACATCAATGAGAAAATCCTCAATAAAATACTGGCAAACTGAATCCAGCAGCACATCATAAAGCTTAGCCATCACGATCAAGCAGTCTTCATTCCTGGGATGCAAGGCTAGTTCAACATATGCAAATCAATCAATGTAATCCATCACATAAACAGAACCAATGACAAAAACCACATGATTATCTCAATAGATGCAGAAAAGGCCTTCAATAAAATTCAACACCCCTTCATGCTAAAAACTCTCAATAAACTAGGTATTGATGGAACATATCTAAAAATAATAAGAGCTGTTTATGACAAACTTGCAGCCAAAATCATACTGAGTGGACAAAAGCTGGAAGCATTTCCTTTGAAAACCGGCACAAGACAAGGATGCCCTCTCTCACCACTCCTATTCAACATAGTATTGGAAGTTCTGGCCAGGGCAGTCAGGCAAGAGAAACAAATAAAGGGTATTCAAATAAGAAGAGAGGAAGTCAAATTGTCTCTGTTTGCAGATGACATGATTGTATATTTAGAAAACCCCATTGTCTCAGCCCAAAATCTCCTTAAGCTGATAAGCAACTTTAGCACAGTCTCAGGATACAAAATCACTGTGCAAAAATCACAAGCATTCCTGTACACCAATAATAGAGAGCTAAATCATGAGTGAACATCCATTCACAATTGCTACAAAGAGAATAAAATACCTAGGAATACAAGTTACAAGGGATGTGAAGGACCTGTTCAAGGAGAAGGACAAACCACTGCTCAAGGAAATGAGACAGGACACAAACAAATGGAAAAATATTCCATGTTCGTGGATAGGAAGAATCGATATCAAGAAAATGGCCATACTGCTGAAATTAATTTATAGATTCAATGCTACCCATCAAGCTACTATTTACTTTCTTCACAGAATTAGAAAAAACTACTTTAAATTTCACACGGAACCAAAAAAGAGCCTGTATAGCTAAGACAATCCTAAGCAAAAAGAACAAAGCTGGAGTCATTACAGTACCTGACTTCAAACTATATTACCAGGCTGCAGTAACCAAAACAGCATGGTAGTGGTACCAAAACAGATATATAGACCAATGGAACAGAACAGAGGCCTCAGAAGTAGCACCACACATCTACAACAACAAACCTGCACATTCTGCACATATATCCCAGAACTTAAAGTATAATTTTAAAAAAGTCAAAACAGTCAAAAATAATAATAGCTACAGGTTTTCAAGAAATATATAATATAAAAAATGTAAATAGTGAAATAAGTGAAAAAATTGTGTGGGGGGCAGGTACAAGTCTAATGTTTCTGTATGCAACAGAATTTATGTTATCAGTGTAAAATAGTCTATTATACTTATGAGATGTTTTATTTCAGTCCTAAGTAAACACAAAGCAAAAAACCATAGCAGATACACAAACAATAAAGAAAAGGGAATAAAAACTTAGCACTACAAAAAGAAATAATAAATGCTCCCTCTCTGGGTGGACATTGGCTAAATTTGGTCTGGATTTCCTTTCTGCTCTAACAGGACAGCACTGAGTTCAAGGCCTCGCAATTGCTGTGTTCTCTCTCCCTCAGCGCCCAGAGATGCCCTCTGCATCATGCTGCTTTGCCTGCTGCTGGCAACGGGTGAGGGAGGGGTGGTGTTGGCAATTCAGGGCTGTTTTTTCTATCTCTTTAGTGCCTCTTTCAGCTATATGAAATTAAAACCAGGTACTGTGTGTGCTCACATGATTATTAGTTCTTATAAAGGTGTTTTTTTCTGTGTAGATAGGTGTTAACTTGGTCGTCTTGTTGGGGGGACAATCAGTGGAGCTTTCTATAATCCAATATGACCACCTAATTATATCCGCAGAGATCCTATTTCTATAAATGGTCATATTGATAACTTTTAGGGCTTTAGACTTCAGGGAACACAATTCAATCCACAACAGTGCACATATGTGAAGCTTCTCTATTAACCTTTAGTCTACAGTCTAGACTTTAAGACAAACAATCAGACAACAATATGCATCCCCCTTGCCTCAATTTGGCAATGTTTGTCATCTAGGCTTCTCGCCAGGTTGTCTTATTTAGCTTTTAGTAAACTACTTTAAGACTTGCATTTTAATTTTAGTGTTTCTCTGAAGCATTTGAAAATTAATCATTCTAGTTTTCTTAAAACCTTCCTTTCTCTAGCCTTTCCAAATCATTGTTTCTTCCTGAGTTGTCATCTATCCTTCCAAGCATCTCCTTCAAGTATCTATCTGTGTCAGGGGTCCCACCAAGACCACCCCGAGTTTTCATGGCCCACTACAAGAGCTCTCAGGACCCATCATATAGTCATACTTGTAGCTAAGATTTATCACAATGAAGGGATACAAAATATAGTGAGCAAAAGGGGAGGGTACATAGAGACACGTCCAGAATAAACCAGGTGCAAGCCCCCAGGAATCTTCTAATTGTGGAGTCACACAGGGCACACTTAATTCCTACTGCAAGGAGTTGTGACAAAGTACCTATCTGGGAAGCTCATTAGAGGTTTTTATTGAGCTCATAAAAAAACAGAGTTTTTATTGGGGCCTGGTTTTGTTGACACCCTCTGCCTGGCATGCATTCAGCACAAACCACACAGTGAGACACTCTTATTGAGAGGAAACTTCCTATCAGTGTGAGTAACTGTTTACCAGCCTGGGGCCAACCTTCAAGCAGACCCTTCTAAAGATCAGTCTCAGACCCCGCTGTGTTAGCTCTTTTCTTCTACCCTTTACCACTTCCCTTCTCTTTTTGCCATTCCCTTGGGATCTTCCTAAATGTTTATTTCTCCAGATGAATTAAATAATAGTTAAATAACATTTAAAGTAATTTTTTTTGAATGGTGGGCATTACTTGAGATTATAATTTGTTTATGATATATAAAGATGTATTTCCATTTTTGACATGGGGAAAAAAATGATAGACAACAGAGGCATATCCTGTGCTTGCATACGTAGGAAGTCAATATTATTCAAATAGAAAGAGAGGAAGTCAAACTACGTCTTTGCAGACAATATATTTCTATCTAGAAAACCCCATAGTCTCTGTCCAAAGCCTCCTAGAACTGATAAACAACTGCAGTGAAGTTTCAGAATATCAAATTGATATACAAAAATTATACACCAGTAACATCCAAGCTGAGGGCAAAATCTAGAATGCAATCCCATTCACAAAAGCCAAAAAAAAAAAACAAAAATAAGATACCTGGGAACACAACTAACTAGAGAGGTGAAACATCTCTGCAAAAAGGATTACAAAACACTGCTTAAAAAAAATCAGAGATGACGGCCAGCATGGTGGCTCATGCCTGTAATCCCAGCACTTTGGGATGCTGAGGTGGGCAGATCACCTGTCAGGAGTTCAAGACCAGCCTGGCCAACGTGGTGAAACCCTGTCTCTACTAAAAATACAAAAATTAGCCAGGCATGGTGGCAGGTGGCAGGTGCCTGTAATCCCAGCTTCTTGAGAGGCTGAGGCAGGAGAATTGCTTGAACCTGGGAGGCAGTGAGCCGAGATTGCACCACTATACTCCAGCCTGGGCGACAGAGGAAGACTCCATCTAAAAAAGAAAAAAAAAAAAAAGGAAAAGAAAAGAAATCAGAGATGACACAAACAAAGGTAAAAACACTCCATGCTCATGGATAGGAAGGACTAGACTCAACATTGTTAAAATGGCCTTATTACCCAAAGCAACTTACAGATTCAGTGCTATTTCTCTCAGACCAGCAACATCATTTTTCACAGAATTAGAAAAAAAAATGGTTCTAAAATTCATATGGAACTAAAAAGGAGACTGAAGAGCCAAAGGAATCCTAAGCTGAAAGAACAAAGCCAGAAGCACCACACTACTGGACTTCAAACTATACCACAAGGCTACAGTAACCAAAACAACATGGTACTGGTACCAAAACAGATATATAGACCAATGGAATAGGTTAGGAAACCCAGAAATAAAGCCACACACCTACATCCATCTGGTCTTTGACAAAATTGACAAAAACGAGAAATGGGGAAAGGACTCCTTAATTAATAGTGCTGTGATAACAGGCTAGCCATATGCAGAAGATTGAAACTGGACCCCTTCCTTTCACCACATACAAAACTCAATTTAAGATGGATTAAAGACTTAAATGTAAGACCTAAAACTATGAAAACCTTAGAAGAAAACCTAGAAAATGCCATTCAGGACATAGGTCTTGGCAAAGATTTCAGGACAAAGTCTTCAGAAGCAATTGCAATAAAGAGTATTTATAGATAAGTAGGACCCAATTAAATAACTTCTGCACAGCAAAAGAAACTATCAACAGAGTAAACAGACAACCTCCAGAATGGGAGAAAATATATGCAAACTATGCACCTGACAAAGTTCTAATATCCAGAATCTATAGGGAATCTTAAATCAGCAAGCAAAAAACAAGCAACCTTCTTAAAACGGGTAAAGGACATGAACAGACATTTCTCAAGATGACATTTCTCAAAAGACGACATATGCACAGCCAAACATGAAAAATGCTGAACATCACTAATCATTAGAGAAATGCAAATCAAAACTACAATGAGGTGTCATATCCCACCCCAATCAGAATGTCTATTATTAAAGTCAGAAAATTACAGATGCTGGCAAGATTGTGGAGAAAAGGGAATGCTTATATACTTCTGGTGGGAATGTAAATTAGTTCAGCCACTGTAGAAAGCAGTTGGAGATTTCTCAAAGAACTCAGAACTACTGTTTGACCCAGCAAAATCATTATTGAGTATATGCCTGTATTAGTCCATTCTCGCACTGCTATAAATAAATACCTGAAACTGGGTAATTCCTAAAGAATAAAGGCTTAATTGGCTTACGGTTCTGCAGGCTGCACAGGAAGCATGATGCTGGCCTCTGCTTCTGGGGAGGTCTCAGGAAACTTTCAATCATGGCGGAAGGCAAAAGGGAAGCAAGGCACATCTTACATGGCCAGAGCAGAAGGAAGAGAGTGAGGGGGGAGGTGCTACACACTTTTAAACAGCCAGTTCTCATGAGAACTAACTCACTACCGTGAGGACAGCACCAAAGGGATGATGCTAAATCATTCATAAGCAGCCTGCCCACCTCCGAACCTAAAAGGTGAAAAAGGAGAAAAAAAAGATTTGGTTATGTATAGGTCCCCCACATTTCTTAGGTTTATTCCTATGTGTTTGTTTTACCTTAGTTCTATAAATATGATCTTTTCTTCCATTATATGTTGATCATTGTTTTTTTTTAAACAATGATCTTTTTTTAAAAAATGCTACTAGTTTCTATATATTAAAGTTCCAACTTGTCACATTTATGTAGTATTAGTAGATACTAAAATAATTCATAGAAAATTAGTATACATATTTAGAAATAATTATTGCAAATAACATACCAAGTTCTTCTTATACCTATTTTTTTCTTCTATTTAACTGCTTTGACTAGCACATTCAGAACAATATTAACTACTACTAGTTATTCAGAAGGCTGAGAAGGTAGGATTGCTTGAGCCTAGGGGTTTGACACTGGCCTGGGCAGTATACCAAGACACATCTCTAAAAAAAAAAATTAAAATAGCACTACTAATATCAAATCTAGTGTTAGTACTAGTAAGTATCAGATTACTTTTGGTATTTCACTCTAATCCAGGCTTATTGCTTTGGGTGGAGGAATCTGATTAGAAACATATATAACTTGCTAGATATTAAAATCCATATTCCCATATGTACTTAGGTCTGCAGGTAAACGTACTATTCTATACAGTTATTTTCTTTTCCTGTATTACATTCTCAATTATTGAACTTTATAATAAACTTTAACATCTACAATCTGATAATTACTTTTTGGGAAGGGTTGTTGAGTTTTTTTTTCAAATGTCTTTCACATTGTAATGATTATATGGGAGTTTTTTCCTCCTTGGGGCTATTAATAAAGTAAATCATTGAACCATCCTGAATTCCATTTAATGATTGTATTATTGATACCATTCCTGTTGTTACTATTGATACTATTATACCCAACAAAATATAGTTTATACACATGTTCCTAGTGGGCCTCCTAATATTTTACATTGATTTAGAGATTTGATACTCAAAGCATTAGTTCCTTAAAATTAATGGCAAACATGTCATTCCTACATAATTCAGTAGCCAGCCCTTTAAAAAAGATATTTTTCTTACATAAATCAAAATATTATACCCCCAAAATTATGAATAACTCTTTGTTATTGTCTAATACCCAATCTATATTCAAATATCCCTAATTGTCTCAAAATGTATTGTTCAAATTAAGATCTAAACAAAGTACTTGCATTTCATTTGCTTATTTTCTTAGCTATCTAACTTGGCTCTGGATGCTATCTGTAAACAGCACAAGTAGTAACTGAATTTGAGGCAGGTGGTCTGAGGCTAACTTCATATGACTTGCAAGAAGCCTACAGGAATGCCTTGAGCCCCGCAAGAAATACAGCTGTCTTTGCAGATTAAAGTCCTGGCCTGCAAATTTGGCTAAGAAACAAGAAAAATAGCAACATCCACCAAAGTCAAGTCAGCCGCACTGGAAAGATTTGCCTCTTTGGAATGGAGCCTTAACCAAAGCTCAAACACACTTTTCCTATTATTTTCGCCTGAGCCGTCCTTTGCCAACGGAATGACTACACATGCCCGAGTCAGTTCAGGTCAGTGCTAGAGCATCACAGGGCCCTGCTTCCTAAGTCCTAATCAGCTTGACCAAGTAGAAACAGTTGTTCATCATGAGCAATGGAGAAAGATGCTTCCATGATCCACCAACTGCTCTTGTACTAATATTTGAGGTTTGGGGCCCTGGCAAGGCCCAAAGCCTTGATCTGACTCCTTATTAGTTGTGTTCCCAGCCACCAGAATTTCTCTCTCAACACATCTGGCCAATGGATCAAGATCTTACAAGATATTAACATTAGTTAGCTGATACGGTTTGGCTGTGTCCCCACCCAAATTTAATCTTATAGTTCCCATAATTCTCATGTGTCATAAGAGGGATCCAGTGGGAGGTAATTGAATCATGGGGGCAGTTACCGCCATGCTGTTCTCATGATAGTGAGTTCTCATGAGATCTGATGGTTTTATAAGGGGCTTTTCACCCCTCTTGTCTCTTCTCTTTGCTGCTGCCATGTGAGGAAGGATGTGTTTGTGTCCCTTTCTGCCATGATTGTAAGTTTCCTGAGGCCTCTCTAGCCCTGCAGAACTGTGAGTCAATTAAACCTCTTTCCTTTATAAATTATCCCAGTCTTGGGTATTTCTTCGTTTCTTCATAGCAGCGTGAGAATGGACTAATACATTAGCCTTCAACATTTTTTTTTTTTCTTAACTCGTGTTCTGTCACCCAGGCTAGAATGCAGTGGTGTGATCATGGCTTACTGCAGCCTCGACTTCCTGGGCTCAGGCAAACCCCCTACCTCAGCCTTTTGAGTAGCTGGGACTACAGACATGCACAGCCATGCCTGGCCAATTTTTTGCACGTGCACGTGAGTGTGTGTGTGTGTGTGTGTGTGTGTGTGGAGATGGGGTCTACATTATGTTGTCTAGGCTGGTCTGGACTTCCTGAGCTCAAGTGATCCTGCCATCTCAGTCTCCCCAAGTGCTGGGATTACAGGCATGAGCAATGGGCCTAGCGCCTTCAACTTTTCTGTCTACTCCCAAATTAGGAAATCAACCAAGGAATAACACAGAAGTCAGACGGAGTTAAATACCTTAATTTCATTTCTGGCAACTAGATTGGAGAACACAGTTGACACATGTGGTCATAATAAGCCTCTTGAGATTTCACATGCTATAGATAGCTGCCATCCAGTCACTGAGCCTGCAGGACATCAAAGTCTTCTTTACAGAATCAGCGGGGCCCTGTTAGTGCCCCACAAAAGGGAGTAGGAGACAACACACATCCTGTGGGTTGGGGGAACCCACAAAAGAATGATCACCCTGGTGAGCAGCCACACAGGCTCAGCTCATTACCCAAACAGGATGGGACCCCTTTACTCCTCCTCTGAGCCAAAGCAAAGTTCACAAGGAAGAGAGCTGGAAGTGCTCTTCATATACTTCTGGATAGTAGAACAGAAAGTCCCTTCTCCATGTAAAAATGTGAGGAATGCGGGTAATAAAACCTTACGGGAAATAAAACCTAAAAGGGGAACTGGCAGTGACATGTTAGGACCACTCTTTTCAGTTACTAGGTGTACACAAAAAAAAGTGTTAGGTGCTCCTGTGCGCCAGCACTCTGATAAGTGTTACATGGACCTTATATGATTTTCTCCTTTCAATAGCACTTAAGGAAAATAATCTCCCCAGGATCACCCAGCTAGTGAATGTTAAACTTCTTGAGTCCTGGTTGCTCTGCCTATAAAAAGGACAGATTCAACCATTTCCAAACTCACTGCTTTTTCATATAAACCAAGCTAGCCAGGTGCAGTGGCTCACACTTGTAATTGCAGCTGCTCATGAGGTTGAGGTGAAAGAATCACTTGAGCCCAGGAGTTTGAGACCAGCCTGGGCAATATAACGAGACCCCATATTTAAAAGATAGAATAATAACCAAACCACTTTTGGAAGTCTGACTCATGAAACAAACTAAGCTAACCAGCCTTTTCTCCTGGGCATCTAGTTCCGACTCAGTAACTCCTAGACTTTGTAACTACCTAAGCACCATGTATTGACCATCTATTCCCACAGGATTGGGGTGGGGGTGAAAAGCAGAAAGGATGGTAAAAACTGAGTATTTAACATTCCCCTAGACTCTGTTTTTACAGAAAGCTATAAATCTTCGGCTGGGCCTAGCTAATGTGTTGTAATAAAAGGAGATGTTGATTCGATTTTTACAATCCATCATTCCAAGGCCAGAGAAAAACAGGAAAAGAGATGCTTTTCTTGGAAGGAAGAGAACGTTTGTCAAATTGTTTCTACTTACTTGTATTCACACATCCTGTCTCTCCTAATATCTCACCTGTCAGAGACTAACAGGATAAAAGCAGACAGGTAGAATGGCTTTAAATTATGTGTATTGAGAAAAATAATGAAAAACAGCATGCAAAAGAATTCAAGGAAATTAACATGGTTGCTGCTTAGTTCTCTCCTGCTCCCCACTGGAGGCTGAGGAGGAAGATAACATTTCTATTCAATTCAATCCAAAAATTGTTAGGAAATGGAGATGCAAACATTATGACATGGCCCTCAAGGAACTCAGAATAGATGAGAAGGTAAGTCTGATACATATGCTAAGAGCAATGAGAGTGATGAGCCTAGGGTAACAGATGCAGACTCCCCCACCCAAGGATGCCTTTGGAAGAGATGATATCTGAGCCAAGTCAGAGGTTGTGCAGCAGTGAGCCAGCAAAATGAATAGTGGGACAAAGTCAGCAATAAGAGCATTCTAGGCAAAGGAAATACAAACAACAAAAAAATGTCCAACATCTACCAGGCCTTGCTGCCTTCTGATACTGTCTTAAGTGCTTTTCATGCAATCTTAACTCAGATGATACTGTGCTCAATGAAACCGCTACTATCAGCATCCCTATTTTTCAAATCTAACAATAAGGCTGTAAAAGTTAAGTAGCTTGCCCAAGCAGTAGGTGGTACACATCAGAATGAGGATTTGAACTCAGGTCAGTATGATTCTAAAGCCTCATTTTTTAATAGCAACAAGCTACACTGCTCTCCCAAAGTGATGAGCAAAGGTACCAAATGTGGGTGACAGCATATCACTAGTGGGTAATGACTACAAAGAGTGCTGTTTCCAGATGGTAATGTGGGAAGCAGAGAGCAGCTAAAGATACATGAAACTTTTTTTTTTTTTGAGACGGAGTTTCGCTCTTGTTGCCCAGGCTGGAGTGCAATGGCACAGTCTCGGCTCACTGCAACCTCTGCCTTCCGGGTTCAAGTGATTCTAGCTGGGATTACAGGCGCCCACCACTACACCCAGCTAATTTTTGTATTTTTAGTAGAGACGGGGTTTCACCATGTTGGCCAGGCTGGTCTCAAACTCCTGACCTCAGGCGATCCACCCGCCTCGGCCTCCCAAAATACTGGGATTACAGGCATGAGCCACCACGCCAGGCCACATGAAACATTTTATGTATCATGTGAAGAGACTGAATGTTATCCTGGGGTAACAGGATCTCAGAAGACGTTTAAACAGATACATGCCATGGCCAGATGTGTTTTATGTAAATTTATTCTCTTTGGTCTCACACCACAGTAACATGAGAGTAACAAGATCAGAGACAAAAAGACTAGTAAGATCTAATGGTAACCCAGGAAGGAGAGTGTATGAATGAGGATGGTGGGAGCTCAGATGGAGAAGAGTGAGACAATTTGAGAAATACTAAAGAACAGTAGGACTGGTGGATATAATGGGTGTAGGCATGATGGAAGAGGAGGAGGAGGAAGAGTTAAGGATGACTCCAGGTTTTCTGTTGGAATGACTAAGTGAACATTAGTACCTCCACCTGGAACAAGAGCACAAGGAGAACTGTTTAGCTTGAGTTCAGATAATGCAACAGATTCTTAATTACATAAACTAATTTCTGTAAGTTTGTTATGTAAATTATGTAAGCTTGTTTGACTTGGTTTTGAAATGGCTCATGGTTATACCTGTTACAGCTGGATTCCAGGACTCAACTACAATCAGAATTTTTCTTTCATTCTCTCAGCTTGAATTTCCTTTTGTAGCACCCTTGGGCTCACTCTTTATGGTGGTGATAACAATTGACATGCTTTATTTTCCGATCAACAAGCTTCCGATCTGACAAGCTGAAGAGGCTTGGCTCTTAGCAACCACATCAACTCTTGGGAAGGAACTTGAACAGCCCCCACTGGGCTCATATATCTGCCCCCTGGAAAATTAGTGAGTGGATGGGAAGAGATAATCTGAACAGTGATTCTGGATTATATGTCCTTCCTGCTGGTGGGAGGAAGTATGGTCAGGGAAATCTCTGAAAAGAAGAGCAGTTCCATTACCAAAATAGATTTGTCTAGTGAATAGGCCAAAGCACAGAAACCCACTCCATGGGAAAACATCCCATCTGATTATATGACAGCAGAACGTGGAGGGACAGGACAAGGTTGAAGGTCAACACTTGAAGTCATCAGCCACCCTTGAAGTTAAAACTGAAGGACAGTATAGATAAGATTGAGTCAAGGATGAAAGAATTCAGAGAATACCACCCTTTAAGACAGGAAGAGGAACAGAAACTAGAGTGAAACAGAGGAGAATAACATGCCAAAGAATGTATGAGTATTGTCTCATTTAACTTCATCACCAATATAGCCCTATAAGGAGGGCATAAGGGTTTTTTTTCCATTTTAACGGTAAAATTACTTTGAATCTGAGTTATTATTCTTGCTCATCATCAAATCTGCTAAGTGATAGAGCTGGGATTGGAATCTTTTCTTGTGAGATTCCAACTTCATTCTACTAGAAAGATAACATATTCCCCACCAAGGACATAAGATGTATGCTGTTCCCAGATGTTTTCTCCTAGAATGTAGGAGAATTTATTTTTAAAACACATATTTTCTTCTTGGCAGTAAATGGCATCTTTGCTCCACAAAGAAACCAAATTAAAAACAGTTCTGATCCTCATGCTTCAGAAGAATTTATACTTACTCAAGCATTCTCAGTCTGTCCTTGATTACATGGGTCTCAGTTATAGACTTGAGAAAACAAATATAAAATGCGAGCACTATTAAGATAATTAGAAATAATCTAGTAAAGGATCCAGTGATGGACTTCAGTGGGATCTATTTAGAAACCCTTGAAATTGAATGCAAAATATTTGTGCACAATGGATTTTTTTTTTCTGGGAAGAGTCTCTATTCTTTGAATTCTCGAAAGTGTATGAGTCCAAGTACCCTCACTTTGCAGATATGGAGATTAGTCATTTATATTCCATGGGCCTCCAGCTCATACCATGAGGCCTTGATAGAATCAGGTCTGGACCTTAGGTCTCTTGGTTCCCAGAGCATGACACTCTCAGGAAGCTTCTGCCTGTAAGTATCCTATTAAGTGCCTGAAAGAAAGGTTTCTTGCCCTAAGATCACCTATACATTTTTTGACCGGCAAGGGTTCCACCTCTTGTAAACAGTTATTCCTTGAAAAATAAAATTGATATTAAACTGTCACTTACAAGCACAGGGAATATGAGATGTGGACTTGACAATGTTGGCAGTTGGGAACTGCACAGAAATCCAGGGCTCTGTTGCCTTCCTACCCTCTACTCCTCACCATGTCCAGGAGGAGGAGAGAGGGCCTTAGGTATGAGAATCCACATCTGCTGAGCACCTAGGGTAGAATAAGCTTAGGAAGATCTTGGTTTGGGTTTCCAGAATGAGAGCCTGTGATGAGGATGTGCAAGTTGTTTATTAAAGATGTGCTCCCAAACAAAACTGAGAAAGAGAACAAGGCAGGGGCAGAAGTCAGGGAAGGGTGTGATGTCAGAGTCCTTTGGAGTGTGGCAACAGCCCGATCTGGACAGCTTTTGCTGAAAGAACCTAAAAGTAATCAACTCATTTTTTAAAGATTTGAACAATTTATTCTAACAAAAGTATAAAGTATGGAAAATTCATGTATTTGAACGATTTCAGAGAGTAGAGCATGTTTCACACTAGCAGATTTCAGATTTTAGCACCTTTGAAAAGAAATATTCAGAGTTAAGACAAGTGGCAATGCAGGCTGCAGGTGACCTACAGGGATACTCATCTGACTTCAGTGCAGTTCACATCACAGTGCAGTCATCTGGTTTTTCAGAGTGCCACAAAACACACTTAAAGAAAATGAGAAAGGAGTTCATTGAATTCATGGCTAGTGGTTAGAAGATGAACTAGAGACAAAAGCAGAAAGGTTATAGGATGGACTGGGAGGTCAAATAGACAGTCCGAAGGCGCCGACAATGCAGTACATGGTCTTATTCTCCCATCGCACAGTGTAGCTCCCGTCAGTAGAGCTGTCCCAAAAGCAGGAACTTGCCATGTATGATCCAGCTCCGTTCTTTTGAATAATTACACAGGTCACAATGTATTTAAATGGTTTTCCCAGCTTGGGGAGTTGGCTTAAAGTTTGTTCTACATTTGTGGTCCACTGGTTCACTTTGCTGTGTTGATAAGCATTACCACCAACTGCGATTTTTTTTTTTTTTTTTTTTTTTTTTGAGACAGTCTTGCTCTGTCACCCAGGCTGGAGTGCAATGGCGCAATCTCGGCTCACTGCAACCTCCGCCTCCCAGGTTCAAGCGATTCTCCTGCCTCAGCCTCCCGACGAGTAGCTGGGACTACAAGTGCCCACCACCACGCCTGGCTAATTTTTGTATTTTCAGTGGAGATGGGATTTCACCGTGTTGGCCAGGCTGGTCTTGAACTCCTGACCTTGTGATCCGCCTGCCTTGGCCTCCCAAAGTGCTGGGATTACAGGCGTGAGCCACCGCGCCCAGCCCCAATTACACTTTCTATAGCCTCTTTTACAGTGTTGCTCACTTCAACAATAAAGGCAGTCTCCTCCACAGCCTGATAGTCTCCCATCCTTCCTCCAGGGAATAGCCTCCGCTTCCCCGAGTGGTGCCACGCAGGCACGCTCAGGCTCCGCCCCACATCTGCCACGCCTCCCTCCATAGCCTGGCACGCAAGGCAAGGCACGCACTCCCGCCCCACCCACACCCAGCTCCCGGGCCCTGCGGCCCCGCCCACGCCCAGCTCCTTTTTTTTTTTTCCACTTGCATTACATTTATTCATCTCATTTCATCCTTAGAGCAAAACTCTGTAGTGGGTTCTGTTTTTTGGTGTTTTTTGTTTTTGTTTTTGTTTGTTTTCCACGAAGTCTCGCTCTTGTCCCCCAGGCTGGAGTACAATGGCGCGATCTCCGCTCACTGCAACCTCCGCCTCCAGGGTTCAAGCGATTCTCCTGCCTCAGGCTCCAGAGTAGCTGGGATTACAGGTGCCTGCCACCACGCCCGGCTAACTTTTGTATTTTTAGTAGAGACGGGGTTTCACTATGTTGGCCAGGCTGGTCTCGAACTCTTGACCTCAGGTGATCCGCCCGCCTCGGCCTCCCAAAGTGCTGGGATTATTACAGGCGTGAGCCACCGCGCCCGACCAGTGGGTGCTATTATTTATCTCCACTTTGGAAATGAGAGTAGCAGAGAAAGATGACTGAGATTTACAAAGAGTTGAGAATCCAGCCTGGCTACAGGATGCTAAGCAGAGCAGGGCGTTATGGCCCCAGGAGACCTGGTTCCAGGTGGGTTCTTTCCTAAGCCACAAACCCACCAAAAGCAGCATATCCTCTAAGATAAACACCCACAAATGCCCAGGGAAAATGTTCCAGGTGGTCGAGAACTCAATTCCTAATGAAAGCTTGGAAAATGAATTATGGCTCGGTGTCCTTTTACCGAAGAATAGGAATGTTCTCTTATATAACCACAGTACAATTAGGAAACCCAGGGAAGTTAATACTGATATTATCTAATTCATAGTTTTTAATCAAATGTCCATCAATTGTCTCAATGTCTGCTCTAGCTCCCCTTACCCCCAGCTCAGTGAAGGATCCAGTACAGAATCACGTTGTTTGGTTGTCATGTCTTTAATCTGGAACAGTTCCTCATTCTTCTTTTGATAATTTTGAAGAGTGAAGGTCACCTTTTTTTATTTGGTAGAAAATCTGTCAAAGTATAAAAAAAAAAAAACAAAAAAAAACAAAGGACACTTGGGTTTGTCTGAGTTTTCTTCATGATTTGATTCAGGTTATGTATGGCAGGATTCTACCAGAAGTGATGGTGTGTCCTTCTTGGTGCCTCTGATCAGAAGGCTCATGACATTCATTTGTTCCAAAATTGCTAGCGTTAACTGTGATCGTTTGTTTAGGTGGTGTTTTAGGTTTCTCCATTTTAAAGTTACTATTTTCCTGTTGTAATCAACAGGCAATTTGTAAGGGGCACTTTGAGACTGTGTAACTATCTCAAACTTCTGTCCACAGCATCCAATGCTCATTTTTGAACTCCATCCTTTCTTCTGTATTTAGGTGTTATTCTATTGTTAAAAAAAAAAAAAGCTTCTCCCCATTTATGTATTTACTCAATTATTTATAGAGAAATGCATGGATTCGTGTTTTTTTTTTAAACATGTACCCAGTGTGTCCTCTATATCCATGGGAACTTGATCTGTGGTTGGCTGAGTCCACAGATGTGGAACCCAAGGATACAGAGGGCCTACTGGGGGACTTAGGCATCTGGGGGATTTTGGCATCCATGGGGAGTCATAGAACCAATACCCCGCAAAAACCATGAGACACCTGTTATTCATTACTGCCATCATTTATTTTGCCATTAAAATGTTCAGAGATTTGTCCAATGGGACCTTCCTCAAGATGACCTGCATGTGCTTTTGATATATCCCTGTCGTTCTTTGAGCACTTCATTACTTTCTGGACAAGTGGCCTCAGGCTCATCTTGTCCCTGTCTTCATCCTGAAATTGACCTCTTCTCCAAGTTTACAGGCTTCCTTTCAGTTGGGAATGACATTTAGAAACCAAGATAAGGGCACCAGGTGGGCTGATCATTTGTTTAGGTGGTGTCTGTTAGGTTGCTCCACTTTTAAAGCTACTATTTTTCCCTTTATAATCAATAGGAACTTATAGGGGACACTTTGAGACTGTGTAACTATCTCAAACTTTAATTCCCAGCAACCACTGCTGAATTTGAACTCTATTCCTTCTATATTAGGTGTTACTCTATTGTTAAAAAAAAAAAGGGCTTTCATTTTTCCCCATTCATGCATTTGTAGGCCCTCTGAGTAGGAGGAATACACACACGTACATATGCATACACACACTGAAATTTGAGACCCATTGCCCTAGAACAAAGATAGGAAAACCTAGAGAACAAAATAGTTCTTTATTTACAAAAATGGGCAGCTGACCCACAGGTCATGCATGCTGATCCTGCTGTAGCACCATGAGATTTTCCAGTCGTGTGGCAGAGCCACTTGGAGCTATAGCTTAATCTGCTGCACATTGCTTTCTTGTTCTTGGCTCCGCAAAACTGGCAGCCTTCAGAGTCAACCCAGTTAGTGGGTGACAGCAATATTCCCAAGCATGATATATGATATTTCCAAATCAGAAGGGCTTCCTAGTTCCTTTGATTTACAATAGGAAGTACATGTAAGATGCAATAACCACTGTTCCCCTAAAAACTCACCATTTTGGCCGGCTGCTGAAATTCTGTAGGGATTTCTTCTGCCCACTGGTGCACATATACCTTAAGGCTTCCACCATTCTTCACTGTTTTCTCCTTTTTACCTCATATCTTCATGATATCATCAATATAATGGATCAGCATAATAGTCTGTGTCATATCCAGATGATAGAACAGCCATTAAAGTATATTGCTGGAAAAAGCATTAGAGTACAATTTCCTGGGACAAGACCCCGATTGTGTACCACTGTCTATCCCAGGCAGATGCAAAAGCTTTTGATCCTCCCTTCTGATGGGATTGAAAAGAACGCATTCACCAAATCAATGACCACATACTAGGTAGCAAAAGCTATGTCATAATTATCTGATAATTATGAAACCACAATAGTTATAATTAGGCTACCACGTGATGGAGTTGACAGTAGTTATATCAATCGTGAGCCATGTGGTTTTTTTCAGGAGCCAGACTGGCAAATGAAATGGAGATGTAACGGGGAACAGCAACCTTATCTCCTTAAAATCTTTGAGCTCAGCACTCCAATGACACTCCTTGCCATTCCACCCTACATAATATATTGATGTATATTTACTGTCTTGGCCTGGAGGTTGGGTAACTTCAGAGGGTTCCACGTAGCTGTTCTGATTACATAGGTGTACTCCACAGTTCAAGGACTTAGTGTGAGTGTTCTGCCAGTTACTAGGTATATCCATCCTGATCAATGCACTCAGGGATCAGGAAAATCAACACAGGTGAGTCCATGAACACACTGACGCCCTGTGAAATGGATTTAGGCCAGGACTCTGTTTGCCACCTGGCCTCTATTTACCTCCTCCAATCTAAGAAGGAAGCATGAAGGCATATTAGCCCTCATGGTTTTAGCATCCTCTTAGTCCCTATATCCAACTGCCCTTGAAAGATATGGGTATTTCCCTTCCCCCATTGTACAGATATGTTGATAAAAGGCTGTAAGTTCCTATGAGGAAGGACTGGGAAATTAACTAGTGAATATACTTGATGTCCTATTGCAGGGTCTTTCCTCAAGGAGATTCAGGCTTCTGTTGAATCAATGGCTCTGTTCTGGAAATTAAGAATCATGGTTTTTCACTGGGAAGGCTGATGTCAGTCTGAGTATTAGTGAATCTATTAGTACTTTTTGTTGGCTGTCCATTGACCTTGCCCCTAACAACTTGGCGGTGTGTTAACTATCACTATAGATTCCTACAGGTGAGGCCTCCTGGTTGTGATTCTGTCCTTGTTGCCTATTTCTACATGTGTCCACCTTGCCTCTGACAGTTTAAGCTGCCACCAGGCCCTCCTACTCCTAAAACCTATCCTTCTTCTTAACACTAAGCTGCCTGGTGCTAGAACAGCCTCCTGGACTGTCTGTCAATCTTGGCCACGGGGCATATCTGAGTTCCCTAGAAAATTACTTAACTATGTGCTTCTCAAAGTGAGAATAAATCAAGTAAGAATAGAACAAAGGCAGGATGAGGGAAATCCCTAGGTGTGGTGAAGGGTCGAAGCCCTGGAAGACATCTGTAATGCGCTCATCCCCATGCTTGCATCAGGGAGGGCAAGCCACTTTTCCCAATCCTTAGCATATCTTGAACTAAACTCACTTAAGTCCTATTTTCTACCACCACATTGGACTGACACTCTCTGAAAAGCTTGGAATTTTCCCCACAACCGACTTTAATTCTGAACTCTCTCAAGCAATTTAGACATTCTGGCCTGAACTGTCAGCTGTCACCTCTTGAGCCTCATTGTTTGAGAAGCAAGGCACATGGCTGTGCTC
This sequence comes from Homo sapiens, assembly GCF_000001405.40. Classification (NCBI taxonomy): domain Eukaryota; kingdom Metazoa; phylum Chordata; class Mammalia; order Primates; family Hominidae; genus Homo; species Homo sapiens. The sequence continues at coordinate 10,406,535 of NC_000004.12, read as the reverse complement.
AGTAAGAAATGCATCTGGCAATTTTGCAACATACCACACCTACTGGATGTAGTCAAGGTAGGGCTGGCTGCAAGATAAACACAGGATGTTCAGTTAAATCTGAATTTCAGATCAACTACTTTTTCTAGTATGTTCTAAATAAGTACATTCTAAATATTGCATGGGACATGGTCTATCAAAGGAAAACTCCATTCTTTATCTGAAGTTCAGACTTACCTGAGCATCTACTTTTTTTTTTTTTTTTTTTTTTTTTTTTTTTTTTTTTTGGAGATGGAGTCTTACTCTGTTGCCCAGGCTGGAGTGCAGTGGCGCAATCTCTGCTCACTGCAACCTCTGCCTCCTGGGTTCAAGCGATTCTCCTGCCTCAGCCTCATGAGTAACTGGGATTACAGGCACACACCACCACGCCTGGCTAATTTTTGTATTTTTAGTAGAGACGGAGTTTCACCATGTTGGTCAGGCTGGTTTCAAACTCCTGACCTCGTGATCCACCCACCTTGGCCTCCCAAAGTTCTGGGATTATAGGCATGAGCCACCACGCCCAGCCGAGCATCTGTATTTTTATTTGCTAACTCTAGAAACCCAAACTGGGAGTGGCTTCAGTACACACAGTTTTGAGGCAACATTGAAGCAAACAAATAACATTGAAGCAAACGGTTTTGTCAGAGGCATTTAAACCAGAGCAACTCCATCTTAAATAGGAGCTGGGTAAAATAAGGCTGAGACCTACTGGCTGCATTCCAGATGGATAAGGTTGAGGCATTCTAAGTCACGGGATAAGATAGGAGGTTGTCACAAGATACAGGTCATAAAGACCTCGCTGATAGAACAGCTTGCAGTAAAGAAGCCGGCCAAAACCCGCCAAAACCCGCCAAAACCCACCAAAACCAAAATGGCAACAAGAGTGACCTCTGCTCATCCCTAGGTGTGGTGAAGGGTCGAAGCCCTGGAAGACATCTGTAATGCGCTCACCCCCATGCTTGCATCAGGGAGGGCAAGCCACTTTTCCCAATCCTTAGCATATCTTGAACTAAACTCACTTAAGTCCTATTTTCTACCACCACATTGGACTGACACTCTCTGAAAAGCTTGGAATTTTCTGCTCATCCTCACTGCTACACTGTGTGTTGCCAGATTCTGTACAAATTTGGTATACAGCTTAACAAGCAAAGAACTGTAATAATACAGTTATAGCTCCTCACCCCCGCCATCCCCAAAAGAAGATAGGTTTGGTTTTCTATGGTTCATATAACCCCTAAGCAGTGGAAATGTGGGACGAGATCCCATGCATTTACATTCTAGTCATGTTAGGGTTCCCGAGAGAAACAGGACCAATAGAATATAGATAGATGGATGCTAGATATATGAATACATATACAGAAAGATGAGAGATTGACTCACAATTGTAGAGACCAAGAAGTCCCATGATCTGCCATCTGCAGCCTGGAGCCCTAGGAAAGCCAGTGGTGATTCAGCCTGGGTTCAAAAGCCTAAGAACCAAAGGAGCCACTAAGCAAAGAAGGTGGATATCCCAGTACAAGAAGAGAGCAAATTTGCTTTTCTTCTTTTTGTTCTATTCAAGCTCTCACGAAATTCGATAATGCCAACCCACATTGGTGAGGATGATCTTTATTCAGTCTGCTGGTTCAAATGCTAATCTCTTCCAGAAAGATCTTACAAGTAACATCCAACTGGCCACCTGGGCATCTCTTAGCCGTAGCAATTAACCATCACGCTAGTTCTGTCATTCATTGGCCACATGACCTTGAATACACTTAGCCCCTCTCTGTGCCTGTTTCCTCATCTATAAAATGAGAATACTAAAAGTTCCCACCTCATGGAGTTGATATAAAAATTAAATGAGTTAACACATGTAACACACAGAGCCACACCTGGTGCATAAAGTCTCATTGAAAGGTAGTTGTTACTGTTGTTGATCTGTGTTTACACTCTGCTGAAGTTGAAAAATCTCATCACCTGACTCCTTTCACTTCCTTGCTTCAAATCTATTTGGGAGAATGGGGCTAATGTGGAGTTTATTCCAAAGGTGCTAGTGAATTTTTAATCAACTTCCTTTATTTCTTCCCAGTCTGAGTTTCAAAAGCAGCAGCTAATATTTGTTAAGTACTAACAGGTACTGTCCTAAAAACAAGACATAGCTCATTTCACTAAATCTCCCAACAATCTAAGAGGTTTCCACCATTATTATCCCAATGTTATACATGCCGGGACTTCGCCTCGGCACCCAGCTAGGAAGTGGGCATGCTCAGGGTTGCCTCCAGGCCAGTGTTTCCCCCAGGGCTGCTAACTATGATCCTACTATTAGTTCTCCTCATACCATCCCTTCTTTTCACCATGAGGCTTATTCAAATCCCACCTGACCTGTAAAGTTGAGCTCTACCCTTTCATATAAGTCAGAGTGGCCTCTGCAAGGCTATTTTGACCTTTTTGTTTTTATATTCTGCGTCTTTTCACTTGGAAAGTGAGGTCAAAGGGACAAGAAATAAAGCAAGCAAACTTTTGTTATTTTGAAGGAAACACCTTCCTCCTGGAAATCTAATACCTCCTATTTCCCAGATCTGTGCAGCAGATGGCAGTGTTCAATTAGTCAAAATAAAGTTCTAGCCTATGGACTTGCTGTTTAGTTCTAAATTGCTCCATGACCCCTCAGTGCTTCCTGGTGGTACTTTATAAACTGTCAGCTATTTTAAATAGTATCACTGTATTATCAAAGTCACCCAGAGTGCCAGGGGAGATGTGAATTAACTTCACAGTAGTGACAGGAAACTCAAAGTCGAGTGCAATATTGAAAGTCGCAGAAGCAGTAAGTGGCTGACCCAGAACCCAGGTCTTCTGGGTTCAGTGTTAGCACATCACACCTCTGTGAATTAAAGGAGTTTTAAAGATGATGGGGATGTTTATTTCAATCTTCCTCCTACATGAGAAACTCTTGTCCACTGGGCCACGCCCCTGTCCAGCCTTCCGCCCTACCTCCCATTATATGTTCTATGTTGCTATACTATCTCAAAACAACTATTCTAAAGCTAGTTTAATGACATTAGGTGTATTCAAGCAGAAAATATAAAGGAGGGAGAAATTAAGTCCTGTGATATCAGTCTCTCTAGGCATTAACCCAACAGGGTTATTTTTTGAGAGCTTTTATGAAATCAATTCTATTTATCTATTGGTAATTTACCAATATCCTTTTGCACTTTTAAGTGGTTGCTCTAGGAGTGACACTATCTGTGCTTAACTTTTTACAATCTACTTAGAGTTGATATTTAGGCCCATTACAAAATATGTAGAAATCTTGTAAATATGTATTCATTTATCTACCACTATCTTTTTTGATATATTTATTATGTGTATAATATCAATATACATTATAAACCTCATAGGACAATAATAATTTTTGCTTTAAAGAGTATTGTGTATCTTAAAGGAAGAGGAAAAGGTCTTTACCATTTAGTTGTCAATTAAGAATAACAATCTAATTACCCATATACTTACCATTTCCAATGATGCCATTCCTTCCTGAAGATTCAAGTTTTCCTCTGGTATTCTTTCCCTTCAACCTGAAGAAACTACGCTGGCATTTCTTATAGTATGGGGATGCTGACAACAAATTCTCAGTTCTCTTTTATCTGGTAATGTCCTTATTTCATCTGGAAGGACAATTTTGCTAGATATGGAATTCTGGATTGACAGTTGTTTTTTCAACACTTTAAAACACTGTTTACTTCTCTTTTGGCCCCCATAGTTTCTGATTAGAAGTTGGTAGTAGTTTTAATTATTGCTCCCTATATATTGCATGTTTTTCTCTGTATGATTACATCTATCCTTGGCGTTCCCCAGTCTAAGATGTGCCTTGCCATGATTTTCATGTGTTTATCCTATTTAGGGTTTGCTGAGCTTCTTAGATCTGTACAGTTATATCTTTCCCTAAATTTGAAAATGTTTCTGTTGTCATTTCTTCAAATATTTTTACCTGCAATTCTCTGTTCTTTCTCTTTAGAATTCCTGTTACCTAGATATTAGCTTTTTCAATATTGTTCCACAAGTTCCCGAGGCTCTTCATTTTTCCAATATTTTTCCCTGTTCTTCAGGTTCGATAAATTCTATCATTCTATCCTAGAAGCTATCAACTCCTATTGCTTACAGGAGTTTTCTTTTTCTCTGGAAGCTTTACCAGGTCTTCAATTCTATGGAAAAGTCTTGACCCCTTGACCCATCATGGGCCCAGGCCATTATGCTGCTGTCAGGAGCTATTTCCAAAGACCTCATTGACTCATATCAGGAGAAAACCAAACCAAGTACCAAATTAATACATAGCAGAAGCTATTCACAAACTTAAAGATGACCTACAAGTTCATTCTCAAGGAGATCACAGTCATGACTGCAGCAGTTTCCCAATTACAGAGCCTCTCAAGTGCCTTATTTCCACTGGGCAGTGAAAAAGAAAACCTTGAGTTCACATAATCTAGTATACTTGCCACCTCTTCATTTAAATGGTCTCTTTACTTAGCTCAGTTGCTGCTTTGATAACTCAGTGAATTCTCACTCTTACAGAGTTTGACCTCTTCAAGTTCTCCAAAAGAGAATCTGAAGACTCCAATGAAATGTCCATAAGATCCTGGTGATGGGGATGGGAGACACAAGATCTTTGCACCCTCCATGGTCTTGCTCTGGATTCTCCCTTTACAACAGACTAGTAGGACTGGGCTGCTCTCTGGACTCAGAAGAGTGATTCATCCAGTTTAGATTTTGGGGAGAATATATGGTTCCAGAAATTTTCTGTTTGAAGGCCCCTGTAACTAATGGCATTCCACTTCTCATTGAGCCTCTGTCAGCGCACTTTCTAAGCATTTTAGTGCCCCATTATGGCCAAGCATTCTCTCAAGCTCACCCATTTCCTACCTTTAGCCATCACTTAGCATTATATGAGAAGTAGGTGCATGTGATGTTTCTTCTAGTGTTTATAGCCTATGCTAGAAGTCTTATGGAGGTGAGTCACTTCTAGTGGTCCTCCTTTTAGGTCCCTGATCAATCTGGCCCAGTTATTCTCCACTGCCCTTGAGTCCATGTATATTCTTACTTCAGGCCACTTATGTCTTTAACCAGGTATATCACCCAATTCTCTGCTCCACTGTTTTTCAGGCCACCTCTGAGCAGGGGTCTCAGGGCTGCAGAAGTCTATTTGTAATTGGTACCCACATACCAAGCCAAATTATCCAAAGGGTGAGTTTTTTTTTCCTCTATTAGCTGGTTACAGGGAATCCCTCCCCACCCCAGTCCCCAGAGAGCTGTATGAGCTACTCTATAGACTATTAAAAGGAATTATACTGGAAGGAGAACTCCTGACACTGCCTCATCAGCAAACTGTGGTTGCTAGTCCACATTCTCCAGAGTCAGTATGAAATGTGGCCTATCAAAGTCTTGTGAGCCTGGATGTAAGAGAATCTAAACAAGACCCCTAGAGATCATGGCAGGCTACATGGTCATTTCAAGTACCACGATGCCATGTACCATGCTCAGTTTCTACTAGCATGTGGGCCTAGAGCAACTCATGCATTGGCATAAAAGGCAAGCACTGGGGATGGGTTCAGGTACTGTTAGTTTGCATCTGCATGCCTTCAAATAAAACTAAAGCAACAACCAGAACAACAACAACAAAAAAAAAAACCACAGGTGAGGTAGAGCAGATCTGAAGTGGCTAAGTAGTTTCTGGTCCATAGGATTACCAAAGTTAGAACTCAGGGATTGGGTTAAATAACATTAAATAAGGCTGAGAGAAATAGTGAGCTAGAAGATGGAGCTGAAGAAATTGCAGTGTAAAGACAGATCAAAACAGGAGAGAGACTTTGGGAAACATGGAAGACTGAGTAAGAGTGTCTTTAAATGTCTATTTGGAGTTAAACAGCTTAAAACACAGGGCAAAGGCAATACTATTTGAGACTGAAGAGATAATTACCAAAAATTCTCAAAACTAAAAAAAAAACAAAACACCAATCCAGACTTGTGAAGCTTAACCAAATCCCAAGCCAAATAATAAAATAGAAGTTAGCGGGCTGGGCGCAGTGGCTCATGCCTGCAATCCCAGCACTTTGGGAGGCCAAGGTGGGTGGATCATGAGGTCAGGAGTTCGAGACCAGCCTGACCAACGTGGTGAAACCCCATCTCTACTAAAAATACAAAAATCAGCTGGGCATGGTGGTGTGCACCTGTAATCCTAGCTACTCAGGAGGCTGAGGCAGGAGAATCGCTTGAACTTGGGAGGCAGAGGTTGCAGTGAGCCGAGATCATGCCACTGCACTCCAGCCTGGGCAACAGAGCAAGACTGTGTCTCAAAAAACAAAAAACAGAAAAACAAAAAAAACAAAAAAAAAACAAAAAACAACAACAAAAGGAAATTAGCTACCAAGACACATCCTAATGAAACTGTAAAGACAAAGGCATGATCTTGAAAGCAGCCACAGAGTAAATCATTCTTACTTAGGAAATATAAGTTGACAGTGAGTAACAACAACAATGAAAGCTACAAAGCAGTAAAATTGTATCTTAAAAGTGATGAGGAAAATTTATAATACAGTCATGCATCATATCATGAAAATTCAGTTAATGATGGACTGCATTTACAATAGCAATCCCATGATTATAATGGAGCTGTCAACTTCCTGTCACCTGGTGGCATAGCCATCATAATGTTGTAGCACAATGCATTACTTTTCTGTTTGTGATGGTGTCGGTCTAAACAAACTTGCACCGACAGTAGTATAAATGTATAGCACATATGATAATGTACAATACCTAATACTTTATACAATAAATGACAGTTACCAGTTTTTTACTATACTATTATTGCTAAACTATACTCCTACTTATAAATAGTAGACTGTGAAACAGTCTAGGCAGGTCCTTCAGGAGCTATTCCAGAAGAAAACATTGTTACAGGAGATGAAAGATCCATGTATGTTATTGCCCTTGGAGACCTTCCAGTGGGACAAAATGTGGATGTAAAAGATAAAGTTATTGATGATCATGACTCTGTGTAGGCCTAGGCTAATGTGTGTTTCTTTCTTTGACTTGAACAAGAACATTTTACAAAGTAAAATAAAAAAAGGGAAAAAAGCTTATAGAATAAGGATATAAAGAAAATACTTTTGTATAGCCATATAAGGTGTTTTAAGCTAAGTGCTTTTTTTTTTGAGACAGGGTCTCACTCTGTCACCCAGGCTGGAGTACAGTGGCTCAATCTCGGCTCACTGCAACCTCCGCCTCCCGGGTTCAAGCAATTCTCCTGCCTCAGCCTCCCAAGTAGCTGGGATTACAGGCATGTGCCACTACACCCAGCTAATTTTTGTATTTTTTTATTAGAGACTGGGTTTCACCATTTTGGCCAGGCTGGTTTCGAATTCCTGACCTCAAGTGATCCGCCTGTCTTGGCCTCCCAAAGTGCTGCGATTACAGACCTGAGCCACTGCGCCGGGCTAAGCTGTTATTATAAAACAGTAAAAAAAGTTTTTAAAAATTAAAAGTTTACAGAATAAAAAATTACAGAAAACTGAGGCTAATTATTGAAAAATATTTACTAAATTTAGTGTAGCCTAAGTGTAGAGTATTTGTAAAACCTATAGTAGGATATACACTGATGTCCTCGGCCTTCACATTCACTCACCACTGACTCACACAGATCAACTTTCAGTCCCTGCAAGCTCCATTCATGGCAAGTGCCCTACACAGGTGTACCATTATACTTTATTTTTGCTGCTCTTTTTCTACATGTTTAGATACACAAATATTTATTGTTGTGCTAAAATTGCCTACAGTGTTCAGTACAGTAACCTCCTATACAGGTTTGTAGCCTAGGAGCAATAGGCCATACCCCACAGCCTAGATCTATATTAGGCTATACTATCCAGGTTTTAGTATGCTCTATAATGTTTGCCCAACAGTGAAATTGCCAAATGACACATCTCTCAAAGCATACCCAAACTGATAAGCAACGTAGGATTGAAAAATTTTTTAGACAAAAAGGATTTACCACCAACATAACCTCCCTAGGACAAATTCTAAAGGATACACCTCAAAAAAAAAAATAGTGACAGAAGCATGGGCTGTAATGCAAGCAATCATATTGGTAACAATTGACCATGTAAAATAACAAAAATGATTTATCTGTGGTGTTTTTTAAAAGTGAAATAATGAGAATAGGTTTACTATATTATGGAAATCAGGGAGTGTCTGGAGTTAAGATGTTCCATATGCCTTTATATTCTAGAAGAAGATAAAAGTAATAATTGACTTTAGAGATATTCATTTAAATAGGCACATTAACATTTCTGGGCTGAAATAATTAAAATAGAATATCATGCTCTTGGTAGAGAGAATACAATAGTCTGTAAAGAAAAAGGCATCAAGCGAGGGAAACTAAAAATAATTGAGACAAATATAAAGCACAATAAGATAGGAGTCATAGTGGATCACAACAAATATGAAGGAGTAAAATCTCTAAACAAGGATTCTTAGACTTGTTTTAAAATAAAATTTATCACTTATAAGAGATTCACCTAAAACAGGCACAGTAAAAAGTAAAAAGATTGAAAAAGAGATTCTAGGCAGATGCTAACTTAAAAATGCTGGAATATCGTTTCCCCACCTCCCTCCATCTTACACAAATAGACTTACATTAAAAAGCATTTAACAGGGAAATTCTTCATAAATTTATTTCTGTCATTATGGATTTATCACATCTGGGAGAAAAATCCACATATGTATAGAATCTACTGGCATCACATGTGGCTAGAAATGTTAATGTGCCTATTTAAATGAACATCTCTAAAGTCAATTATTACTTTTATCTTCCTCTGGAACATAAAGGCATAGGGAACATCTGAAGTCCAATCACTCCCTGATTTCTATAATATAGTAAATGTATTCTCATTATTTCACTTTTAAAAAACACCACAGATAAATCATTTTTGTTATTTATAAACATTTTGTTATTTATAAATCATTTTGTGATCACACAGTAACATGCCCCTACAGGGGACTCCCCTCCACACCCCAACCTTCCCCTGTTCCCTGCAAAAATTCTTTGGCTTAGCATGCATCACCCACTTGGAAATAGCAAGATAGGGAATGAGGATCAATTCTGGGAGCTTTAACTCAAGAAGAAAGACAAGAATCCACTGGAATCATGAACACCCCAGATCCCAGAGAGGAGAACATGGGCAAATAACTCTCATGATGGTGTCTGGTTGGTAAAAGTGAGTGAAGCCCCAGTACATGAGAAAGGCAGTGAACCTTCCTCTGTGATTTAACTTTCCACTGCCGAGCCAAGCAACCCAGGCCAAGGGAGAGCATTTTGTTTCTCCCAAGCCCTAGAGCTAACTAGGGGAGAGGCTTAGAGGCACTGAGAGGGCAAGACACTGGAAAAAAATTGCAGGCATTTTCCCAGACCAGGGACTGAGAGCAGAACACCATTTTAACCCAGGCACATATGAAGTCTGTCATTCTTTAGTGACATGGCAATATGGCCATGCAGGCATTTGAGTCTCAGGCCAAAGACTCAAGCATTTGCACTGGAGCAGGTTAGTGGCTTCCACAGCCAGAATGGTGGAAAGCACCTCAGCAGCAGGTGCTGGAATTGTGCTTTCCTGTTTCAGGTCTGGGGCAGGAGGAGAGCTGCTACAGCTATGGTTTCTCCTGGGCAATGAGACTTGCAACCAGACTTACTTGTGACAGGTACCTACTCTGCGTGTGTCATTTCTGGGTGCCCCAGCCTGCTCCCCTGAGATTGTGGTATGTCAGGACCTTCTCTGCTCTACCCTAGGCACAACTCCAGGCACTTGAAGTACATGCTTGCCTGGACCAGCAGCCTGAGCTGCCCCACACTTTCTGGACATAGATCATAGTACAGGGGGCTCAGGGGAAGGCCTCTCCACTTCACACCCAGGCAGAACTCCAGGAATTTGAAGCACCTGCTCACCTTGATCAGCAGCCTGAGTCACCCCACCTTTCCTGTGCAGAGATCATAGTGTAAGGGGATCTTCATTTCATGCCCAGGCATATCTCTAAGCATTCAGAGCACCTGCTCAGCCAGACTGGAAGCCTGAGCTGCCCACTTTTCCTGTACAGAGATTGTGGTGCAGCAGGACCTTCTCTGCTACACACTCAGGCAGATTTCCAGGTGTGTGGAACACCCACCTGAATGAACTAGCAGCCTGAGTCACCCCACCCTTCCTGTGCAGAGATACTGATGGCCCTCTCTGCTTCCTGCCCAGGCAAATCTCCTGGCAGTCAGAGCACCCACTCACTGGGATCAGCAGCCTGAGCTGTCCCACCCTTCCTGTGCAGAAATTGTGGTGAAGCAGGGCCCTCTCCATGTCCAGGCATATCTCCAGGCAGTTGGAGCACTCCTTCATCTGGATTAGCAGCCTATGCCATCCCACCCTCTCTATGTAGAGGTTGTGGTTTCGTGGGGCCTTCTATACTCTATGCCCAGGCAGATCTTTAGGCATCCCTGGGGTACCCCTCTCCTGGATGAGCAGTTTAGGCTTCCCTTCCTACCTGTACAAAAAACTTGAGGCTGAGAAGTTTCCCAATTCCATGCCTAGGCACACATCTGGGCACTTGGTGGCCACCCAATGGACTCTCCCTTGTGCTGGCCACTGGAGGACCTATAGGTAGTCCAGCCTCACCTTCTTTGTCTGGTTCCACCCATCTTGCCTCCAACCCTCCCAAGTCTTATCAGAAAGCTCAGGCCACTGTGTACTCTACACATCACCCCACTGTCCAAGGCAACAGAGTTCTCCCAGCAAAAGGGGATCAAGTATATACCCAGCTATGTTAGCTGCAGTTGGCTTTTACCCATAAGCATCTTCTCCTGGCTTGTAGGTCAAACTGCACAGCCTAATATAAAACCTGCTGACACAAGTGCACAGGTCTATAGAAGCAAAGCCAAAGGACCTTACTCAACATTCTCTACAGTCACATCCTCTAAATGAGGGTAGGAAAGAGAAAAAGGAAAAATAATCTTATAGGTTAAGAAATTAAAATTTAAAAATCTTACCTGCATGAAAATAGTTGCAAAAATTACAAGTGCCAGCATCTCCAGATGAGATGGAACCAGCACAAGAATTCTTGCATGATGAAAAGTCTAAATGTAGTGACACAAAAAGTCTAAATGTACTGATCACACTAGCTCTCTCCAGCAATGGTCCCTAACCAAAATGCAAACTCAGAAATGACAGATTAGGAACTTAAAGTATGGACTGCAAGGCAGCTCAATGACATCCAAGACAAGATTGAAAATCAACACAAAGAAACTTCTAAAGCAATCCAAGAAATGAAGGAAAAGAAAAATCTTAAATCAATCAGAACTTCTGGAATTGAAAACCTCACTTGAGGTATTTCAAAATACAATTGAAAGGTTTACCAATAGACTGGACTGAGCACAAGAAAAAATTTAAGAGCTCAAAGACCAATCTTTTGAACTAACCTTGGCAGACAAAAATTTAAAAAAGAATTTAAAAAAATGAACAAATTCTGAGAAATATGAGATTATATAAAGCAACCAAACCTACAAATTATGGCATTCCTGAGAGAGAAGGAGAAAAATAATCTGGAAAACACTTAAGAAAATTTCTCTAATCTGCTACAGAGGTAGACATCCAGACAAAAGAAATACAGAGAACACCTGCAAGGTACCATACAAAATGAACATCACCAAGGCATATAGTCACCAGACTGTTTAAGGCCAATGCTAAAGAAAAAATCTTAAAAGCAGCTAGATAAAAGGTCAGATGACGTACAAACGGAGCCCCATCATGTTAACAGTGGACTCCTCAGCAGAAGCTTTACAAGCCAGTAGAGACTGGGGGCCAATTGTAGTATTCTTAAGGAAAGGAAATTTTGACCAAGAATTTCATATCCTGCCAAAGTAAAGCTTCATAAGCAAAGGAGAAATAAAATTTTTTCCAGATAAGCAAGTGCTAAGGGAATTCATTACAGCTGAACTAGCCTTACAAAAGATCCTTAAGAGAGTTCTAAACATGAAAAAGAATGAATGATACCTGCTACCATTAAAAGACACTTAAGTACATAACCCACAGACCCTAAAAAGGAAACACACAATATAAACTACAAAGCAACCAGCTAACAAACTTCATGATAGGATCAAAACTTCATGTCAATATTAACTTTTATTGTAAACAGTCTAAATACCCCATTTAAAAAGGCACAGAGTTGCAAGTTGGATAAAAAACCAAGACCCATCCAACTTCTGTCTTCAAGGGAACTGCCTCACACATAATGAAGCCCATAGGCTCAAAGTAAAAAGTTGGAGAAGGAAAACAGAGCAGGGATCACTATTATATCAGATAAAACAGACTTTAAACCAACAACAGTGAAAAAGGACAAAGGCAGGCATTACATATCAATAAAGGGTTCGATTCAACAAGAAAAATATTCCAAATAGAACTATTCCAAATACGTATACACCCAATGTTGGAGCACCCAGATTAAGAAAACAAGTACTTCTAGACCTATGAAAAGACTTAGACAGCAATATAACAGTGGGGGACTTTGACTTCTCACTGACAGATCACTGAAGCAGAATACTAATAAATAAATTTTGGACTTAAACTCTGCACTTAACCAATTGCTCCTAATGGACATCTACAGAATATGCCATCCATCAACCAAATATACGCTCTTCTTATATGCACCTAGAACACACTCGAAGATTGGCCACATGCTTAGCCATAAAGCAAGTCTCAAATTAAAAAAAAAAAAAAGAAAAGAAAAGAAACACCAAATATACTCTTGGATCACAGTGGAATGAACAGAAATACCAAGAAGAGCTCTCAAACACTACACTGTTACATAGAAATATAAACAACTTGCTCCTGAATAACTTTTGGTAAACAACAGAGGCAGAAATTTAAAAGTTCTGTGTAATAAATGAAAACAGAGAAAACATACCCAAAATCTCTGGAATGCAGCACATACAGTGTTAAAAGCAAAGTTTATAGTGCTAAACACCTATCTCAAAAAGTTAGAAAGATCTCAAATTAACATCATACTTAGAGGAACTAGAAAAACAAGAACAAACTAACCCCAAAGCTAGCAGAATAACTAAAATTAGATCAGAACAAAACAAAATTGAGAACCAAATATCTGATCAATGAAACCTAAAGTTGGCTTTTTTGAAAGGATAAACAAGATCGATAGACTGCTAGCAAGATTAACAGAGAAAAAGATACAAATAAGCACAATGAGAAATGACAAAGATTACACTACAACTGATCCAATAGAAATGCAAAAGATACTCAGAGACTATCATGAACACCTCTATGCACACAACTTAGAAAATCTAGAGGAAACTGGCTGGGCGCAGTGGCTCATGTCTGTAATCCCAGCACTTTGGGAGGCTGAGGCAGGCAGATCACGAGGTCAGGAGATCGAGACCATCCTGGCTAACACGGTGAAACCCCATCTCTACTAAAAATACAAAAAAAAAAAAAAAAACAAAATACAAAATAAATACAAAAAAAACACTAGCCAGGTGTGGTGGCGGGTGCCTGTAGTCCCAGCTACTTGGGAGGCTGAGGCAAGAGAATGGCGTGAACCCGGGAGGCGGAGCTTGCAGTGAGCCAAGATTGTGCCACTGCACTCCAGCCTGGGCGACAGAGCAAAACTCCGTCTCAAAAAAAAAAAAAAAACAGAAAAAGAAAAAAAAAAAAGAAATCAAAATATGGAGGAAACTGATAAATTCCTGGAAACATACAACCTTCCAAGATAGATTGAGAAAGAAACTGAAGCCCTGAACAGACCAAGAGAGTTCTGAAATTAAATCAATAATCTACAAACCTACCAACCAAAAAAGACAGCAGAGCAGAAGGATTCACAGCTAAATTCACATCTAAATTCTACTAGACATACAAAGAAGAGCTGGTCCCAATTCTATTAAAACTATTCCAAAAAATTGAAGAGGAGATACTCCTAATTCAATCTATGAAACACCACTCTGATACCAAAATGTGGCAAAGATGCAACAAAAAGAGAAAACTACACACCAATATCCCTGATGAAAACAGGTGCAAAAAATCTCAACGAAATGCTAGCTAGCCAAAATCAACAACACATTAAATGTATCATTCATCATTACTAAGTGGGATTTATCCCAAGGTTGCAAGGATGGTACAACATATGGAAATCAATGTGATATATCATATTAACAGAAGGGACAAAAATCATATGATTATTTCAACTGATGCTGAAAAAGCATTTGATAAAATTCAACGTTCCTTCATGATAAAATCCACCAAAAAACTGGTTATAGAAGGAACATACCTCAGTACAATGAAAGCCATATATGACAAATCCACAGTATCATACTGAACAGGAAAAAAAAAATGTCATTCCTCTAAGATCAGGAACAAGACAAGGATGCCCACTTCCACCATTGTTAACATAATACTGGAAGTCCCAGCTAGAGCAATCAGACAAGAGAAAAAAATAGGGGCAGCCAAATTGGAACAGAAGTTAAATTATCCTTGTTTACAGATCATATGATCTTATATTTAAAAAAACCTTAAGACTCCACCAAAGAACTATTAGCACTTATAATTAAATTCAGCAAAGTTGGAGGATACAAAAATGAACATATAAAAATTAGTAGCATTTCTATATAACAGTGAATAATTGGAAAAAATAAAGTAATTCCATTTACAATAGCTAGAAATAAAATACCTAGGAATAAACTTAAGAAGCAAAAAATTTCTACAATGAAAACTGCAAAATATTGATTCAAGAAATTGAAGAGGACATGAGAAATGCAAAGACATTGCATGTTCATGGATTGGAAGAATGAATATTGCTTAAATGTCCATATTACCCAAAGCAACCTACAGATTCAATGCAATATGTATCAACATACCAATGACATTCTTCAAAGAAATAAAAACCCTGTAATTTATATGGAACCACAAAAAAACCAGAATAGCTGAAGCCATCTCAAGCAAAAAGAACAAAACTGGAAAAATCACATTATCTGACTTCAAATTATACTACAGAGCTACAGTAACCAAAACAGCATGGTATTGGCATAAAAACAGACACATAGATCAATGGAAGAGAGAATCCAGATATAAACCCACACATGTAAAGTGAACTCATTTTCAAGAATGGTGCCAAGAACGTATACTGTATTGGGGAAAAAAAAGTCTCTTCAATAAATGGTGCTGGGGAAACTGGATATCCATATGCAGAATGAAACTAGACCCCCTATCTCTTACCATATGCAAAAAATGTATTAAATATTTAAATAAATATAAGACATGAAATTACTCAAATAAAACACTGGAGAAACTCTCCAGGACATTGGTGTGGGCCAAGGTTTCTTGGATAATCCTCCAAAAGCAAGGCAACCCAAAAGAAAAAAAAAAAAGACAAATGGGATCACATCAAGTTAAAAAGCTTCTGCACAACAAAGGAAACAAAGTGAAGAGACAACCCACAAAACAAGAGAAAATGTTTGCAAACTACCTATCTGACAAGGGATTGATAATCAGAATACATAAGGAGCTCAAACGGCCCAAGGAAAAAAAAACCTCAATCCAATGTAAAAATGGGCAAAAGATACAAATACACATCTCTCAAGACACACAAATGGCAAACAGGTATATGAAAAACATGCTCAACATCACTGATCATCTGAAAATTCAAATCAAAACTATGAGACATCATCTCATCCCAGTTGTGATGGCTTTAATCCAAAGGATAGGCAACAACAAATGCTGATAAGGGTGTAGGGAAATAGGAGTCCTTACATAATGTTAGTGGGAATGTGAATTACTACAAGTGCTATGGAGCAAAGTATGAAGGGTCCTCAAAAAAAATCTAAAAATAGAACTCCCATATGATCCAGCAATCCCACTGCTAGGTATATACCTCCAAAGGAAGGACATCAGTCTATCAAAGAGATACCTGCACTTCCACATTTATTGCAGCACTATTCACAATAGCCAAGGTTTGGAAGTAACCTGTGTCTATCAACAGACAAATAGATAAAGTGTTGTACATATACACGATGGAGGACCATTTAGCCGTACAAATCAATGAGATTTTGTCTTTTGCAACAACATGGATGGAACTGGAAGTCATTATGTTACGTGAAATAAGCCAGGCACAAAGACAAATGTCACATGATCTCACTCATTTGTGGGAGCTAAAAATTAAAACAATTAATCTCACGGAGGTAGAGAGTAGAATGATGGTTACCAGAAGCTGAGAAGGATAGTGAAGAGAGTAGGGGAAGTAAGGATGGGTAATGGGAACAAAAATATAGTTAAATGAGTAAGATCTAGTATTTGATAGCACAACAGCATAATTTACTGTACACTTAATAACTATTATATAATTGGAAAGCTCATAACACAAAAACATGATAAATGCTTGGGGTAAATATCCCATTTACCTTGATGTGATTTTACATGGTATGCCTGTATCAAAATGTTTTATGTACCTGATATGTATATGTACCCATAAAACTTAATTTTTTAAAAAAGGAACAATGATATTTAAAAGAAAAGAGGTACTAAGGGTATGTAAGAGGCTGTTATAACCATTGCCTTCTCCAGCCCCTGAAGAAGTTTTCCAGGAACTTAAGGGCCAGTCTACCTGTAGGAAAAGCTTGTTTATAAATAGGGAGAACCCTTTATTAACATTTTAAAAATTGTTTCAAAACAAACACTTAAGCATTGTTGATATTTTGCTATCGTCACTTAAATTTTTGTAAGATAGAAAATATTTACATTTATAAGATACTCTCTTCCCTCACCCACCTGTCCAATGCTGGTCAGCACTAAACCCTATTTGGAGATTACTTTAGGTGTGAAATTTACATGATTCATATTCTACCTAATAATGCTATTAATACTACTCCAAGTTGTAAGCGTCTCATAGCTTCTTTTCCCTCTTGGTGCAAGTTAATGGAATTGCCTTGAAATTCCTTGTTTCTTTTTCTAAAGCTTTTCCATGAGAAAAGCAAATATCTAAGTGTAAAATCCTCAGCATCCCTGCCGAGTTACAGAAAAACAAAAATATGCAAATTGGCATTAGATCCAGTATTAGAGATCCTAAAAGACTTGTAGGGAACTCTTCTGAATGTAATTCAGAGGGTTTGAAGATTATGAGGTAAAATGACTTAAAATAATTACATTTTAATTCTAGTTCACATAATAACAGAATCCAATTAAAACATTAATTTAAATTGCCCTTATTTGGGGATTTCAAAGATACTTATGTAGCTTCTCCCTGATTCTATCAAGTGAAATGAAAATGCAAACCCAACATGTTAGATTTTATTTCATGCAAGATTTTGGCTTTTGGTTTTTTAAACAATGCCTAAATGAAATGCCCCTAAATCCTAACATTTGCCTCATAGAGCAGGTAATTTACTGTAACCTACAAATCTAAGATTATATAAGTGCAAACAGATGTTCAATTAAATTGAACATAATTAAACCTAGTATCTATTATTTCTCGGAAACTCATACTATATTGCAAACTCTGTGGCTCTACAACTTGTTCCATTTTCCTTAAAACTTTACTAGAATAGAGTGTTAAATTTATCTGACAAATCCTTTATATCAAGGTGTTTTTTAAAATGCCTAATTGACCCAGACTAATATAATACTAAGATAGTTTAACTAGTTTTCTGGGCATTTCTAGAAAAGTAATTCTAAGAAATAATGTTGATAGTCCACATTACTTCCATGTATGATTTTCTAGTTTCTTGTGAACATATAAATTCATAACACTCAAGACGATTAAAATCAGCATACCATTGACTTCCGACTATATGTATGCATGTATGTGTATTGCATTTGCAATTATATCAAGGTAAAGTTAACAATTAAGAAAAATAATTACCTCCAGGTAACAGAAGCCTGGTGAATTAGAGAAAAGAAATTAGGCTTGATAATTGTACTCCATCTGGGAGTAGGATTTGTTTGAACAGTAGATGCTTTGGGAACTGTATTCCGATTTGTTTTTCCAACATCCTCCAGATTCTCTTTTGGGGCTTAACACCGTGTGAAGAAGGCACTTGCTTCCCCTTCACCTTCTGCCATGGTTGTAAGTTTCCTGAGGCCTCCCAGTCATGCTTCCTGTTAAGCCTGCAGAACTGTGAGTCAATTAAACCTCTTCATAAATTACCCAGTCTCAGGTAGTTCTTTGTAGAAGTGTGAGAATGGACTGATACATAATCCCAACACTGGAACACTCAAGCAATAAAAAAAAAAATCGAGTTAAAAAAACAAAATCAAAGGAGTACTAGAAGGAAAAAATATACTCACATTCAGCAAATAGTGCTAGATTTGCATGTGTTAGAAAAAGTAAGCTGATAAACTTAATTGATGCATTTTGAGAAGAGAGGTTGGAGTGAGTCATGAGGCACATGAAAGCTACAGTAAAGAAAATGTGTTATTCTTTTTATTATTATACTTTAAGTTTTAGGGTACATGTGCACAACATGCAGGTTTGTTACATATGTATACATGTGCCATGTTGGTGTGCTGCACCCATTAACTCATCATTTAACATTAGGTATATCTCCTAATGCTATCCCCCCCCTTCCCCCCACCCCACAACAGGCCCCAGAGTGTGATGTTCCCCTTCCTGTGCCCATGTGTTCTCATTGTTCAATTCCCACCTATGAGTGAGAACATGCGGTGTTTGGTTTTTTGTCCTTGCGATAGTTTGCTGAGAATGATGGTTTCCAGCTTCATCCATGTCTCTACAAAGGACATGAACTCATCCTTTTTTTTTCTCTCTCTCTTGTTTTTCACTCTTGTTGCCCAGGCTGGAGTGCAATAGCATGATCTCAACTCACCACAACCTCTACCTCCCAGGTTCAAGTGATTCTCCTGCCTCAGCCTCCTGAGTAGCTGGGATTAGAGGCATACACCACCACGCCCAGCTAATATTGTATTTCTAATAGAGACAGGGTTTCACTATGTCGAGACCAGGCTGGTCTCGAACTCCTGACCTCATGATCCACCTGCCTTGGCCTCCAAAGTGCTGGAATTATAGGTATGACCCATTGCACCCAGCTGTTGTGCACTTTTCTTAAATACATACCCAAATGTAAGGATATGCAAACTTTCCTGTCAAGTGATTCCTGGTCCACTCCAGGGCACTGAACACCTTATTCACTTAGACCAAGGTCTCCCTGTCCATCCCATACCTTCTTAAATCAATATGGTGATCTAGAATCAGGTCTCCAGACATGGTATCAGGGTATGTGTTGTACTAGTCAACCCTTGTCAAGAATAAAGGAGTACAAACCTGTATGACCCTGCAGCTAAGAGGATGAATTCCCACTGGAGGCCAATAATGGCCAAGACAATGCCCAGTTAAAAGTCCTCAGGGTAAGCACTTCTGTCCGAGATGAAAACGGCAAGAATGAATCAATTTGAAATATGGGCATAAACATCATGAATTGAAATTTCCAAAGGAGGATATTATTTGGGTTTTCTACGAATGAAACTGATAAAAATCTTCCCACAAAGTATCCGACGGGCCTAAATAACTTCACCACTGGATTCTGCCACCAGTTATGACATGACACCAGTCACACACCAATTATTCCAGACAACATAAAAAGATGGGAATATTTATCAAAAGGTTGCTTTCCCTTGGTAACCCCATGGGTTCACTAGAAGAGGCAGCATCCTCACCATCTCTTTTAGACTGAGACTATATGCTCACATCTCAGAGTGGCCATGAGGTTTCTACTCATTAGGTGCATGTTGCAGGTGAGAATAGTATCACAAGAGGCTGGTTAAGTCTCACTGATTGCTGACAGAAAGTTCTCTTCCCCAGTTTGGAATATTCTCTACCCTCCCTTATGGCTACTTCTGTTCCAATTGTCAGAACCACCTAGCCCAAAAAACCATGTCTAGTACAGACCTCAAAGAGTCCTAGACCTGATATGCAAGACCAGTAGCTGCTTCCACATCAGAGCCCCAGCTCACACTTGTGACTCAAGGAGACTGGCCGACCCACCACTCCCCACAGCAGGGAATGGGGATATCAGAATTCTGTTCCCGTGATCAGAGACTGAGCCCTTCTTTCCCAGAGAGCAAGGTGCTGTTGTGAAGGTGACCAAGATCGTTCCATGCATTTGTGAAAACCTGCGACCAGAGGCATCAAGAGAGAAAGGCAGATGCTTCCAGCACCGTGTGTTCTGTCAGTCCTTCACCTCCTTTGAGTGGGCTTCCAAGATGCTGCACCTACCACTGACTTGAGAAACTGCCAAAGATATACATCTCTCACCAACAATGCCTGCTCTTTATAAGATAAGGGGTGACTCAAGAATATTATCTGCTAAACTTTCTAAAAAGAAACAGTGGAGTTTGAAGCAGATATAGGTCACATCATTAACAATGAGGACACATCAGTACTCAGGCATGAGAGAGGAGACACCCTTTCCTCTCTGATCTTTGAGGTAGACCAATGAAATCATTCCCTTAGTGCTCTCTAACCTGAGGTGACCCTGGAAACAGGGCCCTTGCACAAAGGTGTCAGTGTATGAGCCCTACTAAAAATAAGGCAGCTATTCCTCATCCACTTACAGAAGAGTTTGGTACTCAGTTCTATTCAGAGGTAAAGACATTCAGCCAAGTCCTGAAGGAATTTCAGGCCAGAGGATGGACTGTGTACCAGCCCCACAGTGTCAGCGGCCTGCCATGAGGTGTTCTGAGAGTGGACCCAGTTTCTGAAACTGGGCTGCTGGGAAGTTTGCCATCTCCAAATGGTGCTATTATCCTGGGTGGATGGAACCAATTGAAGGAAAGAATTTTCAGGATAGAACCTGAGGAAGCACCTGTCAGTATAGAGCTGCTCACTGGATGCTGGGGCTGGGCAATTCTCATTAGGGCTCCAATAGGAGGCTCCATCAAACTCTTAGCCCCAGGCCTCACCTGGCCCTTAAGAGATCCCAACTTGTGTGACCACTGGTAACTTAAGTGACAGGATATTTTAACATCACATTGGATTAAGTTTCTGTGAAGGGTACAGCTGATTCTTTCAACATGTCCTTAGTATGTTGGATCAGACAGAGCTCCCACTGTCTAGATATGTATTCACCAGCCCAACACGACAAGAAACAAATTGGACATACTGCAGGAAGGCTATCATCTGGTCAGACTCAGTGGTTATCTTATAGAAATATAACCAGTCATAATCACAATCTTATATGGCAATGCCTGAGAGCATCCCCTGCTGCATCACATGAGGGATTTGTGGGAGCCACTAAGAGCTGCTGCACACATGCTCCAGGGTGGGGCAGCCTTCAGTGGGATGGGCTCCCTGAGGTGCTCAACTATGAGTCAACCTAAGAGCAACCTGTGGTCATATCAGATTCTGCACACCTTGGAGCACTCAGGGAAGATGCAGCTATGACCTAGATTATTAAAATAACTGCTTTAATTACTTATGTTCCTACTGCCTGTTCAATTGAAGAAAAGGCACAGTAACCAAAAGAAATGTTTACATTTCAGTCACTCAAACAGCTCGTTCCAAGGGGCTCCTCAGAACAGGGTGGAAAGTAGGACGTCAGGCACTTGGGTTCAAGGTGACCTCCGTGCCCATTACTTGTGGTTCAAACACCTGTGTCCTCATTCTCAGAGAAACCACAACCAATGGGAAAGAAAAGGCTGTCACCTGAAAGTTCTGCCACTTTAAGATAGTTTATATATCTTGAAGACAATTTTCAAGCAATAATCCCATGGCAGCATATTGAATACCCAGAGATTTTCGAGCTCAAGTGCGTGATTCTTGGGGCAACATCTGAGAAACCAGGCTTAAAGTAAACATTGTGCATGTAACAGCTGCCTGTGGACATGTCTAGAGAGAAATCAGAGCTAAAGTCTATCCCAAAGTAACCAGAGGGAGAAAATCTCACATAGACCATGAAAAAAACTCAGATGGAGAAGATCTGCTTATGGCAAATAAGCAGCAAGGATATCAGGAAGATGAGTTTAAGAATTCTGTATGCTGAGACCTTGAGGATTTGGCAGAATGAGGTCACACAAAGCCCAGACACCTGTTGTCAAACAAAAGCAAAATAGGCTTGGAATTCCTCACGGTGTTCATCATTGGTGTTGAAAATAACCTGGAACCAAGGTAAAACACTGCAGTGAATGCAGCAGGACCCCAGTTTCAAACACGTTTCACTCTCGTCTGATTCAGACTTGAGTGTTTCAAGGGAGATGTCACCCACCAAGCCAGCCTTCATTAGGATTCACAGGGCTAAATGCAAAGATAAAGACCATCCAAAGATGATGAATGTCAGAATTTTCAGCTATGGAACAGTCCTATTGCAATAGGACTGATGCCGTTCCTTTCTCACTAAAGGGCAACCCAAGTATATTAATTTATTTTCACGCTGCTGATAAAGACATACCTGAGACTGGTTAATTTATGAAGAAGAGGTTTAATAGACTCACAGTTCCACATGGCTGGGGAGGCTTCATAATCATGGCAGAAGGCAAGGAGGAACAAAGGCATGTCTTACATGGCAACAGGCAAGGGAAGAATGAGAGCCAAATGAAGGTAGAAACACCTTATAAAGCCACCAGATCTCATAAGAACTCACTATCATGAAAACAGTAAGAGGGAAACCAACGCCATGATTCAATCATCTCCACCCGGTTCCACCCTTGATATGTGGGGATTATTACAGTTCAAGATGAGATTTGGTTGGTGACACAGCCAAACCATATCATTCCACCCCGGCCCCTCCCAAATCTCATGTTCTCACTTTTCAAAACACAATCATGCCCTTCCAACGGTCCTCTAAAGCCTTAACTCATTCCAGCATTAACCCTGAAGTCCAAGTCCAAAGTCTCATCTGAAATGAGGCAAGTCCTTCCCACCCATGAGCCTATAAAATCAAAAGCAAGTTACTTCCTAGATACAGGCATTGGGTAAATACACCCATTCCAGATGGATGGGAGAAATTGGCCCAAACCAATAGGCTACAGATCCTATACAAGTCCAAAATTCAGTGGGACAGTCAAATCTTAAAGCTCTGAAGTGATCTCCTTTGACTCCATGTCTCACATCCAGGTCATGCTGATGCAAGAGGTGGGCTCCCATGGTCTTGGACATCTCTGCCCCTATGGCTTTGCAAGGTATAGCCCCTCCACCCATCCAAATCTGGTTTCATGGGCTGGCATCAAGTGTCTGACTTTTTTTTAGGGGCATGGTGCAAGCTGTTGGTGGATCTACTATTCCGGGGGGCTGGAGTACAGTGGCCCTCTTTCTCACAGCTCTACTAGGCAGTGCCCCAGTGAGGACTATGTGGGGGCTCCTGCTGCACATTTCCCTTCTGCATTGCCCTAGCCGAGGTTCCCCATGAGGGCTCTACCCCTGCAACAAACTTATGCCTGGACAGGTATTTCCATACATCCTCTGAAATCTAGGCAGAGGTTCTCAAACCTCAATTATTGACTTGTGTGCACCTGCAGGCTCAACACAATGTGTAAGTTGCCAAGGCTTGGGGCTTATACCCTTTGAAGCCATGGCCCAAACAGTACCTTGGCCCCTTTTAGCTAAGACTGGAGCAGCTGGGACACAGGGCACCAAGTCCTTAGGCTGCACACAGCAAGAGTCCCCTGAGACTGGCCCATGAAACCGTTTTTTCCTTCTCGACCTCCAGGCCTGAGATGTGAGAGGCTGCAGTGAAGACCTCTGACATGCCCAGGAGACATTTACCCCACTGTCTTGCTGATTAACATTTGGCTCTTTACTTATACAAATTTAAGCATGAATTTCTCCTTAGAAAATGGGTTCTTTTCTATCGCATCAGGCTGCAAAGTTTCTTTGTACTTTTATGCTGTGTTTCCCTTATAAAACTGAATGCTTTTAATAGCACCCAAAGTCATCTGTTGAATGCTTTGCTGCTTAGAAATTTCTTCCACTGGATACCCTAAATCATCTCCCTCAAGTTCAAAGTTCCACAAATCTCTGTGATAGCGGCAAAATGCTACCAGTTTCTTTGCTAAAACATAGCAAGAGTCACCTTTACTTCAGTTCCCAACAAGTTCCTCATCTCCATCTGAAACCACCTCAGCCTAGATTTCATTGTCAGCATTTTTGTCAAAGCTATCTGAGTTTTCAGGAGGTTCTAAACTTTCCCATATTTTCCTGCCTTCTGAGCCCTCCAAACTGTTCCAACCTCTGCCTGTTACCCAGTTCCAAAGTCACTTCCACATTTTAGGGTATCTTTATAGCAGTACCCCACTCTGCTGGTACCAATTTACTGTATCAGTCTGTTTTCACACTGCTGATAAAGACACACCCGAGACTGTGTAATTTACAAATTAAAAGAGGTTTAATGGGCTCAGAGTTCCACATGGCTGGGGAGGCCTCACAATCATGGCAGAAGACAAAAACCCCATCTTACATGGTGGCAGGCAAGAGAAGAATGAGAGCCAAAGGGCGAAACCCCTTATAACACCATCAGATTTCATGAGAACTTTCATGAGAACAGTATGGGGGAAACCAACCCCATGATACAATCATCTCCACCTGGTTCTGCCCTTGACATGTGAGGATTATTGCAATTCAAGGTGAGATTTGGATGGGGACATAGAGCCAAACCATATCACCCAGGAACATTGGGATCCCTCCGGGAAGTATGGACAAGTGTGAGAGACTGGAAATCTCAGTGTTATCCTCTAGACCCCCTTTTTCTGAGCACAGCAGTGGAAGACAGCACCATGCCTGTTGTCTCATCCCATCAGGACCCTTTCCCATGACTTCAAGGTCATTGTCCTAAGGCTTTCCCAAAATTATCCCAAGGCAGCTCAGCCTCAGGCACTAAGGGCCATCTCAGCTGTGCAGAGAGCAGATTAACCTTGATCAATGGGTTGTCAGTTTGAGAGTGAATCCCAGAACACCGTTTCCTAGGAGGCACATCCTGAGATGATTCTGAAATATTTCCTGTCAGCATTCCCGGTAAGACTGAACCACAACAGCCTAGAGGCAAGCAGCCCAACGCTCTGCCCATCTCCACTGCTTTCACTGCTCCATCCTCTGGGGCTCCAGGATCACTTCTTAAAACAAATCTTCCAAGCACAGGTCTCAGATTATGAGTTTAGTGAATTCAAACTAAGACGTCAGCATTTTCTTCCATACTTCAATTAGGACAAAGAATAAGCATTCTCTCATTTGATTGATATGAAAGTATCAAGTTATCTAAGTCAGGAATATAAAATGAGGCATACATTTTAAAGTCTCTATTTGAAGATAAAATTATGAGCGTTGTTCAATTTAAATCTCAGTTATTTGTGCTAATGCCTGAGAGACAACTGAGCAAACCTTTTCCAACAAGTAGATATAGGATATACATGTTGACTATGAAGAAAATGATTCTCTAATTTTCAACCTCCCACCAGAAGCACAGATGGACAAGGGCTCCTTGCTTCCTCTACACGAGAAAAACTTCCTGTTTTTCTAGACCAAAAAATAAGCAATCTTTAAATTATTGTGAAAAACTGCATTCCATTGAAACACTTTCAGATTTGAAACAAAGCTCAAGGTAGCACAGACACAGCCTCATTCATGATGACTCAAGTTCTCAAGACACTGTCCAATTCAGCTTCCTTATTCTAAGAATCACTAGCTGAACAAGGACTGAAGTGGAAACAAACTCCCTAAGGAGATACCTGTGAACACAACCAAAAACAGCCAATATTCCACACCACAAGGAGTCAAGAGAGAAAGTCACTGTGGCCCAAGAGAGACACAGTGTCCAGTATCACAGAGCAACAGTGAACAAGGAGCTGCGAAGCAGAGACAGGCAGTGTCCACCTTCAAGCCTTTATGCCCCCTGTGCAGTGCCTACTGTGATGTTGTATCATCCCTGACGTACTGTGCTGGAAACACAGGAGTGGGGCTTTGAAATGCTAAGACACTGAAATGTGTTCCAAATAGAGGTAGGAACCCAGAATAGGTCTGCACATACCCATTCCTTCATCTAAGAAAAACCCTATAAGGTTGTAAAACCTACACAATAGAGCAGAAGAAGGGTCTTTGGGACAACAGATTTTATAAAATAATGGCAAAATCCATAGGAAGTGGAATACATCTAGCCACACATCAACAGAAATAAGCTGCATCCTTGGGACATGCTTAAATACCAAATATATATATATATGTGTGTGTGTGTGTATATATATACATACACATACATATACACACACATGCATATATATACATGTATGTGTATATATACACTTGTATGTATACATGTATGTGTGTACACGTATATATGTGTATGTGTATATGTATATATGTATATACATATATATGTATATGTATATGTATGTACCCATGTGTGTACATGTGTGTATATATGTGTATATGTGTGTGTATATGTGTGTATGTGTGTGTATATGTGTATATGTGTATATATGTGTATGTGTATATATGTGTATATGTGTATATATATTATATACGTATATATATGTGTACATGTGTGTATGTGTGTATATATGTGTGTGTGTATGTGTATATATGTGTATATGTGTGTATATATGTGCATATATGTGTATATATGTGTGTGTGTATGTGTGTATGTGTGTGTATGTGTATGTGTGTGCATGTGTGTGTGTATATGTGTGTATGTGTATGTGTATGTATATGTGTATGTATGTGTGTATATATGTATATGTGTGTATGTGTGTATATGTGTGTATATGTATGTATGTGTGTATATGTGTACGTATGTGTATGTATGTGTACGTATGTGCACGCATGTGTACATATGAGTGTATATATAAATATATGGGGGTGTGTGTGTATATATATATATATATATATATATATATGCAGAGCCTTGGGCTGCTTGCCTCTAGGCTGTTGTGGTTCAGTCTTACTGGGAATGCCGACAGGAAATATTTCAGAATCATCTCAGGATATACATATATACACATATATACACATATATACACATATATACACATACATATATACATATATACACATATATACACACACATACACATACACACACATACACATACACACACATATATATACACACATATACACATATATACATACATACATACATATACATATATATATATATATGGGGATTATTACAATTCAAGATGAGATTTGGGTGAGGACAGGGTCAAACCATATAATTCTTCCCCTCTGTATTATACTTCTCTGAAGCACAGGCTTTTAACGATATAGGAATTTCCTGTCACATCATTCCAGGTCCCCACTTGGATAATCAAGACCACACATTTTCCATTTGCAGTATTTCAAAATATCCAGCTGACATTTGCAGTTTGCATGACAGGTGTAAGTTTTAAAGAGTATGATCTTTGAGTACTATCCCTTCATGGAAAGAAGGCTGTGTCATTTTACAGGTAACATGCCTACCACTACTGCAAGATTTGATGTAAAGGAAAACTTTTCCGTAACTGTTTTTCTGACTAAAGCATCAGCAGTTATGAAGCATCAACTAGGAAAGCTTTACGATCTCCAGCCCTCAACATCCATAGATCTTGACATTAGTATTAACGAGCCTCTACCACAGCTAAAACATCTACAATCAAAACCTTGATCTTCCACTGTAGATGATCCTTGTGACATCTGTGAGCAGCTCTACTTTAACCTGGTGTGAGACTAGTCATCTGTCTCAACTAAGGAAAAGTTCCAAGAACAAGCAGACTACTAACCAGGAAATTAAAACATGCAATTTTCCATATAATATTTAGTGGAGGGTCCTTTTAAGATTGTAGTAAGGTCACCAAGGATACCTTCAATGCTAGTTAGCAGGTAGTGTAAAAACAGGTAAGGAAAGGTAGCTTTATCCATACAACAAGGAAAAATGACATTTATCATTAGTGCTAACTTGCCATTGGATAAATTTTTTTTTTCCCCCCTGAGACAGAGTCTCACTCTGTCACCCAGGCTGGAGTGCAGTGGCATGATCTTGGCTCACTGCAAGCTCCGCCTCCCAGGTTCACGCCATGCTCCTGCCTCAGCCTCCCGAGCAGCTGGGACTACAGGTGCCCGCCACCATGCCCAACTAATTTTTGTTTGTATTTTTAGTAGAGACGGGGTTTCACCATGTTAGCCAGGATGGTCTCAATCTCCTGACCTCGTTATCTGCCCACCTCGGCCTCCCAAAGCCACTGGATCAATGTTTAAGTTTCCAATGAAATGCCCTTCAGCTCCAATGGGGGTGTTATATTCCACTATACCCCTTTTTATTTTTATTTGGAGATAGAGTTTTGCTCTTGCTGTGAAGGCTGGAGTGCAACGGCTCAATCTCAGCTCACTGCAACCTCTACCTCCCAGATTCAAGTGATTCTCCTGCCTCAGCCTCCCAAATAGCTGGGATTACAGGAGCCCGCCATCATTGCCCAGCTAATTTTTTTGTATTTAGTAGACATGGGTTTCACCATGTTGGTCAGGCTGGTGTGTAACTCCTGATCTCAGGTGATCCACCCACCTCAGCCTCCCAAAGTGCTGGGATTACAGGCGTAAGCCACCGTACCCAGCCGCCCTTTTAATGCATGAACCATACATGAGACTTAAGGGTTCTAACAAGTTGAGGACCAACATCCAATTTCATACGCCAGGTAATGTAAACTAAGGCTCTATCTACGGGACCATGGGATGATTCAAAACATGGTGACATCTAATTGTTTCCAACTTACATCATCTGAGTAGTGCTTAGCACTCTCACATGCTGTGTTCCTGAAGGAAACAGGGAAACCAGCTACATAGTCCCAGACTACCGCAGATCTTGTCCCACAATACACTCCTAATTGGGATTTCCAGGAATGTGTGTTTTGGGAGGAAAGATTCAAACTGGCTCTTTTATGATGTTTTTTTTTATCTTTAAGAGACACACAATATAGAGTGTCTTCTAAACCTGGGTCTTCCCAGTTTTAGAATTTCCCAGTTTTAGAATTTCCACAGTAACCAAGAGACCTCTTTTGAGCCAGTTATTGAACAACACTCACAAGACCACAAGTGTTTCAAGAGATCCTACTGGAGATGTGGTTTATTGATGTGTAGGGACTGGGAATGAGCTCCTTGCTCTTCTACTTTGCTGCTGAAGTGAAGTACCCATGCCCAGTTTTAGACAGAATAGGACTCTTCTGTTCAAATACAGAGCTCAGAGAGCAAGATGGAATGGCTACAACCTTCCTGTTCATTTTTACTGTAAGATTTTCTTCACCCTTATACCAAAAAAGAACGAAGTTTCATCTTCACTTTGTCACAGCATCAAGACAACCATTCACCAGCAATAGGAACAAGGATTGAGACAAGTAATGAAGATGAAAACCCAAAGTGAAGGAAGTTAAACATGCCCCAATTGTTGCATGACTAATGAGATAGCAGCAAAGACCAACATAAAAAGACTACAAGCAGTTTACTAGAAAGTACCACACAGAGCACCCTGGAGTCATATGGGCTCATCCGTGAGGACCATGAAGATTGTAAGTACACACCCTGAATTCTTAGCTTTACTGCCAGAATAAGATGCCCACATCCCCAGACTTCCCGGCTGGCCAGGGAGCTCCGTGTGTTTCGGAAGCCTGCTTCTCAGTGTGAAGGATGAGGGGTTCTATGTCTTCTTGAGCTTCCTTCAGTCAGTCCGTTTGCGAGCTGCAGGGTGGCTAAGAAAGCAATTCATTATGAGAAGACCTGGAGTTGTTTATTTTCCTCTTATTACCATCTCCTACAACCTCTGACCTGATGCCATCAGGAAAGCTTTCCAAGAAAAAGCAAAACCAAAGCTAATGGCTGGAAAGCATTATCAATAGCTGCCTCTTCCACCCAGAAAGTGCCACTGGCTTACAGTGTTTAGCTAAGCATCAGTGAACTGTAGCAGCGTGGCACCATGCAACTATAAAGGTTTTGGAATTTCACTCCAGGCCTCCTAGATGGGCCCTAGATACTCAGCAAGAAGGCACAATATTGCCCATGATGATGACCATCCCGCACCTGTCTGCAACAATTTTTATTCATTCCAAAGGAATCCAGAGATAAGCTACAACATACCTCCACCTCTAACCTTCTAGTATTCAAATTCCTGTGGGAAATTTTCAGGAGCAGCACCAAAGACATCAGAACTTGGGAGGAAATAGATATACATTATGACCTTCAATCCTGAACATCCCCACCAAGTAAACAACGGAAACATTTCCAGAAAGAGCCTGTTTAATACATATGGACATGTTTTATATTCACTACAAGAACCCAAAGGACAAAGAGACTAGCCACTTAGAGTAACTTTAACAAAATCTTACTCAATCAAAAGTGTTAATTTAAATCAAGAGACTGATGTATATAGAGTTCATATCCTCAAAGTTATGGGAGCAGGCATTAGGCAAATAATGTAAGACAAATATTTAGCCAAAAAATACTACATAAAAATATGTGAAATGAATGCTATAAAGAATATGGCTGAAGACCACAGGGAGATTTCCTGATGACCAGAGAAAAATCAAAAGGCTAAAATAAGGAGGACGAGAGAACAGAATGTATTTGCTTTGATCATTGCAACAAGCCCCTCCTCCTGGCCCTGTGAAGTACAGGTAGGGACATTCAGGCATTTGGGTTCATGGCACCCTCCATGACCCTGGACGTGGAGTTTGAACACCTATAGACCCTGCCCTGCTCAGATAGCCCATGAAACTGTCGCAGTTATCCAAATCACTATAAGAAATGGCAGTAAACAGTTCTCTTCATTGCATATTTAGAAAATAATTTGTTACAATCAATATAAAATATCATCCTTATCCTGGATTGTCCAGGGAGACCACTGTCAGAAAAGTGATTAAAGAGAAAAAAGAACAGGGAAGGGGAAATGGAGATGACAATCAGATTAACATGAGCCGATTCTGTAGCCAAAGGGAGTCCTGCCTCTCACTGACATCGAACAAGGTCTCCACACTGAAAGATACATACAGAGCCATGAGGCAAGGAATGCAAGGGTCTCTAAAACTGGGTAAAGAGAGGGAACAAATCAATTCATAGAGCAGCCAGAAGGAAACACCACCTTGCCAACAACGTTCGTTTTCTCCAAGTGACCCCATTTCCAATTTGCTAACCTCTTTAATTAAGAAAATTAATTTTATGCCCCTAACTCAATACTTATTCATGATGGCACGATAGGAAATAAAGAACCTACCTGTTTGAAAATTGAAAGTCTAAGTTCAACATTCAGGGTTGTCCACAATAAGGTGTTCTTAACCTTGTATTACTAACAAAAGTCCTCATAACTTTACCTGGAAACACTAAGTGAGAAGAAAAATACAATAAAAATCCCCACATATCCTCTTAGCATCCCAGTGCAGACATGTGCGAGTCATATTATGGACACATTTGTACACATTTAAGTGTCAAATACATAGGCACAACTGCCTTAATATAGACTGATACATAAAGAAAAAATAGATTTCCTATGAAAGAAACAAAATAGATTTCCTATGAAGGAAATGAAATAGACCATGAAATATCTTCCTCCTGGATTCTGCCACCAACTAAAGGAGAAATACACCAATTGTATGCTAATTATTCCAAACAATATTTTAAAAACACATTTTTCCAAATGACACTCTTCCCAATCAACTAAGTGGATTGACTTAGACAACCCAGCGCATTCTCAAATTCTCCATCCTAGAGAAGCTCCTCTTTCACAGTGGAGCACGAGATTGCTGCTATTTATCAGCAGTCAATCTGCACAGCTCCCAAGAGGAAGACCATTTCTCACCAATCACCCGCTACAGCAAGCTCTTCGTCACCAACAGCTGTGAATCTCTCAGGCTCTTAGAGTCACACTTGCTTAAAAATATATATATATTAACACAAAGTACAAATGTTGGAAGGTTCACAGTTGTGACCCCTAGGAGCTTGGCAGGCCCAACACTCCCACCGGTGATGATGGGAATTATTTCAGAATCCTCATTCTTAAATACTATCGAGCCTTCCTGCCCAGAGAAGGTGTGGTTGTGACCATAATCAGCAATACCCCTCAGTTTTCTCGGGCAGCATTCACTTTGTACCAAAGGCATCAAAGAGAATGACAAGCTTCCAGCACCATGTACTTTGCGTTTACTCCTTCACCTCCTCTGGGTGAGTTTCTAAGGAGCTCTACCTACCATGGACTTGAGAAACTGCCAGAGCAGATTTCAGTCACCACAAGCAGCTACCTGATACATTAAGGGTAAGCTGACTCTGCAGAGTCTATTCTGTTTAACTGTCCAAGGGAAGAGAAAGAATCCGGGCAGAGCTCCATGTGAGTGTAGGTTGCATAATTAACATCAGTTCCCAGGCATTGGGGAGGAGTATTTTCCTAACTGGCTGGGGTCTTTGAGGTGGAAATAGAAAATATTAGTCCATTAGTGCTTCTCAACCCTATAAGCCCCTGTACACAGGGCTCAGGCACATTAATCAGGGTCAGCATACCAGCCTTACCATAGCTATCACGGCACATGTTCACGTCCAGTCATAAAAAAGGTTTGCTTTTCAGCTCTGTGTGCAGGTGCTTCCAGTCCTGATGGAACTGAAGGCCAGTGGGCTGGTTGGGTACAGGCCTCACAGTATGGGCAGCCCACAACAAGGTGTCTTCAAAGTGGACTCAGTCACTGGAACTGGGCTGCTGAGGAGTTTCCTGGCTTGAGGCTGTGGAATTATCCTGCAGAGATGAAGTAGTTTGAAGGAGAATGTTCAGGATGAAACATGAGGAAGCACCTGTCACTGCAGAGCTGCTCACTGGATGCTGGGAAACTCATCAGGACCCCTTAGGGGACTCCAGCAGCCTTTTAGCCCCAGGCCTCACCTGGCCCTTATGAAAACCCAACATGTATTACCTCTGGTTCTTGAATAGACAGGATATTGAATGGACATAATATTTTAACATTCATCTATTATACTTTAAGCTCTAGAGTACATGTGCACAACATGCAGGTTACATATGTATACTTGTGCCATGTTGGTGTGCTGCACCCATTAACTTGTCATTTACATTAGGTATATTTCCTAATGCTATCCCTCCCCCCACCCCACAAAAGGCTTCCATGTGTGATGTTCCCCTTCCTGTGTCCATGTGTTGTCATTGTTCAATTCCCACCTATGAGTGAGAACATGCGGTGTTTGGTTTTTTGTCCTTGTGATAGTTTGCTGAGAATGATGGTTTCCAGCTTCATCCATGTCCCTACAAAGGACATGAACTCATTTTTTATGGCTGCATAGTATTCCATGGTGTATATGTGCCACATTTTCTTAATCCAGTCTATCGTTGTTGGACGTTTGGGTTGGTTCCAAGTCTTTGCTATTATGAATAGTGCTGCAATAAACATACGTGTGCATGTATCTTTAAACAGCATCATTTATAATCCCTTGGGTATATACCCAAGTAATGGGATGGCTGGGTCAAATGGTATTTCTAGTTCTAGATCCCTGAGGAATCACCACAATGACTTCCACAATGGTTGAACTAGTTTACAGTCCCTCCAACAGAGTATAAGTGTTCCTATTTCTCCACATCCTCTCCAGCACCTGTTGTTTCCTGACTTTTTAATGATGGCCATTCTAACTGGTGTGAGATGGTATCTCATTGTGGTTTTGATTTGCATTTCTCTGATGGGCGGTGATGAGCATTTTTTCATGTGTCTGTTGGCTGCGTAAATGTCTTCTTTTGAGAAGTGTCTGTTGATATCCTTTGCCCACTTTTTGATGGGGTTGTTTGATTTTTTTCTTGTAAATTTGTTTAAGTTCTTTGTAGATTCTGGATATTAGCCCTTTGTCAGATGAGTAGATTGCAAAAATTTTTGCCCATTCTGTAGGGTGCCTTAACATTCATCTTATTGTTATAACTTTACATCAAGAAGAGAATACTTGTTTATGTCAAAATCCCCTTAGTATGTTGGATAAGATCAACAATTCAATCTGGATATAAGTTCCTCACCCCAACAGCAGAGGCATAAATTAGACACTGTGAGAGCTCTCATCTGATGAAACTGAAGGGTGATCTTATGGAAACATGAACCACAGAGTCAGAATTGCAGCTGTGTGGGCCAGAGAATCTCCAAGCCACAGAGTATTCAGAGATAGGAATGCCTATAACATGAATGATAAAAACCACTGTACTAATCCCTGACATTCTTACTGCCTCCGTAATGGAAAAAATAGCAAGGTAAACAAATGGGAAAGAAATTAACATGTCATTCACTCAGACACCCTGTTCCCAAAGGCCTCTCAGAGCAGGGTTAAAGGTCAAGCCCTCAGGCATTTCGAATCAGGGTCACCTCCTTGCCCTTTACTTGTGGCTCAGACACCCATGTGTCTTTGAGACAACCAAATGCTTAGGTAGATACTAAGGGGTCCCTGGCAAATCTCTGACCTGCCCCACAAGTGTTTACATCAGATGCTCTTGTGCAGATGAGGGAACCTGCCCAGGGCCTTGTCTGAGCCTGCCCACATGCGCACTGGGGGACTGGGGTGGAGCCACAGGCAGAGGGAGGAGCCTGGCCTCTGCAGTTCCTGTGGTGTGTCCTGTGGGGTGGGGGCAGGGGACCTGTTAGCAGGACTCCATCTCGCTTTGCTGAGTTTTCTTTTTTTCCTTTTTCACCCAATAAAATCTTGCCCTATTCACCCTTCAGTGTGTCTGCATGCCTAAATTTTCCTGGTCATGTAAAAAGAACCTAGTTTTAGCTGAACTAAGGAAAAAAATTCTGCAACATCCTCATTCTCAAAGCAACCAAAACCAACAGCAGGGTGGGAAACAGATTTCTTAAAAGCTGTCATCTGAAAGTTCCACCACTTTAAATACTAAATCTGTGTGCCTTGAAAACACCACTTGGGAGTTAATTTCATGGCAGCTTATTGAAGAGCCAGAGAACAGAGGTCGTGTGTGTAAATGTGGGCTCAATATTGACACTCAGTGATCTAAGAAATGAGGCTCAAAATAAACACTGCCCATGTGACAATATTCTGTGCACGTGTCTAGATAAATTAGAGCTGAAGTCTCGACCACAATATCTAGGGCTGAGAACCTCACATAGGCTACCTCGAATACCCAGGGAAGGATTCCTTACAACACCTAAGGTGCAACAGTATCAGGCAGACACATTAAAGCAAGTTCCAGGCTGTGGTCATGACTGGGTGGGAGAATGAGGATCACAGGAAACCCATACATACCTGCCGGCAAAGCAAAAGCAAAATAGCTTTGGAATCGCTCACATTGTCCCATCAGTTTCTAGAACCACCTTAACCAAGGATTTATTGCAATGGATGCAGCAGGACCATGTCAAACACATTTCTCTTCCATTTCATTCAGTCCTGGCTGTTCTAAAGGAGAATATATCACTTCCCAGGACAGTATTCACTAGAATCCACACGGGTGAAGAAGGTAGAGGCCATCACAAGATGATGGAAGGAAGAATCTTCAGCTATGGAACATGAACAGTCCTGCTGCAGAAGAACTAATCCTGTCCCGGTTCCTGATGTTTAAGAGCCCCAGGAGCCATAGAATTCTTTATTTCTGCCACGTGTGGGCAGGTGAATCAGAGGTTGGGTGGTTCAGTGACATTCCCCATATCACTCCAACACACTGCAGAAGGACTAATCCTGTCCCATTCCTGCTATTTAAAAACCTCAGGAGCCATGGAATTCTTTATTCTGCCATGTGTGGGCAGGTGAAGCAGAGTCTGGGAAGTTCAGTGACATCCCACAGATCACAACAATCAACACAGCTGCTGAGGTCAGCATCATGCCTGTGGCCCCATCCTGACTATAAAATACTATGAAAGAAACCATACCGAAATTCCTGCAGAACACTGCATTTACATTGAAATATATTCCCATTGAAGGAAAGCTCAGGATAGGGGTAGAAAAAGCCTCACTCATGATGATGGCCAAGTTCTCAAGGCATTCCTCAAGACAACTACATTTTGAAAACCATCTGAACATGGCCTAAAGAATCAAACTCACTGAAAACACAGCTGTGAAAACAGGCCGATGTGACCAATATGCTACATGAGGGGACAATATAGAGAAATTCACTGTCTCAGCAGATATGGGGGTAGTGCCCAGTACCAAATGTCAACCATGAACAAGGAGCTATGGAGGAGGAGCAGGCAGTGTCCTTCTCCCAGCATTTATGTTCCAGGGCAGTGGTTATCCCTTGATGGTATTTCATACCTGGAAGACTGTTAGAAACACAGGACTGGGGCTGTTGAAACTCAAAGACTGAACTGTATCCTTCAGAGTCCAGGTACGACCCCAAGATAGGTCTACATACCCCCATTCATTTACCAAGAAGACTCCACAAGACTTAGAGTAGTAAAGTCCTTGTTAACACAGGGTTTTATAAATTGAAGGCAAGGTCCAAAGTAGGTAGAATAGATCTGGTCACACATGGATCAGAAACAAGCTCCATCCTTACCCTTAGGAAACACACAAAGAGGAGGTAGAGAGTATTAGAAAGCCTCTGGAATACAGTGGGTTGAACTTCAACACAGGAACATAGAAAGCCTCACTCACTCCCTGGACACTGTTGCCAGTTTCTCCATACCCATGACTTTCCTGAAGCTTCACGTCAAAGATATGGACAAGACAGACCTAGTCTAAACTTAGCCATTCCCACCTCCTCTTCAAACTTACCTCTCTAGATCACAGGTTTGGAAACACATCAACATTTACTTCTTACCTGTTTGATTTCAGGTCCCAACCTGTGCATTCAAGACCACACCTTGCACTTTCTATTTGGAGCATTGCAAAATAATCACATTGATATTTACAGTATGTTTTCAACAGGCACATGAGTTAGAAGGTATGATTCTTGAGCACCATCCTTCAGTGGAGGGAAGCCTCTGTCATCTGAGGAAGAATGTACTTATAAGCACGGAAGGATTTCTGTGATGTTGCAAGGAAGAGAAACAGCTTCCCATAACCACATTTCTAACGACAGTCTCAGCATTTGTGAAGCCTCAACAGTCAGTACTTGAAGATGCTCTGCCCTCCTCCTCCTATCTTCACATTAAGTATTATGGAATCTCCAACGACAACATCGACGTCCGCAACCCCAACCTGGGTCTTCTGACATAGGTGATTTTTCTCGTGTCCTGTTAGAAGGTTCAATTTAGGCTGATGTCTCATTGCTTTTGTACAGTAACACACATCTTGTCACCTCACTGTGAGCACTGTAGGCACCATACAGCAAGGATCATCACAAAAAGGTTACTTGGAGAGAAGAACCAGTGTTTTGGGGAGTGTTAACACACTCTCAGGTAACTCCATAAAAACAGCTAGAGTTTTGAAGGATGTTACATTACTGCTGATGTATACTACATACTTTCAGCTAGCATGGTTGCCTATCTATGGGATATGTAAGCACTTTAGACTTTGTCACTATTCCATAAATACAGTGTAACAACCATTTATATCACATGTACATGGCAATTGGTATCATAAGTAATCTAGAGATTAAAGACACAGGATTATGTGCATAGGTTATAGTATGCAAACACTAAGCTATTTTGTGTAAGGAATTTGAGCATCTGCAGAGGGTCCTGAAAATAGACCCCACATATAAAGGGACAACAGTACCCGTTTTTCATTCTGAATGTTACACACTATCAAGTTGACCAGTCACACATAGCAGAACCAAAGGAACAAGATCCTAAAGGTCAGTTGTTACTCAAGCTAATACCTCCATACCCCAGAACAGAAAGGGCAGTGATGTACCCAACTAATTGGGAGTTAGCACAGAAATCACTTTATTCCAGATGAATCCTGAGGACTTCAGCTCCTGTAGGATCAAAGGAACCTATATTTTTTTAGAAGTTTGCAGCCCCTCCTCAGGCCAGCTACCATCACCATCTACTCCTGGATCAGCCTGCCCAGGGCAGATACAGCAACTCAAGCTAATGGACCAGGATGTCCAACCTGGAAGGGAACGACACATTTCTAAGATTTTTGGGGTAGGAGGCACATAACCCTCATTCCTACCTTAGTATATTATTGTCTTCATATGAAAAAGGAAATCAATTTCTTCTTATTCTTCTGCAAAGACAACTTATTCTCTCATTGACAAGACATGATATTCATGCAAAATGGGGAATAACCACCATAAGCTGACATCCCACCTCAGTGACATCCCTCAGATCACTCTAATCAACACAGTTGACCTGCAAAGAATTCCAAGCAGCAGCAAACCATTAACCTCAAAAGCACAAAATTCTCCATAGAGTATTAGTGGAGGGCACTTTTAAGGCTGTAGTTATGTTACCAAGGAACTTTCAATGATAATTAGCAGGTAGAGTAAAAAGAGGCAAGGAAAGAAAGCTAAATCCACACAAGGAAAAATGTAATTTATCAGTAGTGCTAACTGGTCCTTGCATGAGTGGTTAAGCCTCCGGGGAAGTGCTCCTTTGACAATTTAAAGTGGTAGTGTGAGATAGTGGAGCACCCAAAGGGGTGTTATATTCCACTAAAGTTCTTTTTAGAGCATGAACCACATAGGAAACTTAAGAGATGTATGTAGTTGGGGACTAATAACCAATGGCATGGCAGGTAATGTATACACAGTTTAAACTCTAAGGTCCCATCAGTGGGTCCATGGAATGATCTGAAACAAGGTGACATCTCACTGATTCCAACACACCCATGTCACCTGAGCAGTAGGTCCTCAGATGCCCTGTGCCTGGAGGAAACACTATGTTCCCGCAGAGGCCAACCCAGACCTGCTCCCACAGACTCCTGTTTAATGGGGATTTTCAGGAATGTGTGTTTTGGGCAAAAAGGCTATCTCTGATCTTTTTGTTTCTTTCTTTTTTTTTTTTTTTGAGATAGAGTCTCACTCTGTTGTCCAGGCTGGAGTGCAGTGGCATGATCTCGGCTCACTGCAGCCTCTGCCTCCCAGGTTCAAGCAATTCTCCTGCCTCAGCCACCTGAGTAGCTAGGATTACAGGTGCATGCCACTATGCCCAACTAATTTTTGTATTTAAAGAGACAGGGTTTCACCATGTTGGCCAGGTTGCTCTCAAACTCCTGACCTTCAGGGATCCACCTGCCTCAGCCTCCAAAAGTGCTAGAATTACAAGCATAAGCCACCGCGCCCACTCTGATATTTTCTCTTTAAGTGACAGTTTATTGAGTGTCTTCCAAACCTGGATTTTTTTTCACAATCTGAGACCTCCATTGACCCAGTATTGAACAGCACTCCCTGACCACGAGTGTTTCAGGAGACCCTTCTAGGAATGTGGGTTATTGATGATGCATAGTAAGTGGGAATGAGCTTGTTCTCATAACTTGCTGAAGGGACCCAAGCCCCCATTGCATACCAGCTTTAGACAGAAGACTTGTTTTACACTGAAAGCTTTCAGAGAATAGACTCAGGCAGCCACAACCTTCCTTTTTCTACTACAATACTTGCTCTACCTCATACCAAGAAAGAACTAAGTTCCATTCTGAATGCATCTCAACATCAAGGTGACCATTCACTAGCACTAGGATCAAAAAGCAAGAGACAGGTCTAATGAAGGAAGAAAACTAGAAGGGAAAGTAGTTGAGCCTGCCCCAAGTATTGAATGACTAATGAGATGCCAGCAAAGATAACAAAAAATACAACTGCAAGCACCTTACCTGGAGTAGTCTTTAGTGCTAGGCTGTCATAATCAAGTCTGGGCATATTTTACCACCAATCATTTGAGTACAGCCTGAATCAAACAGGCTTATAGCTTTGTTTTCTAAGGAAGGAAGAAATATCTGGAATATACAATACATCCAAAGAAGCAGGCACAAATTCAGAAATCTGTTCCCACAGAAATGATTGGCAACATGATATCAGCCTCTGAAAAACTGTCAAGATTGAACTGACCTCACCTCTTTAATAGGAGTGGTTAACACAGGCCACTCTGGAATCACTTGGATTCATTCCTGAGGACCAAGACGACTCAGTAAGTACACAGCTTGAACCAGCTTTACAGCCAGAGGAATTAAGACACCAAATCCTCAGACTTCCCAGCTGGCAACGAAGCTCCTGGAGCTTCACAGGGAAGTTTGTCAGTGTAAAAGATGAAGGGTCTCATGCTTGCTGAACCCTCTGCTGACCAAGGGTACTTGTCTCAGTTCACAAGTGGACTAAGACAAATTCATCATGTCATCTGTGTTATGACTTTGTATTGTTGCTTCGTTTGCTTAATGTCTGCTCCCCCGTCTTGGAGGTTATCAACTCTGTATGTCAATTTCTTTGGGGGAAAAAAGTGACCAAATCTCAGGCCTGGAAGACCAATAGCCATCTCTCCCACCCAGCAAACACCATTGGATCCAGTTCTGACCTAAGGGTTAACTGCAGCCGTACGACATCGTGGAACTAGAAAAGTATCAGAATTCAGCACAACGTTGCCCCATGATGAAAACCTTCCCTTGCCTGGGCCACAGTCATGTTTTTATTGGTGCCAAAGGCATCCAGATATAAACTACAGGGGACATTCAGGCCCAAACTTACACCACTCAGATTTTGCTAGGGAAGTTTTGGGAACGACACCTGAAATGTTACAACTTTGTAGGAAACACAGATGTAGGTTATAGACCCTCCATCCTGATGAATGCCGCCTCAATTACAGAACAGAAACCTTTCCTGAAAGAGCCTCCTCACCAATACATACAGACAGGTTTTGTAGCCACTACCAGAACTACAGGATAAAGAGATGAGTAATTTAAAGGGGACAAACATTTTAAGAAAACTTTAATGAATTATGAAAATAAGATCAAGAAGTTGGCATATAGAGTTGACATCCTCAAAGAAGAGCAAGCATTAAGCAAACAAAGCAACATGAAGTCATAACAGAAAAATATTAAGCCAAATACTACTGTTTAAAAATAGGTAGGATAAATTCTAGAACAGAGCTGAAGAGAACAGGTAGATTTCCTGATGATCAGAGGAAAGTACAAAGGCTAAAATGAAGACAAGGAAACAGAACTTATTTACTTCAATCATTCAAACATTGCCCTCCTCCTTGGGCCCAAAGTGTAAGGAGAGAGAAGAATAGGACTTCCAGGCATTTGGGTTCAGAGCACTCTTCGTGAGGTTCAAACCTACGGACCCTGCTGTGCCCAGACAGCTCATCCAACTGTATGATTTATCAAAATCACAAGGAACAATAGATAACAGTTCCATGCATTATGTATATAGGAAACAATTATTTCCATCAGTATAAAATATTGTGAATTGGAACATAGACTATGACCTTGATTACATTGAGAATTCAGGACTTCCTAATCATTGGCTTTTGCGAGCACTAACAAATAGGCCTGGAACATACAGTGTTGTATTACTGATGTAGTCAAATTTAATACATTTTATGCCACTCCCAACATTCAGATACCTGAAAGAATAACTTATTTTCTCTTTTAGGCAGGACTTTAAAGAGTTAGGGCTATGGGATTAAGACTTTCAGGCAGAACAGGATCAAGGTGGATCTCATCCACTTTTCCCAAAGGCATCACAAGAGGAACTGCCCAGTCATAAAGGATGGAACTGACCTGCCACACCTGTCACAGTCACCTGTGTGACTATC
This sequence comes from Homo sapiens, assembly GCF_000001405.40. Classification (NCBI taxonomy): domain Eukaryota; kingdom Metazoa; phylum Chordata; class Mammalia; order Primates; family Hominidae; genus Homo; species Homo sapiens. Next base: position 10,364,899 of record NC_000004.12, on the reverse strand, counting down.
CTGAGGCCAGGCTTCTACAGACCTTGATTCTGTATCACAGAAAACATGAAGGAGTCCTGTGAGCTAGCCAAATATGTTACCTTCAACCAGCTCATCCCACAAAAGAAAATCAGAGCTGGCCCATAAAGATGACAGACTCTGAAGACCACAAGCAGATGTGTCTGGTGCTCAACTGAAGGTCATTGAGAGGTGGAGGAAAACACTGAGGGCCTTGGGATGGTCAGTCTTATAGCATGAACGCCACAGGGCCCTCAACCTCTACTTTCACCACAGCAAAGGGAGCTCATGGCAGAGAAGCCTGAACACCAGATTGGAGCCTTGGATGTGGGATCCTGAGAGGAAAGACTGCACTGATCCAGGCTCAGTCAATACTGCCCATGCCATCCACATCCAGTGGAACCTCCCTGTGGATAAAATGGAGCAGAGCAGTTAGGTGGTGAGAAACCTCACCAAGAGCACTGCAAATACTCCTTTGATAATTACCATCATGCACCCACAGAACAGCTGTATCTGACAGCGATCAAAGGACAACCTAGGCTGTGTGGACAGGATGAGGTAATTGAAGTAAAAAGCCACATACAGAAGTTAGCACAGTTAAAACCAATCACGTTAGCCAGCAGCTTCCATGGGGAATGCAGCACCTAGTATGGGGGGGGGGGGGGGGGAATCCAGGCACCTGGGTTATTCCCACCAGGGACTGCAAGAAAGAAGGGGTGCACACCAGCTCATTCTTCCTTCTTCATTCAACCCTATGCATTTGACTTGGGAGCCAGAGTTCTTTTGGCCAGAGTCACTGCCATTTCAAGGGAGCAGAAATACCACGTTGGAGGGGAAAAGTTCTTCCCACCAAAAAAGCATTAATCACTCAATTTCAAACGAGATGCTGACCGTTCTTAGAAGCTCAAGAACAGGGTAGAAGTACACCTGAACAATACTCAATGTTTAGGTAGTTTAGATCCTGTTTATCCCTACAGGACATAGATTAAGTAGCAAAGAAAGCAATGTGTGATGTACTATATTCCCCCAAGTGGGAATCTAACCCTACATCCTGCATTACATCGCAATGAAGGACTAAGTGTTGAAAATTTCTTCTACATCTGTTATGAAAACAGCATATGATATGTGATTTGACATGGGAGGTAGATGAAGTTTTAGCTCTTTAAGCATACATTTCCACCTATATTTGTGGAAGAAAAAAAAGCATGAGATTTAAAAGACAAATCCTCCTTTGAATATAAAGTATGTTCAGCTCTATTTTTCTCAGTGTTTTTTAAAAACTCTTAGGTACTTAATAGAAACAGACATTGCAGGAGGCAGACAAGGGACAAGGCTGACTGAGATACAGGGGTGTGAAAACAATTTCATTCCAGGAGAGGAAGAAAAGTGCCTGTCACAGGAAGATGAAGTAGAGAGATCCTGGCTTCAGTAGGTGCTCAGTCCAACCATCTTCTGCTGATGGGGAGACCCAGCCTGTTGAACATTGTTCTAGAATGACTGGGATCCTTACACCACACCTTCCACCTGCAGAGGGGCCTGCTTATTTTCAGAGGCAAATCTCAGCAGTGCAGGGGAAGTGAGGTCTTGGAGAAAATTCAAGGACAGTGGAAATAGAATTGGTGGGTAAAAACAGACTTGTTCCCAGGAGGAATTTTCTAAGACGTATTATTCATTCTGCTCAAGGGTTCCCATCAGGACTGAGCCCTGGTCAGCTCTGTAAAGTGACCAGCTCAATCCGAACAACCCAGTGACTCTTCTCTCCACCCCACCTCCTGTTCACTTTCCTCCTCTGGGTTTCCTGGGACAACTTCCAAATTAAAAACCAATAAAGCAGGCAGATTAATGGTCCTCTAACATTCTAATCCTTAGAACCCATGAACTTGGTATACTACATGACAAGGGGAAAATGAGGGCAACACATGGAATTGAGGTTGATAATCAGCTGACTTCAGGGTACACAAAAGTTACCGTGGATGGTCCAGGGATCACTGTCGGAAAAGAAAGTGAGAGAGGGAGGGAGCATCAGAGGTGAGAAAAAGATTAAGGTGTACTGCTGATATGGTTTGGCTATGTTGCCACTGAATCTCATCTTGAATTCCCGGGTGTTGTGGGTGGTACCTGGTGGGAGGTAATAGAATCATGGGGGCAAGTCTTCCCCATGCTGTTCTCATGATAGTCTCATGCAATCTGATGGTTTTGTAAGGGGGACTTTCTTTCCCTGAACAAGTTCTCTTTGTCTACTGCCATCCATGTAACACACATGACTTGCTCCTCCTTGTCTCCTGCTATGATTGTGAGGCTTCCCTAGCCAAGTGCAACTGTAAGTCTACTAAACCTCTTTTTCTTCCCAGTCTCGGGTATGTTTATCAGCAGCATGAAAATGAACAAAAACAATTGCTAACTCTGCGGTCCCCCATCTCTGAGGCTGAGGAGGGTCCCCACACTAAAGGTTGCAGAAAGAGCCACAAGTCAAGGAGTGCAGGGGTCTCTAAAGGTGACTAAAGAGAAGGAGCAGCCAGGCACGGCAGCTTACGCCTGTAATCCAGCACTTTGGGAGGCTGAGGCAGGCAGATCATGAGGTCAGGAGATCGAGACCATCCTGGCTAACATGGTGAAACCCCATCTCCACTAAAAAAATTCAAAAAAATTAGCTGGGCATGGTAGCAGGCACCTGTAGTCCCAGCTACTCGGGAGGCTGAGGCAGGAGAATGGTGTGAACCTGGGAGGCGGAGCTTGCAGTGAGCTGAGATCGCGCCACTGCACTGGACAACAGAGCAAGACTCCATCTCAAAAAATAAAAATAAAAAAAAAATAAAAGCGGGAGCAAAGTGTCCAGTACAGCAGCCCTCCCCCGACCAAAAAAAAAAATTGCCAACACCTTTTCTCGAAGTGATCCCATTTCAAACTTCTTACTTCTTTAGAACTATAAAAGTTTTTAACTCATTGTTCACTTATCACAGCATCTTAGAAAAATGGTACTCATCCAAAATTCTTGTTTCAAGTTTGAACATTTAGGGGAAATACAGTATAAATCACATTGCTTGTCTTGTATTTCAAGTAGGAGTCTTCAGAACTATCCCATATCTAGAAACCCTAATCCAGAATAAAATAAATGCAACAAAAAAGGCCACATATCTTCTTAGCATCCCAGCATTGAGACTTAGAAACACTACAGACAATGCTCATTTAAATTGTGTTGAACATATAGGCACAAATGCCTTGAGGTAGATTAAAATATGTAATAGGATATTTTCAGTTTTCTATGAAGGAAACTAAGACAACAAAATATCTTCCCTCCAAGTATTCTATGGGCCCAGATAACTTTCACACTGGATTTTACCACCAAAGTAGAAATATACCAACCATATACAAATTATTCCAAACATACAAACCAGACATTTTTAAAAATGACAGTCCGATCAACTAAATGGATTTACTTAGACAAATGAGTGGATTCTCAAATTCTCCATCCTAGAGACTCCCATCTTACAGTGGAGCACAAGACTCCCACTTTTCATGAGCTGTAGGTCGGCATAGCTCCCAAGTCACCAAATAGCCACTACACTAAGCTTTGTCTCAAAGAGCTCTGAACTTTCTCCAATCTCTTTTCATGGTATCTGCATTTCAGGCTTTTTGAAGCACTTCACAGAAAAGTGACACAAATGTGAAAGGGTCTTGGAAATCAAGACCAGCAGCTGTTTCCACATCACAGAAGAGAACCCTGGCTCATACTTGCATCCCAGGGGCCTGGCAAGCCCAGCACTAGCAACACCAGGGGATGGGAATGATATGAGAAACCCATCCCTTTGATGGGAGACAGCTGAGCCCTTTCTGCCCAGTGGTGGTGGTACTATTGCCACCATAATCAACGCTGTCTCTAGATTTTCTGGGACAACATTTACTTGTTACGAAAGGCACCAAAAGAGAGAAGCAGAATCCTCCAGCGCCAAGTGTTCTGCATTTAGCCCTTCACCTCCTCTAGGTGAGTTTAAGGTTCTGCCACCTATCACTGACTTGAGAAACTGCCAGGGGATTTAAATCTGCCACCATGAGGAATTACTTGCTGGTGAACAAGTGACTCAAGAAAGTCCATGACCTGCTGAACAATCCAAGGGGAAGAGACAAAAGGAGAAGGAATTCCATGAGGATACAAGTTGCATAGTTAATACTGAGGAAACTTCACTTCCCAGGCATCAGGGAGGTATGTCTTCCTGTGGTCTAAGAGGTAGGAGGAGGAAAACTGCATTTCCTAAGGACTCCTTAGTCTTCAATACCCAGATAAAAGCAGGGTCTCAAAAAGGATTGGGCCAGTGGACCAGCCCTACTAACAAGGCAGCTGTCTCTCATCTAGTCGTAAAGGAAGGGTTTGGTTTTCAGCTGTTCATGAACAGGTACTTTGCCAAGTCCTGATGCAATTGGAAGGCCAGAGGGTGGGCTGGGTACAGGGCTCGCTCAGTGCTTACAGGAACATAGCGACCACCCAGCTGGTGTGCACATGCTCTGTTGGGGGTGGGGAGTATGTAGCAGCCTCCAGGGGGATGGGCTCCATGAAGGCTTTGACTGAATCTGGGAGGAACCCAGGGGCAGACCAGAGAATCGACACAGAATTCAGGGGAGAAGATCAGGTATAACACTGGTTATACAAAGTACTGCTTTCCTAACTATGTGTGTTTCTACTGCTTCTATAGTCAAAGAAAAGATCAAGTAAAAGGGACAGAATGTTTGCATTTCAATCTAATACCCCATTCCAAGGGGCCCATCAGAGCAGGGGGTAGGGGGTAGTCAGGACTTCAGACATTTGGCCTCAGCCGCCTTCCATGCCCTTTACATGTGGTTCAAACACCTATGTGTTCTCATTCTCAGAGCAACCACAACCAAAGAAATAAATCAACAGGTCAAAGAAGGCTGTCAGCTGAAGGTTCTACCTCTGTCAAAACTGATCGGAAGTCCCAACTTGAAGACTATCCCAGCAGATTATCCCATAGCATATTGAAGAGCTAAAGATGAGAGAGCCCAGATGTATGAATCTTGAGATGAGAGTCCAGGCTCAAGCATTGCTCATGAACGTCAGCCTGTGGATATGTCTGGAGTGAAATCAAAGTATCTTTTACAACACTCGGAATACAACAACTTCACATGGATCACCTCAAATACTCCAATGGGAAGGGCCCACTTGCGACATATAGGGAACAAGAGCATCATGCAGACAAGTTAAAGGATGTCCTGGCTATGACCATGAGGAGTTTGCAGGATGAGGATCACATACAACCCATGGATACCTGCCAACAAAGTGAAAAGAAAGTAGCCTTGGAATCCCTCACCTTATTTGGGCATTAGTTTCTAAAACAGGCTTAACCAAGGGCTAGGCTTTGCAACGAATGCAGCAGGACCATGGTATCAAACAAATTTCATTCTTCCCTCTGATCTAGGTGTGTCTGCTTCAAAGGAGAAGACATCACCTCCCAGAGCAGCCTTCATTAGAATCCACAGGGCTGAAAGGAGCTAAAGACCATCACAAGATAATGGATGTTTCATGGTTTTCAGCTATGGAACTCTTTGGACATGACTACTGCAGTAGGACTGAGGCCATCCCTTTCCAGTGAAAATGAGTCTCCAGGAACATTGGGAATCTTCTGGAAAGTGGGCATGCGTGGCAGAGACTCGGAGCTCAACATCTGCCAACCTGATGTTTTCAGCATAGCTGGGGAGGACAGAACCATGCCTGCAGCCCCACCTGACCAAGACCCTTTCCCGTGATCACTTGGTTACTGTCCTAGAGCTTTCTGTCAATTATACTGGGACAGTTCAGCCTAAGGCACTAAAGGAAACTCAGCTTTTCAGAGAGAAGAATAACCTCAACCTATGGGTTTATCAGAGTTTGAGTGGATCCCAGAATAAACCGTTTCCTAGGAAGCACATTCTCAGGTGATTTTGAAATATTTCCTGTAAGTTTTCCCAGCGGGACTCAGCCACACACAGCCCAGAAGTGACCTGCTCAACGCTCTGCCCATCTCCAGGCTGCTATCCCCACCCCATCTTTCACTGTTCCATGCTACTGGTTTCCTGATACCACTTCCAAAATGTTACACACCCAAGCATAGAGCTCAGATTCTAAGTTCAGGGAACCCAAACTAAGATATACAAGTTACATTTCATAGTTCAATGTAACTCTCTACTATTCTTTCATTACCACAAATGACCAATATCAAAATGCCAAATTACTCATATCAGGAAGAAAAGTTGGAGCATAGAGTCTCTAATTGAAGTTATAGTCTAATTCAAGTTAATATGAGTCTAAGTTTTGTTCCCTTAATCTACATTCTAATGTTATTTGTGCTAATACCTAAAAAATGACTTGGCAAACCTTGCACAAAAAGCAGATATGGGATATACAGGCTTTCATCATTTTAAACCTCCCACCAATAGTACCACAGGCCAATGCCTCTTTGTTTCTATCTTTATACTAATGAACTATAAATTCTTTCAGACAAAAAATACTGCTTTCCAGGTTTTTGCAGGAGGCTGCATTCTATTGGCATGTTTTGAGATTTGAAACAAAGCTCAGGGTAGAAGCAGACAGAGCCTCATTCATGTTGATTGTCAAGGTCTCAGGACAATATCCAACTTACCCCCACTATTCTGGGATTCACCAACTGAACAAGGCTTTAAGGTAGAACTTCCTCATGGAGGACACATCTATAAATAACCACACATGGTCAGTATGCTACATAATGTCATGCGGGGGAAAGCCAGAGAAACTCATTGTGGCTCAGATGCCTGGCAGTGCCCATTATCAAAGGCTAGTGGTAAGAACGTGTGAAGAAGAGACAGACAACATCCATCTTCAAATTGTCAAGTCCCAGCACAGTGGTCATCCCTGACAGACTGTGCCAACCATACAGTTCTAGGGATGGAGAAATGTAAGGCCATTGAAATGTGTCCCTCAGACTAAGGAGAGGACTCCAAGATAGGGCTGCACATACTCATTTCTTCACCCAAGGGACACCCTGCAAGGCTGCAGGTCCATCTAATAGAAGGTCCTTGGTAATATTTTATAAACTCAAGTCAAGATCTACAATAGGAAGGTATCCAGTTACACACATATCAGGAACAAGCTACCTACCCATCTCTTATAATGCAAACAAATACAAAGGGAAATAAATTAGAAATCTTGTGCAATGCAGAGGGCTGAGCTTCCTCACAGCACTGTGTAATTCTTGCTCACTCCCTCCCCGGACACCACTGCCAATTCCTCCTTAATCCTGAGTTTCCTAAACTTAAAGTTAAGGCTCTATAGGGGGAAAGACATAGTCTAAACTTAGCCTTTCCCAAGTACTTACACCTCTCTAGGATCACAGGCTTTTAAACACATGCAAGATTTTCCTTCTATCCTTGGATTCCATATCCTAACCTGCACACTAAAAGCCATAGTCAGTCACGCTTTTTGTTTAAAGCTCTTCCATATATCAAGTTGATATTTGCATTTTCTCAATAGTTGCAAGTTTAGCAGGGTATGATCCAGGAGGAAAATCCTTCGACTGAAGGAAGCCTCCATGTCCCCTCAGAGATAGCGACATGCCAATGACCAGGGCAAGATTTGGTTGATGATGCAAAACAGCTTCCTATGGCAATGTTTCTAATTACAGCATCTTCAATTATGAAGCTTCAATCTCATACATTTGAAGATCCTAACTTGCAGCTCCCACTTGGATTGAGAGAACAGTGTGTGGATCTAACCTGTGAGGTTGCAAAGGCATAAGAATGATACAATGGACTCTGGGGACTTGGGAAAAATGGAAGAGGGACGAGGGATAAAAGACTACAAATATGGTGCAGTGTATACTGCTCGGGTGATGGGTGCACCAAAATCTCACAAATCACAACTAAAATACTTATGAAACCAAGCACCACCTGTACCCCCATAACTTGTAAAAAATAAAATACATATCTTTTGATTCTTCCCTAAATGATTAACTGGGTTGCCTGATTTCTTGGAGTATTGAAACAATTGCTTTTGGTATCACTTCATTCTTGAACATGAGTTCTCTGAAGTACTCCAAAAGTATACGCAAAAGCACAGGTGACAAATAGGTTAAAAATGCCTAAGATGCATATAAAAATCTTATTTAAAAAAACTGTGTGGAGACTCACATAATGAACTTTTGCTCCAAGAACTACTGCAGAATCTACCAGGAAAACCAAAAGAATTCAGACCCTTTGAAAGAAGTGGCTCTTCACTGCAAACTCTGAGACAACTGAAAAACTGAGTGCCTAAAGTGTGAATGGGGAAAGTCCACCTTCAAACACACACTCTCACTGCAGAACCAGAAAATACAGATCATGGGAGAAAGATTTAACCTTACCTAGAATTAAAATAGAGCTGAGCAAAATATAAAAACGAGCAGCAGTGGGAAGAGCCCTGTGGGCACTCCTGGTCCCCAGGGAAGCCATTTCTGACTTTATCTCACAGGGTTCCTTGGGGGAAGGCTACCAGCAGAATTGGGGAAGGACCGCAGGGAAAAGGAGACTTCCAACTGAACTTTGTGATAACTTTGCACACACATTTTCCTGGGCAGAATCAGGGGGCTGAGGGTGGCAAATGGGAAGTACAGATACTCTTACCTATGGAAGTTATCTGAGCTACCAGTGGCAAATCTGTATGGGTTTGCAGCAACCTCAGTTCTTGCCTCCTCAGAAGAATTCTACTGAGGGGCATAGGCAGAAAGAGACTGAGGAAAATTTTCACAACAGGAATGACAGCTTAAAAAGGCTTTAGAGCAGGAGAGAAAAAGTTCATTTGGAAGAGACCCAAGTGGGCACGTGAAGGTCAAGTGCTGTGTTTAACCTTGATCCTAAGACTTTGTAGGCTGGCCCCTTTCCCATGGTTCTCCCCTTAGGGTGGGCTGCCCGCATGCACAGGGCCCTCCTTACCCTTGTGAACATGCACAGTGCGTTTCAGAAGTTGTATGCGCGCCCACTTGAGGCTTTCTTCCCTTTTCCAGTGGTATACCCCTGTGTAAGGTAATGGCTGTGATTTGGTCAAGGAGTAAGTCAAGGTGGATATCCAGGCCTGCATGATTCAGTGAGCTTGGTGCACAAGCGCATATCTCCATTTGTTATATAACCTGTTTGTGTAAGTTCATACTTGGCTCAAAGCCAGTATTGTCTGTAGAAGGTATAAGTGTCCTGCTGATGCTGCCCAGGGGGTCCTTGGGGGCTTGGCTCAGCTCAACATGGCTTGACATGGTGGGAGTACTGGCCCCCAGAGAAAGAGAACCAAAGCTTGTAGATGCACAGAGAGAGAGAGAGAACCATCTTGCAGATGGACAGAGAACCATCTTGTAGATGGACAGCAGGGAGACAGGACCCAGCGTGGCTTGCTTTTGCCCAAAGAGGTAAAGAGTTAAACTGCTGACCCTGAAGGCAAGGGAGAGGTGGCCATGCAGCTGCAGGTATGGGGGCAGCAGGAACCTCAGAGCCAGAGCAGACAGCCAAGATAAAAGTGGGCAGTGTAAGAAAAGCTGCTCATGAGAGAGCTAGTTTAAGTAAGCTGAGTAAAACAGCTAATGTGAGAAAGCTGTTGATGAGAGCTACTACTGAATAAAATCCTTCACCTGTCTACAGCCCCGAGTGTTCTTTCTGCTCATCCACCCACTCCCCCTCCAGACCTCAACATGACCTTTTGTGTAGTTGTGAACCTGACATCCCAGAAGGTCCTAGTCCACCATTTTGTCTCCTAATACATATGCCACAGGGAATCTGCTTCTCCCTGGTTCCTGCATTCAATTAACACTTTAGTGCAACAGGTGTGGACCATCAGGAAATGGCCTTTTCCTGGCACCTGCTGCCAATTTATCACTTTTAGAGTGGTGATGTGATCATTGCCAAACAATTACCTGACATTCCTATTGGGTGGAAGAGGCCTCTCCTGCTCTGCTCATGCCTGTCTCATTACCTGTAACAATACAGACACAGAAGCCTGGGAAGGTGATGAGGGGTGGGGCCTGAAAGCCCTGCTTGCTTTCTCAGTGGGGAGGCATGTAGCCTGTAGCAAGATCTCTGCCCTGTACACTGGGGGCCTGGATATAAACTTGGTGCTGTTGGTGGGGCATAGTGGGAATGAGACTGGAGTTGGTGGCTGCATGTGGGCTGGGTGAGGCTTGTCACTGACAGCTTTCCGCCACTTCCTTGGTGACCTGTATGACACAGCAGAGGCAGCCATAATCCCCCTGTGAACATAACTCCATCAGCCTGAGAACCACACCCCCATCCCCCACAGCAGCCACAGCAAGTCCTGCCAAAGGAGAGTCTGAGCTCAGACATGCTTGACCCTGCACTCACCTGATGCTCTTTCTCTACCTGCCCTGGTAGCTTAAAACAGAAGCTCTTGGGAGCCTTATGGCCCTGCCCATCACCTGAGAAACCCAAACACTTATCCAGGCAACCTTAGGGCAAGCTTGTATTCCCCCTGTAACTACTTATACTACCACAGCTAATGCTCTCTTGGAAGTGCCACCTCCTGGCTGGAGGCCAACCAACTCAAGCAATTACAGCAACTCAGCACAGTCCTACTCCAAGAAAGGAGAAAACTGCTGATTTCACCACCCGTAACATCCTGGCTAACCAGAGGTTCTGAGTCCGTCCACATGACAACTTCACTGCTAGCATAACCAGCATTCGAGAGAATCAGCACACTCAACAAAACTACCACCAAGAACTCCCACAGAGTCCATTTCACCTTCCTGCTTCCTCCTTCCACTGGTGCAGGTTCTGGTATCCATGGCTGAGAGACCTGAAGACAGATCACATCACAGGGCTCTTTGCAGGCACTCTTCAGTACCAGCCCAGAGCCTGGTAGCTCCACTGGGTGGCAAGACCCAGAAGAGCAACATCAATCACTGCAGTTCGGCTCTCAGGAAGCCCCACCTCTAGGGGAAAGGGAAGAGCATCACATCAAGGGAGCACTGCATGCGATAAAATAATCCGAAAAGCAGCCTTGAACCCCAGGATCTTCCCTGGAGAAGTCTACCCAAATGAGAAGGACCCAGAAAAGCAATTCTGGTAATATGACAAAGCAAGTTTCTTTAACACCCCCAAAAGATCATACTAGCTCATCAGCAATGGATCTGATCAAAGAAAAAATCTGTCAGAAACAGAATTCAGAAGCTTGATTAAGCTACTCAAGGAGGTACCAGAGAAAGGTGAAAACTTAAAAATGTTAAAAATACAGGATATGGACAAAAAATCTCTGGAGAAAGATAGCATAAATAACCAAAACTTCTGGAAATGAAAGATACTCTTAAATCAAATTATGCTGGGAAGTTTCAACAACAGAATTGAACAAGTAGAAGAAAATTTCAGAGCTTGAAGACAAGGCTTTCAAACTAACACCATCTGACAAAAGCAAAAAAGCAAGCCTCCAAGAAGCTTGGGATTATGTTAAGCAACCAACCTAAGAATAATTGGTGTTCCTGAATAAGAAGAGAAATCTAAGTTTGGAAAACTTATGAGGAAACAATCAAGGGAAAGTTCACTGACCTTGCTAGAGATCTAGATGTCCAAACACAAGCAGCTCAAAGAATGCTCAGGAAATTCATCACAAAAACATTACTTAGACACATAGTCATCAGGCTATCTGAAGTCAAGACAAAAGAATCTTAAGAGCTGTGAGGCAAAAGCATCAGGTAACCTGTAAAAGAAAACCTATCAGATTAACAGATTTCTGAGCAGAAATCCTACAAGCTAAAAGAGACTGGGGTCTTATCTTTAGCATCCTTAAAACAATTATTAGCCAAGAATTTTGTATCCAGCAAAACTAAGCTTCATAAATGAAAGATAAAGTCTTTTTCAGACAAACAGATGCTGAGAGAACTCGCCACCACCAAGCCAGCTAAATTGAACTGCTATAGGAGGTCTAAATCTTGAAACAAAACCTTGAAATACACCAGAACAGAACCTTTTTAAAGCACACATCTCAGAGCCTATAAAACAGTAACACAATGAAAAAAAGACGTATTCCGGCAACAACTAGCATGATGAATAGAATAGTACCTCACATCTCAAAACATTGAATGTAAATGATCTAAATGATTCACTTAAGAGATACAGAATGACAATAGATAGGTGAGTCTCTTGAAGGCAAGATACTTGGTGAACTAACACATAAGGACTCACGTAAAGTTAAAGGGATGGAAAAAGATATTCCATGCAAATGGACAGTACTATCGAGCCTCGTATAAACCATCAGCATCTGCAATTGGAACCTGTTTCTTCAGATATAGATGGTCCCTGTCATGTCAGGGTTCCAGTTAGACTACTGTCTTATGGCTTACTACAGTACCATACATCACTTTACCACAAAACATGGCGACTGTAGGCATCATACAATATTCATCGTCATCATGATGCAACAGGAGGGAAGAACCAAAGTTTTGGTGAGTATTAACACACACATCCATGTCACTAAATAAAAGTTGTCTAAGTGTTAAAGAAAATGCTATGTTGGTGCTGATATGTACTATGGAGTCAGACCTTGGATAGTTACATCTGTACTGACCACATGCAAATTTTTTCCTTGTCATTTCCTAAATACTACAGTATAACAACTACATACAGAGCATGTACATTTAGTAGGTATTATAATATCAAGATGAGCTTAAGTATACAACAGGATATGCATAGATTATATACAAACACTATGACACTTTACATAAGGGACTAGAGCATCCACTGATTTGATATCAGCCTGTAATCCTGGAACCAGTCCCCCATGGAAACCAAAGGTTGACTCTACTCTTGTTTTCCACCTGTAGCATCAAGCCTCCAAGACCTCAGAAACAATCTCCCAAGAGAATTATCACTGGAACACTGGCTTATAATTATGGCTTATCTCTACAGCATGCTCCCTAGATCAGCTACCACTGTAGACTCTCCTGGATTAGGCAGCACAGGGAAGATGAGCAACAAAGCAGCTGAAGGAGAAATCCACTGCAGAACGCACGACATTCCTGTGCATCCCTTCATTAGACATGTCAGTATTAAGGTCACACCAGTGTCTAATATGAGTATTACTAACTTTTAGTAGGGATGAGAGATATAACCCTCATTTCTTCAGGGCAGGATTGTTGGCTTATATGGAAGAGGACAGACTTTTCACAAAGACTTTTCACTTTTCCTGCAAAGAGAATTTACTGACTCCTAGTCAATTCTATAACCATTTCTTAAAAAAAAAAAAATCCTATAAACACACAGCTTCTTATGGCCACCAACCCACATCTAGAGTTGACATTCTCCATACACTGATGGAAATTCCTAACAAGGACAAGGGTCATGATGGCAACGTTTTTCAAAATCAGAGTTATGAGTAAAACCATAGGTGACAGAAGGTAGCTACAGAAGGGCAAGACATGGTAAGTCGTTTAGACTTATTGCTAAAAGAGTGGTTGAGCTTGAGAGGGTATTCCCCTTTGATATATGGGTTGGTACACAGCAACAAAACTCAGTCTCCAAAGATTATTTGAACATCTCCAAAAACAAAGCAAAGAGGACTAATGTCTAGAAAACACAACCAACAGCTGCTTTTCAATCCCATAAAATCTCTTGCTCAGGCTTTGGGCAGAAGGTAAATCCCAGGTGGGCACTGGATATCAAGGAGAAGTACCATGTCACCCACAGTAAGCACAGAATCCCAGCCTTCTGATAAATCATATTTCTGTTGGTGCCAAGTACATCTATAAGAAAAACCTGCACGGGAAGTTCAACTTTAACTTCAACATTTAAACTTCTTATATGGAGAAAATTTAAGGACCAATGCCAGAGACATCATAGCTATAAGAGCAAATCAAGTTAAATACAAAAGTTCTTCAGCTGAGGTAGATGCCACCTGTAAAAATATTTCAAATACTGAAATATTTCTCAGGTGTTGACCATACATATTTATGCTTAAGGAAAATAGCCACAGCATGAACTCATACAATGCAGAATGTCACATCAAGGGAAAAATCTAAGAAAACTGAAGATATGCTAATTGAAGGCAAGTATCAAATAATATTAAATACGTGGTTGGTGTCCTCAAAAATATAGTGAGAACATTAGCAAGACAATATAAGGATATGAAACCAAAACAAATAAGTCAGCATGTAACATAGTAGTGGGTAACAATATATGGGACAAAAAGTGTGGTTAGATATAAAATGAAGATTTCCTAATACCTGAAAGCATTAGGAAAAGTCAAAATCTTAAAGGGCAAAGACACAAAACATTCATTTTAGTCAGTCAACTATTTCCATCCTCCTGGGTTGCATGAATGCATGGAAAGGAGAAGCATAAGAATCTTAGCATGTGAATTTAAGGTATGTTCCATGGCCCTGGATAAGTGGTTCTATTGTCTGTGGACCCTGCTCACAGAGCACATCCCATAATCCTAGTCACAGAAGACATCATAGGGAATAGAACTAGGTAACAGACAAGTTAATCTCTACATTAGATAATTCTCAAAACTAAAATATTGGGTCTAATAGAATGCAAATTTTAATCCAAATCCAATGGGGAATTTAGTACATTAAGACAATTGGCTTTCATAAGGACTGAAAGAAGACTTGAAATATTCAGTGTTGAATTCCCATCTAGTAAATCTGGAATCCTGCTAGACAGCTCACAGGGTCACGAAATGCTCATATCTGCTTTTCAGTTCTAGGAAGACCCTGAATGCAGAACAACTACAATGTGAAAACTTGGAGAATAAACCCCAAACAGAACTCAAATCTTAGGCAGCACAAGAGGAAGCCACCGAGACAGGAAAGAATGAAATAGGATGCCTGTTATAGCCACCCTGCAGTGTGACTTGTCAGAAGGCTACAGACCTTATTCCTATAACATACAGTATTGAGCAAGTTTTCCTAGTGGATCAATTCCTCAGTTTCACCATGCAACGCACTCCAACAATGAAAATCAGTGCGATTCCACAAAGACAAAGCACCTGGGTCTTGACCTATAGGCAACCATGTATATGGAGCTAAGCCTAAGAGGCCACTAGGGCGGAGGGGAACAGTTTGTCTATCAGAAATAGGATCTACCAGAGGGCCAGCCCTGCACAGCAGTGAGGATGCCAATTCCTTAAACTGTTGATCATAACAAAAGGAACCCAATGCAGAGAAGATTGACTACTTGAGACCCATGGATGTGGGTGCTCAGAAGAACCATGACAGCCCAGACCCCCATAACTACTGCCCGAATAATCTATATCCAGTGGGGTTTCCTTGAAGGTAAAAATACAGGCAATGACCCCCAGAGCAATAAGGTTGAGCAACGTTTTACCTGGACGATTCCAAATACTTTGGCTTAGGAAGGAATTCCGTAGGAACACATGGAATAGGAGAGTCAGGCAGAGAAGGCTCGAAGGATAACCCAGGCTGTGTCCAGCTGGAATAATGAGAGCCAAACACTATACAAGAAAGTGGGCAATGTCAAAGCCAAATACCCTTGGGCAGCAGCTTTCACCAGAGGTGAATGAGCTCGGGTCGATGTCCTCAAAGATATAGTGAGGACACTGGCAAGAGGATTTAAGAATATGAAATCAAAACAGGTAAATATTCTGTGTCTGGTTGACCCAGGCACACGGGTTAGTCCTGTTAGTGACTGCACATGGGAGAAACGTTTTCGACAATCTCATTCTTCCTTTCTTCTCATTCAATCCTAAGAAGTTTAATCGAAAGGCAGTCACACTGGCTAGAGTTACTAGAATTCAAGTCAGCAGAAAAGACATGGAGTGTTCAAGAAATAAATTCTTCAACAGAAAACACCATTTGATCAAGAACAAATGACAGAGTGTCCACAAAAGCTCAAAAAACAGAAAGAATATTGTAACAAAACTCTATGTCCTCTGCAGGAATATGGATGAAGCTGAAAACCATCATTCTCAGCAAACTAACACAAGAACAGAAAACCAAACACTGCACATTTTCACTCATAAGTGGGAGCTGAACAATGAGAACACATGGACACAGGGAGAGGAACATCACACACCGGGGCCTGTCAGGGGGTGGGGATAGCATTAGGAGAAATACCTAATACAGGTGACAAGTATGGGTGCAGCAAACCACCATGGCAAGTGTATACCTATGTAACAAAACTGCCTGTTCTGCACATGTACCCCAGAACATAAAGTATAATAAAAAATAATAAAAAAGCTACAGCAAGAGAGGGCATACAGCAATAAAAAAGCAATGGTTGACGTATAGTACTCACATGTACATGGAGTACTAACACACCCTAACCTCTACTACATCCCCTTGAAGGAATGAGATTTGTACATTCCCTCTACAATTGAACTCATGACATGAGAGATCTGACATTCAAAGGAACACTAATTTTAGATCTTTAAAGACACAATCTCCCTTTGTGTGAGAGAAAGAATGAAACTTAAATGAACTTCTGTTATATTTAAAGAATGAGTTGATTTTTTTATCCTCAGATTTTTCTCATCCTGTGGGAGGGAGAGATGTTAAGGGTAAATGAAATGCAGGGGTGTGTAAAGAATCTCTTCCAGCTCAGAAAGAAAATCTTTTCCAGCAGAGGGAAAAAGCCCCCATCCCAGGAAGATGGAGTAGGGAAGAGCCTGTCCATCTGAGAGGGAGATCCAGGCATTGCCTTCTTGAATGATTGGGCTGCCGCAAGCCATATTTTCATCCTCTAGGTCCACTTGCTTTTATGCAGAGCCATATTTTGGCTGAGCAAAAAAAATTCATGGCTTGGGGCAGGGAAAAAATGACTAGTAAGGTTGATGGTCAATGACCAGAATATCACCCCAGAAGGACATTCTGAGTTGCATTACTCTTGGCTCAAAGGTCCCCAGCAGGGTTGAGCCTCAGTCACCTCCACAAAGGAGGAACTCAATCCTACCCCCTCTAATGGCTGCTCTCTCCATGTCCTCGGTTTCACATCCCTCCTCCTCTGTACTTCCTCAGCCCATTTCCAAATGAGGCAATGAATGCCACAAATTCATTAACTCTTAAGGTTTCCATATGCTAGTCCTAGAAGCTGTGAACATGTTTTGGGCCATAACAAGGGGGAAGTCAGGGGACAGATGGAAGTAACCTCACTAATCAGCTAAGATGCAGAACTATTCCTATATTACACAGGAGGTCCTTTGTCATCCAAAGGTGATTCAACTGAGAAAGCAGAAGATGGAGGAAGCAGCAGAATGAGAATCCGATTTCAAGACGCAGAGCATCTCTGAAGCTGACGGGATGTCCCAGCTTCTGAAGCCAAAAATGGAGCCAAAAGCCAAGAATCAAGGGCTGCTAAAAGGTGGAGAAGAGCCAAGGAAACAGACTGTCCACTGGAAGGCCAGATAAGATCCAACTATGACTACACCTTAATTTGTCTAAGTGAAATCAACTTCTATCTTTGGATCTCTACCACTCTAATTTAAGCACGTAACTTGGTGCTCATTTGTTACCACAGAAATAGGAAGTTGATGCAAGTCCTGTCCAGAATACTTATTTTATAACCTACTTTGAAGGTAACCAGAATAAGTCATAGATATTTCCGTTCTATCTAAGTACCCATAACTCATCCTTCCCTGAGAAAACTCATCAGGAAAAATTTGAAGGCAGTAAAATTAGTGTCATTTTCCTAGCATCCCAGTAGACATGTTTTATGCATTAAATGCATTCATGTAATTTTGTATTTGAAATAAACATGCATAAATGCCATGAAGGATACATCTTACATTTTACAGGAGAAAAATAGATTCTGATTATTTGTTTTCTATGGAAGAAACTCAATATATAATTTAAAAAACCATCCCCCCCCCCAAAAAAAAAAAATTCTGTGGTTGGAATAACTTCACTAGATTCCACCAGTCAAAAGATAACCCGTTATTCCAGACAATATAAAAAATGGTAGCATTTCTCAAAATATCACCCTGTCTTGACAACCAAGCGGACTAAAACAGCAGTAAGGATTCTCATCATTTCCACTCCAGAGAGGCTAGGACTAGGAGATGATCACATTTCAGAGTGGAACATGAGCTCCCTGCTCTTCATGAGGTGCAGGTCAGTGTAGCACCAGGAGAGGCAGACCCTTTCTCACTGCGGACTGGTAACCAGCAAGTCTTTCTCACAAACACTAAACCTCTCCACTCTCCCTTTATGGAGCCATTATATGGCTGCCTCAATCACCTCCTCTCAAAAAAGCTATCTGCAAGTAAACGTTTAAAAGGGTTCCAGACTTGGAGAACAAAAAACAGCAGTTGCTTTCAGATCACAGAAGACAAATCTGGCTGATGCTTGTGCCTCAAGGAGCTAGGCAGCCCTAGCATTTAGACAACACAAGGATGAGAATAATTTCAAATCAGGCCCCATTGGATCAGAGACTACTGAGCTTTTCCTTCCCCAAAGAGACTGTGCTTATGTTGCCTTGATGAGCACCATCCCCAGACTCCCTGAGAAAACAAGCTTCTGTGGATATCAAGGCACCAGAAAAGCAAAGCTCAAGCTTCTAGAACTATGTATTGTGTATTTAAGTCCTATCTCCTCTGGGTTAGTTTCTAAAATATTACTCCTACTACTGCCTTGAGGAACTGCCACAGCAGATTTAAAGCTGTCATCACAGGAAACTCCCTACTCACTTCAAGGTAAACACTGATTCAATAGAATTCAGGCTCTTCTGAACATTCCAGAGAAGACAGTCACTGAAGAGCTCTATGTAGATGTGAGGCATATACTTAACAGAACACTTCAGTTTTCAGGCACGAGGGACAAGTATCTTCCTCTCTAGGGACTATGAAGTAGCCAGGGGACATCGCATGCCCTTAGAGCTCCTTAACTTTAGATGCTTCTGCAAGCAGAGCTCATGCTGGAGGAATAGGGCCAGTTTACCAGCCCTACTAAAACTGACCAAGCAGTCGTTCTTTTTGCTAGCCAGAAAGGCACAGTTTGGTTTTCAGTTCTTTACACATTCCAAAACTTTCCCCTGATCTGACAGACTTTTGGGCTGGAGGGTGGGTTGGACACAGGCACCACAGTGCAGGCAGCCTGAACCAAGTTCTCCCTGGAGAAGACCCGGTATCCGAATCTGGGCTGCTGAGAACTCTCCTTGCACCAGTTGTGGAATTAACCTGCTTGGATGAAGCAGCCTGAAGGCAGAAGAATGTTCAGCATGAAATCCAAAGTAGTATCTGTTACTGCAGAGCTGCTCACTGGACACTGGGCAACTTTGAGGACTCTAAGGAAGCTCCATCAGCCTCAGCCCCAGGCCTCACCTGGATCTTATCAGATCGCAACACATGTTTCTTCTGGTGACTGAATAGATAAGGTATTTTATTATCTGTCCGTTGTATCATGGTAACTTCACACAAGGCAGCATATGATAGCCGATTCTGTCAGTGTCCTTTAGTGTGCTGGCTCAGATATTTCTCAGCCTAGATAAAAATTCAAGCCCAGAAGAGCAGGCACAAATTAGACACTACAGGAAAGCAATTGCCTGGTTGGACTCAGTGGTGCTCTTACAGGAACATATCAATCATAGCCATCAGAGTCACAGCCGCACAGGCCAGTACCTGAGAACGTTGCCTGATACATGCATGGGATTCATGGGAGCCACTCAGAGCTGCTGCAGACATCCTATGGCTGGGGGGATTCCAGTGACAGACTCCATGAGGGGCTTGACTATGGGTCAACCAGGGAGGAACCCAGGGTCAGGCGAGAGGATCTTTGAACGTCAGCATTCAGGGAGAAGGATGACTACACAACATGGAAGATAAAAAGCACTTTTCCTAATGATTGGCATTCCTACTGCCTCTGTAATTGCAGAAAAAATGGCAAGGTAATCAAAAGGGGTAAGTGTTTGCATTTCAATTTCTCAACCACATTCTTCCTAGGGGCCCTTCAGAGCAGGGTGGAGGGTCATCAGGACTTCAAAGAATTTGGGCTCAGGGTTAAATCCCTACACTGTACTTGTGCATCAAACACGCGTCCTCATTCTCAAACAACCACAACCAATGGGAAATTAAAAGATGGAAAGCACTATCACCTGAAGGATCTGCTACTTTAAGGGACTCCATCTACTTACCTTGAAGACAGCCCCTGAGAGATGACCCTGTGGTAACTTAGGGAAGAACCAGAGATTTGACAACCCATGTGAGTCTTGGGTGGAGATCTGTGAGGCCAGGCTCACACCAACACTGACCTTGTAACCACACCCTACAGATATACCTAGAGGGAAATCAGAACCAAAGCCTCTTCCATAACATCCAGAGGGTGAGAACCTCACTTGGACCATGTCAGATACCCAGGGAAGGGAAGAACCCCTGACAAAACATAAGCAGCAAGAGTATCAGGCAGACAAGGGACATCCTGGCTATGACTACGAGGGTTTGGCAGAATCCAGATTACACAAAACCAATAAATACTTGCTGGAAAGTGAAATCAAAGTAGCCTTGGAATCCCTCTCCTTGTTCCATCTAAAACCACCTTGACCTTTGTGTCAAAAACAACCTGGACCAAAGGTTAGACACTGCAGTGAATGCAGGACCATGGTTCCAAACACACCTCTTTGCTTTGATGCAGTCTTGGGTGTTTCTAAAGATGTCACATCCCAAAGCCAGCCTTTATTACAATCCACAGGGCTTGACACAAGGTAACAACCCTTCACAAGAGGATGGATGTCAGTCTTCAGCTATGTAACATGAACAGTCATACTATAGAAGGACTAATTTTGTCCCTTTCCTACTTAAAGGAAAACCCAGGAGTATTGGGAATCTTTTGGAATGTGTAGGCAGGTGCGGCAGAGGCTGGGGAGCTCAGTGACATCTTAGTGACCTCCACGTTATCTGCACAGCTATACAGAATGGCATCAGGTTTGCAGCCCTATCCCACCAGAAAACTTTCCTATGACCCTTCCTCAATGTGAGAGCCCTAGAGCTTTCTCCAAATTCAACAAAGGCAGCCCAGCCTTGGGCACAAGGGGACATTTCAGTGTGTAGACATTAATCATCATCAGGATGGACCAAGTTGGAGAGTGAGTCATGGAACCACCTGTTTCTAGCTAGGGCATTCTGAGATGCATTTGATGTGGTTCTGTCAAGCATTCCCAGAGGAACTGAGCCACACGCAGCCTAGCTGTGATCAACTCAGTGCTCTGCCCACCTCTGGCTACTGTCCTCACCGTGTCTCTCACCATTTCATGCTCTGGGTTTCTGGGATCACTTCCACAGTATCATCTACCTAAGACATATAGCACTTGGGTTTGGAATTTAGGAAGTCTAAACTAAAACACCGTAATTTCCCTTCATATTGAAAAGGAGAGGACCTTAACTCTTCTTTCACTGGCATGGTCAAGATGTAAGTGCCAGATTACTTACGTCACAAATAAATCGAGGCACATTTTTGCATTTCTAATTGAAATTACAACTACATAATAAGCTCTGTTCATTAATTTACATTCCAAAGTTATTTTTGTTAATACGTGAAAGACAGCTTAGCAAACTTTTCTCTAGAAGATATGGGATGTTTACAGGTTAACTTTGTAACAGTGATTCTGTAATTTAATCCTTCCAGCACCAGTACTGGCCAAAGCCTCTTCTCTTCCTCTATACAGAAAAGTTGCAAATTATTCTAGACATCCCCTAAGAAAAACAACTCAGAAATTGTTGCAGTAGGCTGCATTTCATTGACACATTTTCAGATTTGAAGGATAACTCAGGCTAGAAGCAGACAGCCTCATTCATGGTGATTGCCAAATTTCCAGGACACTAAATCAAATCCGCTATTCTGAGAATCACCAGATGAACAAGGCCTGAAGTGGAAACAAACCCCCTGAGGAGTTTCACCAGGAGTCAAGCCAAAGAAATTCACCATGGGTCAGCAGAGATGTTAGGCAGTGCCCAGTAACACCGGGTAACCATAAGCAGAGAGCTATGAAGGAGAGACAGGCCATGTCCCTCTTCAAGTTTTTTCCCTAATGCAGTGGTCTTCCCTGTAGGTTTAACACCCATGATGACCTGTGCCTCAACCACAGGATTAGAGCTGTTGAGATGCAAAGACACTGAGGTGACTATCAGAACAGAGACAGAACCCCCAGATAAGTCTGTACGCACCCCATTCCTTCATTCCCCCCACAAATACCTTGCAAGGCTGCTGACACAGCTAGTAGAACCAAAGATGCATCCTTGGTTCAATAGATTTAAGGAATTCAACAATAGTTCCACATCAAGTAGCATGCATCAATAAGGAACAAGCCGCACCCCTCAGGACACATGTAAAGAAAAAAAAAAGTATCAATCTTCTGGAGTAGAGAGTTTTCATACAGCAGCATACAAAGCCTTGCTCCCTCCCCTGGGACCAGTGTCAGTACCTTCTCAGCCCCAAGTATTCTGAGTTTCAGGTCAAGGGTCTGGAGAGGATACAATTATGTTCTTCTGTTCTCTCCAGAACACAGGCTTTTCAAGATACGAAAACTTCCTTTGTCACATCATTCTAGGTCCCCACCTGGCCACTCCAGGCCACACTCACGCTTTCCATTTGCAGTGTTTCGAAGTATCCAGATGATCTTTGTAGCCATTTTGCAAGAGGCACAAGTGTTACAGGGTATGATCCTGATGTACTATCCTTTGTGGATCAAGGGTTCTGTAAACTAAGGGAAAGTAATAGGCCTACAAGCATTGTAAGATTTATAAATATACAAAGACAGTTTGCTATAACAACGTATCTAAAAGTATCAGCGATTACAAAGCCTGGACTTTTAAAGCTTGAAGATCCCCCAATCTCTCCAGATCCTGACAATATTCTTGGATCTCCACCACAACACCAACATCTGCAATGAACTTGAGTCTTCCAATGTAGATGATCCTTGTGATATCTGGGAGAAGGTTCACATTAGCCTCATGTGAGACTAGCCATTACCTGCCTCATCCAAGGAAGAATTCCAAGAACAAGCAGACTACTAACCTGGAAATTAAAGCAGACAATTCTCCATATAGTATTCAGTGGAGGATCCGTCTAAGACCATAGTAATGTCCCCAAAAGTACCTTCAATGCTAATTAGCAGAGAAGATAAAACTAGGTGAGGGAAAACAGCTACTTTCTCATGACAAGCAAGAATGACATTTATCACTAGCATAAACTTGTCCTCATATGATAGGTTAAGCTCCCAATAAAGTGCTTCCTTCCACAACCTAAACAGGCAGTGAGAGGTCAGAACCAAAGGATATATTTTACTACAGCCCTTTTTAATGAATAGACCATGCTCAAGACTTACTAGTTCTAAGCTGAGAACCAACAGCCAATGTCATATGCCAAGAGATTCACAGAGTGTGAACTCAAAGATCTCTATGGGTTCATGGAATGAGCTAAAACAAGATGATATCTGACTGTTCCCAGCGCACTCCTGTTATCTGAGCATTGAATCATTAGCTTCCCTGTGACTGGATGAAATTGGGAAGAACAGCTGTGTTCTATCGGAGGGTAACCCAAATCTGTTCCCCCAGATTCCTGTCTGGGATTTTCAGAAATCTGTCTTTTATGCAGACAGGCTCCTGTCTCTAATTTTTTAATCTTTAAGTCACACAATCTGTTGAATGTCTTCTAAACCAGGGTTTTTCCCATAGTAACTGAGACCCCCAGTGAGCCAGGTATTGAGCATTGCTCACCTGACCCTGAGTGTTTCAGGAGCCCCATCTGGGGATGCTGATGTGTAGGGACTGCAGATGAGCTCCTCGGTCTATCTTCCTGCTTAAGGAACCCAAACCTGCATTACTTCACCTTTAAACAGAAAAATAACTCATCTTGTACTGAATGATTTCGTAGAGAAAATAGGGTGGCTGAAACCTTGGTTCATTGTTACTGGAAGACTTTCTCCACCCTATGCCAATAAAAAAAACTGTCTTTCTCAGTGTGGCACATCAGCAAGGTGACCAGTCACCAGTAATATAATTAAGGATCATGAGACAAGTAATGATGGAAACCAGAAGGGGAAGGAGGTTAACCTGCTCTGTTGGCCAGCTAATGAGACACCAGCAGTGATCAATCAACAACAACAAGAAAAACTAGAAGCATCTAAGTTGGAGTGCTCCTCATTGGTGGGCTGTCATGACTGAGTCTGGGTATATTTTAATTGAGTATTGTACATGAAAGTACAAGTTCAAAAATCTGTTCCTATAGAGAAAATTAGCATTTTTTTTTTAAAAAAATTCAAATTCCGGGATACATGTGCAGAATGTCCAGGTTACATAGGTATACAAGTGCCATGGTGGTTTGCTGCACCTATCAACCCGTCATCTAGATTGTAAGCCCCACATGCATTAGGTATTTGTCCTAATGCTCTCCCTACCCTTTCCTCCCACTTCCCGACAGGCCCCAGTGTGTGTTGTTCACCTCCCTGTGTCCATGTGTTCTCATTGTTCAACTCCCACTATGAGAACATGCGGTGTTTGGTTTTCTGTTCCTGTGTTAGTTTGCTGATGATGGCTTCCAGTTTCATCCATGGGCCTGCAAAGGAGAGCTCATTTTTTATGGCTGCATAGTATTGCAAGGTGTACGTGTACCACATTTTGTTTATCCAGGCTATAATTGATGGGCATTTGGGTTGGTTCCAAGTCTTTGCTATTGTAAATAGTGCTGCAATAAACATACATGTGCATGTGTCTTTACAGAATGATTTATAATCCTTTGGCCATATACTCAGTAATGGGATTGCTGGATTAAATGGTATTTCTGGTTCTAGATCCTTAAGGAATCACCACACTGCCTTCCACGATGGTTGAACTAATTTACACTCCCACCAACAGTGTAAAAGCATCTCTCTTTCTCCACAGCCTTACCAGCATCTATTGTTTCCTGACTTTTAATAATCACCACTGACTGGCATAAGATCGTATCTCAGTATGGTTTTGATTTGCATTTCTCTAATAATCAGTGATTTTTCATATGTTTGTTGGCCATATAAATGTCTTCCCTCTGAGGAGGGTCTGTTCACATCCTTTGATAATTAGCAATTTGCAAATCTGTCCTAGCTGAATTGACCTCACCTTTTCAGTAGTCAATCAGACCACCCTGGACTCACATGGCTCATCATCCCCGAGGACCATGAAGACTCAGGCAGTTCACAACTTGAATTCTCACTAGCTTCACTGCCAAAGGAAGTAAGATACCCAAGTCCTCAGACTTCCAAGCTGACCGGGAGCTCAACATGTTTGATATCATTTCTCAGTATGATGGGTGAGGAGTTTCACATCTCCTTGCAGCTCTGCTGACCAACAGTGCTTCTTCCTGTCAGAAGCTACAGCTTACAAATGGACTAAGAAATTCATTACGAGGAAAAGTCCTAGCATGGTTTATTTTCCTATTACAACTGACCCCCAGGACGTAACTCTGGACCCGGTGCCAGCAGAAAATTATCTTAGAAAAAGCCAGCAAGGATGAATGCATAAAAGGCATGAGCAACAGCTGCCATTTCTCAGGAAATGTTACTTGCTCCCGGTTTTGCACCAAGGGTCAGCTAACTGGAGCAGTGTGACACTGCATGATTGTCAAGGTTTCAGAATTCACTTCCAAGTCTTCCAGATGGACCCTGGTTGCCCAGCAAAGGCACAGTATTACCAAAGATGATGTCTGTTCCCTATCTGCAAATATTTTATCTCCATTGGTGCCAAAGACATCCAGAGATAAACTACAAGGAATGCACATCCCCAACCTTCTAGCAATTCAGATTTTGCTGGGAACATTTGAGCAGCAGCACTCACATGGTACAGCTTTGGAGGAAACAGAGATATACATTATCACCTTTAACCCTGGGGTACGTCTCTATCAGAACAGTGATGTTTCCTGATTGAGCCTTTCCACCAATACAGATGCACAGGCTTTACCACCACTACTGGAAACCACAGGACAAAGACTAGTCATCTGAAGGGCATCATTTTAAGAAAACTTCACAGAGTAAAGACCCTATGATCAAGAAATTTAGAGAGTTAATATCCTTAAAGGAATAGGAGCAGACATCAGGCAGACAAGGTTATATAAACTTAAATAGAAATATACAGGCAAAAGATAGTACTTGATGAGATAAATTCTAGAATGAATGTGTCTGAAGATCACAGGAGTTTTTCTGATGATGGGAGAAAAATATGAAGGCTAAAATGAGGATAAATGGACAGAACGCATTTGCTCCACTAATTTGGACATCCCCCTCTTCCTGGGCCCCAAAGTGCAAGCTTGGAGAGGTACAGGACTTTCAGGCATTTGAGTTCAGGGTATCTTCCATGGACCCGGACATGGTGTTCAAATATCTATGAACTCTGCTCAGAATGCTCATTCCACTGTCTGAGTTACAGCGATGATAAGGAACAGCAACAGATAATTCAATACTTCCCTGCATTATGTTTAGAAAAATTTCCATCAGAATAAAATCTGTTGAAATGTAGATTTTGAATCCTATTAATCTGAAAATTCAGTACCACATAGGTACTAGTGTTGTGACCACTAAAACAGATCTGGAAGATCCAGTGAGGTAGACTCGATCTAGCCAATCCCGAAGCATGCTGTACTATGCCAAGAATCCAAATTAGCTAAAAATGCAGCTTATTTTTCTCTTGTAGGCAGGGCTTTAACCCAGTAGGACAGGGGTATTAAGACTTTTACATAGAACATTATCAAAGTGGATCCCATCTACCTTTGCAGAAGGCATCATAAGGGGAACTGCCTGACCTGCCACACCTGTCACAGCATAGGCTGTGCAACTGTGTCCTGGAGCCAGAACTCAAACCTTGATTCTGTGTCCAAGGCATGAACCAAGGAGTTTTCCGAACTAGCCACATACTTCATCAACCCACTCACACCAAGAAAGAAAATCAGAGCTGGTCTATAAAGAGGACAGACTGCTATGACCATGGGCAGCTGTATTTGGGGCTCAACCTAAGAACACTGGGAGAAGGGAAAAAGATTGTGAGACTTGGAATCAACCTAATAACATTGGGAGGAGAGGAGAGAAGAGATTGTGAGACTTGGAAGGGCCAGTCCTATGGCATGGATGTTGCTGGGCCTTTAACCTCTACCCTTGACCACAGCAAAGGGAGCAATGGCAAGGAAGGTTTAATACCCAAGACTGAGGTCTCAAGATGCAGAAGCCAGTGAGGGAAGACTCTGGTGACCCAGACCCAATCAATACTGCCCATGTAGTCCATTTTATGGGCATGAAATGGAGTGAATTTCTCCACCAGAAAAGTAGTGAGAAACCTCACCAGGAGCACTGTAAATCCTCTGGTTTAATAATGACCCTCATGTGGAAACAGTATCAATGCCAGTCACGCTAGAGTCAGAGAACAACCTAGGAACTGTCCAGAAGCTGAGGTAATAGAAGTGAAAAGCTACAGAGGATTGCAAAATTAAACCCAAGCACATTTATGAGCAGCTTGCAAGGGAAGACAGCACCAGGTACGGTGGATACAGGTACTTGGGTTAATCCTGCCAGGACTGCAAACAAGACAAGGGGTCCACACCAGCTTATTCAACCCTACACATTTCAATTGGGAGCCAGAGTTCTTTTGGCTGGAATCACAATTCAACCCCACACCCCCTACTCAAGGGAAAAAGTAGGAAATGCTGGAGGAGGGAAAAATAAATTCTGATGAAAAGATCATCAATGGCTCAATTTCAAATGGGATGCTGACTGTTCTTAGCAGCTTAGGACCATGTGGAAGCACACCTAAACTAAATGTTAAGAGTTGCAATCTTATTTACTCCTAAGTAGTATGTTCTATAGCAATAACAAGCAAAAGTTGACGTGTTCTTACAAGTATGCATTACAGCCCCATGAAGGACTGAGCATTGCAAATTTCGTCAACAATTATAACAGCATATGACAAGTGACATAAAATAGAAGGTAGATGACATTTTAGCTCTTGAATGAAACAGTCTCACCTCTTTGCTGTGGTAGAAAGCATGAGACTTAAAAGACAAAACATCCTTTGAATATAATGATCAGTCATCTCCATTTTTTATTCTCATTCTGATAAATTTAATAGAAACAGACTTTGCAGGAGATAGTTACACGAC
Source organism: Homo sapiens (assembly GCF_000001405.40). Taxonomy (NCBI): domain Eukaryota; kingdom Metazoa; phylum Chordata; class Mammalia; order Primates; family Hominidae; genus Homo; species Homo sapiens. The sequence goes on along the minus strand of NC_000004.12, from coordinate 10,336,853 downwards.
AAGGGTGAAAAAGACAGGGGTGTGTGAGCAGCTCTCCCAGGAGAAGGAGAAAGTCCCCATCACAGGAAGGAAGAGTGGGGAGCTCCTTGCTGCAGTAGACACTGAGGTCATTTGTCTTCTGCTGAGACAGAAACACAGGCAGCTGCACATTCTACTTGAATGACTGAGCTGCCCCAGGCCATGCCCTCATCCTCTCAGCTAGCTCATTTTCCTGCAGAGGCACCCCAGCAGCTCAGGGGAATAGATACTTGGGTAAAGAGAAAATTGGTGGAATGTTAGAGGTAGCGGGTTAAACCGGACTGTAGCCCTCCAGGAGGGATGTTGTGAAATGGATTGCTCGTGGTTCCTCCAGGGTCCCCAAGCAGTGTTGAGTCTCAGTCACCTCCATCAGTGACCAGCTCAATCCTAACCCCTCTTCAGTGGCTGCCCTCTCTACATTGCCACCCCCTTTCACTCTCCTCTGGGCTCCCTTGGATCACTTTCAAATAAGGGACCAATAAAGTAGGCAGATGAAGGGTCCCTCTTAAGTCCTCCTCCAAGCCCCGAGAACCCATGAATATGCTATGCTACACAGCAGGCAGGGAGTGAAGGGGAGAGACGGAAATGAGGTTGCTCATCATCTTGAAGGTACAGAGATTCCCGGGATTGCTCAGGGGGAGCAATGTCAGGAAAGTGATTCAAGTGTGAAAGTGGGAGAGGCAGGGAGAATTGGAGGGGAGAATCAGAATTCGAGATGTGGGTGCACACTGGGCAGACAGAGGTGGTCCCATCTGAGGCAGAAAAGGGTCCCCACACTGAAGGTTACAGAAGAAACAAGGTAAGGAATGCTGGGGGTCTCTAAAGATAGCTAAAGGCATGAAACAAATTGCCCAATGGAGCAGACAGACAACTTTGCCAACATTTTCATTTTTTCCGAGTGACTCCATTCTAAACACCTCTCATCTCTCTGATAGAATAAATTTATTTACATTTAAGCTCCTAATGCACTGATTACTTATCACAATACCATAGGAAATATAGCACCTGTCCAAAATTCTTACTTCAACATTCAGGGGAATCCAGAAGTCACTGCTTTTCACCTTCTATTTCAACTAGGAGGCCTTAGAACTCTCCTCTCTGGTGACCCTAATCCAGAAAACAGGCAAGAAGAATGGCCACACATCCTCTTAGCATCCCAGGAGGGAGATTTTGCAGTGATATTACAGATGGTTCTCATTTCAAGTGAGTGTCAAATGCTTTGAAATAGATTAAAACATGAAAGAAATCGGTATTTTGGTTTTCTATGGAGGAAACTAAATATACAGCACAGTACATTAATGAACTATTCTATGGAGCAAGACATCTTCCTCACTGGATTCTACCATCAGAGTAGAAATCATATATAAATCATTCCAAACACAAAAACCAAACATTTTCAAAATGCCCGTTTCCAAGCAACTAAGTAGACTGACAGACAACCGAGTGCTTCCTGAAGTTCTGCGTCCCAGAGAGGCTCCCACTTCACAGGAGAGCACGAGGTCCCTGCCTTTCCCAAGCTGTAGGTCAGCATGGCTCCCAACTAGCACATTTCTCACTGCACACTCACAACAGCAAGCTCTTCCTGACAGACAGCTCTAAATCATCTTCCTCTTCCCGCTATGTCTGCTGCCTTCCAGGCTCTTAGAATCACTTTCCAAGAAAGAAACACAAAACACAAACGTGAAAGGGTCTAAGATATGGAAAGCAAGACCAGCAGCGAGAACACTAGGAGAAAGGACCATGACATCCGAGACCCCCATCAGTACTGCCCACAAACTCCACACCCAGTGGAACTTTCCTGGGAGTAAAATGTCAAATCTCTGAGCAGTCAGGTGGTTGTACACTTTACCTGGACCATTCCAGGCACTCCGGCTTGGGAATGACTCTCACAAACACAAAATGAACAAGAGCACCCTGCAGACAAGGATCAAAGGCTAACCTAGGCTGTGTCTAAGAGACAGAGATGATGGGTGTCAAAGCACTTTATAAAGAACTGGGCAAAGTTACAGCAGACACTCTTGGCAGCAGCTTCCACTAGAAATCAGCACAGGTTCTGGTTGACTCAGGGACATGGTTTAGTCCCGCCAGGGACAGTTAGTATAAAAGTTTCAAAGGATCTCATCACTCCTGCTCATTCAATCCTAAAAGTTGTAATTGGGAGGCAGTGACTTTGGTCTCTCTCACTATGACTCAATGCATCCGAACAATGTGGGACATTGGAAGGAATACATTTCTTCCTTCAAAATATACCAGTTGCACAAAAACAGATGCAGACTTAAAAGCTCACATGCAAAAGTTTCTTTAAAAAAACTAAATGTGTTAACAGTTTAGATCCTATTTACACCTAAACTTAGAGTATATTGCAATAAAATGCCACATTCACATATGCATACACAATGAGAAATCTGCACACTCAAATCTCTCACATCCCACTGAAGGAATGAAGTTTGTAACTTCCTTCTAGTAGTTCATCTTAGAACTCATGGTATATAACAGAGAGCTGACGTTTAAAGGAACACTACTTTTAGATCTTTAAGCATACAATCTCATTTTTGTGGAAGAGAAAGTAGGAGACTTAGAAGTTATTAAAAGGATGACTTGTCAATTTTTGTATGCAACTTTTTACATCCTGTGTGAGGCACAGAAAGCTGAATGACATACAAGGGTATGTTAAGAATCTCTTCCTAGGAGAGGGAAGTGTCCCTATTACAGGAAGGCAGTAGAAAGCTCCCTGCTGCAGTGGATCCTGAGCCCATCCCCCACATGCTGAAAGGGTGATCCCAGCCTTTAGCATTCTTCTGGAATGACTGGGCTGCTCAGGGCTACACCTGTACCTTTTTAGTCTACTTGTTTTCAGGCAGAGCCACCTTTCAGACAAGAATTCATGGCCTTCAGGATAAAGGAAAAACTAAGGAACATGTCTGATAGGGTTGACGGTGACCAGAACATCATCCCAAAGGGACGATCGAGATGCATTATCCCTGGCTGAAGACATACAGCAAGATAGAGTCCCAGTCGCCTCCATAAGTAAGCTCAATTCCCTCCCCACCCACCCCCCCGACCCCTTCACTGGTTATTCTCGCCACCCTTTCACCAGTTCAGCATCTTCCTGTGGGCTTCCTCAGGACACTTTGAAATTAGGTACTCAATAACATGGGCAGATTAGTGACCCCCTGAGATTTGTAAGTCTTAATCCTTAGATGCTGGGAACATGTTTTTGATATGGCAAGGGGGTATTTGGGAGACAGAACTGAGGTTGCTAATCAGCTAACGTGCAGAGATCACCCTGGATCCTCCAGGAGGGTCCCTTGTCATCAAAGGTGATTCAAAAAATTAAGCAGAAGAAGGAGACAGAAGCAGAATGAGAATCAGATCTCAAGAGGCACTCCCAGCTCTGAAGCTGAGGGCGGAATCCCTCCATGTGAAGCCCAGAAAAAGGGGCCAGAAGTCAAGGAATGCAGTGGGCTGCTGAAAAGGAAGTCAAGGAAACAGACAGTCCTCTAGAAAAAAACAAGCCAACCATGTAGACAGCCTCATTTTGTCTAGGTGAGAGCAATTTCAGTCTATTGATCACCACTGTAACGTGAGATAAACCTGTTTTACTTTTCAGCTTTCTACATATGGCTAGCCAGTTTTCCCAGTACCATTTATTAAATAGGGAATCCTTTCCCCATTTCTTGTTTTTGTCAGGTTTGTCAAAGATCAGATAGTTGTAGATATGCGGCATTATTTCTGAGGGCTCTGTTCTGTTCCATTGGTTTTATATCTGTTTTGGTACCAGTACCATGCTGTTTTGGTTACTGTAGCCTTGTAGTATAGTTTGAAGTCAGGTAGCGTGATGCCTGCAGCTTTGTTCTTTTGCCTCAGGATTGACTTGGCAAATGCAGGCTCTTTTTTGGTTTCATATGAATTTTCAAGTAGTTTTTTCCAATTCTGTGAAGAAAGGCGTTGGTAGCTTGATGGGGATGGCATTGAATCTATAAATTACCTTGGGCAGTATGGCCATTTTCACGATATTGATTCTTCCTACCCATGAGCATGGAATGTTCTTCCATTTGTTTGTATCCTTTTTTATTTCATTGAGCAGTGGTTTGTAGTTCTCCTTGAAGAGGTCCTTCACATCCCTTGTAAGTTGGATTCCTAGGTATTTTATTCTCTTTGAAGCAATTGTGAATGGGATTTCACTCATGATTTGGCTGTTTGTCTGTTATTTGTGTATAAGAATGCTTGTGATTTTTGCACATTGATTTTGTATCCTGAGACTTTGCTGAAGTTGCTTATCAGCTTAAGGAGATTTTGGGCTGAGATGATGGGGTTTTCTAGATATACAGTCATGTCATCTGCAAACAGGGACAATTTGACTTCCTCTTTTCCTAATTGAATACCCTTTATTTCCTTCTCCTGCCTGATTGCCCTGGCTAGAACTTCCAACACTATGTTGAATAGCAGTGGTGAGAGAGGGCATCCCTGTCTTGTGCCAGTTTTCAAAGGGAATGCTTCTAGTTTTTGCCCATTATGATATTGGCTGTGGGTTTGTCATAGATAGCTCTTATTATTTTGAGATACATCCCATCAATACCTAATTTATTGAGAGTTTTTCCTTACACCTTATACAAAAATTAATTCAAGATGGATTAAAGACTTAAATGTTAGACCTAAAACCATAAAAACCCTAGAAGAAAACCTAGGCAATACCATTCAGGACATAGGCATGGGCAAGGACTTCATGTCTAAAACACCAAAAGCAATGGCAACAAAAGCCAAAATTGACAAATGGGATCTAATTAAACTAAAGAGTTTCTGCACAGCAAAAGAAACTACCATCAGAGTGAACAGGCAACCTACAAAATGGGAGAAAATTTTTGCAACCTACTCATCTGACAAAGGGCTACTATCCAGAATCTACAATGAACTCAAATTTACAAGAAAAAAACAAACAACCCCATCAAAAAGCAGGCGAAGGATATGAAGAGACACTTCTCAAAAGATGACATGTATGCAGCCAACAGACACATGAACAAATGCTCATCATCACTGGCCATCAGAGAAATGCAAATCAAAACCACAATGAGATACCATCTCACACCAGTTAGAATGGCCATCATTAAAAAGTCAGGAAACAACAGGTGCTGGAGAGGATGTGGAGAAATAGGAACACTTATACACTGTTGGAGGGACTGTAAACTAGTTCAACCATTGTGGAAGTCAGTGTGGTGATTCCTCAGGGATCTAGAACTAGAAATATCATTTGACCCAGCCATCCCATTACTGGGTATATACCCAAAGGATTATAAATCACGCTGCTATAAAGACACATGCACACATATGTTTATTGCATCACTATTCATAATAGCAAAGAGTTGGAACCAACCCAAATATCCAACAACGATAGACTGGATTAAGAAAATGTGGCACATATACACCATGGAATACTATGCAGCCATAAAAAGGACGAATTCATGTCCTTTATAGGGACCTGGATAAAGCTGGAAACCGTCATTCTCAGCAAACTATCACAAGGACAAAAAACCAAACACCTCATGTTCTCACTCATAGGTGGGAATTGAACAATGAGAACACACAGACACAGGAAGGGGAACATCACACACTGGGGTCTGTTGTGGGGTGGGGGGACGGGGTAGGGATAGCATTAGGAGATATACCTAGTATTAAATGATGAGTTAATGGGTGCAGCACACCAACATGGCACATGTATACATATGCAACAAACCTGCACGTTGTGCACATGTACCCTAAAATTTAAATAATTAAACAAAAAACCTGTTTTACTTAAGCACTAACTTGATGTCCATTTAGTACAGCAGAAAGAGAAAGAAATGTAAGACCTGTCCAACATTCCTAATATTCTTTTGTCAGGGGGATCCGGAGTCAGTCACTGATGTTCACCTGAAAGTTCCTCTAAGAGTCTTCGTAACTATTCTTACCCTGAGAATCAATGAAGAACAAAATTAAAGGCAACGTATAGTATATCCTGAGCATTTCAGTGTTTAAGTGTGATAAATAGATGTGTTTGTTCAATTTACGTGGGAAATGTATAGGCACAAATGGCATGAAAGACAGATTAAAATTTACAAGAGTAGGTCCTGATTATTTGTTTTCTATGAAGTGTACTAAATATACGATTTAGAACTTTCTACAAGGTATTCTGTTACCCAAATAACTTCCCCACTTGATTCTATCACCAGTTCAGATATGACACCAGTTGCTTATCAGTTGTTCCAAACATAAAGAGATGGAAATAGTCTTCAAAATGTCACTCTACCACGACTGACAGGCTAGAACAACCAAAAGCACTGTCATTCTCTCCACCTTAAACTATGTGGAAGGTCCCATTCAGATGGACCAGGAGGTTCCCTGCTCTTCATGAATTGCAGGTCAGCACAGCACCAGGAGAGGCTGATAATTTCTCACTAAGGACTGACCATTAGTGAGTCTTTCTCACAGATGGCTCCGAATATTCTCCACCCTCCCTATTGGTAGCCTCTACCCCCAGCTGTCAGAACCACCTCCCCCCAAAACTACCACCTTACAAATCTGAAAGAATCCTACACGTGGAAAGCAAGACCACCAGCTGCTTCCACATCTAAGAGAACCCTGGCTCATGGTTTGTGCCCCCAGGGGCCTGGCAGGCCCAGCACACCCACCCATGGGGATGAGAATGATGTCAAAATCCTGCCCCTTTGATAGGAGACCACTGAGCCCTTGTTACCCAGAGGAGGTGGTGCTATTGCCAACTATGATCAACATTGTCTGTAAATTTTCCGGGACAACGTTCAGACATTACCACAGGCACCATAAAAAAAGGCAGAAGCCTCCAGCACCAAGTATTCTGCATTGAGTCCTTCTCCTTTAGGTGAGCTTAAAGTTCTGCACCTACCACCGACTTGAGAAACTGCCAGGATACTTAAATCTGTCACAAGGAACTACTTGCTGGTGAACGGTGACTCAGGAGACTCCCTGACCTGCTGAATGATCCAGGGAGAAGAGACAGAATGAGAAGAGTTCCGTGGGGATACAGGTTGCACTTCCCAGGCATCAGGGAGGTATATATATCATCTTCCTGTGTAGTCTAGGAGGTAGAAAGAGAAAAGTACATTTCTTCAGTGCTCCCTAGCCTTCAACACCCATGGTAAGCTGGGTCCCAAAAAGGATTGGGTTGGTGGACCAGCTCTATTGAATCTAACAAGGCAGCTGTCCCTTGTCTAGTCAAAAAGGAGAAATTTGCTTTTCAGCTCTCTGCATGCACTGCACTCTGCCAAGGCTGGATGGAATTTCAGGCCAGAGGGTAGGCTGGGTACAGAACTCAAAGCCAACAGACTGAAATGACTTGTCTTTACAGTAGACCCTATTTCCTGAAACTGAGCTGAGAATTTTCCTGGTTCCAAGCTACAGAATTACTCTAAACATGGTACAGCTTGAAGGAAACAACATTCAGGATAGAACCTAAGGAAGCACCTGTCAGTGCAGAGCAGCTCATTGGATGCCTGGCAGTTCTATCAGGACCCGTTAGGAAGCTCCATAAGCCTCTTTGATCCAGGCCCCAAACTGGCCCTTATGAGATCCCAACTTGTGTTGTCACCAATTACTGCAAAGACATAATTTTGACCACCTATCATATTGGTGTCACTTCACGTGAAACAGCACAGAGCCAATTCTGTAAAAGTTTCTTTAGTAAGTTGGAGCAGACTGACAGCTGTCACAGCCTGGGAGAAGGTACTTAGCCCAACAGCACAGGCACAAACAGGACAGAATCCAGGAGGGTGGGCTGCCATCTCATTAGACTGAGTGTTTACCTTACGGGAAGGTATCAACCACAGCTATCAGAATCACAGCCACCAGCCAATGCCTGAGAACATTCCCTTAGGCATCAAGTGTGAGATTCACAGGAGGCCCTCAGAGCTGCAGCACACATTCTCTGGGTGGGGAAACAGCCAGCGACACAGGCTCCATAAGGGGCATGACTGAGTCAACTTGGAGAAACCTAGGGACAGACTTAAGGATCTTTACAACAAAGAACACTCAGAGGAAGAGAGCAGCTATAACCTCGACTGCTCAAAGCACTGCTTTCCTAGCCATGTGTGTTCTTACTGCCTCTAAGCTGCAGAAGTGAGGAGGTAAACCAAAGGGAGTAATGCCTGCTTTTCACTTACCCACCGCAATTGCAGTAGCCCCTTAGAGCAGGGTGGAGAGTGATCAGGACTGCAGACATTTGGGTTCAGAGTCACCTCCATGCCCTTTTTACTTGTGGTTCAGAAACCTCTGTGCCCTCATTCTCAGAGCCACCACCACCAATGGGAAATAGTCAACAGATCTAACGCAGCTGACACCTGATGCTTCTATCTTTTTACTATCTGATGGAAGAACCTCTAAGACTAAGGCAGGGAAATGATCCCATGGCAATATATTGAGGAGCCAGAGATTTCACAGCCTAGGTGTGTGAATATTCAGAGAACATCTGAGAAACCAGGCTCAAGATAAACACTGCTCATGTCACAGCCTGTGGACATGTCTGGAGATAAATCAGATGTAAAATATGCTCTGTAACATCCAGAGGGAGAGCATCTCACTAGGCCTGTCTGAAGTACTCTGAGGAGAGGGACCCACTCATGATACGCAAGGAAGAACAACATCAGGCAGACAAGCTAAAGGACACCCTAGGCTGTGACCATGAGGGGTGGAAGGATGATGTCACAAACTCCACATATGCACCTGCTGGTGACATGAAAGCAAAGTAGCTTTGGAATCATTTATGTTACATCATTGGTGTATTAACCTAGACCCAAGGTGAGATGTTTGAATGAACACAGGACCCATGCTTTCAAATGCATCTCTGTTTCATCTGACCCAGCCCTGGGTGTTTCAAAAGCAAAGACTTCCCCTCCCAGGTCGGCCTGCATGAGAATCCATGGGGCTAAGGGAGAAGGTAAAGATCACCATAAGATACATGTGGAATGCTTCAGCTATGGAATCTGGATGATCCCTATAGCAGAAGGGCTGAGACTGTCCTGCAGAAGCCAACACTCAGGATCATCAGTCATCTTGCAGAATGTGTGTGCAAGCATAGCAGAGGCTGGGAAGCTCAGCGACCTGCTCCAGGCCACCTTGTAAAAGCAACACAGCCATGGACAGTACCATGCCCATGTCCTCATCCTGGCCTCCCATACACACAAAAAACTAAAATAATGAAAATTGCTGTAAAACTCTGCATTGCATGAGAACATTTTCCTATGTAGAGCAAAGCTGAGGGTAGGGTCAGGAAGAGCCTTAACTCATGGTGATTCCCAAGTATACAGGACATTGTCCAGATGATCTCCCCTGAGAATCATGAGCTGAACAATGGCTGAAGAGAAAAACTCACTAAGCACACATCTGTGAACAAAATAGAGCCAAGATGCCATATTACCAGGTGTCAGGAGAGAGAAACTGAGACACAGGCAGTGCCCGGTGTCATAGGCTAACCACGAGCAAGGAGCTGTGCAGAATAAACTTGCAATGTCCATCTGCAAACGTTCATGCAGGGCTTGTCCCTGATGATGTCCAGTACCTGATGGCCTGTGCCAGACAGACAGAATTAAGATTGTTGAAATACAAAGCCCCTGAGGCACATCCTTCAGTGTAGAGGTAGGAGCCCAAGACAGGTCCTTGACACACCCATTCCTTCAAAGACCTTGCAAGTCAGAAGACCCACCCAGTATAGCATTATAAATTAAAGGCAAGCACTCTAGCAGGTAGAATTGATTGGTTGCACGTGGATCAGGAACAACCCGCATTCCTTGTGAATACACAAATACCAAAGACAAAGGGAAAAATTAGAAGCCCTCTGGACTGCAGGGTGTTTTGCTTCCCCACAGCAGCAGGCCAAGCCTCACTCTCTCCCCATACACAACTCAGCTCCTCATCCATGAGCTTCCTGGGCTTCAGGTCAAGGATCTGCGAAAGACAGAGCCAGTCTATACTTCCCCAATTCCCACCTCATCATCCTAGAGCACAGCCTTCAGAAAATGTCAAAACTTTCTCCTATCAAGTGATGCCAGGTCCCAGCCTGAGCACTCAAGACCATACTGTCACTTTCCATTTAAAGTGTTTCGATAATATCAAGTTGATGTCTGCAGTTTTTCAGCAGATACAAGGGTTAAAGGAAATGGTCTAGGAAGAAAATTCTTTAATGGAACAAACCTGTTTCACTCAATATATATGCCTACAACCCCCACAAAATTTCATGATGAAGAGCAACAGTTTCCTGTAGCAATTTTTCTTGCCAGAACATTGGCTTCAAACATCCATGGTTGAAGATCCTCAGCCAAGTCTCCCCCTAAAGCATTAACAACTGTAATAGAAACCTGTTCTTCCAAGGTAGATAGATGATCCTTCTGACATCCTTCTGGAAGGTTCATGTTAAGCAGACATCTCACTACAGTGCAATGAAGCTAGTCATATTACCCCATGGGCACAGTAGGCCCCATACAGTAATCATCCTTATCCCACAAAAGTTATCAAGACAGACCAGCCAGGGCCTTTGTCAGTGTTAACTCTCAGATCACTAGAAGAAAACAGTCTGTATGTGTCGATAAAGGAACTGTTCCCCTTGTTGCCGACATTAACTACATATTTATGTCTAGGATAGTTACGGCTGTACTGAATACACTGACGTCACAGGAACTATGCCGTCCTCATCCCCTAAATGAAGCAACTATGTTCAAAACATGTAAAGTGTATTAGGGACTGTAAGTCATCCAGAGATAGCTTAAAGGATGTAGGATTATGTGCACAGGTTACATGCCATTTTATACAAGAGACTTAAGCACTTGAAGGTCCTAGAATTAATCCCTTGCAATACAAGGCAAAGGTACTCATCTTATTCTGAGGGTTTAAAACTGGACTAGTCACAAGCAGTAGAATCAAAGAACAAAGATCTAAAGGTCAGATGATACTTAACCTAGTACCTTTCCACCCCAGGACAGTACATAGAGATGGATCCAGCTAATTGGGAGGTAGAGAAATCAACGTTATTCACTTATGAATCATGGGGACCCATGTGCTCTCTTAAGTTTTGGAAATACAGACTTCTCTTAGCAGCCCCTCCCATCCTCAGGCTGCCTCCTGCTGTAGGTCCATTCCTGAATCAGCCTGTCCAGGGCAGATGTATGTGAAGAGCACTCAAGGGGGTGTTCAATCCCACTACATTAGTGAGAGACCACTTAAGTCTCCTGTGTGGAGATACAGATAAGTAACTTGTCACTAGGACCATCTTTTCCTTGTGGGAGTGGTTAACCTTTCCACGAAGTTTCCTTCCAGAGTCCCAAGTGGCAATGAGAAATAAGGGAACCCCCAAGGGGTTGTTCAATTCCACTACAGCTCTCTTTAGTGCATGAAATTTTCTGTGGGTTGTAGGTATATTGAGTGAAACAGGTTTGTTTCATTGAAGAATTTTCTTCCTAGACTATACCCTTTAACCCTTGTACCTGCTGAAAAACTGTAGATATCAACTCAATGTGTTGAAACACTTTAAATGGAAAGCAAGTATGACCTTCAGCGCTCAGGTTGGGACCTGAAATCACTACCAGCTACTAAAGGACATCCAACTAGGAAGGAAACCACACACTTAGACTTTGTGGGGAGAAACAGGACCTTCATCACTACTTTCATGTAAGATTCTTGTCCTCAAAGGCAGAAATTCATCTCAGTCTTCTGCAAAGAGATCATTCTTTCATCATTGATGTCATATTCATGCAAGATGGGCAAGGAGGAATGGTCATCAGCTCTCTTTGACCAAGGGATTTCAAGCAGCAGCAAACTGTTCACATGAAATGAAAGCACAAAATCCTCCCTAGACTGAGGGGAGGGTCCTTTTAAGGCTGTAGTTATGTCACCAAGGTACCTTCAATGATAATTAGAAGGTAGGGTGAGAAAGGTACGGAAGAGCAGCTGAATCCATGTAAAGAGGAGAAACATCACTAGTGCTAACTTTTCCCTGCATGAGTGGTTAAGCTTTTCAGGAAATGTTCCTTCAGAGTCCCAAGTGTCAGAGATAGAGGAGCACCCAAGAAGGTATTCAATTCCACGACAGCTCTTTTTAGTGCATGAGTCACACAAGAGACTTAAGAGATCTCTCACTAGTTGGGGGGTCCAACAGCCAAGGTCATATGCCAGGTAATGTACAGAGTTTGAACTCTAAGGCTACATCTACAAGCCCAAGGGATGATGCAAGACACGATGACTTCAGCTCACTTCTCCCAACACAGCCACATCTCCTAGGAAGAAGTCCCCAGATGCTCAAGACTGGTAGAAACAATGAAAACCAGCTGTGTTCAGAGTCCAACATGGATCTGCTTCCCATGGACTCCTCTGATAGGAATATTCAGGAAACTGTTTTGAGGCTGGGCACGGTGGCTCACACCTGTAATCCCAGTACTTTGGGAGGCTGAGGTGGGCGGATCACCTAAAGTCAGGAGTTCAAGACCAGCCTGGCCAACATGGTGAAACCCTGGTGGTGGGTGCCTATAGTCCCAGCTACTTGGGAGGCTGAGGCAGAAGAATGGCATGAGCCCGGGAGGCAGAGCTTACAGTGAGCCGAGATCAAGCCACTGTACCCCAGCCTGGGCGACAGAGCAAGACTCTCTTAAATGACGAGTTAATGGGTGCAGCACGCCAGCATGGCACATGTATACATATGTAACTAACCTGCACATTGTGCACATGTACCCTAAAACTTAAAGTATAATAATAATAAAATAAAATTAAAAAAAATAGCTGGTCATGGTGGCATGCACCTGCACTCCCAGCTACTTGGGAGGCTGAGGCACAAGAATTGTTTGAACCCAGGAGGTGGAGGTTGCAGACAGCCGATATTGTGCAAAGGCACTCCAGCCTGGGTGGCAGAGCAAGACTGTCTCAAACAAAAAATAAGCAAAAACCAAAAAACAAACCTGTTTTGGGCAGTAAGACCTACATTATTCTGCGGATGTAGATTCCTGCCTCTGTGTAGGAACTGGGGATGTGCTCCTTGCTCTCCTACTTCCTGCTGAAAGGTCCCAAAGGCCCATTCCTTTGCCAGCTTTAAACTAAGAAATAGGACTCTTGTCTGCTACTGAAAAACAGATTTCAGAGACCAAGATGGGGCAGGACCCAACTTCCAGTTAGTTTTCCCTGTGGGACTTTCTTACCCTATAGCAGGAGATGACTTAGTTTCACCCTCAATGTGCCAGAACATCAAGATCAACAGTCACCAGAAATAGGATCCAAGAATAAGTGAGGTTGTGAGGAAGATGAAAATCCAGGGTGAACCTAGTTGAACCTGCCCCAATTGTTGCAGGACCAATGAGGTGCCAGCAGGTATCCATGTAGAAAATCAAGTCAGAACAACTTTATGTTGAAGTCCCCAATGGGAGGCTATCATCAAGTCTGGGCCATTTTATCATCAACTGAGCCCAACCTGACACAAACAGGCTCACTGCTCTTTCCTAAGGAAGGAAGATATGGAATACCTACTACAGACCAGGAAGAAGATACAAGTTCAAAAATCAGTCCCTATGGAGATGAGCAGCTTGCTATCCTCCTCTGCATAGCTGTCCAGGTTCCATCGGCCTCACCTCTGGAGCAGGAAGTACTCACCACAGAGCACCCTGGACTCAGACTTATCCCCAAGGACCAACACACCTCAGTGGGTCCCCTGGCTGCATCCTTGCCAGCATCACTGGCAGAGTAACCAAGATGCCTGAGTCCTCAGAATCCCCAGCCTGGGAGCTCCCTAGGTTCACAGAGCTGTTTCTCAGCATCAAGGATGAGTGGACCTGCATCTTCTTGCAGCTCTGCTGCCCAACAATGCTTCTTTCAGGGTCAGCCACTCAGACAATACACTAATTCCTTCTAAGGGGCAGCCTTCTTGCTGCTTGCTTACTGTAGCCAACCTTCAGGGGGGCTGTGACCCAGCAGCAGCAGGAAAGGATCTCTGAGAAAAAGCCAGATCAGAGAGAATACCTGCAAGACATGACCAACAGCTGCCTCCCCCACCTACAATACGGTGATACAGAGCTGGCTGTCAGTTTGGGGACAGGGTCGGGTCACCACAGCAGTGCAATCATGTGGGACTGTAAAGGTTCCAGAGATCAACGCCTTTCCACCAGAGTCGTCCTGGGTGCCCAGAGAAGGCACAGCATTGTCCACAATGACCATCATCCCATTTGTCCCCTGTCTGTAACAACTTTTATTGGTGCCAATGGCATCCAGAGAAACTACAGGGAACATCCAACCCCAAGCTTCTAGTGTTCAGATGGCTTGACGAAAATTTCAGGAGCAGTACCTGAATCCTAACAGCTTCGGAGAAAACACAGATGTATGTCAAAACCTTCAACCTTGGTCAATGTCCCCTCAGCCTGTTACACTGGAAGGAGGGCCTTGAGTGAACTGTCCAGGTCCTTGGCGTTTTTAACACAACACAGAAGCAAAGTAACAAAGGAATGAAACACAAACGATGCAGCAAAAGCCAATATCAAAGTGAGAAAGCATCCATGGGGTGGGAGTGGGCCTCAGCAAGTGGCACAAGAGCCGGGTTACAAAGTTCTCTGGGTTTTAAGTTCTCCTTTTGAGGTCCCCATCTGTTACCCCTTATCTGGATAAAGGATTTGGTCCATGGCTAATTAAGGACTGAGGTGAACTGGCACCCTCTGCAGATAAACAGATGGTCCCTGCATAACCTGCATCCAAGCCAGTACACACACTTCCTTTCCTCTGCCACGTGGTGGACAGGGGAAGATAGAGGGAGAATAGCCTTGGATCCTTTGCTACTCTTGTGGGGGAGATGGGGTTTTCCCTTGGGTTTAGCTTTAGGAAGTGGTTAATGGGACCTAGGTTCCCTGACCCCAGACCCAGATGTTTTCCTTTTGATGTAGCTTTGGGAAGTCAGCACAGATTGAACTCAGGTTCCCTGCCCCCACGACCTTGGCGTTTTTCCTCAATTTAGCATAAATTACTTTAAGTTACCTGCCTGCAAACGCCGTTTCTCCTGCCTCAAGCCAGTTAGAGTACAAAAGTGATCCTTGATAGACGTTTCCTACCAAGAGGACACTGTTGTGTAGCAACAGTAAGACATAGAACTATAAAGTCCTAGTCATTTAAAGGGCACCGTCCCTTTAAGCTTTACTCAACAGAGAATTGTTAAAAATAAGGTAAAGAAACTGACTTACATAGAATTGATACCTTTCAAGATAAGGGAGCAGACATTAGACAAACAAAGGAGCACCCTGAAGTCTTAACACAGGTGAAAATGTGCAGCCAGCATACAGTGTATCATAAACCTGACAAATACTGGAATGAATGGCAGAAGATCACCTGGAGACTTCGTGATGATTAGAGGAAAATACCAAGGCTAACAGGAGGATAAGGAGATAGAGTATTGTCTTATATCAAATATACTTCACCTCGACTCCAAAATGCAAGCTGAGAGGTACAGGACTTTTAGGCATTTGGGTTCAGGGTGCCCTCCACAACCCAAGACATGAGCTTCATCTATAGACCCCCTCCCCCGCTCAGACAGCTCATCCAATTGTGTGACTTACAGACATCACCACGAAGAACAGCAGTGGTGAATTGAACAGTTCTCTGCATTACTGATGTAGGGTATTTATGACTACATCATCCTTACCAAACACAATATAATCTTAATCCAGATTAAGTTGAGAATTCCGGACTACCTACAATTGGCTTTTGTGAGCACCATAAGTTAGAATATGCAGGGTTTTAGTTTGGTCTGGTCAGCACTGAAGCATGCCATGCCACTCCCAGAATCCAGGTGCATCTAACAGCTCATTTTGGCATCTTGGCAGGACTCTGCACTTGTGGGGCTGTATGATGGACTTGCAGATAGAACAAGTTTAAGTCGTCTCTCCATCCACTTTTACAAAAGGCATCACAAGGGGAACGGACCTGCCACACCACACACTGTGTGACACTTGTCCTGAGGCTACAACTCTAGGGACCTTGATTTGGCATCCTAGAAAAACATGAAGCCAAGTTTCCCTGGCTAGCCAGATACCTCTTCTTTCTTGGGGTGAATAGGTTGAAGGGCATCAGCTGGTACATAACGAGGACACATTGCCAAGACCAGGGGGGCTCAGCCTGCCGTCATCAGGAGGAGGGAAACATTGAGATGGGACTGCCAGTCCTGCAGCATGGGTATTTTTCTGGCCTCATAACCTCCACCCCACAACACAGCAAAAGGAGCCCATGACAGAGAAGTCTGAACACCACAGACCTAGAGCCCAGGGGAACAGACTGCAGTGAGCCAGGCCCACGCCTGGAGCCAGTGCCCATGCCATCCACATCCAGTGGAACCTCCCTGTGTGTAAAGCAGAGCAAATCTCCAGCAGAGGTGATCAGTGGTGAGCAACCTGACCAGGAACATTCCAAATACTCATTTGACAATGACCATCATTGTGCACAGACAGAACAGCAGTGTCAGTCATACAAGGGTCAAAGGACAACCTAGGCTGCGTGGAGAGGCTGAGGTAATTGAAGTAAAAAGCCACCTGCAGAGGGTAGCACAGTTAAAACCAAACATTAGCCAGCAGCTTCCAAGGGCAGACAGCATCGAGTATGGGAAATTCAGGGACGTGGCTTAGGCCTGCCAAGAACTGCAGGCAAGAGAAGGGGTGCACATCAGTTCATTCTTCCTTCTCAGTCCCCCAAATTTTACTTGGAAGTCAGAGTTCTGTTTGGCTGGGGTCACAATCTGAGGGAGCAGAAAAATCTACGATGTTGGATGAGGAGAAAAATTCTTCACAACTAGAGCTGTAGTTGCTCTAATTCAAATGGGATGCCAACTGTTCTTAGAAGCTCAAATACAGGACAAAAGCACATCTTAAGAAAATGTAACAGTTTAGATCGTATTTGTTCTCAAACAAGGTATGGTATGTGGCAATGAAAAGCAATAGGTGACATACAATATGCTCCATGTGGCAGTCTAACCGATAACCTGCATTATACCCCCAATGAGTTTTGCACATTTCTACAGCAGTTGTCACATTGGCAACATGACACACAACAGGAGGTAGATGAAGGTTTAGCTCTATTTATATAATCTCACCTATTTTCTGTGGGGGGAGAAAGTATGAGATTTAAAGACAAGTCATTCATCGAACAAGTTAACCTTTCTCACTTTCTGCATCCTGAGATATTTAAAAAACGGGGAGACCCAGGTTGTATCCCATTCTACTTGAATGACTGGGCTGCTCCAGGCCACACCCTCACCCTCTGGGTCCATGGTTTTCATGGAGAGTCATAGCTCAGTAGCTCAGGGGAAAGTGTTACCCTAGGTCAAGGGGAAGCTTCAACAGAGTTGGTGGGTAACAGACTCTTAGCCCCAAGACAGATATTCTGCATGCAGTATTCATGGCTCCTGCAGGTTCCCCCCCATCAGGATTGAGCCTTGGTCACCGCTAAGTGACCAGCTCAATCCTATCCCACTAGAAGCTGCTATTGCCACCCACTCACGGATTCACCATTGTCCTCTGGTGTTCACGGCATCACTTCCAGGTGAAGTACCAAGGAAAGCGGCCAGAGACAGTCCTCTAATACCCATGTCCCCATCCTTGGAACCTGTGAATACATGCTACACAGCAAGGGTGAATTAGGACCCAAGGCATTGGGTTGTAGTCAGCTGACTTTAATCACCTTGCTGACAGTGGGCCCCCTGGCCAAACCCAGGGTAATCTTAGCTTAACATGATAAAGAGGAAGACTGAGAATTGGAGGCAAGAGTCAGAAGAAAAAAATCAGAGCATGGTGCTGACTCAACACCAATGAAGGTCCTGACTGAGGATTAACTAAGAAGCCACAAGTCATGTTTTATATGGGGTCTAAAGTGAGGAAAGTGATCTCTGAAGCAGCCAGAAAGAAATACAACCTTGCTAACAACTTTGTTTTCTCTAAATGAAACCTATTTCAAACTTCTGATTTCTAAAACTGTAAGAAAGTTGATTTGAGCTCCTAAGTCATTTGCAACACCATACAAAATATAGCACCTGTCAAATTTAGTTTCAACATTCATGGAAATCCAGAATCGTCTTTGTTTTTCCTTGTATTTTATATAGGAGCCCTCAGATCTGTTTCTCTGGCAACCCTGGATCAAGAAAGGCAGGCAAAGAAAATTGTAATGAATCTTAGCATTCCAGGGTAGAGATATTGGAAAAATTTAGAGTAGCCATTTATTTGTCAAATGTGTCAAACAGAAATGCCTTAAAAGATACAGATTCAAACAAAAGAGAACAGATTTTCAACGACGGAAGCTAAATCAAAATTTCCAAGTTTGCTCTAGGCCCAGGCCATTTCCACACTAGATTCTACCACCAGCTAAGGTAGAAATATATAATATGCAGATTGTTTCAAATCCAAGTCAGACATCTTAAAAACGGCATTCTTTCCTAACTAGGTGGACTTAGATAACTGGGTGCTTAAATTCTCCATCCTAGAGAGAATCCCCTTTCAGAGTGGGCCACGAGGTCCCTGCTGTCCATGATCTGTAAAGTCAGCATAGCTCCCATGAGGCAGAACATTCCTCACCCAGCACACAGGATAGTTGTCCTGACACACTGCTCCAAGCTTCCTCCACCCTCCCCTGTGGCAGCCACCTTCCAGGCTCTGTGAAACACTTACCCAGAACCTGAAAATAGCTAAGACCTGGAAAGCAAGACCAGCAGCTGCTTCCACATCAAGAGAGCCCTTTGGTTCACTCTTGGGCCCCAGGAACCAGACAGCCAAGCACTTTCACACCCTGGTGATGGGCATGGAGTCAGAAACAGGATTCTTGGATTCAAGACTACTGAGCCTTTCTTGTGCAGCAAAGCTGCTGACATGACCGCAATCAGCACTGCACCCAGAATTTGCGGAACAGCACGTTTCAATGGTTTGCACAAGCCGTAAGAAAAGCAAAGGTTTCCAGCACCACGCATTCTGCGCTCAGTCCTTCACCACCTCTGGGTGAGTTTAAGCTGTCGCATCTATCATTGACCTTTCTGAGAAACTGCCAGAGCAGGTTTAAATCACTGGATGGAACTACTTGTTCCTTTCAAGGTGAAAAATCACTCAGGAAAATGTGTTCTGCTCAACAGTCTGTGGGGAAGAAACAGAATCAGATAGCCACTCCATGTGAGCATGGGTCAAATAAGTAACACTGAAGTCACAACAGTCTCCAGGCATGAAAGGAGTGTCTGGCTTTCCTCTAGAGTCCATGAGGTCCAGATGTGCAGGACATCCCATTTTTAGTTCTCCTTAACCTTAGATAAGCAGTGGACCAGCCCTAGTGACACTGACAAGGCAGCTGCTCCTCGTCCAGTCATAAAGGAAGGGTGTTGTTTTCAGCTCTCACCACAAATGGCCACTTCCAGCCCAAATGAAGCTGAAGGTTAGAGGCTGGGGTTAGGTACAGGCCTCACAGCACCGGCAGCTTGCAGTGAGTTATCCTTACAGTGGACTCAGTCTCTGGATCGGTGCTAGATTCCTGGCCCCACGCTGTGGAATTATCCTGCATAGATGAAGCAGCCTGGAAGAATGAGAACATTCAGGATGAAACCTCAGAAGCACCTGCCAGTGTAGAGCTGCTCACTGGATGCTGGGCAACACTCAGCAGGACCCTGAGGAGGTGCCATCAGGCTGGCTCTTAGCCCCAAGCCTCACCTGGCCCTAATAAGATCCCAACGTGGGTTACCACTCGTTATTGAAGCAGGATAGTTTAGTTGCCAAAATATATATCATGCTTCAGGTAGAACTGCTGAGTCTATCAAAATTCTCACTGTACTGGCTCTCTAAAATCACCCAAGGCACATCAGCCTCAAGCACCAAGGTACACGTCTGCAGTACAAAAAGAATACTACCCTTAAAGATGTAGGTTGGATGTGGTAGGCAATCCTAGGAATGAGATTCTGGGACATCATTTTCCATGTGGGTTTTTAGAGGATTCCCAGGGAGACTGAGTTGCACACAGCATAGAGGTGACCTCTTCAATGCTCTCCCAGTTCTGGCTGCTCTTCCTACCCTGTCTTCATTACTCCTCCATGTTTCCTGGAGTCACTTTCACAAGCCTTTCTACCTCAAACATAGGTCTCAGTATCTGAATTTAGGATATCCATATGCAGATACTTGGGTCTCACTTCAGATAAGAATCTTAACTATTCTTCTACTGGCATGATTCATCCATTTGAAAATGCCCAATTATTTCTATCAAGAATAAAGGTGGGACTTGTTTTACAGTCTCTAGGGGAAGTGCATATTATGAACTCCATTCAATTAATCCATTTTTTCAATGTTCTTATCAAGATTGTCTGAAATCGCAGGAAGTAGGTGTAAGATATACAGGTGGCCCAGGGAACCAAATGAATACAAAATTAAAACCTCCCAGCAAGAGCACTCTAGGAGGCCATTATCTTAAGTGAAACAACTGAGAAACAGCAAGTCAAATACCTGTTCTCGCTTGTAAATGGGAGCTACATAATGTGTACATATGGACATAGGGTGTGCAATTACAGACATTGGAGACTCAGAAGGGTCATGGGTGATGGGTCAAGGGGTAATGGGAGTGGATCATGAAAAACTAATGGATACTATGCACATTACTAGGGAGATGGATACCCTAGAAGCACAGGTTATCACTATACCAGTAACAAAATTGCACTGTACCCCTTAAATGTATAAGAAAAAGCACCCCAGGCCATCACCGTCTCCCCTTTTATACTAAAGAACTTCAATTCAAAGAAATGCACATTGTTCAAAAATTTCCAACGAAAAGTGGTCAAAGAATTTCAACTGTTATGGGAGAGACCACATTCCACTGGAACGTTGGGATTAGAAGCAAATCTCTGGGTAAGACACAGAAGCAGCCTCACTCATGCTATTTGCTCAGATCCTGATAAGCTGTCCAAACCATCTCTCCGACTCTGAGAATCATCAATTGAAAAAGGCCTGAAAAGGGAACTGAGAATAGACCTAAAAACCTAACCAAATATGGCGCCAAAAGGCCCCATCGTACAGGATCAAGCTGGAGAAACTTTTTTCTCAGAGATGCAGGCAGGGCCCAGTATCACAACCATGAGCCAAGAGCTGTGAAGGAAAGGTCATGTCCATTTTCAAGCATTGTCCCTCAGCAGTGCCTACCCCTGAAAGCCTATTGTCCCTGATGGATGGTGCCAGCCACGCAGGATCATGCATCCTTTCGAATACAGGTAGGAACCCAGAGATAGGTCTGCACACACCCATTCATTCACCAAAAAGACCCTGCCATGTTGGCCACCACCCAAGAGCAGATGAAATGTTTTGGTTTGCATATTTTACAAGTTAAAAACAAGCTCTACAGCAGGTAGAGAATTTCTGATCACTTATGGATCAGGAATAAGCTGGAGCCTCTGAGATCATGCACATAAAAAGGAGATAGAATCTAATTAGAAATCCTCTGGAGTACAGAGGGTTGCGTTTGCACAGAGCAGCCTTCCAAGCCTGACTCCATCTCTAGACACTTCAGTTAGTTCTTAAATAGCCATAATATGAAGCTCAGCACACTCAAGAATCAGAAGAAATCACCTCAACTTCCCATTACCAGTTCATCTCCCTCAGCACACAGCATTGAAAGATCTAGAAACTTATGTTTGATCGAATTATTTCAGGTTCCACTTGGCATACCAAAAACTCCTTTCTACCTGGATCTTCCTGCTCATCCCCATCACTACCTATATATATGTGGTGATCTGGGCTTGGCATATCTCCACAGTGTGGGGCCTATGTTCCAAGTAATGAGTCCTTAGGTGAAAGCAAACACAGAAGCTAGCAATTCTCTGCAGTTAAGATGAGAATTGCCAAAGGCCACTGTGGCCACCAAGACAATGACCAGATAACAGTCCTTGGGTGAATACCTCTTACCTGAGATTAAAATGGCCAACAAAAGTGAAGAATGATCCTTTTCCATGGTGTTGGTTTGTCATGCTTCCTACAGGTGACATTTTAGGCCAGCAACTTAACATTCTTGGAGTATACTTGAATTTGAGGTTTGAACTCAAAGATATTGATGCTGCTCCTTTAAAACCAAATGCTCTACGCTCTTCTCTAGTGTTTCTTCCACAAGACTGAACTCAGAATCACATGAAATGCAGCAAATCTCCTTCCAGAGCTCAAGTGGAAAAAGACAAATGCAGTCTTCTAGTTAGAGATCAAGTCTCTGCCTATAAAATCCAATATAATCCCCAGAGAATAAAACTTACTAGTAATCCACAAGAAGGATTTCTAGTGTGTTGTCAGTTATGTTGGCATTAACATGGTAAGTTGGTTTTTCCAAATGAGCCCATGAACTGACCCTGGAAAGGCCTGGCAGATGAGCGATCTCAGTTATTCAAACACACATTTCAGTGTCAGTCCTGGGTATCATCCACACCACCGCAAACTCTCGTGGCTTCACTGCTGTCCTCCACCTCCCCCACTACAAGAGATGGTAAGAATTAACCACCAAGACAGCTGGAGATGTGTCTCCAATATGCACAAGTGTGTGAAATGCAGACATAAGAGATTTTTTTCTTCAGACTCTAGCACTTACGGCAAAGAAAGGTCGAGAGGAATCAGACGTGTTCCCACCAAGCAACTGTGGGATAACAGCATTAGAATTTCTGCTCTACAAGATTATTTACGCTTTTATTAGATTTTTGTCCCAGATTATTATTATAAGGGCTGTATCAGGCCATTCTTACATTGCTATGAAGACATACCTAAGACTGGGTAATTCTTAAGAAAAGAGGTTTAATCATCTGATGGTTCTGCAGGCTGTTAGGGAAGCACAGCACTGGCATCTGCTTCTGGGAGGCCTCAGGAAGCTTATGCTTATGGAGGCAAAGGGGGAGCTTGCATGTCACATGGCAAAAGCAAAAGAAAGGCAAGGGGGAGGTACCACACACTTTTCAATGACTGCATCTTGTGAGAGCTCACAATGGGGAGGACAGCACCAAGCCATGAGGGATCCACTTCCATGACCCAAATACCACCCACCAGGCCCCATCATCCAACATCGAAGATTACATCTCAACTTGAGATTTGGTGGGGATATCCAAACTGTATCAGGGCGATATAGGAAATATAAAAAGCAAATATGCATCTCAAGATTTCTTTGTCAGAGTTGTCAGTGAATATTTAGTTGAAAGGAGGCACTGGGACTACCATGGAGAATCAAAGGAATGAGAGTGAGACACCTCTCCCCACGTGGTTAAGAGTCCTATCAGATAGGGAGACTCACAGACTAATATTGACCACTTTCTATGCCACTAGCATGGCAGGCAATGGCAATCCCTCAAAGACCACAGGAGGGAGGGAGAATGAGAAACCCTTTAAACTACAGAGGCTTCAGCTTCCATGGAGCAGCACACAAAGCCTCACTTCATCTCCTAACCCCTTAATTTGCTCATAATTCCAACCCAGATCTTCCTGTTCATCCCATCCCTACCTAGGTATTGTTAATCTGGGCTTGGCATGTCTCCACAACACATGAGGAGTGTTACAAAAGTTATAGCTCTTCAGGTGGAAACAAGCACAAACCTACCAAGCCTCTGTAGGAGTTTTCATGGAAGGCTGCTGTGGCCTCCAAGACAATGCCCAGGTGACACCCCTTAGGTGAATGTCTCATACCTGAAATTTAAGTGGTCAACCTGAGGCAGGAATGATCCTTTTCCATGGTATCAATTTGCCATGCTTCCTATAGGTGATATTTTAGGCCAGCAACTTGAATTCAAACATACTCCAAGCATGTTGAGTTTGGGCCTCAAAAATACCCATGATGCCACTGTAAAACCAAATGCTCTGTGCTCCTTAGTGCTTGAACCGCAAGACAACTCGGAACCACATGCAATGGAACAGATCTCCTTCCAGAGCTTGAGAGGAATAAAGGAAATACAGCCTTCCAGTTAGCGATCAAGTGTCAGCCTTAAAAATCCAACATAAGCCATAGAGATTAACACTTGCTACTTAGAAGTCCACAAGGAGGATTTGTGTTCTCAGTTACAACATTGGTGTTATGAACATGGTAAACTGGTTTTTCCAAATGAGCCCACACAACCTGATTGGGAAGATACTGCAAATGAGCAATCTCAGTTAAACACGTACTTCAGTCTCAGTCCTGGACATCATCCACACCATCCCAGATTCTTCCTTCACTGTTCTTTACTTCTGTAGAGGTGGTGGTCAGAATGCCTAGATCAGCCACCAAGACAGTTAGAGATGTGTGTCTACATGCACAAGTGTGTGAAATATAGGCATAGTTGAGATTGTTTTCCAAACTCTGATGCTTGCAAAGAAAGGCTGAGAGGAGATCAGACATGTTCCCACCAAGCAACTGTGGGATAACCAAGAATTAGGGTTTCTGCTCTGCAAGATTTAAGCTTATAGTGAATTTTTGTCCCAGAATATCATTTTAGGGGTGGTGTCAGGCCATATCTTGCATTGCTATAAATACCTAAACTTGGTAATTTATAAGAAAAGAGATTTAACTGTCTCACGGTTCTACAGGATGTATGGCAATAATAGCGCTGGTATCTGCTTCTGGACAGGCCTCAGGAAGATTTTACTTACAGTGGAAGACACAGGGGAAGCTTGCAAGTCATATGGTACAAGCAGAAGAAAGGCAAGGGGGAGGTGCCACATACTCGAATGACTAGCTGTCATGAGAACTATGGTGAGGACAGCACCAAGTCATGAGGGACCCACTTCCATGACCCAAACACCTCCTACCAGGCCCTACTGTCCAACAGTGGGATTATATCAACATGAGATTTGGAAGGGATATCCAAACTGTATCAGGGGCAATATAAGGAAATATATAAAAGGCAGATACACATCTAAAGATCTCGTGGTCAGAGTAGTCAGTGAATATTTGGTTAAAAGGAGGCATTGGGACTATCTTGGGGAATCAAAGGAATGAGAACCAAACCAGCTCAGATAGGGAGACTCAGGCTAACATTGACCACTTTTCCACACCACTGGTGTGAAAGATAATGGCAATCACACAAAGACCACAAGACAATGAGAATTAGAAACCCTTTGGAGGACAGAGGATTGAGATTCCACAGAGTAGCATACAAACCCACACTTCTCCTGACCCCATAAGTTTTCTGATGCTTCCAACTTAGATCTTCCTGCTCATCCCATCCCTACATAGGTA
The DNA here is from genome assembly GCF_000001405.40 of Homo sapiens. NCBI lineage: Eukaryota > Metazoa > Chordata > Mammalia > Primates > Hominidae > Homo > Homo sapiens. The sequence goes on along the minus strand of NC_000004.12, from coordinate 10,311,641 downwards.
TGTGTTGATCTGAGCCTGGCATGTCTCCACACACGGTATGAGGAGGGTTATAACTTATGGCTCTTCACATGGAAACAAGCACAAACCTAGCAAGCCTCTGCAGGTGAGAGAATTTCCAGTACTCCTCAGGTGAATGCCTCTTACCTGAGATTTAAAGTGGTCAACACCTGACTCAAGAATTTCTCTTTTCACTGTATCAGTTTGCCATGCTTCCCGACGACAACTTCGTAACATTCTTGGAGTATATTTGAATTTGACTGTTGGACTCAAAGATATTGACGATGCTGCTTTAAAACCAAACGTTCTGAGCTCTTCTCTAGTGCTTCTTCCATTAGACTGAACAACTCAGAACCACATGCAATGGAACAAACCTCCTGCCAGAGTTCAAGTGGAAAGAGGCAGATGCTGCCTTCCAGTTAGAGAACAAGATCTCAGCCTATAAAATCTAACATAAGCCCTAGACAATAGAATCTGAACACACTAGAAATCCTTGACGATTTCTAACTAGTAAGTTTATGTTTGTGTTATAAACATGCTTAACTGGTTCTTTCAAATGATCCTGCCATACCCAAAGTGCTCATCTGCACTATCTTTCCAGTCTCAGTGGGAACACATTCCAGTCTCAGTCCTGGGCATCATCCACACAATCCCAAAGTTTTACTTCACTGTTCTTTACTTCTCTACTACTGATGGTGGTAAGAATACCTAGATTAACCACAGACAATGGAAGATGTGTCTCTCCATGTACAGGTGTGTCAACTGAAGGCATAATACTGAGATGTTTTTCAGCTTCCGGTACTTAAGGCAAAGAAAGGCTGAGCGAACTCAGGCTTGTTCACACCAAGCAATAGTGGGATGACACAGCAGGATTTCTGCTCCGGAAGATCAATTTGCTTTTCAAGCCTGTATTGAATTTTTGTCCTAGGATCGTTTCATTTTTGGGACAAGAGGAGGAGATATAGAAAATCAAGTATGCATCAAGAAATGTCTTGATCAGGGCAGTCAGGTAATATGTAGGTAAAGGACATATTGGGACTGTAATGGAGATCTAAAGAAAGGAAGGAAGAAGACAAACCTCTCTACCTGTCTAAGCACACATCTTCTCCCAGATATGGAAACCCATAGGCTAATGCTGACCATCTTCCATACCAGCATGGCAGGTGGCTGAAGACCATGCATACTGGGCACGTGACAATTGGTGCTCTAGAGGGACCAAGGTAGACTTACCCATAAACAGGTCTCTGAGCTAGTGGTTATGAACACCCTTGTTCTACCTTCAGGACTATCTTCTCCCTACACAAAGGTAGGTGAGACTCCTAAATGGGAGGGTATTTCTGAGATGTTATAGCCAATGCAATACCTCTTAGAGAAAGTGTACTAGCAATGCACCAGCAAGAACATGCAAGCTACACTCCTGCTTTCCCACTGCCATGCATTCACACAAGAGTTCACACGCTTGGTTTCAGTGTTAATGAGGAGCTCAGGAAAATAAAAGGGAAGGCCATCTCCTTTTAAAGGGCAAGATCTTGATGTATCAATGTCACATTTCTCAAATGCCGTAGTCACAACGTATTTGCCTGATCCCAGCTAATGAACAGCAAGAACATCAATTCATATGAAGTTGACTCATGAAAAATTAAGGTGACCCTGGAGAAGTTATTTGCAGGCATAGACCTCATTTTCCATGTCCCCCTCTATAGATAAGGTGCCTCCACATTTTTCTTCTGGAGCAGGCCGACAGGAAAGTTGACCAAGAGCTCTTTATGGCCAAGAATGTGGACTATATACACAAAATTCTCCAGTCCTATTCAGAGGAAGATTTTCATGAGGCCTCAGTAATGATGCCAGGGTCATTTCAATAGGGAACAGGCAGGGTATAATCAGGGATAAGAGAAAAATGACCTCCAAACATAAGCCAAACATATGGTTTATCGTTAGTGCTAAAATGTATGAGTGAACTCAAAAGTGAGGTTCTCCTTCAAAAACCTAAGAAAAGGAACGAGGGCAGACTCAAGTTCCAATGCAGAGTCATGCTTCGAAGATGGCTATTCCATGTATAATGTTTCAAACTTGAGTAGGACCTCTACAAGATGGCATGAGGAAATGTAAAGGGTTCTATAACACAGAAGAATTAACATTCCTCCCAAGTGTTCCAAAATATCAAGTTGGCTCATCACTATCAGGAGAATGAAGCAATAAGATTGTTTGTCCAAGGTCACTTAACACACCTCAGAACCCTAGTGCAGATAGAACTTAGTTACATACAGAGCTAGCAGGGCAATTAGCTTTATTCAAGTTGACGTATGAAGACTCATGTGCCCATGCAAGAAAACTTGAGAAAACAGGCTCCTCTGAGGCCCTCTCCACAGACCAGCAACCTCCAGTCTTCTCCTAGGTCAGGATTCTCAAGGCAGGTTGGCTAAAAGCAGCCAAAGCAGAAATCCCACTGTGGAACAAACGTCAACTGCTATGAGAATTTATGAGGCGACACATAACCCTCATTTATCTGACCATGTGGGATCATGGTGCTTAGAGGAAATTGGTCTCTTCGCAAATACTTTTCAAAAAGACTGTTTACTCTCCCTGTGTCTACGTTATATTCATAGAAGATGAGGGGAGTGAGAAGGTTCATCATAATCTAGGTAAGACCAAGAAAGATTCCAGAAACCAACAGATCACCAGAGGCTAAAAGCGTAAGATTCTCATGTCTTATTAGTGGAGGACCCTACTATGACAAGGATATCACCAACATATTATGGTCAAGACCAGGTAGAGTGAAAATTGAGAGGGACCAGGTATATCAGTGTAAGAAAATGTTCTTGATCATTAGTGCACATTTGTCTTTGGAAATGAAGGTCTCTGTGAGGTGCTCCTTTAACAATATAAAACGGCAGAGGACAGCATACTTTTTTTGCTTTTTTTATACTTTAAGTTCTAGGGTACATGTGCACAATGTGCAGGTTTGTTACATATGTATACATGTGCCATGTTGGTGTGCTGCACGCATTAACTCAGCATTTACATTAGGTATATCTCCTAATGCTATCCCTCCCCCCACCCCACAACAGGCCCCGGCGTGTGATGTTCCCCTTCCTGTGTCCAAGTGTTCTCATTGTTCAGTTCCCACCTGTGAGTGAGAACATGCAGTGTTTGTTTGTCCTTGTGATAGTTAGGACAGCAAATTTTTAAAGCCTCAGGAGAGGTTCACGCTATGAAAAGAGCTGTAGTTGGTACACCATCAGCTTGGGTGCTCACCTAACTAGCTGCCAAGCCACAGCCAATGGCAAGAGCCCAGAAATATACAGAGTTTAAAACTCTGAGGCCCCACTGATGGGTCTATGGGATAATCCAAAACAAGGCGGCATGACTCCCCAGATGCTGAATAGAGGAAACAGGACTAGCTATGTTCTGTAGAGACCAATGGGAATCTGCTCCCACAGTGAATTCCTTTTTGGTTGGGATGATAGGGATTTTAACATTTATGGAAGGATGAGTTTAGCAGGCTCCTATCGCTGGCCTCTTCCCTGTAACTAACAATCATGGAGTGTTCTAGAACTGGGTTATTTCTACAGTAACTCACAGACCTTCTTTAGTCCAGTATTGAATATCTCTCAAGCAGTGTAAGCATTTCAGCCGACACTCCTAGGAGTGCAGGGTAGTGATATTTAGAAACTGGAAACATGTTCCCTGCTCTCCTACCTTCCTGCTGAAGGAGAAAGCAGACTTCCTGCCATCACCAGCTTTCAGGAGAATGAGGTGGTGTTAAGCCCCCTCACAAGTTACAGAGAATGAAATGGGAAAAAGGTTCACAAACTTCCAGTTCATTTTTAAGAATTTCTTCATTCAGTACCAAGGGAAGATTAGCTTTTAATCTTTCACATGTCACACTGTTCAGGTGACTAGTTACCAGCTCTAGGATCAAGTAATAAAGCAAATAATGACCAAGATGAAACAGCCAGACTCAGGGTAGTCTGAACCTGATTCCATCCCTTCAAGAGTAATGAGCTTGTAGCAAAGAGAAGCAAGTCACATTAAAGGACCTTACTTTGATCTAGGCTGGACACCATTGATTGGTGCTATACCCTGCTGAGGCTTCACTGTAATAAGCCACCACAGAAGAGTGTTCCAAAAGGCTTAAACGCTCTGCTCTCAAAAAAAAAAAAAAATAAACATTTGGAATACGTGAGCAAGTCATCACAAGCTCAGAAATCTGTTCCCTTGAGAAGTTAAACTCCTGCTCCAAGGTTTTTCAGGCTGAACTGACCTCACCCCTCCAGTCACAGTAATCCTGACACCATAGAGCATGCAATGGGCTCATGGTTCAGGACCCAATAGACTGAGTCCACTGGTTGAATTGGCAACAGCTTTGCTGCCAGAGTAACTAGGATGCATGAGTCCTTAGAATCCACAGCTGGTCCATGAGCTCCCTGCTTGTCATGTGGTTGTCAGCAGAGCTGCTAGAAGAGGCAAAATGCTTTCCCCCACACTGACAAGTTCTTTGTGGGGGGGGAAAAGCTCTAGAATTACTTATTTTCCTTATTACAGCCATGGCATAGGACCCTCAGCCATCCTTTGCAAAAAACCGTTGCCAAGAACAAACCAGAAGGCAAAGAATGACTAGAAACCATGACTAACAGCTGCCTCCCTTACCCAAAAAGGGTCTCTGGATCAGTTTTTGCCCAACAGTCAAATCCTGCCAGTGGGATGCTTTCCAACTGAAGGTTTCAAAATTCTCTGCTTGTCTTCCAAACAGTCTCTACCTGATCAGAGAAGAACAATTCTCCCAATGATGATCACCATTCCCCACTTTTCCGTGGCAATCAAAATTCTACTAGTGCCAAAGGCATCACACGACAGGCTACAAGGGGGCATTCTAATTCAAACCTTCTAGCATTTCAGTTTAGCTCCCATTGGAGAAATGTTAAGAGCAGCACCTCGAGCTTCACAGGTTCAGAGGACATCCACCTATCTTACAGAATGACATTCAAACCAGGTGGCCATCAACTCAGCCAGTTAATGTACAATTATTTCTTGACAGCGACTGTAAGAACCCACAAGACAAAGAGCAGTCACCTACAGGGAACCATTACCTTAATAAATTAGAACTTACACTCAATGAAGTTACTGAAATAAAATTAATAAGTTTTTTTCAGATATACGAACGGCATTGATGAACTCTGGAAGAAGGTATCGGTGAATAAAGCAGACAAATGTTTGGCAAGAAAAGAGTACTATATATGAACAGAAGGCAAAAATCACTGGCAGAAGATCACAAGCAGATTTTTGATAACCAAAGGAAAAGACAGACTAAAATAAGACAGACACAGTGTATTTGTTTCCCAACATCTTTGAACCCCGGGGCCCTCAAAGTACGTGAAGTGAAATACAGGACTTCCAGACCTTGTGGTTCAGAGTATTCTCTGCCTATGGACATGTGGTTCAAAAATAATCTGTGTACCCTGCTCTGCCTAGACAGTTTGGTCTGAGTTACAGAAGTCAAAGATCAGCAAGAGGTAAGAGAACACTTTATTATTTAGAAGGTAAATTTCTATCTGCATAAAGTATCCTCAGTAACTGGAATGCTGATTTTCATCTGGTTTCAATTAGGAATTCAGGATATCAAGATTGCTTTCTGTGGACTTGGAATGTCCTGAATTCAATTCCTGTTCTAGTCAATGCTAAGCCTTGTTAATAAAGAGTTCACAGGATCAGGAAATGCTAAAATAGGTTTTATTTTCTCTAGATAACCTTTATTCATGCAATCTGTCCTGTAAAACTTTCAGAGGGAACAGTATAAATGAAACCCATTGCCTTTAATAGAAAGCACATTAAGAGCCAACAGGCTGATTATGCATTTAAGATACAGATTTGTAACACCGGTCATAGGCACAAACTGCATACTCTGGAGGCCAGTAGTTTACAGATCTAGATTTATACATCATTGCAAAGCCCCAAGTGAGGTGTCTTCTGATCTGGACAATTTGATTTGCCTTCAAACAACTCACTTCAAAGAATGTAACGGTTGGTGCCGTAAAGAGGCTACACCCATGTTAAGACCCCTGGGCAAATGTCTGAAGCTCAATCTAAGGTCAGAGTAGAAGGGAAAACACTTGCCTTGTCCATTGTCTGTACCATCTACCAGAGGGTCAGCTCTGCACACACCATGGACGTCACTGAGTTCTTAAGCTCAGCCTTTCACAGCCAAGGGAGCCTGTGGCACATAAGGCTGAATACCTTAGATATGAGAACCATGGAGCCTGGGGACAAACACCTTAGTGACCTGGGCTCACAACAGACATTGTCCATGTGATCTGTACCCAGTGGGGCTTCCCTGGGGGTCAAACAGAGGGCATCTCCCCCACAACACTTAGGTAGTGAGGATCTTCATGACTCTGGCTTGGGAACGACTCATGTGGACTCATAAGGAACAGGAGTATCAGCCTACATCATGTTTTGACCCTTCCATGTCCAAGGGGCAGAAACAATAAGGATCAGACCCTACAACAGAGTTGGGAAGAGTCAAAGCTAAACATGAGCCAGGAGCTTTCACTTAAGGTCAATACAGTTATCAATCCAGGCACATGGGTTAGAGCTGCCAGAAGTGCAAGCAGGAGGGTTTCCAACACTGTCATTTTTCTCATGCACTCAAAGGGGTTTTAAATGCATAGGCAGTGTCAACTAAAATAGGTTCCCTAAAATTTATGAAAGACTACAAGCAGAATGTCTGAAGTGTGAACAAATTCTTCACACTAAGGAGCACCGATTTTTCAAAGTCAAAGGAGATTATATTCACTTTAGAAGTAAAAAATTGAAGGGATCTCTTACAAAAATATAGAGAAAATAAAGACTTCAGATCATATTTTACTGTAAACTGTACAGAGGTATATAGCAATGAAATCCACTACTTAACATATTAAAATGTCCACAGAAGTATGGATCTAAACCCAGTATTCTTTACTGCCCTATAAGGCACAGTGTTAAACTATCATATTTTGAACTCAGGATTACATAGAGCTGATATATAGTCAAATTTTAGATCATTAAACATACTCAACATTTGTGGTGGAATGTATGAGATGTAAAAGGCACATCCTTCATAAATACATTATTAGAGTTTTGGCTTCCTGATCGATCAGGAAGATTTCCTTCCTCGAAGAAAAGCATCTCCATCACAGAAAATGGAAGAAAAAGCTCCTCGTTGCAGTACACTCTTATCCTGTCCCTTTCCTGCTCAAAGACACACCCAGGTGTCTTGGCATTTGGTTAAAATGACTGAACTACCCCAGGTCACACCCTCAACCTCTTGGGTTACTTGTTTTCATTCAGAGCAATATACAGCAGCACAGAGGGATTGACTCCACTTATGCGGAACAATCCAGGGCAAAAGAAAACAGGAGTCTTTCATTCAGGTTCCTAGGACAGTGCCCAAATCATCTCCCACTCAGACTTCCCCACTAAACAGGAGCAAAAGAGTCCACTTACGAACAGGAACTCACATGGCCAGCATACCACATCACACAAAACTGATGAAGTTTGTCTCCCAAAATGCATTCTCAGGCAGAGAAATCATAACTCAGGATATAAAGAACCAACAGACCAAGGAAAACTATCCCTCACAAGTTACTACCATATAAAGACACAGAGCCTACGGGGACAATGGTTAGAAGATGATCTCTTGTGCAAAGTGGATTAAAGAGCCTGAAATCTCAGCCCAGTGTGTACAACCACTTGGGGAGAGTGTGGCCAGGCTTATCACTGTGTGTCAACATCCTACGATCATTTAGGATAAACTGATAAAGTTTCTTCCAGGGCATCAGAAATGTGAAAAACTTCACTGCACGATTCATACTTTTAACAGGAATGGACCCCTATTTTGACACAGAAGGAATAAGAGCATCAGGCAGACAAGGTGAAGAATTCTCTTTGTAGTCTCAACACAGAGGCAGCATTATGAGAATCACACTAGATCCATGTACACAGTGGGTAATGGAAAATGGCCTTGGAAGCTTTTGCCTTGGTGCATTAGCACAGTGTCCAGCCTAGCCCTGTCCCTCTGCAGGGAACCCAGGTAGATGAGGGTTTCCAACACATCCCTGGCTTCCTTCTCATGCAGCTCTTGGAGGATCCAATGGGAAGGCAGTGTTTCCTTATCAGGCCTTGTTACTACTGCGAACAAGCCCTAAGCCTGTCATAAACAGGCCTTAAAGAAACTGGTCATAAACAGGATTTCTGCAGCAATGTGACATGCTCATGATGGCTCTCACGCACACTACTAGCAGTTGTTGGTTTACTGGAGCAGGGCAAGGAACGCCTGGCCCATCCAGAGCGGAAAATGGCTCAAACCACCAATAGCATGAGCATCCTGTGCCTTAACATGTGCCTTTTTGCTGCTGATAATCAGCCAGAGCCTGTTTCTCTGCCCCTAAGGATGCTTTGTTTCTTGTAAGAAATGCTTTCAGTTAATCTATAATCTACAGAAGCAATGCTTGTCGCTGGCTTACTGTAAATATGTATGTAGCTCACACTCTGTTCGTGACTCTCAGCTCTGAAGGCTGTTAGCCCCCTGGATCCCACTTTGCACTCAATTTGTGTGTCATTGTCTTCAATTCCTCTAGTCCTGCTGGGCTGGGCTCGCCATGACTGGAGCTGGTCTCAGTAAGTGGCATCCAACGTGGGGACTCAAACCTGGGTCAAAGGGTCACCAAAGTGATAGTTGGAGAACATAGAACTATGCTGGAGGACACCCGAGTACTCTTAAGCAATCCTCGTGGTAAGAAGGCGAGCCTAGAAGCATCAGGGTAACAATGGGACAAGAGTTGAGCAGGCACGAAGCTTATTTGAGTCTGCTTCCGCATCTCCTCAGAAAAGGAGGAGTGAAGGTTAGCACCAGCTGACTTATGCAGCTTTTTAGTGTGGTAGAGAAATACTGCCCCTGGTTTCTGGACCGAGGAACTAGGAACGTAGAGATCTGGGAAAAGGTAGGCAAGCACACTGAAAAAGGCATAAGGATGGTGTTGAGGATATTCCTATAACTGTCTGGTCAGTGTGGGCTCTGGTTCATTCCACCCTGGAGCCTTTCCACACAGATGACAAGGAAGAATTAGAGGAAGGAGGAGAGTCTAATGAAGTAACAGAAGAGGTGCAGAGCAGGTTTGCTTGCCAGCTAAAGTGGCAAAGGAGAGAGAGGTTTGTCCCTACCCTCTGTACCCCCTCATTATTTTGGAAAAAAAAGAGTGGCCTGACCCTCCAGATCTTTCTTTTCCAGAGGACACTGGGCAAAAAGTAGTTGCCCCAGTGAGTAGTCAAGCAGTGCCTCGAGCAACCACTCCCAGTTCTACTCACACAAGAATCCAGCAAGCTAGACTAGAGGGTGACATGGATGGCTTGGCAGTTCCCTGTTAGAATACACCCACCTGATCAACAGGAGAATATCATAGCTACATTTGAGCCTTCTCCTTTTAAAATACTTAAAGAATTTAAACAAGCTATCAATATGGACCAGGTTCTTTTGTAATGGGACCGTTAAAGAATGTTGCTGTCTCCAGTCAGATGATGCCAGCAGGGACTGTACGATTATTTCTAGGTAGGTCTAGTTTAAATTTAAAAGGAGTACAAGTACATACAGGAGTCATTAATTCAGATTACAATGGGGAAATTCAAATTGTTATATATCTACTTCTGTTCCCCGGAAAGCAGAGCCGGGAGAGTGTATAGCACAGCTCCTGATTGTGCTGTATGTGGAAATTGGGAAAAGTGAAACTAAATGAAAAGGAGGATTTGGAAGAACAAACCAACAAGGCAAAGCAGCTTATTGGGTGAATCAAATTACTGATAAACGTTCTGCCTGCGAAATAGCTATTCAGGGAAAAAAAATTAAAGGATTGATAGATACAGGAGCAGCCATTTCAATCATTTCTCTACAGCACTTTCTGTCCATGTGGCCAATTCAACCCACTCAATTTAACATAGTTGGAGTTGGTAAAGCCCCTGACATATCAAAGCAGTTATATTTTGCATTATGAAGGACCCGATGGACAATCTGGGACTATTTAACCAATTGTAACTTCTGTACCTATAAATTTATGGGGAAGAGAGTACAGCAATGGGGAACACAAGTGTTAATTCCGAACAATTACACAGCCCTCAAAGTCAGCATATGATGCAAGAGATGGGGTATGGGACTCGCATGGGATTAGGAAAAAATTTACAAGCGTTAAAGAAACTGCTTCAAGTGGAAGGACAGAATTCTCATCAAGGTTTAGGATATCATTTTTGATGGCAGCCATTGTTAAGCCTCCAGAACCTGTACCTTGACAATGGTTAACAGATAAGCCAATTTGGATAGAGCAATGGCCGCTGAGTAAAGAGAAACTGGAGGCCTTTGAGAACTTACTTACTGAACAATTAGAAAAAGAACACATAGCTCCAACATTTTCCCCCAGGAATTCTCCAGTCTTTGTTATTAAAAAATCAGGTAAATGGAGGGTGTTGAGAGATCTCAGAGCCATTAATTCAGTTAAACAACCTATGGGAGCATTGCGGCCAGGATTGCGTTCTCCTGCTATGATTCCAAAAAATTGGCCTTTAATAGATTTAAAAGACTGTTTCTTTACTATCCCCTTAGCTGAGCAAGACTGAACTATTTGCATTTACAATTCCCGCTGTAAACAACCTGCAGCCTGCTAAGCATTTTCATTGGAAAGTGTTGCCACAAAGCATGTTAAACAGTCCAACAATTTGCCAGACGTATGTAGGGCAAGCAATTGAACCTACTCATAAAATATTTTCACAGCATTACATTATTATATAGGTGATATTCTTTTGTGCTGCCTCCACTTAGGAAATATTACTCCCATGTTATGATCACTTGCAAAACTATTTCTTGTGCTAGTTTAATTATAGCTTCCGACAAAATTGAGACTACTCTTCTTTAGCGCTACTTGGGAACCTCAGTAAATGACATTGCAATAGTGCCACAGAAAGTAACCATATGTAAGGATCAATTGAAAACACTGACTTTCAAAAATTACTAGGGGACATTAATTGGATACTACCTGTTCTAGGCATTCCTACCTATGCCATGAGTAATCTATTTTCTATCCTTAGAGGAGATCCTATTGTCAACTAACCCTCTGCAATTAACAAAGGAGGCTGAGGCAGAGTTACAGCTAATTGAAAAGCAAGTGCATAAGGCTCAAATAGAATAGATCCAGAGAAGATTCTAGATTTGCTAGTTTTTCTGACTCAACATTCACCTACTGGTGTTATTGTTCAACAGCAAGACTTAGTAGAATGGCTTTTTCTTCCACGTGCTAATTCACGGACTAACTCCTTATTTGGATCAAATTGCTACTGATAGGAAATGTGAGAACTCAAATTGGTAAATTACATGGATATGACCCTGGAAAAATTGTCCCTCTTACAAAGGCACAAATACAACAGGCCTTTATAAATAGTCTTACTTGGCAAACCCATTTAGCTGATTTCATAGGTATTCTTGATCATCACTTTCTGAAAACAAAATTTTGATATTAAAAATTGGATTCTCCCTAGAATAACTAAATTTAAACCAATTGAAGGTGCTGAAAATATTTTTAACAGATGAGTCTAGTAATGGTAAAAGCTTCTTATTCTGGATCAAAAAAAGTTAAGTTTTTCAGACACCCTATACTTCAAGCTCAAAAAGCAGAGACTTGTAGCTATAATTGAGGTGCTGGCTGCTTTTGAGATGCCTGTCAATGTAATTTCTGATTCTTCAGATGTGGTCCATTCTACATAGCTGAAAATGCTCAGCTACGATTCCACACAGATGAGCAACATGACTTTATTTGCCCAATTACAAACCGCAGTTAGGAATAGAATGCACTCTTTTTACATTACTCATATTAGAGCTCATACACCTCTTCCAGGACCTTTGACTGCAGGGAATCAAATGGCTGATCGTCTAGTTGCTACTGCAGTATCTAATGCTAGACACTTTCACAATTTAACCCATGTTAATGCCTCTGGTCTCAAATGCAGATACAGCAATACCTGGAAAGCAGCTAAAGCTATTATCCAGCGACGCCCAACTTGCCAAAAGGTACATTCCTCACCTTTTACAGGAGGAGTTAATCCTCGAGGATTGGAACTTAATTCTCTTTGGCAAATGGATGGCACACATGTTCCCTCATTTGGGAGGCTAGCTTATGTACATGTGTGGACACCTTTTCTCACTTTGGGCTACATTCCAATCAGGAGAGTCTTCTTGCTTGATGTTTAACACTGCACAGGCAGAACCTTTTGCAGTGTTTTGCAGTGATGGGCATTCCAGCTTCTATTAAAACAGATAATGCCCCATGCTATACTAAGCCAAGCTCTAGCTACATTTTTCTCTATATGAAATATTAAACACATTACTGGCTTCCCATATAATTCACAAGGACAAGCCATTGTGGCAAGAATGGCTCTCTCCCTGAGAGAGCAATTACAAAAACAAAGGGAGAGATAGTGACTACGGGACCCCACATATGCAATTGAATCTAGCATTATTGATTTTAAATTTTTTGAGCCTGCCTAAAGGCCAGATGCTATCAGCAGCTGAACAGCATCTACAGAAACCAGTGGCAAAGACAGAAGCAGAACTGGTTTGGTGGAGAGGTCCGATAACACAAAGTTGGGAAATATGTAAAATAACTTGGGGTAGAGGTTATACCTGTGTTTCTCCAGGCCAGAATCAGCAGCTGATTTGGATACCATCGAGACACCTGAAACCTTATGAGCCAGATGCTGAGGAAGAGACTTTGGGAGGAACCCAAGGACTGCAGCCATGTCTAGACTGACAATAAGGAAGACACCAGTCCTGGCGAGCAACACTTATGGTGGCACAGCCACCCATCTGAGGTCAGATCAAAAAGTTGACACAGATGGCAGAAAAAAATCTGAAGGTGGGACAACCAGTTACAATGAGTAACCTAATGGTAGCTGTGATGGCTGTGCTCACCATTGCCATATTCCCCCAGTAACTGCTGAAACAAAAAACAATTAAGCTTATTGGGCAAATATTCCACCACTTCTACAGCCAGTAACATGGTTAGACCCCCCAGCAGAGGTATACACTAATGATAGTTTTTGGATGCCTGGTTCTACAGATAATAGAGGCCCATCTCACACCCAAGAGGAAGGAACAATTAAGAAAATCTCATTGGGATTTGATCATCTACCCATTTGCATGGGAAAAGCCAATGGGTGTTTACCTCCCAGTCTTCAATCTTGGCAGGCAACAGTACCTTAACGTAACATCTTTGTGGCACAATCACATATGCTTTCTGGTCTTAGTATTTATTACAATGATTGTGCTCCTGTAGCCAAAGTTTACCACCCTCAAAAACCTATCTGATAAAGTGGATTGGACATGGTCAGAAAAAATGAAGGCATTTGCTTGGGAAGATTGTATAGCAAGGCAGGCAGAGGTGTTGTGGTAATGGTTCATATGGAGTCATTAGTGATTGATCCCCTACCTAAAGGTGCATTTATGAGGCTCACCTCTCAATCTGCAGGTAATGCTCACCCTGCATCTAAACAAAATAATCAGATGGTGGACACTATAAGAAGTACAGCAAGAGTTCCTATTATTTTGGCATATGGTGGTATAGTGGCACCTCAACCCCAAATGATATGGCCTGCTGTAGGAGCTAAACATAAGGAGGTGTAGAAAATATTCATGGCACTAAAAAGGATAAAGATTTGGGAATGAAGATATACTAAAGCCAACCCAGTGTAATCCTAATTATGTTAGAATTGACTCATGATTCAGTCTGGATATAGAGTTGTGTCCGTCCTCCTTTCCTGCTTGTAGTAGGTGATTTAAAACTTGATCTCCCTAATCATGTGACTTGTCAAGGATGTAGATTGTTTTCTTGTGTGAATTCTTCCTTGTATAATACTGATCATTCTATTTTAGTGGTAAGAGCCCAAGAAGGAGTACAGATACATGTAAAGCTTTCCCGTCCTTAGGAAGCCTCTCCTGTGCATATTATTACTGAAATTCTTCAAAAGATTTTGAGGTGCTCTCGGCATTTCGTTGCCACTTTAAAATCATTATGGGATTGATTGCTGTCACAGCTACTGCTGCAGTAGCCGGAGTTGCTTTGCATTCCACAGTACAAACAGCAGACTATGTAAATAATTGGCAGAAAAATTCTACTCTAATATAGACCAGAAACTAGCTAATCAAATCAATGATCTCCACCAAACTAATGTGGCTAGGAGATCTAGTAACTAGTTTAGAGTATAGAATGGTTACAATGTGACTGGAATACTTCTGATTTTTGCATTACTTCTCGTCTGTATAATGAAACAGAACATGAGTAAGAAACAGTTAAGAGACATTTAAAGGGTCATACTAGAAATTTATCTTTAGATATTCCAAAACTGAAGGAACAAGTATTTCAAGCCTCTCAGGCACATCTGACCCTAACGCCAGGAAGGGAAGTGCTTGAAGGAGCTGCAGGCAGATTAGCAGTTATTAACCAATTAAAATGGATCAAGACACTTGGAGGCTTTGTGATTTCAATGATTGTGCTTTTAATCTATGTCGTCTTTGTGTAGTCTGCAGATGGGATCCAGAATCCTGAGAGAAGTAGCCCACTGTGACAAAGCTGCCTTTGTCTTAATTGCTTTGCAAAAGCAGAAAGGGAGACATGCTGGGAACAAGCCCTAAGCCTTCATAAACAGGCCTTAAAGAAACTGGCCACAAACAGGATCTCTGCAGCCATGTGACATGCTCATGTTGGCTATCACGCACACTGCTAGTTGTTGGTTTACTGGAGCAGGGCAAGGAATGCCCGGAGCAGAAAACTGCTCAAACCACAAATAGCATGAGCAGCCTGTGCCTTAACAACATGTTTTGGCTGCAGACAATCAGCTACAGCCTGTTCCTCTGCTCCTCGCTAAGAATGCTTTGTTTCCCATAAGGAATGCTTTTAATCTATAATCTATAGAAGCAATGGTTATCACTGGCTTACTGTCAATAAATATGTGGGTCAAGCCCCCTGGATCCCACTTTGCACTATTTCTGTGTTTTTAGCGCCACTGGGTTGGGGTCTCCATGACTGAGCTGGGTCTTGGTAGTTACAATTCATGGAACTGGAGGAAGTTAAAATGGCAAGACAGAATTAAGGTTAATCCTTCCTAAGTGATTAAATTGCTCACATTCAAGTGAGAGCTATACTATTTTAGGCATTTAGAAGCAAACTTAGTTTATAAAATAAAATAGTATTATGTTAGATAATCTTTCCCCTGAGCAGTAATAGAATGATGAGTGTATTGTCAGAAAAGCATTAATTGCCAGTAAAATATCCCACAGCAATAGAAACCTAGGACTTCTGGACTCATTCCTGTCTGATGTGGGATAACAGGTTCGTTTCTGCCACACTGTCTTTCCATGACATTTACCATCATTTTCACAGGAAAAGAAATGCAGAATTCAGGTGTGCCTTAAAGGAAGCTGGGGTTAGAGTGGGAAGATATTTAGCTGAAAGACAACACTGACCAACTTCTGGATCACAGGGAAGAGAACAGACCCAACCTTCCCCGTCTTGGGAAGGCCTAGAGCTGATTTTCTCAGATGCTGCTGCTCAGAGACTCACTGAGCCACCTTCTATCCCACCTGTGAGTCAGGTGCCCGAAAGCTACACAACTTGGGGTTGGTAGGGGTGAGTTTCAGAGACCAATAGACTATCCACTGAGAGGTTCTTGAACATGTGGTTACAGATTCCCTCCTACCTCCATCACCATTTCCTCAAATATAGCTTAGGACACAAATAGGAAAGCAGTTCATTAATGACACGTACTAAGTTAACGGTCACCAGTTAGAGGACACAGCGGTAAGAATGCACAAGGATCATGGCTCTACCTTTCCTCTGCCATTCCTTTAAGGGATTGCTCTTGAATTCTGACTCAAATAACCACAGAGGAAGAGGGAGGGGAGGCTTCATCCTTCTAAAAGGTAGGTTCCTAAAGGTCAAACACCACATCTGCTTATACTCCAAGGCCACATTAATTATTACCGGAAAGGGATGGGAATCTGCCTTAATAGTTCATGTGGACCTCAACTCCATATGACTAATAGAACTTCCTGGTATAACCACAGTGGCTGTGAGCTGTTAGCCCACTGACATTGCACGCAGATCAAGGCACTTATCAAGCAGTATATCTACAAGAAACCACCCATTTGGTGGTGGTTTCCAGTAACGTGGACTTTGAGATGATAGAAGCACTGAGCATCACTTAGGAGGTGGACTCCAAGACAGTGCCCACAGGAGTCTTGACCAAGCCTGATCTGGTGGACAAGAGCACTCAGCGTGAGATCACTCGCATGGTACCAAACCTCCTGAGCCACCTGAAGGACTCCATGATTCTCAACAAGCACCCAAGTCATCAGGATACCCAGGACTGGTTCAGCCTTGCTGAGTTTCTGCAGAATTTTATTGCCACCCACCCTTCAGGAATCTTCTGGGAGAAGGGCTAGTTTCCTTCCTTGCAGGAAGATGAGCAAATTTATTATGTTTATGAATCTCTGCCCTCATTAGGAAACAAAGACAGTCACCGGAATATAACAAGAGTCCTAAGTTGGGCATCAACATACTCGATAAACTTGAAAAGTGATCTGGTAGAATTAACGCATTTATCACAGAATTATTGCTTTAATACAAAAAGTAAAAGGGAAGGAAGATATTTGGCTGTTTGGCAAATATCAAGTTGAGTTCTGCAAATGCAGTACTGTAATTGAACATATTTTCCGAGAAGGTAATAAGGCTGTATATGGAACAAACTGGCAGTTTGAAAATCAACATCTTCACAGAGAGGATGCCAAGACTTGTGAATCATAGGGCATTAGAGACTACCATAAAACAGCAAATCAAAGCACTGGAAGATCCAGCTGTTGATGTGCTATACATGCTGACTGACAGGGGGTCTAACTCACCTTCACAAACATTCCAGAAAAAAGGTTTTAACCTCCATAGAACTTCCAAGTCTAAAGTCCAAGCCATTAGACGTGAACAAGCTGAAAAATTGTTGTGAGATTACCTCTGTATTCCAGAAAGTCAAAAGGAAAAGACCAAGAAAAAATCTGTTTCTTCATTTTTAAGGCAGATTCTTCCATAACTGGAATCTGTAAGCACTCTATCTGCTACCATCAGGCCATCAATCGTATGTACAACCTCGTGTTGGCCCATAGGATTCTCCAGGACAAGCTGAGGACATCTCATTGCTCATGGGTCCCAGGTGCTCCACGTCTCTACAGAAAACACTGAGGACAAAGTCTATCCTCTCCATGTGCAACAGGAAGCACCTGCCACTGACAACTCCCCAACTATGACAGACTCTTGAAGACAGACTTCTACATTTTTCACCTTTAAGAGACATACAAGGCCTGTTGTCACCTAAACCTAGGTTTTTCCATGGCAATTGACAAACCACTTTTGTTCCAGTACAAAAGCATCAAATTGGTGGAAAAGAATTTCTGCAGACCCTTGTAGGGATGTGAATGAGTGATAACAAGTGGGGACAGGGAATGAGATTTCTCTTCTCTCATCCTTCAGCTGAAGGACCAACTGTTTCATAGCCTGCTCTAGTTTCAGAAGGACCAAGGCCCCTTATTTTCCATAAGGGATTTCAGAGAGCAAGGAAGGCAAAGTAAACTCTTTGCATTTCACGTTGACTTTAAGAACTCACCCTGTAGAAGAGGGCAACAATTTCCATTTGAAGATGTCAATTTCAAGAAGACTGTTCAACCAGCAGAAAGATCAAGCAAGAAAAAAAATGACAAAAGTGAAATAGAATGAGTTTTCTGAACATGCTGCCATTTTTGGACAAGGAATAACGTGCCAGAAAGCTCAATAAAAACAATCTTCGTACCAAGCTGGACACCATTAGAGGTATCACATGTCAAGATTTTATGATGGCTTACCAAAGACAACACAAGCTGCATGACAACTCAGATCTGTATGAAGTGGGGAAAAATGGAACATATATAAGGAGACCATTATGAACTCAGAAATCTGTTTCCATGGGAATAACCAAGTTAAAAATCCCTCAGCCCAACTGTCCAGGCTGAGATGACCACTTCCCTTTAGTGGCAGTCATGACAGAGCAGCCTAGACTCATAGGCTCACCTCAAGACCAGGTAGATTTACCACATCTGCTGATTGAATACTCAGATTTACTAGAAGATGGTTCATGTGACAGGGAAAAATAATCCAGATGTGTTTTATTTTCTGCACCCAATCATCCATTACTAAACGAATTTGCTATTATGGCAGAGAAAAATCAAACAGATCAGGAACAACCTGTACAGCCCGTATGAGCAGAAGGTGTTAGGTTTTGGAGGGAAGGTGAGGGTTAAAGACACACAGAAAGAGGGTGGCTCAACAGGAAATGCAGGCTTTATGTCCAGCATAAAATCTACAGAAGTCGGGGACCAGCTTAATGCCAGATCCCACGACTGCTTACAGGCTGGGGGTACTTATAGGTATGGGCAGGAGAGGTCTGAGCAATATGGCTTGTTGACCAGCAGGATATTGTTAAGATGTTCCCATGAGGAGGCGGTTCTGGTCCTTGTTTCATTGGGATGTCATCGTGATGTTCCTTGGAACTTTGTCCAGCAGGAAATGATAGCGATGTTTCTTTAGTTCAGCCTTTGTCCACCTTGTGGTCAAGTGGTTAGGCAGGATGTTTCTCATTCCCCAAACCCCCATGAACTACTTCACTTTGACCAAGATCTGCAAAATAGCGGGGAGCTTACAAAATGGTGCAGTTTAGACTAACAGAAGGTACACATCTGCGTTGCCCTCACGAACTTTCAGAGGGCTCAGGACATACAGTGAACATGGTCCTGCCTACCATGGCTGTCGGACAGAGCGTGGGCAAGATCTCATTCTGAAAACCCTAAGGAGTTGCCCTTCCCAAAGGCAGTGGCATTGTCACAAGATGTTCTCTATTATTGGGGCTGAAAAAACTTGTTTATGATGATAGGTGAAGAGACAGGGTCAGTCACTGGCTTTTGAGATCCAGATTTCAGATGCTTCAGAGACAGGAAGGAAAAAAAGTCACTGAAGCCCAATATTGCTAGGAAAGGAATATGAATCAGTCATATGCTAATCCTACTGAAGATAGGTCCTCACATATCCAGTAGACCTTCCTGGTACAAGGAGTGTATTATTCATTCAGCCTGCTCACATTTAGTGGTAAAGGAAGGCACTCATCAAGAGGCACATCCACAAGCAAGAAATGATCCACTTGGTGGTCATTAGTTACATGGACATTTTTCATCATAGGGGTGATGAAAATTGCTCAGAAAGTAGGCCCTAACACAGATAGCACCACAATAATCTTGACAAAGCCTGATCTGGCAGCCAAAGTACCAAATACAAGATCCTTCATGTGATATGAACCCTGGCGTTCCACCCAGGTGCTGACTCCAATGGGCTCACTGCTGAGGACCAAGTAAACTCGGGAGTTCCACTAAGTTCTCACCAGCTTTACTGCCAGGCTAAGACACATAAGTCTGAAAACTTCAAGGCTAGCCAATGAGGTCCCTGTTTCACACTGCTATCAGTCACTGTGCAAGGTAAAGGGTTTTGCATCTGCTCCACAGCCAACATAAAATTCATTACAAACTAGCCCCCATATTGCTTATTTTTCTCTTCTTAGAGCCATCCACCAGGACTGCTAAGCTATTCTCCCTAGAAAAACATCTCCAGGAAACAGAAGAGTTAATGACTGGCAGACATCACCAAGAGCCACTTCTCCCATCTAAAATGGGTCACTGGCTCCGTACTTTTGCATGTGGCCAAAGTAGGCCAAGCTACAAACCAAGTTACCAGTAGCTTCCACTAGAGAAGGTAACATAACATTGCCAGGCTTCCACAAGTCATGGGAGCTCAAAAAAGTGGTGTATGTCAGGAGAAGATTCGGCGAATTAAAAAACAGCATTAATAGTCCAGTTAAAATGGGATGTACATTGAGAAATGGGATCCAAAATACTTTGTTCACATGTAGTTTTATAAGGGA
Organism: Homo sapiens; assembly: GCF_000001405.40. NCBI lineage: Eukaryota > Metazoa > Chordata > Mammalia > Primates > Hominidae > Homo > Homo sapiens. The sequence continues at coordinate 10,291,586 of NC_000004.12, read as the reverse complement.
TGTTTTTCTCCTTTTCAGAACATGTAAGTACAGTGAAGTATATGGCAAGTAACAGCAAGAGGCAATAAACATAATACCCCTGTGTGGAGGTCCAAGCTTCCTAACCTCCACTACACTTGAGAGAGCAATGAGAGTTTTGCCCATTACCTACAACAATCATCTTAGAACAACTCATGACATGTAGAGAACTGGCAGAAGAGGTGGGTCTAGTTTTAGATCCTTGAATATATTAAAATCCCACGTATTTTTTGAGTGAAAAAAGGCAGGACATTTAAAAAGACAAGCCATCCCTTGAAAACAATGAGACTTGGTTATTCAATGTTTACATTATCAAGTCTCAGTTACTGCATTGCTTATTCTCTGCCTGTGCCAGCACTGAGCCCATCCGTCTGCACAAAGGGACTTCCAGGTGGTTTGCCATTTGATTAGAATGATTGGCTGCCCTAGGCCACACCCTCAACTCGATTCACTTACTTGCATGCAACATCACATCTCTGCAGCCCAGGGGAATTGATGTCACTGGAAGAAACAATGATCATGGCAGATAGAGCTTAAGGGTAAATTATCCAACTTGTTCAAGTAGGGAAGACATTCTTGGAGACATTCTACAACTTCCTCACAGAGAACCCAGTGATATGGAGCCCACTCACCTACTTAAGTGACCAGGTAGACTCCGATTCTACCCATTCAGTAGCTGTTGTGCCCCACCCTACCTTCCCTGCACCACCCCCACCCCCACCCCCACCCCCCCCACACACACACACACACTGGTTCACCACCTTCCTCTGAAATTCCTGGGATCTCTTTAACTAAGTGTCAGGTAGTGGCAAATAAGTGACCCCTAGAGATATCCTTCTCCTAATGCTAATGCTTAGAACCTATTAACATGTTATTCAACATGGCAAGAGGGAATGAAGGGAACACATGGAAATAATATGCTCCCCTGGATGATTTCTGTATCTTCAAGTCAGCTAATTGGCCACCATGTTATCAGAAAGTCAAAGACTAAGAAGAGGGAAGCAAAAGTGCAGGTGAGTGAAATAATTGAAGATATACATTCATCTTTGAGATGAATGACGATTCTAACTTTGAACAATAAAGGGGCCACAAGACAAACAGTGTAAGAAACCACTGGACAAGTCAGTCAAGGAAACAGTGTCCTTTAGAGAAATAATAAGAGCCCAACCCCACCATCTTGATTTTATCAAAGTGAGAACCATTTTGAGTTTCTGGCCAAACATGAAAACAGGCAGTAGTATCATGACAGAGCTGCCAGGATTTGTGAATTACAGTTGAGTTCCTACTTTATGATGTTCAAGGCAGCAGAAGAGCCAAGTGTTGATAGGCTGCACAGTGACTAGAAAGGTCTGGATTGCCATTATAGATACTTCACAAAAAAATTGATTTTAACTGTTGTATGGCAGCCAAGTCCAAAATTGAAGACTCAAGTTAATTTTGAAGACATTGATTCAAAAAGGAAAGTTATCAAGTTGACTTTACTTCATCACAGAATGACAAAGCAGCAGAATACAGGGAAAAGGCTCTAAAAATCTAGCAAGCCATTCTTTTAACCCATTTCTTCAGACTCTTACATGGCTGAAATCTCAGCTGCTGATCCCCTGTCCACCAGGAGAGCAGCAACTGCATCTCTAGCCACATGCCTTTCATTGTGTAGTTCTCATGTCCAAAAACTGCAGAAGGGCAGTCTGCAGCTACTCCAGATCAAGGATCTGCAGCTGGCCCCTGGAGGAGCAGACACCATAAACAGGAAGAAGTTACCAGAGAAGAGGCTTTCATGGCCATCCTATCATAGACACCAACTCAAATTCCCCTGTAAACTAGGCTCTCTGTCCAGCACTCTATCTCCACAGTAAGTCTCCAAGGAGAGGAAGTGCCATACCCTCTTCCAAATTGATGACACAGCTAACATAGTAATGGGACTGTTATCAGTCTCCACTTAACCATTCGTCCCTGAGGAATTAGTATAAAAGCTGTGGTAGCAATTTGATTTCAGCACGAAGACTAAAGCCCTATTCTCAGAAGCATAAGTTATAGTTGGAACATCATCTCCTGACTGGGAAAGATTTTCAAACCTCGGAGTCCTCCCTGCTCTCTGAATTATCCCATTATCTTCCCAACTGATGAATGGCAAGTCTATTTCCTGGTTTTGGTATTATCTTATGAACCAAAGTTTCAGGAGGATCAGTATCAACCTGCATGAATTCTCTTGGAGCCAATGTTATAACCACCTGTAATAAATCTGTTTATACATGATCATGAAGAGAACAAGAAATGCAGTGGTTGAGAGATATTAGTCACTCAGGAAGGAAACCTGTGTATTTTTCACTCCATCCAGTAAAGAAACATCGAGATTTGTCCCACAAGGTTTTGCCTTCATATTTCCTGTTTTCATAGCAAAAAATATATCTATCTATATCTATATATATCTATATATCTATAGAAGAGACGTTCATTTAAGAAGCCTTAGTCTGAGCACTGAGTCATCTTAGAAGGAAACATGACAAAAAGTTCAGCATCACAGGACAGAGAACAAGACAGAACTTCTATACTTGTCTGGGCAAGCTTAGAAATCTCTCAGATGAGGCTGTTCACCATTGAACTCTGAGCCACGTCCCATGTCTCCTGGGTGGAAGATGTCTGAAGACAGCTCAGCTGGGTACATGGAAATGCATGCTCTTGGAGAAGCAACATGCATACTCAGACATCCTTGACCAGAGGTGGGATGGTTACAGAAACAATTCCAGGAACATTTTTGTCTTTCAATGGTAGGTGAGGGCAAAGAATGTAAGTAGCTCTTTGCTGGGATGGACTACTCCACTGTACACCTCTTACAATACAAGGCATCATGATGGTTCAAGACACACCCTTTTGTTCTAACTACTTCCAGAGAGGATAACTATTAATCTCCATCCTAAAGACAGTGAGAAATGGAAGGTTCAGAAATAGCGCTTTTACTATTAATCTGTCAGAGAGAATGAAAGCACATCAGTAAAGCTAAGTAAAATGGAAGAGACAACTCCTCAAAATTCAGCTTCAATGAAGACAAGACTTTTCAGTGTAAGTACAAGATTAACTTCTGTGCCCCCCCTCCGCATGTCAGCTATCAGCACAGGCATTTTCTGGGATCAAGCATCTCCATGCAGTTTAATAAAAAGGCAGCTCCAACAGAAATCCAAGGAGGAAAAACCACTATATACCTGTTATCCCCTCTTTTGAAAACCCCTCGTATTCACTTGCTTGTCTTCAGTGCTGTAGGGTTAAGACAATGTCATTTCAACTTCACTAAGGGACTGCTATTCTTCAAGGAGTTTGGTCACTTTTCACAAATGCCTTCTGCAAAGAGGCCTTTTAACTTCTACTTCATACCTCTTCAAGTTACAAATGATACTATCATAAGCTATCTGAGTAAAGAATTCCAGGAACATACAGCTCCTTTGGGCCATGAACCCCCACCTATGGGCAATATCCTCCCCATTTCATTTAGTAGAGTTTCATAATGAGACAGGGATGAGGATGGCAATTATCCTTCAGGAGTTTAACAGGTAGCATGATATCATGGGTAGTGATCAAGAGTCTTTTGTTGGCCAAACTGCAAGGCCTCCTAGCCTTCTGAGAGGCCCCACTCTGTACTTCCTTATAAAGTACAACTTTAGTGAACAACCCTGTGAAGGCCATTTTGCAAAAACCTCCCACACACTTGACAGCCAATTATTTTCAATATCTGATGAGGTTCTTCCACCATCTCCCAGGTGATGCCTATATTCCCAGCTGGTCCTTAGCATGAATCCTGTCAGTTTGGCCAGCAAACCCTTCTCTGAAGTTTATCTGGGTAGTTTTCCATCAACTGACCCCACACTATTTCTTGAGTATAAATTTCTATTTGCCTACACTGTACTTTAACAGGTGAGATGGCAGCCAAAATTGTATTTAAAATACACTTTGTAGAAGTTTGAGTTTACATTTTAACTTTCGACTTTTAAGTAATCCATTGTATTAGTTGATTTAGAGATGAGATCCCCTTTGACTATTTGAGGGCACTAATCTGTCATGAAATTAAGAATTCTTCCCCTCTATTAATCTTGTACTGTTACAGTGGAAACCAAGGCTGTGTCGTTGTCACACTATATGAGATTCTCCAGGACAAGGTGAGATCACCTTACTGTTGGGTCCCAGGTGCTCCACATTTGCAGAAAACAGTGAGAAACAGCTCTGTCCTCCAGTGCCTAACAGAACTCTGAACACACTCAACTATGACATGGGAGTTCTTTTGGAAGAACTCAGCTTCTGTCTGAAATGTTCTATCTTTAAGGAACCTACAACCTGTTATGTGTCTCCTAATCTTGGGGTTTTGCCAATTGACAGACTACTTTGTTCTGGGACAAAAGCATCTGTTTGGTGAAAGAATTTTAGGAAACCTGTGTAGGAATGTGGGTTAGAGTGGTAAGTGGGGACTGGGAATGATGAGCTCCCTTCTCTCCCATCCTTCTGTTAAAGAACAAATTGTTTTTCTTAACTCCCTCCAGTTTTAGACAAGAAACAGAAGCCTTTATTTTCCAGTGAGTGGAATGCAGGCACAGTTAAAACCCTTACAGTTGATGTTGACACAAACCTCCGCCATGCCAAAAGAACAGTTTCCCCATTGCTTGTTTTTCTCATTAAAAAGTCAGGAAACAACAGGTGCTGGAGAGGATGTGGAGAAATAGGAACACTTTTACACTGTTGGTGGGACTGTAAACTAGTTCAACCATTGTGGAAGTCAGTGTGGCGATTCCTCAGGGATCTAGAACTAGAAATACCATTTGACCTAGCCACCCCATTACTGGGTATATACCCAAAGGACTATAAATCATGCTGCTATAAAGACACACACACACGTATGTTTATTGCGGCATTATTCTCAATAGCAAAGACTTGGAACCAACCCAAATGTCCAACAATGATAGACTGGATTAAGAAAATGTAGCACATATACACCATGGAATACTATGCAGCCGTAAAAAAAGATGAGTTCATGTCCTTTGTAGGGACATGGATGAAATTGGAAATCATCATTCTCAGTAAACTATCACAAGAACAAAAAACCAAACACCGCATATCCTCACTCATAGGTGGGAACTGAACAATGGGAACACATGGACACAGGAAGGGGAACATCACACTCTGGGGTCTGTTGTGGGGTGGGGGGAGGGGGGAGGGATAGCATTGGGAGATACACCTAATGCTAGATGACGAGTTGGTGGGTGCAGCGCACCAGCATGGCACATGTATACATATGTAACTAACCTGCACATTGTGCACATGTACCCTAAAACTTAAAGTATAATAAATAAATTTTTTAAAAAAAGAACAGTTTCCATTCAAAAGTATCACAATTTCAAGGTGACCAATCACCAGGAATGGGATCAATCAATGAAGTATAATGACAAACATGAAATATTAAGAATGAATTCTCTGGACATGTTCCCTTCCTTGGGCAAGTAAAGATGACCTACCAGAAAAAAACCCAAAGACTAAAAGCACCCACTTTCATGTTAAACTGGACACCATTCATTAGAGCTGTAAAATGGCAAGATCTCATTGTTACAGCCTGTAGTTGACCCAGACTCACTTTGCTTTCTACGAAAGGCGGCCAAATTTGGAAAGTACATAGGGAAGCAATTATGAGCTCAGAATTCTGTTCCCATGACAATGACTAGCCACTTAAACTCCCCTTTAGCAAAGCTAATGAGTCTGAATTGACCATACCCAACAGTAAAGGTAGACAGGACAGAGCACCCCAGATTCTTACAGATTCATGTTCGAAGACTAAAAACAGACACCCAAGCCATTGAATTCTCATTGGTTTTACTAGAGGACAGTTCATTCGGAACCGAAAATTGCCAAGTGTGATTCAGCTTCTGCATGCAACCTCAAATACTATATGGAGATGGTGATATGGTGGAGACAAATCAGGATACAGGGACCAAGAACCACCTGAACAGCCAGCACAGACAGAAGGTACACACCTGCACTGACCTCATCTACTCACGAGAGCCCTGGGCACGAAGGAAAGCCTGGTCCTATTGCACAAAGGGGATCAGAGCCTGGTCCAGAGCTCTGTGATGGAGGCTATCTAGGGAGTAGTCTTTCCTAGAGGCAGTGGTATTGTCAGAAGATGTTCTTTGGTGCAGAAACTGAAACACTTTTGCATTAATGTCAGTATAGAGGAAAGGTAATTATCAGGACACCCAGATAGAGACGTTTTGGACACAAAATCAATAAAGCTCAACATGTCATTGCTGGGAAGAGATGGGAATTAGTCATGAGCTTATCAGTCTAGAGATCAGCTCCCCACACTAGACATTCCTGGTATGAGTCAAGTGGCTTGGGGCTATCAGACCACTGACCTTGCACATCAGATCAAGGCACTCGAGGATGACCTCTGTAAGCAGGAGACAATCCACTTGGTGGCTGCCCTCAGTTACATGGACATCCCCACCACAGAAGCACTAGAATATGGCTCGGGAGGTGGACAGCAAAGCAGGCAATACCATAGTTACCTGGACAAAGCCTGTTCTGGTGGACAAAGGTGCCAAAGTCAAGTTCCTTGATGCGGTATAAAACCTGGTATACCAATAGCCATGGGCTCATCACTGAGGACTAGATAGGATCACCAGGTCTACTGGTTTAGTGTTACTCCCAAAGTAACTGTCACATATCACAGCTAGACAATAAGGTTCTGGTTTTCACGTTTGTCAGTGTGCAGGATCAAGGGTTCTGAACCTATTGGCAGCTCTACTGACACTGACCAACAGCTAGTTCATCACAAGAAGAGCCCTAGCATAACTTATTTCCCTTAGTATAATTATTCCAAGACTTCTGAGCCACTCTCCAAAAAAGTAAATCAAGGGAAAAAAGCACAACAGGGCTAATGACTGGAAGGCATCACCAACAGCTACATTTTCCACTCCGAAACACATAGGCTCCATGTTTGAGCCAAAGGTCAGTTAATCTGACGATGACACTGCAGACTGTAATGGCTTCAAAATTGTGCTGTCTCCCGACTGGCCCTGTCTATACTCAGGGGAAGATGCAATGTTGCTCATGACAAGTGTTCTTTCCACTTGTCTAGGACATTATTGTGTCTAGTGGCTCTAAAGGCATCTAGTGAAGACATATCAGTGTCCAGCTACAACCTTCTGGCATTTAGGTCTTCGCTTTATGTAGGGGAAATTTGGGGGTAGCATCCGAGACACCACAGCTTTGGGGGATATCTAAGTACAAGATACCATGAGCCCATTGAGTATAGGGGGACATAATTTTAGCCAGAAACACAAAGTACTTCTCAGTAGCATCCCCACCAGTCTATGTTCAGGTAGGAGAGCTTCTACATGAACTCACAGGACAGAGAACACTCACCTACAAGGCACCATGGTTTTTAGAATACAACCTTTGCAATGGAGACTAAGATCAAGAAAGTAGGATACAGTTCATATCCTCAAAGATCAAGTGTCAGATAACAGTGTATCAAAGAATGAAGTCATGAAACAGGTTAAGACATGCCACACCACTTAAAGTACAGTACTCTAAAATATGAGATCGTTTACATGAGAAGTAGGATACAATTTCCTGATACTCTGAATCACAAAGAAAATAGAAATGCTGCAATGCAGAACAAGTAGTTGCATTTTAGTCACTCAAACTGTTCTCATTTTGGTTCCACAAGTGTAGCATAGAAAAAGACAATGCATTAAGGCATTTGGTTTCTGGATACTATCCATGGCACAGGCCACGTGGTTCAAATATGGACTCTTCTTTTGGGATGGTTCATCTGTCAGAGGTATAGATCAACATAAGGAATAGCGTCTCATGATGCAAAAGTGGCATAACGGACTGCAGAAAATGTGAATAGTACCAGGAGCTAACAGCACACTTATTTTCTGTATCATATTTAGAATATAATTTCTATCATATCATCCTTATTAATCAGAACATTAAGTTTCATACAGAATTATTTTCGGTTCTAGACTTCCAAAGAGTTCTCTGTTGTAAGGGCTTGAACAAAGCAGTCTATCCAGTGTTGAATTCCTGATCAAGTCAATCTTGAAGCATGCTAGACAACTCACAGTAATAGGAAATGTTAACGAGCTTATTTCTAAGCAAACCTTTAATCCAGTACCACTGGGCAATTAACACTTTCAGATGGAACAACTTCAAATGGAACCTTTTGACAGGCCCCAGCCCTGTGATTGCTGCCAGGAAATTATGCTGAAGAATCACTCTGTAGCCTTCTAAAGTATCAAACAAAAAGTCTTTCTGATTGGACAAATCCCTCAATTCATCATCAACCAACTCTTAATTCAGAGCTGTTCCCTAAGAAGGAAACCTGTCTCAACTTCCAGGAAACCATGTTTGAAGCTCAACCTAAGACCAGCAGGGCACAGGGCACATGCTCACTTTGTCAGATGTAGGTTGTGCCAGTGGGTCAGCTCTACACACAGCACAGAGGATGCTGGGCCCTTGAATTTGATCTTCACTATCCAAAGGGAGTCCATGGCAGAGAAAATGGAACACCTCAGATCTGAGAACCATAAACGTGGAGGCCAGGGAAGTGGGGAAAGAGCATGGTGACCCAGGCCCAGTCAGTCAATATTACCTATGTAATCCACATCCAGGGGAACCTCCTGGGGTTAAATGAATGATCCCCACAAGAACAGTTTGGGATGGTCCAGGTAAAGTGTCCCACCACCTAAATCTGGTTTTCAAATGACCCTTATATGGATAGAAGTAACAAGAGTCTTGGCTACTTGTGTCCGTAGAAGGGCATCGAAATGACCTAGGTTATATTCATCAGTGGCTCATATCATGGGGATCAAAAGACAGAAGTGGGTAAAGCCAAGCCAAATCCAAACATGTCTGGGAGCGGCTTTCCCCTAGAGGAAGCAGCTTGACTTTGAGCTCCCATGATTCAAGAGAGCCTAGCCAAAGTGATTCAGAGGAGAATGGATACCTTTCACCAGGAACAAGAGTATTAATCCTCCAATCAAAGCGAGATGAACACTATTCTTACCAGCTCGAACTATGAAGAGGTTCTTTAATCAAGTAAGGGGCAATAGAGTATTTTAGATCCCTACCTCCCTAAACACATAATGAGGATTGTGGCAATGAAAAGCAAAAGGTGATAGACATTACCATATTCACACACATATTCACACACACGTACCATGTGTGAATATTGTAATGAGATATCATTTGATCAGAGATCAAAACCTGCTGACCTCCACGACCCTCAAAAGGAAGAATGAGAAGTATCTCAGTCAGCTTAGAATAAATCATGTTATGTAAAGAACATCTGACAAATGAGTCAGGTCTTATTTTAGAACCACAGGCATGCCATTCTGTTCAGTTTTGTCAGAAAAAGCTCAAGATTTAGAACAAGTCAACTTTTCTTGTGTTCAGAGAAAAGTTACTGTTTTATGTTATTCACTCCCAATGTTGCATTCATTATTCCCTATGCCGCCAACAGGCACTGAGCCCATTCTTCTGCACAAAGAGACACTTAGGTGGTTTGCTATTTGATTAGGATCACTGGGCTCAGGGGCCATGTTCTTACCCTTTGTTCACTTTTTTCCAAACAGAGCCACATTCCACCAGCACAGGAGATAAGTGCCTCAGAAGGGGAACAGTATGATCATGGCAGGCAGAGGTGGGGCCAAAGATTCAGAGTCTTATCCCTAAGGAGAGACATTGTGAGATACATTCCACCCCTCCCCAGAGAGACCTAAGGATGATTGGGCCACTGTCTTGTCTACATGACCAAGTGACAACTACCCTTTCAGTAGCTTCTAACCTTTCAGCAGTTCAGCATCCCACTCTGGGCCTTCAGAGATCACGTCCAAAAAAGACCAGATGTAGGCAAATTGACGTCTTGATCCTAATAGACTCTGAGCGTGTTAAGAAACATGCCAGTGGCACATTTAGGGAACATATTGAAATATGGTTGAAATCCAACTGAATGTATAATTTAGATATCATCCAGGAGGACTGTCATCAAAAGAGGGACAAAAGTTCAGATGAGAGTCCAAGACAGACTTAAATATACATGCTATTTTGAGATTCCCGAGGGTGAAATTGAAAGTCCACAAGAAAAGCAATGCAAGGGACCCTGAAAGGTAGGTAAGTCATAGAACCACTGTCCTCAGACCAACAAGATAGGAACCCAAACCCTGCCACCAACTTGACCTCATCCAAGGGACAGCCATTTCAAACTTGGAATCCCCAAGTGTACGATAAAATTGTAAGCCCTAAACATTATTTGTTAGGGCTTTCATTTCAAAGAATGAAAACGTATGTCTTCAAATATCCTATTCTCCTTCAGGGTCTACTTTTCCAAAAGCCATACCGAGTCACTAATTTGTCCTCATTATTACAAATGAGAAGACTCAAATATTTTTCCTGGGAAGTCTAATCAAGAAAAAAAGATAGCTGCGTATGCTTCTTGCCCTTACAATATGAAGAGGTTAAGATTATAAATGTTGTTTAAATTTCAAATGACATGCATCAAATGCTATAGAATTACTAAAATGTATACAACAAGTCTGAAGTCATATTGATGAATTTTTCTATGATGTATACAAGAAGTCTGAAGTCATGTTGATGAATTTTTCTATGCAAAAAATAGTACACAATTGAAAATCTTCCTATAGTGTTCCCTGACCATAGAGAGTTTACTTACTGAAAGCTATGCTACCTACCCATTAACGAGGAAATACACATACCATTTTCCATTTATTCCACACAACATAGAAACCTGGGAAAACTCAGAATGCCCATCTTTCCTCAAGAGCCAACCTTGCTGACCAAGAGCAATGGATACATTCCTCATCCCAGAGGGGCTAAACTGCTGAGAGACCTCACACTTCAGGAGACGACAGTGCCCCTGCTTGGCAACGGCCCAGGTCAACAAAACAGCAAGAAGAGACAGGCCATTTCTTGCCTTCACAGACACACCACAAGGCCTTTCCACAGGGAGCTCTGACCTCCGGACCCCCCTAGTGGCAGCCATTGTTCTGGTTCTGTGACCACCCCCCACAAGGAAACATCTCTAAGTACAAACCTGAGAGGGGTTAGGCACTGGAGAGCAAGACTGGTAACTGCTTCCACATCACAGGAGAGCACTCTGGCTCACACTTTTACCCCAGAGGAGCCAGGCAGGCCTAGCAAGGAGACTATGGATTCTGAAATCCTTTCCATCACCTTCTTGAAGATTCTTGACCCCTTCCTTCCTTCCCAGAAAAGCAGCTCCTATTGACTACAGAGCTGGAAGTCTCTCCCCTCCTCATTTGACATCTTTGGTACAAATAACATTGTTCCAGAAAGTCTGAGAGGAATACTGATCTTTCTACGATCAGTCCCTTACTTCCTCAGGGTGAATTCCCAAAAGGTACACCAACCATTGCATTTTCAGGGAAGTTTCCAGAGGAGATTTAAGTCTGCTGCCCAATGCAAATACCTGCTCCTTACAGGTTGGACTGATTCTAAGTCCTTCTCCCTAGACTGCTCAGCAGGACATGGACTCTCCTGGGTCAGAGACCCTTTCACCGTAGTTACTAGGACAGGGGTCAACTTATTTCTCCATTCTGAGTAACATGAGCTGAACAAGGCCAAAACAATGCTCTAACTCACCAGAACCCACATTGCCAACAGGGTCCAACGTGGCCAAGGGACCACAGAGCCAAGCCACAGAAAGCCCCTCTTAGCTCCTGACATGTTCCAGGCAGTGCACAGCAAAGATAAGCCATGCACAAGCAACTGGCAGGACCTACAATGTAATTCTGGTTTCAAGCTTGTGTCCCAGCACAGGGTCTCTCCCATAAACTACATCCCTGATGAATTGTGCCAGAAGTTCAGGAGTACAGCTGGGAAACTCAAAGGCATTGAGGCATACTAACCCGAGCAGAGGTACGAACCCAAAATAGGTCTACACATGCCTATTTCTTCACCCAGTGAAACCCCTGTAAAGAAGCTGCAGTCCCAGCCATGAATGTAGACGAAAGGTCCTTCTACCTATGGGCTGTATAGCATCAAGACGATGTCAAGAGCAGGTACGTCATCCACTCAGCCATGAATCATGCCCAGTCTCTCAGGACAAAAACACAAAGAACCCTGGAAACCCCCTGGAATACAGAGGTTTGAGCTACCACACAGCAGCATACAAAGCCTTGCTCCCTCTCCACATACTTCCGAGTCTAACTTGTCACTGACTTAAAGCTCAGCACACTAAGGGAAATGGACAGAATGCACCTTGTCTCAGCTCACGAGGCCCATCTTATCTTCCTAGCATGCAGCTTTGAGAGCTGAGGAAACTTCTGTTTATTCCAGGTCCCCCTGAGATACCACGATGCTTACTCACACTCCCATCTAGATCTTCCTGATTATATAAGCCTACCTAGAGATATGTGTTGACCTTGACTCAGGTCTCCAGATATGGTACAGTGTGTTTAAACACAGGTAACATCGTCACTGCTAGAAAGCAGCACAAACCTAAAACAGCCTCTTGACGTAAGAGGAAGATATCCCACCAAAGGACCCAGCCTCCAAGACAATGCTAGGTAGCAGTGATCAGGTGAGCGCATCCACCTGAAAAGTTGTGATCAAACAAGAAATAATCTCATCCCTTGCTGACAACTGGCCTTGCTTCATGGAGATTATGCCTAAGGTCAGCAACCTTATGACCTTCTTGGAATACATGTAAGTTGTTATATGCAGACTTTGATTCTTAGGGCAGTCTATTCACTCTAAGGCACTTCCAGCAGAAACGACCAGAGGCAGTGGTCACGAAAAAAATCCAAGAGCCTCTTTAATCCAAGACAGCTGAAACATGCTCCCCAGAAAATCATCAACATGAACCAGACAGGGGTTAAAACCAAGATGGCATGAGCCACAGTAACACCCTCAACCCAGAGAGATCATTGCCTCATGCTTTTCATCTCACTCAGTGATGTCTGCAAGATGACATTGGCAACTACAACATATTCAAAATCCTCTTGTAACCTCCAGACAGGGGCCCTGGCTGCCCAGAGAACCTGCCACTGACGACCATGATGTGCACTGTCCTCAGCCTGTCTGGGCTGTCCCATCTCTGGTGTTTCCAAAGGCAACAAGACAAGGTCAGGGGCAGCTGGCTTCCACCTCCTGCCTTCAAGTCTGCACTTTGCATTTGGAGGTTCAAGCAGCAACATGCAAACAGACCATATGTCTGCTGGGGAATGGTAAGGACAACTAACCCAGGTGGATCACCCTTCGAGGATCAGGATGTGATACATTTCTGGGTGAAGCAATCCTCAGCAAACTAACACAAGAACAGAAAACCGAACACCGCATGTTCTCACTCAGGCTAGGGGAGGGAGAGCATTAGGAAAAATACCTAATGTACGCAGGGCTTAAAACCTAGAGGACAGGTTGATACGTGCAGCAAACAACTATGGCACATGAATACCCATGTAGCAAACCTGCACATTCTATACATGTATCCCAGAACTTAAAAGTAAAATTAAAAAAGAAAACGTATTCTCAGGCAGAGAGCCTAAAAGCAGTAAAATAAAGACCCTGCAGGTTAGCTATGGCTGTGTCTGCAGTTATGACCATGAAGGCGCTAAATTCACTACTAATGAAAGCAATGATTGGATAATCCTCTGTGGCCGCAAAACCTAGATCTCAGAGCCCAGGTTGTGCTAGCCTTGGGGATAAACGCAGGCTCATAAGGAACACTGCCCACGGAGTTGATATTCTGAAGATTTTTCCAGAGAAAATACTAAAGCTGAAAATTCTTCCAGGGAAACAGGATGGTCAACAACAAACAATCCCGAGTGCATTCTAATGAGAATAAGTCCATTTGGGAATGTAAAGATTAAGAGCACCAGAAAGACAGTTGGCAGCATTTATAATCTCATCCGAAGCTGGCAGGATGAGGTCACACAAAACCCACCTAGACTTCTGTGTGCGTGGAAGACAGCCTCCAAGGCTGTCTTCGTCCATCAGTGCAAAGTCCAGTCGTGCACCTCTGATTAGACCTGCAGGTAGGTCACCACTTCAGACACATTCTGTGCTAATGTTTCAATTTGCAGAGGATCCAGTGGGGAGGTGGCGTTTCTCTGTCAGGCTTCACTACCATCTATGAGCCCGAAAATTTTTAATATTGAGGACAGATTAAGCATATCTTTACACAAGAAATGTTTAATTCTCCCATGATTATGAGAAATGTAGACAGAAGTTTAAAAACAAACAGCTTACAAAAACAAAATGGTAATAAGTTGACTTTAAATCCTCTTCCCCCTAAACACAGGGACAAGCACAATGTTGGAAACGCATTCACTGACATTAAAATAACCACATGAACAGAAAACCAAGACCTCAGCATTCATTCCACTCTGATGTAGGCCACAGTGATTTCTCTGGATATTTTTCCTATTTCCCAGTTTTTTGTGACAGCAGAATGAAACAAGCATGCCTCAAAGAAAGCTTTCCTCAGAACGGGAAGGTCCTATTTAGCTGAGGGGCAACATGACAAAATTCAGGATCCCAGGCAAGAATAAAACAAGCCTCCCCTATCTGCTTGGGGAAAGCCTAGAGCTCTCCGTCCCCATCACACCCTGATGACGCTCTATGCTGGATCACTCTGTGCTCTCTTCCATCCCACCTGCAAGGCAGGTACCTGACAACCACACGCCCTGGGGTTGGTGAGAATGGGTGACCTTCAGGGAACAGTACACTTATCCATTGATGGATCCTTGACAGAAGATTCAGATTCACTCCTTCAATTTCTGACCATTCTCTCCCCTCAAATGTAGCTCAGGGCCCACGAGTGGCAGGGCAGCTCATTAGTGACATGCTCTAGGTTAATGGTCACCTCTGAGAATGTGTAACAACCAGAAGGTTCCAGATCAGTGCTACTCTTTCTCTGCCATGCCTCTAAAGGGTCCCTCTCTTGGCCTCACTGAACAGTAGCCACAAAGGAAAGCGGGGGCCAGCCACATCCTTCTGAAAGGCATTGCTCTTGAGGGTCAGCCACCATGCCTGCTTAAACCCCATGGTCAGAACATAGCCCATGACGACAGCTTACTCAACATAGCAGACAAGTCATCTGTATTGATGTTGTCCCATGATGAACAACCCTGTCAAAGTTACAGGAATGGCCTCTCCTCTGCTGCCCACTCCTTAGGTCAGTAGCACCCAGATCCTCCCATATAAGGAATCAGAGGCTGAGTCAACAGGCAGTTCGAGAGAAATCCACCACAGTACAGGACACCACACATTTACCATTTTTCATGCAGACACGTCTCAATTGTAAGGTTTCACTCAAAGCTACTGACTGCGGGTAATAAAGACAACCCATTTCCACTTCAGTAAAGGATTGTGTGAGAGGGAACAGATCTCTTCAGAGAGGCTGTTCTCTTCCAACCTTTATTACATTCATTTAGTTTGTGAACAGGGGGGCAAGTGGTTGTCATACCATCTCAAAGAAATTCTAGAATCAGATTTATAGCTGCCAATATGGACCATATACATAAGTTTTAACATGTCCTCTTTAGGGAAGATACTCATGAAGCACTGGTATGGGTGTGGAGGTCACTTCAATCAGGCAGAACAAGAAGCCTGTCAGCAGGAATGAAAGAAACCACAAAGCCAGCCCAACATGAGGCTTGTCACCAGTGCCAAGTTCCACTTGGCTGACTGAAGTCACTATTGAGGTCATCACTCAACTACCTAAGATGATGGAAAGAGAGAAACTCAAGTCCCATTGAGGACGTATGCTTTCGAAAATGATTCTCGTGTATTTTAGCACCATGTGTAATCGTTTAAGCCAGATACAATCTACACATTAAGGTGAGCCAGGCAATGTGAAGTCCAAAGTAATGATGTTCTGTGCCTCCCCCAAAATTGGATGTCAAGTCAGTATTTTCTCCCACATTTGCGTTTGCTGTTTGGGCCCCTTTCCCCACCAAACCTTAGTGTACACCAAGATAATCCACTGAAAAGGAACAGTACTGGAGTCAGGAGTAAGATCCTGAGGGCCAAAGCCACATGCTTCTACCTCAGCCCAGTAGATGCTGAACTTGACTCCTGTCCCTGCTTACTGACGGCAGGGCAGTCAGCTTCCCCAGGTTGAATCATGAGGACTCAATCTGCCTTTCGATACAAGAGGGCAGGCTCCTCTCTGCCCCTCTTCCCTCCAGGTTCACAACCCCTGTACCTCCTAGATCAAGCTTTACAGAGGAGGTTAACTAAATGTAGCCAAACAAACCCAAATGCAGAACAAAATACTGCTTGACATCTGATTTTAGGAGAGGCACAAGACATCATTGCTTTGGACCCCACATTGTATGTGAAATCTTCCACAAGGGCCTACACCAAAGGAACCCAACTGTGCTAGTCTATGGATGCTTGGCGGTAGGAAAGGGGAGAGTGGAATGGTGCAATGACGCTTGATGTGGCATGTTTGGAGGGTGTCACTCAGCAGTAGCACAGGCCATACGGCCAAATTTCAAAACATTTTCCCCAAGAGATACAGGCAAGGCTCATTGCCTTAATTAAAACAAATGAAGAGATTCAAAACCCATGTTTTCCTGCAGTGTATGCCAAGGGCATTTAACGAGCAACATTTGCAGCCCTCCATTGGAGCAAAGACCCCATTTCACTTCTACATGATGTGGACAAGAAGCTGCAGAGGCCCATTGTTGGAAAACTTGCAACTATACCCAAAAGTAGAGATATTTCATTCAACTGCTGTAGGTCTAGCATGGCCCCAGATTTCCACACAGTAACCCCCAGAACAGACAAAGATGACTGTTTCAGCCTTGCGAGTTTTGATCAGATCATCACAGTTCTGTAACTTTCCCATTTGAGCACCTCATCAACGATTTCTAGTTGGCAGTAAAGTTGTCCGCTGTGGCATTTAGGATGGGACTGTTGTGCTCATGTAAAAAAGCCATTGGTCTCTTCCCAGATAGTTTCTGCAAAGACAGTTATTCTCATATTCATGCAAAGTGGAGGAAGGGAAGGGGTCATGAGATGTGTCTACCAAGGAAGATTCCATAAACAGACCACCAAGAAGGAAGGGAAAGCATACTAATCTTTGAGTCTCCTTTGGAGAAAGACAATGTAACCAAGCAGGTTGACTTCCAACACAAGCTTTTTGCCTCTTCCCCCTAGTCTCAAGATGTTACCTGTGAGCAAACTACAGAAGTCTTTTCCCTCAATCTTAAAATAGACTCCATGTCTCTCCCTTTCCCACCATATTCTTCTTTTGCATTTCACTATATGCTAGTATCTAATTATGTGCTTACTTAGCAGTTCCAGGAGCTCATCTTTGGACAGACAGGCCAAGCATGGAGGCCCAACTTTAAAATTTGTGATTACCTCAAGGCAGCTACTCAGCATTCCCACCATTGACATGATGCCAGCCCATGCTCCAGGTGGACTGAGCCTGAGATAGCCACTGGAATGAGACAGAGCGTTTGTACTCAGCACAACTCCTGCATGAATGCCTTCCCTATCAAGTTTTCCCTTCATAAACCCTTACCGCCTTCTCCCCAGAAAGGCCAAGTGGCTACTTTGGATTGCAATCGGGCCAGTTCTCCATTACTAGTTTTGGTTAATAAAAAACCACTCTACCATACCTCACTCTTGCCACTGGAGTCTGCAAATGGTGAGTGGCTGATCTGTGTTTGGTTACAATGGGAGAGTGGTAATGTCACCAAAATACCTTCAACAACCAAGAGAAGCCAGGATCAAAGTAGGTGGGAGCAGCTACACCAAAACAAGGTGAAATATGACGTGTCACTATTGCTTACTTGTTATTGTGAAGTGGTCTGAGCCTCGGTGAAAGGTTCCTTGAAAAAAATAAACAAATGGCAATGAGAATTCCTAAGTCTCATGAGAGGCTCATGCTTTGAAAACTGCTTGTAATTGATAGACACTGACCCGGGGTGCTCACCTCCCTAGGTACCAAGTAACAGCCAGTGGCAAGAGCCAAGAAATGGACAGGGCTTAAACCCCTCAGGCCCCACCTATGTGTCTATGGGCTGATCTAAAAGATGACAGCTCCTTGCTGCTCCCAATGAAAATATGTGTCCTGATCCCATAAATGCTCAGGTGCTGTGTGAGTGGAGGAAACTGAAGAGCAGCTGGATTAACAATGAACCCCACCGATTAGGGTGATCTGGACTGTCTATTGGCAAGAGTGACTCAATGCTTGTTCTTTCACGTATTTAGTCACAACATCATTGCTTTGATACATGGTGAAGAAACCACAGGGGGAAAAAAATCACTCGTCTGTTTTGCATAATGGGTTCTGCATTAAGAAGATTATGAAGTTTTATATCAAAAACTGTAGAAATTAGGCAATCAGTATTTTGGCAGAGAGCTGCCAAGATTTATGAATCACAGGCAATTTGAGACCATCATAAAACAGTAAAAGCACTGTAAGAACTGCTGATGTGTAGCACACATGGAAGGATACGGCCCAGTTCATTTTCAAAAATGTTTCAGAAAATAATTTCTTAGCTTCCACAGAACCATCAAGTCCAAACGTGAAGACATTAGAGACTAAGTCTACAATGAAAACCTCACCACAAAATATTATCAGGACTTAGATATCTTTACTGAATGCTACCCACCAGTAAAGGTAGAAACAATCATCCAAATTATTCCAGCCAATATAAGAAATATTCTCAGACTGCCCCTTCCCTGAACAACCAACTAAACTGATCAAGACCCCGGATGCATTCTCAACATCCTCCACCCAGAGGCTACACTGCTCCAACAGGACTCCCGTTTCAGAGGGGACCAGGAGGTTCCTCATCAGGAGTCGTAGTCAGCACAGCTGCTGGCAGAGGCAGCACACTAACCACCTGCACACGTACACACACGTACATGTAAGTCTTTTCACAAGCAGCTGTGAACCTCCTCCATGGGCAGCCACTGTTCTGGAAGTGGTCTGAGCCAAGAGAAGACATCTGCATATAGCATTCTGAAGTAGGCTGAGACCTGGACAGCCAGACCCAGCAGCTGCTTCCACATCAAAGGAGCGAGCTCTGGCTCATGCTTTTGCCCCAGAGGAGACAGGCAGGCCCAGAACTCAGACAATACGGGGACAGGAATGCTTTCAGAATTGTACCCTTTAAATCCTGAGTCCTTCCTGCCCAGAGAAGGTGCCATTGGTGACCGTGGAGCTGGAAGCTTCCTGCTCTCTTACCTTTGAAAAAAATGAAACATCTCAGAAGCCTAAGGCATACTCACCACATATTCTACATTCAGTCCTTTATTCTCTCATGGTGAATTCCAAAGCAGTGCCCTGAATATCACATTTGTGGAAAAGTTTCCATAGCAAACTGTGACCCAGAAGAGATGCCTGCTTCTTATAAGGTATCCTGTGACTCAGGAGAGGTCATGCTTGCTCTCCCCAACAGTCCAGAGGGAAAAGAACAGAGATAGAGCCTTTCACAGATGTTCTAAAGGACATTGCCCTTGTCCTTTTCCCACTAAGACTTACAAGATGAACAAAGCCCATAGACTTGTCAATTTTGCCAGAACCCACTCTCCAGGAAGAACACAACCAATACAGCACATCAGAACCAAGCTGGGGAACTTCACGGTGGGCTCCACAGACATTCCAGGCAGGAACTAGAAGACCAAACCACATGTATCTCTTCAAAGATGTCTAGTGCAGAGCCTCTCCTACAGTACTTCATCCCTCATGGACTGTGCCAGAGTGCAACTGGGGACACAAAGGTTCTGGAGTATATTAACCACAGGAGAGGTAGGAACCTGAGACAAGTCTACATACACAACTCCTTCATCCAAGGAGGCCCCTAGAGAGCAACAGACACACACAAGTGTAGAAAAAAAAATGACGTTGAGTTCATAGGTTTTATGAGACAGAGACAAGGTCTAGAGCAGGTATAACATATGTGATCAGCCAAGGATGGGCCCAAGCTCTGTCTCTTGGATGGGGGTGGGGCACACAAAAAGATGAGAGCCCTGGAAACCCTCTGTGGTCCAGAGACTTGAGCTTCCACACAGCAGCATACGAGGCCCGGAGACCTCCCCGTAATCCTTTGAGTTGACCTTGTCACCGACTTGAAGCTTAGCACACTAGAGAAAATGGGGACAACACAAGCTAAATGTGCCATACCCCACTTCTCACCATTCTTTTCCAGGGCATAGCTGTGGAAGATTTAAATATTCTATATGGTCACATTTCTCTTGGTCCCCCACAGGAGCACAGAAGTCCATACTCACTTCTACCTAGATCTTCCAGCTCAAGCCATCCCCAAATACATGGCAATCTTGACTCAGATGATCTCCAGGTACAGCGAGGTGAGTGTTTCATATGCAGGCCATGTTTTCACAGGTGAGTAGACGCACACAACTAAATCGGACTAAAGGGAACTGGAAGATTTCACACCTGAAGCCACTGCAAGACAATGCCCAGGTACCAATCCAAGTGAGTGCCTCCACCTGAAAAGGAGGTGATGGTCAGTCAAGAATTCATCTCATCCCTTGGTGGCTGTTTGCTTTGCTTCCTGGACATAGGATGTGCAAGGTCAATAACCTCAGGCCCTTCTTGGAGTATGATCATTTTTTGTGCACACTGGAAAAATGAATAGAATGATGTAAAATGAAATGCTCTCTGCAAAATCAAAGACCAAAGTCATTAGCAGAAAGCTGCACAAGCAGCAAAGCTGAACGGAACATCCCCACGATTGTCTGATCAGTTGAGATCCAAGGTTGGTAGAAGAAACAGCCTGCAATTAAAGTCAAGTGGACCCAGCCGACTACAATGTTAAGAGCTGTATTTACATGAAATATGATCACAGTCTACGTTAAAGCACCTCTGCATATAGAGGAAGATGAATTTAGGAAAAACACCTTTGTATCTGGAAAACTATTTCCATGCATCTAACGACGATTTTAACTTCCCCAGAATAAGACCTGAAGCTGAAAACATCAGACTCCCTTTTCAATCCAGTGTTGACATAGCACTCTGGGCTCATTTGTCCAAGGAAGGTAGACACCCACAGCATAGTTTCATGCTCACCAACTTTCCAGCCAGAACAAGTGAGGCTTGAGGGGAGTTCTGACATTCAGAGCTGTCAGTGAGGCGCCTGCTTCACACCAGACTGAACGGCAGCAGAGCCGCCCTGATAGGCCCCTTCTCTCCACGCACACCAAATTTGCTTCATACAAAGCTTGAGCAAATTGTTTTCTCTGACATCACTCTGCCATGTGTGAAACACGTTCCCCAGATCAACACAAAACAGTAGCTAGGAAAGAGTTAAGACCAGGAAGGCGGGAAGAACAGTTTCCACCATGCTAACACCCCTGTGCTGTTGCCCATACCTGATAGGGTCAGTGAATCTCTGGCAGGGTGACACTGGGAGAGACTGGAATAGATTCAAAATTCTGCTCCAGTCTCCAGATGGGCCCTGTCTGCCCAGAGACCATGCTGCTGCTGGCCATGCTGTGCCCTGTCCTCACCCTGTCTGCAGCTGTCACATCTCTAAGAGGTACCTAAGGTGTCAATAAGGAAAGCTCAGGAGGCAGCTGGCTGCAAACCATCTGCCTTCAGCCTTGCACTTCCTATTTGAAGATTCAAGCAGAAATATGCCCAAGTGTAGGAAACCACCTATCTGCCAGGCACTATGGATAATAGCCAACCCAGGTGGATGCCCTTTCATCCAGGACCGGGATCTGATACACTCTGCGTGAAGCACATGCTCCTAAAATGTATTCTCAGACAAACCCTAAACCCGTCAGACAAAACCCACAGATCAACAAGTGTCTCTAAAGCTACTACTATCTAAAGATACTGGTCCCATGACTCACGAAGACAAGTTTTGGAAGATGATGCCCTGTAGACTAAAAATCATATGAGAGCCCAGGTTGTGCTGGCCTCGGGGGAAGATCCAGGCTTACAGGGAACACTGTCCATGGAGTCACCACTCAAAAGATGTTTCCAGAGATAAACAAGCTCGAATTCCAAGAATATCTGGATGGTGGAAGACGGATGATCTCAAATGCTTTCTAGTAGAAATAAGCCCATTTTGGCGAATAAAGAGTAAGAGCATCAGGGAGCCAAGAAGGAAGACAACCTATTATCTCCGCCATTAGGGGCTGGTGGGAAGAGGACCACAAAACCCACGTATACCACACTAAGGGTAAAAGACAGCCTGCAAATTCTTTCCCTTGGAGGGTCACAGTGCAGTGTCCAGTCCAGCCCTGTCCCTCTCATTAGCCTTGTAGGGAACACAGATAGATGGTTTCAGACACATCCCAAACTTCCAATTTCATCCACAGAAGATCCGGTGCAAAGCCAGTCAGGTTTCACTACAATCCATGGGCTGAAGATTTGGCATATTGAGGACAGATTAATCATTTTTACACAATATTCACACTCGAGTAAGCCAGTTTTTAGACACTTAGGAGAAAGGTAGCTGGTAAGAAGTTGTACCATTTAGATTATCCTCCCACTGAGAAGTGCAGGGATGAGCATACTGTTGGAAATATCAACAGACATTAAAACAGTCACATGAACAGAAGCCTAAGACCTCAGCCTTTATTTTACCCTAATGTAGGCAGGAGAGACTTATTCCTCCTGCTTCCATTATGTTTCCCACCATTTTTATAACAGGATGAAACAGACAAGCTTGCCTGAAAGGAAGCTTTCCTCAGAGTGGGGAGATACTGTTTAGCTGAAAAGCAGTATTGTAACCCTTCAGGATCACAAGAGAACAGAGCCCCTGACACTATCTGGGGAAAGCCTAGTGCTCTTCTTTTCTGATGAGGCTCTATGCTGGCTCACTCTGTGCCACCTTCCATCCCACCTGTAAGACAGGTGCCTGATGATGAGTATCAATTCTTTATTCACCTACAGTGTGTTCTATGATGTCTGCGTGTGCACTTGCTATTCTTGCTATGTATTATAACCTCTATTAAAGCATTTTCATGCTGTGTGGGAACAAGCAAAAGACCATCCCAATCCCAGGCTTAGAAGTGTCCCTGATACGGACACACAATGTCCACAGCCCAGGGTCAGAGGATGACTTAGGTTGTATCCAGCATGGGGGTCCAACATACACCATGGAAGTGGGCAAAGCCAAGCCAAACACATCTGGCATCAACTTCCACTCTATGAAGCAATGTGACATTGGCAAGGCTCCCTCCCATTATGGGAGCTCAAGGAAGTGACAGAGGTGAGAAGTACTTTCAATAGAAGAAGCATTAATGGTCCAATTAAAATGAGATGCACACCTTTCCTATGAGCTCAGAGGATAGAGAAAAGCATCCCTCAATCAACTACATGTGCACAAAATATTTCACATACCATTTCCTCCCCTAACATGTAGTGAGGTGTATGCCAATGAAAAGCAGCAGGTGATGAACAGTACAATACTCAAGCATCTTAGAGCAGTTCACGTGTATCTCAGCAATTTAGTGCTATTTTCTCGTACAAGGCCTTCCTGCACTGGTACACAGGTGAGGGCATGGAAGAAACAAAGTTTGCCGAATCCAAGAGTAATGTTAATCAATGACCAGAGCCTGAGTATCAGTGGTGATAGAATGCCAGGTGCAGAGACCAAAACTTTCTAACGTCCATGTTGCTCAAAGGAAGAGTGACAATTGTGAATATCTTCCATAGTCATCTTAGAACTATCCATTAACATGAAAGGGAGATCTGGCAAATTACATAAGCCTATTTTAAATACTTCAGTACACAATCTCACCTGTTTTGGGGTGAGAAACCAAGATTTCAAATGATGAAACCTTCAGTTCAAGTTAGCCTCAGTTGACTGTTGACTTACTCAGTTATTGCACTCATTATTCTCAATGCTTCAGGAGGCACTGAGCCCATCCTTCACCTAAAGACATCCAGGTGGTCTGACATTTGATTGGAATGAATGGGCTGCCTGGGGCCACACCTTCACCCTCACTGGTTTTTCAGGCAGTAACATCTCAGCAAAAGGCAGTTAGCTCATCTGGAGGAGAAAAATTCCAGTGACCTGGCTTATAGAGGTGGAGATTATGCTCAGACCCTTGTACTCATAAAGGAATACCTCAGCGTTCTTCCTATCCTCAGCTCTCTGCTTCTATTGTCAGAAACTCATTGCTAAGTATCACAGAAGGTGATTTTACTGGCCTTTATAACATCTTTTCACATATCCAGTGTTTTATAGGCATCAGTTCCACGTGCGTGAATGCTTTTAGGAGCCATATCTTACCCATTTGTAACAAACTCACACCTACAACACCAAGGATAATGCAATGAGTCATTGGCAAATATTTAAACAGTTCTCCAGGAAAGGAAATTGAAGCCCTCTGGAATATTCCACTCAATGTATACAAGAGATATGGTTGAGATTTGACCCATAATATTTTGGCTTCATATCCCATTGTTTGCATAACAAAGAAACAAAGATGCCTCCCAGGAAACCTTGGTCAGAGTGCCGAGATCTTACTTAAAAAGGCAGCAATAAAGCCGCTACAACATCTCAGGAAGGGGAACATCACCCAATCTTTCTGTCTGGGCAGGCATAGATGCCTCTCCCAGGTGAGGTTGTTTTCAAGCCAACTGAGCTGCCTTCTTCCATTCCTTTGGCATGGAACATGTCGGAAGGCTGTACAACCAGGTACAAGGGAATGGGTGCTCTGTAGGAACATGCATACCCACTGAATCTTCCTCGACCTGAGGCCTACAGACCCATTTACCAAACCCCAGGCCTACTTTAATGGGAGAGTACTCTTTGCTGGAACGTCATACCCCACCAGTACTTTTATCTTACACAGGTGCCCTCAAGGAGGTTCATACATCACATTCCTCCTCTGAGGTCCTACTATTCCCAGAGAGGAGGGACTCAGTCATAAAGAGGACAGTGGAGAAGAGGAGGGTCACATTTTTAAGGACATGATCCCAAAGTTCACGCGTCGCTTTCACTTATGACCTGTGGGACAGAATGAAATTAGTTAACTACAGCTAAGTGAAGTAGACCAGACAGATGTTTCCCAGGATTCCACTTGAGTAGACAGAGCTACCATGACCGACTTCAGGGTAAGTTCGAGAACAGTCTCCTACTGCCACTCTTTCTGAAGATCAGCTATCAGGACCGACATTGTCCGGATCAGGCATCCCCATTTTAATAAAAAGGCAGCTTGAGCAGAACTCCAAGGATGGACACACACCCCACACCTGCCCTCCCTCCTTGCAGACCTCCCGATATTGAGTACATTACTCAGAGCCAGGCTGCAGTGCTTTGGGGGTAAAGATCATAACCATCATTTCAGCCTGAGGAATTTCTGTGCTTTTAAGCAGCAGCTGTGTTCACTTCCCAAAAGTGCATTCAGCGAAGAGGCTGTTTACCTATTCTCATCAACCTCCACCTAATTCTAAGTGGAAGAGGTAGAACCATCATAAGCTGTCTGTGAGGAAGAGCTCTAGAAAGGTACAGCTGCTTATGACCATCAACCCAAACCTAAGGACAAAGTTCTCTGCATCCCGTCTATTGGAAATATCAGAAGAGACAGTGGTAAAGACAACTATTCTTCAAAAATTGAACAGCAGGTAGAGTGATCAAGATTCTTTCCTTGGCCAACTGGAGTCAGACCAAATCTTTTTAGGCCCATCTGTGTACGTCCTTGTAAAATCCAGTTTTAGCAAAGAACCCTAAGTCTGCTTTGCAAACCTCTTACCTTTTGATATTTCATCACAGTCTGACCCAATACTACTTGGCTATCAATTCCCACTTGTCTATACTGTGTTCAGATTTGAGCCCATTCTATTACAAAACCTGGTTGCATCAGTCCCTTACCTATCTCAATGATCACGTACAAAGTGTTTCTTACTGTGCTTCCATGAGCGCTAATGAATAATAGTGTAGCCTCTCTTATCAATAACCTCAAAGAAAATGGCAGACAGTGGCCAGACCAAGAATATGAAGTCATAACACACTTGGAATATTCAGCTTAAGATATAGTACTTGTTAAAATACGAACACGCTATATCATATTAAGAGTATTTTACAGACATTTTAAAGGCAATTTAAAGATACTAAAATTTAATACAGTCAAGTTTCTAACAGTGTGAGGTGCAGAGGTAGAGATGGCAGCCCCTTTCACATGCAACAACTCTACTCCTGGGATGGATTAATGCTCAAAAATGATTACAGCAGAAATTAACCACAGTACTCGTAAGTAACCCCTGAGAAAATGTACCAGCAAATTTAAAAGGTTCAAATTCTGATGCCGTGTATGTTGGCACTTGGGATTCTCCAGGATGAGCCGAGGTCATCTCACTGCTCCTGGGTCCCAGGTGCTCCACACATCTGCAGAAAGAGCAAGGAGCAGCCCTGCCCTCCCCATGCTTGACAGGAAGCACCTGCCACTCTGAACGCTCCCCGCATTATGGCATTGGGACTGTGCTTTGGGGAAAACTCAGGCTTCTGACATTTTTAGTCCTAAGAGACACAATCTGTTGTGTGTCACCTAAGCCTCGGTGTTTGCCATGGCAACTGACAAACCACTTTTGTTCTGGTACAAAAGCAATGGGTTGGTGGAAAAGAATTTCAGGAGATCTTGGGATCCATTTCTCCTGTTCCATGTCCTCCACACCTCAGGAGCTCCCGGTGATTTTATCACAGCCTCTGTTGCCCTGTGATCTGCAGGTCCTGGGAGATGCATAGCTAAGTTGCCAGGACATCCTGGAAGCTGGGAAATGACACATTGGTTATCAGCAAATCAGATGCTGATATTGAGGAAAGGCAGAGATGATTCCCACCCTCTGGATTTTTTCAGATTTGTGAAGAAATTTTTTCCAAAGGAAAACAACCCATCCCAGTAAGGTAGTGCAAGAACCTGCAAAACAAAATGTATCTGAGGCCCACAGTGGGAAGGAATCTCCCGATATGTTCAAATGGGAGTTGCTCCAGTTTCCTGATACTTGAGTGAAGAACATGTACACAGGTCAAGAAGCTCAAACTGACAGAAACTGTTGACATTCAGGGATGGGGTCATAGAATTCTCTGGAGGAATGGAAATACCTGGAACCCTTCTCAGCAGGCTTTGCATAGTCAAGTAACAATAGAGGACTACAAAAACATGGTCTCTCTGGGTCTTGCCATCTCCATGCTGGACCTGGTGACCTTTTTGGAGGCAAAGGAAAGAGCCCTGGAACATGAGTGAGGAGATAGTAGCCATACAGCTAGTTCTGGGATACATGTGCAGGACATGCAGGTTTGTTCCATGGGTGAATGTGTGCCATGGTAGTCTGATGCACCTATCCACCCGTCGCGTAGGTGTTGGGCCCCACAGGCGTTAGTTATTTGTCCTTATGCTCTTTCTGTCAAATCCCTGATGGTGACCCAGGGCCCCAGTCAATAATGCCCATATGATCCACATCCAATATGTCTTCCCTAGGTAAGATTGAACAGGTCCACCAGAACTATCTGGTGATGAGAAACCTCATCTGTATCATCCCAAACTCTGGCTTTTATATGATCCCCCATATGGACTCACAAGCAACAAACACACTGGGCAAGCAAGACTCAATGACCTGGGTCATATCCAGCAGTGTCCCAGATCATGGAATTATCAAGCCACAGAAGTGGGCAAAGCCAAAGCCAAGCATACTTGGCGGCAGCTTCCACTAGAACTAGCCCTGGCCTGGGTGACGCTGGGGTGGGTGGTGCTATCATCAACTCTTAGAAGAAAGTTCTAAGAATGTCTATCTCTTAGGGCCAGCAGCCTGGACTACCTGCATAAAATTCTCCATGTCATAGTTAGGGGGGGATTCTCATAAGACACATGTCGCGTGCCAAGGCCATTCCAGTAGCACACTACAGGGAGCCTGTAGTGTGGCATGAGTAAGCAACTACATCAAAATAGGAAAGAAAATGTAAGCCTCATCCTGAGTGCTGACTCCTAACTGACAAGTTTGGGTCAAAGAGGGAGGTCCTCCAAAAATCTAAGATAAGGGAGAGATAAACTAGTCCCACTTGGGAATCATGCTTTAAAATACGGTTTTGGTAGAAATTCATGGTTGTCTTTCGAACTAGAGGATAACATCTATACACTGACATGAACTATAACGTGTACAGGGTTCCCTACAAGGGAGCATTCACTTTCCAACCTGAGTGTCAAAACATGTTGACCAGTCATAGCAGCAGAGTCAAGGCCAAGATCCTGAAGATGAAATGCCACTCAAGGCTCTACCTCACAACCCAAAGCAGAACTTCTGTCCCCAGTGTACTGACCACAAGGCAATCAGCTTTCAGGTTGAATCATGAAGACTCATCCATCCCCAAGTTGCAGGAATTCGAGTTCCTCTCTGCCATCCCTCTTCAGCGTGGACAACTCCAGTCTTCTCCTGGAGCAAACTGCACTAGAAAGGTTAACTAAAGGCAGCCAGACAAATCCAAGCAGAAAACAGATGTGCATCTATCGTGTTTTGAGTGGATGCACACAATCCTCATAATGTTGCTACGCCCTTGGACATCTCACGTACAACTTGAAGTGCAAAGGGAAAATTGCATTGGCCTACAGCTGATGGGTGGCAGGTGAGGGGAGAATGGAGCAGGGCATGATTTATGCAGCAGTTCTGCGAGGTGGCACCCAGCAGTGGTGCAGGCCATATCTGGCAAATTCTAACACAAACCTTTTCAAAAGAGATACAGTTAAGGCCCAACCCTTCAATGGCCAAATGATAAGATTCCAGCCAGTGTTGTCATACAGTATATGCCAAGAACATTTTGTCAGTATCACTTATAACCCTTTATTTGAACAATGCCCCCACTTCCAATGTCTACACTAAATGGACAGTGGGAAACTGCCAAGGCCCTAGGGCTGCAGCTACAGCTGCTTTGTGCCTAGGAGGAAACAAAGCATGTACATGGGCTCCTGTCCCAAGCTGAGCATGCCTCAACTGCCAGCTCAGACAGAGCCTCATTCTGGTAAAATTTACCAATAGACTTAGGAGCAGAGTGTTTCTTATTTAATTGTTAGAGGTTAATGGTGGCCTCAAAAGATTTTACATAGTAATCCCGGTAACAGGCAGAGGTAAGGATTTAAGCCTCAAGAACTTGACTATTGCTCATGTTTGCTATTTGTCTTATTAGCACTTTCCAGTTGTCAAGTTCTCAGCTGGAGATTCAGGATGGGATTGTTATGCCAACGTGAAGGAGATACTGGTCTCATTCAGAATACTGTTCTGCAAAGAATTATCCTCTCATTTTACTCATAAGAACATGGAAAAGGAAAGTGCTTATCATGAGCTGTGTCTGAAGAAAGATTCCACAAACAGAATAGCTAAGTCATACACATCCCTAAGTCCTATTTCGTGGAAGACCCCAGCAAGACAATGGTAATGTCACCGAAGCACTTCAGTAAGAGCAAGTGGTGGAAAAGTGAGAAAGCAGCTAATGATTAATCACTAGTGCTAACTTGTCATTGTAGGAGTGGTTTAGGCCACAAGAAAGGGCTCCTTGAATAATCTGAAAATGGAGTGAGAAATGAAGTCTCAAGAGCAGCTCATGCTTTAAGAGGTATAGTTGGTACACCACCACTTTGGGTGCTCACCTACCCTAGTTGCTCAGCAACAGCCAAAGGTAAGAGCCAGAAAATGGACAGTTTAGCCTGAGACCTCAATGATGGGTTTATGGGATGATCCAGAACAGAGCACTTTCATTAGTCCCCAGATGCTACATGAATGGAGGAAACAGGACCAGCAACGTTCTGAGGCCAGCAGCAGTCTGCTCCCACAGTGAACTCCTTGATGGGGATAATGGACCGTGTTTTTGGAAGAGTGACTTAATGCTTTATCCTAGAAACCTTCTCTAGGATAAGTTAGTACATGTGATCAGGACATGTTGGCTTTAGTGCAAGGGGAGGAAACCTTAGTGGAGAAAATACCATCTGTTTAGCAATCTCTATAATGGGTTCTGCAAATGGAGTGCTGTGATTGAAAACGTTTAGGAAGATCAAAGGTTTTTTTGTAGAAAAATATAGGAATTTGAGGATTAATGTTATGAAAGTTGTCAGGACTTAGGAATCACAGGATATTCAAGACTATCATAGAACAGCAAAGCAAAACACTGGAAGAGTCAGTTGTCATGAAGCACATAGATGACATGGTCTGGCTCCTTCTCAGATTTCAGAAAATGCTTTGACTATAACCTCCACAGAACTGCCGAGTACACAAGTGAAGGCTTTAGGAACTAAGTGTACAACTGAAATCTACAAGGTATTCTCTGGGCCCAGAAGACTGTTTACTTGGTTCTATCCACCAAAAGGTAGAAATACAATCACATCCAAATCATTCCAGCCAACAAAGATGGGAAAACTCACAATTTTCATCTTCCCTGAAGAGCCCATTGCACTGACTCAGGCCACTAGAAGCATTTGCAACATCCTCATTCCAGGCCAGTGATGCTGCCTCACAGTTCACAGGGGACCACGAAGTCCCTGCCTCTCATGAGCTGTGGTCAGCACAGATGCAAGAGGCAGGACATTTCTCACCTGCACATACCCCCAAGTCAAGCCTTTCCACAGACGGCTCTGAACCTCCTCAACCCTCCCCCCTAGTGGCAGCCATTGTTCTGGTTTCTGACCACCTCCACCAGAAGGCATCTGCCAGTACAAATCTGAAAGGCTAAGACCTGGGAAGCAAGACCAGCAGCTGCTTCCATGTCACAGCTCTGGTTCATGTGGCTTTTACCCTGGAGGGACCAGGCAGACCAAACATTCAGACAACAAGGGGATGGAAAGGATTTTAGAATCATGCCCCTCAGATTGAGCACCTGCTGCCCAGAGAAGCTGCCTTGTTGACTATGGAGCTAGAAGCATCTCTTCTTTTTGGGTACTTATGGTAATAATGTCCTATCATGAAGTCTGGGGTGATTACTATTCATTCTGGAAACATTCTTCTCATCGTTAGGGGAATTTTCTAAGCCATGGCACTGTGCAAGTTTTCAGGGAAGTTCCCAGAGCAGATTTAATCTGTCACTACGTGGAAATACCCACACATTACAAGGTGTACTAAGACTTTAGTCCATGTTCTGAACAGTCCAAAGGGACAGAAAGATTCATTCACTGGGGCACCTAGCAGAGTACCCAAGTTATTTCCCTACTCTGGGGTTTACCAATTCAACAGGGCCAGAAGCATGATTAAACACACCAGAACCCGTGTACAGACAGGACCCACTACAACACAACCACATCCCAGCCAGGCAGGAGAGATTCACTCTGGGTTCTGAAGACATTCCAGGCAGTGGCCAGCATCAGCAGATAAGACATTAACAAGGAGTTGGAGGGACAAACCATGTGCATCAGTCTTCACAGGCCCATTCCTGGGAACTAAGCCAACTCAGTTTACAGGTTGCCTTCTCACCAGATTTACTAGAGGATAGTTCATCCAGAAGGGAATCTCAAAAGGTGATTCACCTTTTCTAACCAACCTTCTATTACCAAATGGAGATGCCAATAAGGCTGAGAACAATGGGGACACTGAAATGAAGAACCGCCTGTAGAGCCAGGAGGTAGAGAAGGTACATGCCTGCACTGACCTCATCGACTCCCCATAGACTCCAGGCATAAAAATGTGAACTTCCCCACTTTCACCGTCAAAGACCAGATCTCATGCAAGAGCCCCATTCTGAAAGCTATGGGGAGAGTGGCTCTTCCAGGATGCATGGTCTTGTCACACAATGTCTGCTGGTGTTGGAACTGAAAAAACTTGTACACAGATATGAGCAGAGAAGCAAGGTCACTCACCAGGACTTTAAACATGAGATGTCAGATGCTTTGGAAGTAGAAAGCAAGTCAATAAAGCCCAGAATGTCATCACCAGGAATTGGTAGGAGATAGTCATGAGCTGATGAATGTGCACATCAGATCCCCACACACCTAACAGGCCACCTTAATACAACAACCTGAGTGGTTTATGGGCAATCAGCCTGCTGCTACAGAGGCATTAACCACTTCTCAGGAGGTAGACCCTGACACATGTAGCATTAGTCACATTGACAGACTCATCTGGTAGACAAAGGTACTGAAGACAATCTGCTTTTGCTGTGGTATGAAATTTTCTATCACCTAAAAGGTGTAAACTACAATGGAGTCAT
Source organism: Homo sapiens (assembly GCF_000001405.40). NCBI lineage: Eukaryota > Metazoa > Chordata > Mammalia > Primates > Hominidae > Homo > Homo sapiens. The sequence goes on along the minus strand of NC_000004.12, from coordinate 10,259,418 downwards.
TGCTGAGGATGAAGTAGCCCCACCAAGTCTGATGATTGAATCCTCACCAGCTTTACTCTCAAGACAAACAGATATGCAAGTCCTCAGGGCTCCACAGCTGGCCAGCGAGGTCTGATTGTCATGTAGTTCCTAAGTGCAGGAGGAAGGGTTTGCACCTTCTGGCAACTCTACTGACCAACAGTAAGTTGGTCACAAAACTAGCCCAAGGTTTATTTTCTCATAGCCATTCCCCAGGACTTCTTAGCCTTCTTCCCAGAAAAACAAAGAGGCTAGAGACCAGACGAAAAGAACAGCTGTGTGTTCCACCTAGAACTCTTCACTGGCTCAAAGTTTGGGCCAAAGGTTAGCTCATCTGACAGTGCCACTGCAGAATGATGGTTTCAGCATTGTGCCCCATGTTTCCAGCCTCCACCTGTCTGCCCACAGAAGGTGCACTGTTGCCCATGGAAGCACTCTCTGCCTATCTCATTTCTAGTCGTGCCTAAGCCATCCAATGAAGATGTATAGAAGTGGGGTTCCAGCTCTTGTCCCCTAGCATTTAGGTCTTAGCATCCTCAGGGCAATTTGAACAACAGATGTCACAGCTTCAGAGGATATCCAGGTTCAGTACATAATGACCTTCAACACGGATGGAGGTCACTTCAGCCAGTTTAAAAAAACAACTGTTTCTCAATAAAGCCCCTCTATCAGTTTATAAGTTCAGGCAAGAAAGCCACTACAAGAACTCACAGGATAAGGTAGTCACCTAAGGTACACAGTCATTTTCAGAAAACTAAACTTATAGAGCAAGAAGGAAATTAAGTTCAAGACAGTTGATAACTTCGAAGACAAAGCAGCAGATGGTGGCCAGAACAAGAACATGAAGTCAAAATATCCATGAAAGCATTCAGCTTAAGATATGGTACTTATTAAAATATGAGATAAATGGGTTAAAAATAGCTTGAAGATAAGGAAGAAAGTTCCTACACCCAAAAGCACAGAAAAGGGGAGGCTAATATGTGGAGGAACAAGGGGCTGATGTGTTCGTCACTCATTCCTCTCATTTTAGTAGTCAAGTGCACTATGGAAAAAAAAGATGCTCAGACATTTTGATTCAGGATACATCCATGATCATGGACATGTGGTTCAGAGACTCTGCCACTGGAACAGCTCATCTTTCTAACTTATGAGAAACAAGCAATGGGACTTGCTGATGCCACAGTAGGTCTCACTCCAGAAGTCAATAAGGCTTGCAGAAGGCAATGCAATAGTTCTGTTATTTTTAAAATAACTTCCATTAGTATCATCCATCATCCCTACTAACTGGAATGTACACATTGATCCAGAATTCTCTGAAGTTCAGGACTTCGTAATTTCTGAGAACTAACACAGATCAGAAATATCCAGTGTTGAATTCCTGAGTCAATCTTGAAGCAACTTCAGATGCTCACAATGACAGGCAGTGTTAAATATTATTTTCATTTGTAGACAAATCTTTCCTCCAGCAGGACTTAGGAATTAAGTATAACAATTTCAGATGGAACCCATGGCTTTCAAAGAAGGGGGGGCAGCACATATGGCAACTACCCACTCATGAAAGTTACAATGACATGCAACATCTGTCATAGTCACATGTCCCGTGATTGTCAGGAAACTAGAAGGCTATGTGCCATCCTTCTGCAGCATAATAAAGTATCAAGGAGTTCTCCTAGTTGGACAAATCCCTCAACTCACCAATTTCACCACAGGAAGGAAAAGCAGGGATGTTCCCTAAAGAGGATAAACCTATGTCAATCTTCTGGAAACCATGTCTGAAGCTCAACCTATGATCAGGACAGAAGGGAAATGCTTGCCAGATATCGGAACTGCCAGTGGCAACAGCATTCACATGTTGCCAGGTCCTTGACCTTAGGTTTTCACCACTCAAAAGGGACCCCACAGAGAAGACTGAAATCTTGAGGTCTGAGAACCATGGATGTGGGAGCCAGAGGAAAAGACCATGATAACCCATGTCCACCATCAATGGTACTCATGCTATGAAATCCCCCTTGGGGTAAAAATCTCCACCAGAACACATAGGTGGTGACAAATCTCACTGGACCATCCTAATCTCTGGATTTAAAACGACCTCCTTATGCATCCATAAGGAGTCTGTCAAAGGTCAAAAGGTGACCTAGTTTGTATCCATCAGTGGCCCAGATGGCAGTGATCAAACAATGGCAGAAGTAGGCAAAGCCCAGGCCAGTGTGATTGGCACCTGCTTCCACTAGAGGAAGCAGTGTGACACTGGCTAAGCTCCCTCAAATCGTGATAAAGTGATATCTGCAGAGAACCAAGTCCTTTCATAAATAGGACATTAATCGTCCAAGTAAGACAAGGTACACATACTTCTTACCAGCTCAGAGAATGACAAGAAGCATCCCTTACAAAACTACCTATAGAAGAAAAAATTTCAAGTCCCATTTCTCTGTAATGGAAGAGTGGGGCACGTGGCAATGAAAAGCAAGAGGCAGTGGATATCACAGGAGTGAGGATCAGAAGCTTCTAGCCTCAGGAAAGTATGAGGAAGGTTTCTTCACTAAGCTCAAGGTCAGGAAGTCAGTTGGCTGGGCCTTAGGTCCTGCGCCCTGAGGCAGGGAGCTCCAGTACCGAGATACTGGGGCTGCCTAGGGGCCTGTCCTCTGGGCTTGAAACCAAATCTAACTGCCTCCTTCTCCCCAATATGGTGGAGAGAAGGAATGGAGGAAAAGCTGCCCTCAGGCAACAGGACACTTGGTATAGCCTGGCTCCTTCAGGTTTAATAGTTTCAACAGTGTCAATGGAGCACACATGGAGCTTGAAGAACAAGCAGCAAGGGTTCTGTATTCTAAGCCTTGGAGTTTTATGGCTCTAGCTACATCTGCCTTACAATTGTTCAACCATTTATCTATCAGCACCAGGCATCAGACGACAGCAAATTCAGATTCTTCTAAGGCAGGCAGCACTGTTTTCTTGCCAATAAGCAAAGAACAGTGGTCAGTGTGCAAAGCAGAAGGAGCTCATGTGGCTGCCTCGTGAAAGCACTCAAGGTGAGAGGCTGCAACCACAGTGCTGTGTTCAGACTTAATGGACACGAGGGTAAAAAGGCATTTATATTGGAATACTGATGCTGCCTGATGGGGGAAGAGCTTCAGGTAGATTTCCTGAGTCATGTTCCCCTTACAACACACAACTTTGCTCAGAAGACACTCCTGAAGTTTACCTTTTGTAACATCAGAAATTCCTGCTAAGTGGATTTCAGCATCATGCTCGTGGCTACAAGTTTCATGAGCACTATAGCACTAAAGTACCCACTAGGCACGTGGGCTGGAGTAATATCGGACAATTCATTTCCAAACTGGCTACAGTGAGGTCCCAGCACTACCTTCTTTGACAATGTATCATACGTGACAGTCTTTCCTGGATGCCTGTTAGCTCCCAACAGACATTCTACACCTCATGCTTTCATATTCAATTCCTTCAGCCCCTCTGAAGGTTTCCTCTCCCAGAGAGAGGGGTCAACATCTACGCTTCATGTCCACGTGATCAGCATCACCACACCTGTGGACAGGAGGATGATTGAGGATGCAACACCAAGTCACAGTCAATCTGCCTTCCCTTCACAGCCCTACCCCAGTGGTTCCAGCCACCTCAGCCCAGTGAGCTGGTCCACAACCCAAACCCCTGTGCCAGCACACAAGGAAAGTCACTGAGCTCTGGGATCCAGGAGAAAAAAACGTTAGACCTCATGGACAGATCCATGTTCTTCTGGGGAAATACAAGCCCATATAGTGGCACGCTCTGCTTAGATCAGGTCAGGCTCTATCAGAACTGTTTCAGGTTAAGTGGCAGAGGCAATGCAGTCAAGATCCTCCAAGGTTGTCAACCTGACCCCCAGAGCAGTTCCAGGCCTTCAGAGATGAGGTGGCTGTCCTGAGCAGTGTAGGACATGTGGACATTCTGCTCTTGTTGGGGTTCATGACACAGGACAACCTGGCATTGTGACCCAGTGCTGTGAAGGCAGCCTCTACAGCTACCTGCATGTCCAGGAGACCAAGTTTCAGACATTCCAGCTAATTGACATTGCCTGGTAGACAGCTCAGGGAAGGGACTAGTTGGCATGCAGAGAAGATCATCCACAGAGACATAAAATCCAACATATTTCTCCATGAAGGCCTCATGGTGTGAACTAGAGACATTTTGGTTTGGCAACAGTGAAGTCACACCGAAGTGATTCTCAGCAGATTAAGGAAACCCACAGGCAATGGCCCCAGAGGCGATCTGAACGAAGGGTAAAAACCCACTCAGCTTCCAGTCCCATGTCAATGCCTATGGCATCTCATTTTATGAGCTGATGGGAGGGGCACTTCCTTTCTCCCACATCAACAACCCCGACCAGATTATCTTCTTGACAGGCTGGGGGTATCCCCCCATTCCTAGATCTTAGCAAGATACACAAGAACTGCCCGAAAGCAATGAAGAGGCTGGTAGCTGACCCAAAAAGGCCTCTGAAAAACACCAGTTTTTCCTGAGGAGCCAACTGCATTGACCAAGACCATTGCATGCATTCAACATCCTCAGCCCAGAAAGGCTTGCTGTTCTGACTGGCCCCATGCTTCAGAGGGGACCACAAAGAGTTGAAGCTGACGTCTCATGAGCTGAGGTCAGCACAGCTGCCAGCAGAGAAAGACTGTTTCTCACCTCCAGACACAGTAAGGTGTATTCCAGACAGTTCCCACCTCAACCCTTCCCTAGCAGCACCCATTGTTCGAGTTTCCTGACCACCTCCACCAGAAAGTATTTTTAAGTATGAATTTGAAAGGAACTAAACCTCGAAGCCCAAGACCAGCAGCTGCTTCCACATTACAAGAGTGCTCCGGCTCATGCTCTTACCCTGCAGTAGCCAGGCAGGCCCTGCATTAAGACATGCTGATGGGAATGATTTCAGATTTCTGTTCCATGGATTGAAGAATCCTGAGCCTTTTCTGGCCGGAGAAGGAGCAATTGTTGACCATAGAGCTGTAAGCTTCTCTTTCAATATGTTTGCTATGAATCAAACATTCTATCATAAAGTCTGTGGATAGTACTGATTATTCATACTATCATTTTCTTCCTCAGGGTGAATTATGAAGCCTCTACTCCAACCACAGAGTTTCCCTGAAGTTTCCAGAACAGATTTAAGTCTTGCAGCATGGAAACACCTACTTTACAAAGTATACTGACATTTAGGAGACTCGACGGTCTGAATGGCCCAAGGAGGAAATAAACAGTTACAGAAAAAAAGAGCCAATCGCTGAGGTTACTAGGACAGTGCCTAAATAATTTTCCCACTCGGATTTAACAAATGAACAAAGCCAGAACAGTAATCAAACTCACCAGATCCCACAAGGAAACAGGACCTAACATAGCCAGTGCACCACATCTCCAGCTGAGCTACAAGTCACTGCAAGCTCTACAGACATTCCCGACAGAGCCCAGCGTCAGAAGATCAGCTGTAAACAGAGCAGGAAAGAAACTACGTGTTTCTGGCTTCAAGCACAAGTCCAATGCAGGGCCTCTTCCCTAAGGTACATCATCCTGACAGACCGTTCCAGCAGCACAGGAGTGGGACTGGAGAAATGCAAATGTATCACAGTATATTCAGAGAAGCAGCAACCTCAGATTGGTACACATGTATGTTTTACTCAAAGCTGCCTCTACAAAGCTGCTGACCCACCCAGAGTATAGAAGAGAGGCCCTTGTAACTAAATATTGATGGATCAAGGCAAGGTCTAGAGCAGGTACAATGGGTTTGGGAAGCCATGGATTAGGACCAATCTCAGTCCATTGAGATACATGAATAAGAGCCCTAAAACCCCTCTGGAGTAGTTTTGAGCTTCTACACAGCAGCATAGCCTCTCCCTTTCTCCATATTCCCGAGTCCAGCTCATCAGTGATTTGAAGCTCAGCACACTCACAGAAATGTGGAGAGCAGACTACAAAGTCCACATCTGAGAACCCAGTGTGTGAAAGCTATGGGAAGAAAACCTGCATGGCCTAAATTCACCTAAATCGTCTTATGGATATTTGCAGGGCAAATTGAAGCAGAAATTTCTTCCAGAGCATCAGCAAGGTACAAAACCTCCCTGGACAACCTGAAATACTTTGACAGGAATGAACTCATTTCAACACAATAAGACCACGAGACACACAAGCTAAAGGGCAACCTACTACACAGGTTCACAGAATGAGAAGCAGAAAACCCACATAGACTTCTGTGGGCATGGGAGACAGCCTTGGAAGCCTTGGTGGGTCAGGGCAGTGTCCAGTTCAACCCCACACCTCTGATTAGATCTACAAGGCCACACAGATGATTTCAAATACATCTCATTTCCTTCTGATTCAGGCCTCGGAAGACCCCAAGGGGAAGGAGTTCTCATGGGTCACTATAATCCATGAAGCTGAAGTTGAAATATAGAAGGCAGAATTAAAGTTACCATTTTTTTTTAAACACCATCTATGGTCCTTTCAAAATTGTACAAGCTGTCAGTATCACCTGCACATGAGCAATTTAGTCTTTTGGAGGAGTGAGAAGTTTAGGTCTTTTCCCAAAACAGTAAGACAGTGAAGACTATTACTCATTAGTGTCAGTGTATTAAATGATATTAAAATATTTACAGAAAGAAAACTAAGACCTCAGCATTCATTCCACTCTGGTGTTGCTAGACAGATGGTCAATTTCCCCCCTACTAGGGATCAAGGTTCAGATCCTCCAACAATCTAAGATGGAGGAAGATAAGAAGTCTCATTGGAGTTATGCTCTGGAAAAACGGTTCCAGCAGAAATTAACTTTTCAAAATAGAGGATGACCTCTACCCACTGACATGAACCAGGAAACGTACAGGGTTTCCTACAAAAGACAATTCACTCTTCATCTTCAGTGTACAAAAGTATTTAAGTTGAGCAGTCATAAGCAGTACATCTGGAACAAGATCGTGAAGGTCAATTTTAACTTAAGCTTACACCTTATAAAATTAACAGGGAGGGGAAGCCTCACCCATTTAAAGGCACGACCCTGAAAGGTCAGACGTGACTTCTGCATATACTTCATCAAGAAGTAATGTGGCCATAGCTTATCCAATATAGCAGACACATCTTATTTAATTGAATTAACCTACAAGGAAGTGTGACCCCGTTAGTGGAAAATTCAGAAATACTGGCTTCTTCTCTGCTGCCCACTTCACAGGTCAGTGACCCTCTTCACCCTCTCCCCTGTACAAGGCAGTAGAGGCCAGATGAGCAAAGAGGCATCTTAGGACAGCACCCACCCATCATTCTTCTTGCAGTCATGGCTGAATTTTAAGGATTCACTTAGACTACTCTGCTATGATTTCAAAAATGTACCACATGATATGGTTTGGCTGTGTCTCCACCAAAATCTCATCTTGAATTTTAATCCCCAGGTGTTGAGGGCAAGACTTGCTGGGAGGCGATTGGATCATGGGGGTGGTTTCCCTCATGCTATTCTCCCGATAATGAGTTCTCATGAGATCTGATGGTTTTTTAAGAGACTCTTCCCCTTCTCTCCTCATGCTTCTCTCTCCTGCCACCAGGTGAAGGTGGTTCTTTGCTTCTCCTTCCACCATGATTCTAAGTTTCCTGAGGCCTCCCCAGCCATGCTAAACTGTAATTAATCTTCCTTTTATAAATTATCCATTCTCAGGCATTTCTTTATAGCAGTGTGAAAATGAACTAATACACCATTCATTTTTCACTTTAGTGGGGGTTTGCTGTATGCGTGAAGACAGAACAGTTCTCTTCACAAATACGGCCTTCTAAAAAGACTCCTCTTTTCATCTATGTTATTTTTCGTTCAGTTTGGGAGGCAGGGTGGGTGCTGGTATCACAAGATGTCTCTGACAGGAAGGAATTCTAGAGCATCCAGCCATTAGGGCCAGCCACCTGGACTATCAACAAAATCTTCCATGTCCTATTGAGGGGAGTGATCTTCATGAGACATCGGTATGGTGTCAGTTCTTTTCGACACAGAAGAGCGCATCTATAACCAGAGGGGCAGAGCAGCTACATCAAAATGGAAAACAAAATGAGGCTCATCACTGGCAGTAACTACTTAGTTGTGCAACTAGTTGAGGTCAAGATTCAGGTCGTCCTTAAAACCTAAGATGGGGAGAGGGAACACATCCCATTGGAGAGTCACTTTCAAAAATGGTTGGGGGGAAAACAAGCCACACAGTATATTGTGTTATAGACTAGAAGATGTTCTCTACACACCGACAGGCACCAGAAACTGTGCACGGTTCTCTGCAAAGGAGCACTAGATTTTCTTCCCAAGTACAGCAGGACATCCCATTGACCACTCACAGCAGTAGAGTCAGGGAACAAGATCCTGAAGGCTGGATGTCACTTTGCCTGAACCTCGTAACTTAGTGTATAGAACTTATGTCCCTAGCTTACTGACCCGTAGGGCAATCAACTTTCTCAGTCTGAATCATGCAACTCTTCTACCCTTACATTATAGGAATGCAGTCTCCTCTCCGCCATTCCTTCTCAGGACTGACAACTCCAGTCTTCTAGAACATAATACACAGGGAGATAAACTAGAAGTGTTCAAAACAAATCCAAGTGTGGGTAAAAATATCACATAACCACTGGTTATAGCAGCAAGAGGAAATTAGTGCCCATTTCAAGATTTCTCAGGTTTTACATTTAGAAAAACAGACTAGGTGATAGAGGTTTACTTTTTATTTCAAATGTTGGGTCTCCTAGTCTGTGTAATTCTAATCATGGAAAAAAGTAGTGAATAGTGGCTTCTCTACTTAGCATCACAACTTAGAGATGTTAAAGAGTGTTGAGTTTATGTTTCAAATGTGTAGTGAGAAATGCCATGGAATACTCAAGATTGCAACTTAAGCAGAATGTATAGAATATTCAGAATTTTTCTCTATGCAATTAAAAACGTTTCCCAAAAATATTCTGGTTTTACCACTAATTCAGATAAATATACACCGATCATATGCACAAGCAATGCAATCGACTCAGACCTGGACACATTTATTGCTTTTCCACAACTCACAGTGGAGCACTGGGGCTGTTCATGAGCTGCAGGTCAACATCACTCCCCCGTGAGACAGAGTGACAGCACACTCTTCCTGACAAACAGCTCTGAACATTCTCTACCCTATTGGCTCTTAATGACCTCCTCAAATTAAGCAAGTGGGGAAGTACCAGTGTCAAGGGGCTCAGACCTGGAAAGCACAAGATCAGCACCTGCTTCCATCTCATAGAAGAGCTCTGGGGCTCACACCTGTGCCCAGAGGCACCTGGCAGGTTCTGCACTCTGAACCGTGGCAAAGGCTAGGATTTCAGAATCCTGCTCTGCATTGGAGACTGAGCCCTTCTTGCCCAGAGGTGGTGCTGTGTGGCCATGATGAGTGCTGCCAGCAGGTCTTCTATAGGGCAAGAACCATGGGTGGTACCCCCAAGGCATCAAAATAAAAGCAGAAGAATCCAGCACCATGCTTTCATTATTCAGTTCATCACCACCTCTGGGTGTGTTTCCAAGGAGCTCTACCAACCTCTGAGAAACTGCCAGAACAGACTTAACTGTCACTATGAGGAACTACTAGATCCTTACAGGTGGAAAGGTGATTTAGGAGAGTTCAAGATCTAACAATCCAAGGGGAAGAGTGACAAGCTCCATGAGGATACAGGTTACACAGTTAATATTGAGGATACATCACTTCTCAGACAATTAGGGAGTGGTCTCCTCCTCCTGTGGGGTCTACTAAGAATAAATCACATTTCCTCAGTGCTTTTTAGCCTTCTATACCCACAGTAAGCAGGGGTTACTCAAAGCAGCTCCTCCTGGTCTAGTCATACAGGAGGGGTTTTGTTTTCAGCTCTCTTCATGCACAAGTAACTCAAGTCTGACAGAATTGAAGGTCAGAGGGTGGGTTGAGTACAGGACTCAGTGCAGGCGGCCTGCAAGAACAGGGAGTTCAGCCAACAGCAAATTCAGTCTCCAACATGGATGCTCAGAGGTTAGCCTATGACAGGCAATGGGATCATCATCCTGCACATCCGAAGCAATGCAAAGGGGACACTCTCCCCCATGGCTAAAATCTTCAGCATCTGATCCCCTACCACCAGGGGGGCAGGAACCAGATTCTCCAGCCACATCCCTTTGATCATCCAGTTCTTCATCCTTATAGCTAGGAGCTGCAAAAGGGCAGGCTGTAGCTCCTGCCAATGCAATACCGCATGTACGCACATAACCCCTCCAGGACACCTCTGGCTCATGGAGGGCCAGAGACAACTTACAGGTTGAAGTTCCTGGAGGAGCTGCTTGCATGGCTGGTCCAGGCTTGGCACCAGTTGACCCATGTTTAACACCAGTTTAACAATTTGGCAACAAATGCCCAAATTGACAAATGGGATCTAAACTAAAGGGCTTCCACACAGCAAAAGAAACTCAGAGTGAACAGCTGAAATCCCCTCCATAAATTGGGCTCTTTGTCAAGCACCTACATCTTCATAGCATGTCCCAGGGAGAAGAGGCTCCAGTATTTCGTGGATTAAAGGATCACTAGTGCAGCAGACACCTCATTGCTTAGTATTGAGACTTTCTAGTCAGTCTGTGCTTATCCATTAGTCCATGAGTACTTAGTGATATCAAACTGCTACCACAGGTTGTTACTAAGACTAAGGCCCACCCTCAGAAACACATGATATATGGAGTGATGCCATTTTCTATCATCAGAGTGGTTCTCTGAACTCCTCCATTGTCTATCAGAAACCAATTCACTTCTAAGCATCACAGGAGCATCACTTTATGGTTTTTGTAACATCTTTTCACAAACCCAAAGTTTAACACAAGTATCATATGTAATAACGTGGAAATCATATTTCATCTGTATGAAATAAACATCTTTCTACCCAAAAATGCAGAAATTGAGATATTCATGCACAAGGGGAACATTAAAACCTCTGCGTATATTCCACTCAATGTAGCAAAGGGACATCATCTTGTCCCACCACACTTTGCCTTGACACTTCCTATCATTTATGGTAAGAAAAAGATATGCCTTCTAAGAAACTTGGCTCAGTGGCTAGATCTTAGTTAAAAGATATGAGAACTTCAGCATCACAGGAAAGATCAGATGCCCCCTCATGTCTCATCTATGGAAGTCTAGAAACCTCCCTTGCAGGTAAGGCTGAGTCACCTTCCTTTCCTTCTGGGTGGTAGATGTCTAAGAACTCCAACTGAGCACATGTGGATTGTACTCTAGGTGGACCATCATGCATACCCACTGAGATGGCTTCCATCTAGGGAGTTACAGACCCAAGTTACCTACCCCTTTTTCAATTCCAGGACCATTTTCTTCCTTCATTGGTAGATCAGGGCAATGAACGGAGAAGTATCCCTTTGCTGGATGTGTCATGCCACTGGATGCTTATAGAACGAGCCATCAAGAATCAAAGTCTTTCATCCATCTTGAGTTAATTTTTGTGTAAGGAATCCTAGGCAATACCATTAAGGACATAGGCATGGGCAAAGACTGCATGACTAAAACACCAAAAGCAATGGCAACAAATGCCCAAATTGACAAGTGGGATCTAATTAAACTAAAGAGCTTCTGCACAGCAAAAGAAACTACCATCAGAGTGAACAGGAAACATACAGAATGGGGGAAAATTTTTGCAATCTATTCATCTGACAAAGAGATAATATCCAGAATCCACAAAGAACTTAAGTTTACAAGAAAAACAACCCCATCAAAAAGTGGGCAAAGGATGTGAACACTTCTCAAAAGACATTTATGCAGCCAACAAACATGAAAAAAAAAGCTCATCACTGGGTCATTAGAGAAATGCAAATCAAAACCACAATGAAATACCATCTCACACCAGTTAGAGTGGCCATCATTAAAAAGTCAAGAGACAACAGATGCTGGCGAGGATGTGGAGAAACAGGAACGCTTTTATACTGTTGGTGGGAGTATAAATTAGTTCAACCATTGCAGAAGACAGTGTAGCAATTCCTCAAGGATCTAGAACCGGGAATACCATTTGACCAGCAATCCCATTACTGGGTATATACCCAAAGGATTATAAATCATTCTATAAAGACACATGCACACGTACGTTTATCGCAGCACTGTTCACAGTAGCAAAGACTTGGAACCAACCCAAATGTCCATCAATGATAGGCTAAAGAAAATGTGGCACATATACATCATGGAATACTATGCAGCTGTAAAAACATGAGTTCGTGTCCTTTGCAGGGACACGGATGAAGCTGAAACCGTCATTCTCAGCAAACAAACACAAGAACAGAAAAACAAACACTGCATGTTCTCACTCATAAGTGGGAGTTGAACAAAGAACACATGGATACAGGGAAGGGAACATCACACACTGGGGCCTGTTGTGGGGTGGGGGGCTAGGGGAGGGATAGCATTAGGAGAAACACCTCATGTAGATGGGTTGATGGGTGCAGCAAACCACCATGGCATGTGTATACCTATGTAACAAACCTACACTTTCTGCACATGTACCCCAAAACTTGAAGTAATTTAAAGAAAAACCTTAAAGTCATACTCCTCCCCTTTTGTTCTAACATTCCCAGATAGTTCGGCGGGGGGCTGTTGGTCCCATCAGGATGACAGAGGGAAGAAAACTTACCTCCTTTTTAAGAGCATAAACCTGGAGATCACTCATCAATTCCACTTAACTAACCTATGGGGCAGAATAAAATTGCATGACTGTAGCCAAGTGAAAGAGCACACAGATGATTCTTCATCATTCAACTTGAATAAAGACATGACCCTTTGAGGTAAGTCCAGGAAGAGTCTTCTGCAGCCCCCACTAAGTTTAGATATCAATGCAGACTTTATGCATGAACTTGTATATCCCTGCTTAGGGATCAGGCATCCCTATGCAGTTTAATAGGTGTTTAATTTAAGAGGCAGCTCAAATCCAAGGAGGGATAATGAATACATTTCTGAATGCTAGTCTGCAATGTTCTGGGGGTAAGGGTTACAACGAGTTCAGCTTCAGTGAGGGACTGCTATGCTTATTTAAAAGGAGCTGGTCTCTTCCCCAAACTGCCTTCAGCTAACAGGTAATGTACCTTCTCCTGATTTTCTACCTCGGGTGGGTTGAAGGTAAAGTGGAGCCAACAAAAGCTATCTCTGAATCAGGAGGACTTCTAGAAACATACAGCTGCTTAAGGCACCAAGGCAAATCTAAAGAAAGTTCTCCACATCTCATCTAGTCGAGGTTCTCAAACAGACCCAATAGTCCCATTGAGTTTGAGCCAACATATAAATTGACCCTTCCGGCCTTAAAGCTTGAAAGTTACATTTATCTGAGATTCCTTCCTCATGAAGAGACGCCTCAAGCTTCAAGTAGTATCAAGGAACTGAAAGTTACCGGATCCCTGTATCCCGACAATGAGATATGCAGCCGCCCTAATTAGCCATGAGTGCTTCCTTACTTCTCTCAAGTTCCTGTTTTACCCAGTTACATTTCCTCATTGCTATATAAACCTAGTTTTAGTCAGGGAGATGAATTTGAGATTTATCTCCTATCTCCTCAGCTGTAGCATCTGAATAAATCTGCCTTCCTTGGCAATACTGTCTTAATGATTCGATTTCTGTGCTGCAAGCAGCAGGACCTAGACCAAACCCCTGGTGTTTTGGTAGCAGTTATGTATGAGAATGGGGTAATGCTGCCAATATCCCTTCAAAAAAACCTAACAGTGAAGTTATGGGTAGTGATCAAGATCCTTGGGATTGACCAAACTGGAGTCAAGCTTCTGAACCTTCTGTGTAGTTTATTATATTGTTTTAGCAAAGAACTAAGTTCCTTCAGCAGGAAGTCCCCAGAGTTGGTATCTGTTCATGTTCCTCATCTTCTCCCATCCCCCTCAAATGATGTCTCATTTTTCTGGCTGGTCTTTAGCAATGCTTTTGGATCTGTGAAGCCTGAATACCTTTTACCTCCGAGGATTCCTATTGGTAATTTTTCATCCATTGACCCCACATTGCTTCTCAGCTGTAAGTTCCCACTGGCACGTGCTGCGTTCAAAGTTGAACCTGATCTCTCCCCATGAGACACCCTGCACTAGTCCCAGCATCCATCATGGTGGTCCTACTAACGTCCTCCTTGTGCACACTAATGCGTATCACTGAATACTGTTTAACAGTGACAAAGTTGTATCATAGTGGTAAATGTTTTGAGGATACTTTCTAGTAGTTTGATAAATATAAAAAGGTTAAGTGTCTCATTGTCGGAGTGGTTGAAGTGGAGATCAATTCTAATATAAAAAGATTCAGAGGGGTGAGAACTCTAATCTTATGACAGATTAATGCTCTAAAACGGCTGCAGTTACAATTACAGCCTGAATCATCATGTGGCAGGCCAATTCTCCCTCACAGTCACATAGACAGGTCCACATGGCACCCCAGCTACACAGATGAATTTCCACAGCACTGCCTTAGCATTAAACTGATAATTAAAGCCAGGGAAGTTGATACCCAGACATCAAAGCCAGAACTGAAACATACATCTTACTCAGGCTTCTGCCAAACCTGGAGCAAGTCAAGATAATGGAGACAGCTTTATATTCTTTCTGCCAGGACCCACCCTCAGGTCAATGAAATCAGAGGAATCAAGGTAACAGAGGCAGCTGTGTGAATAGATTTATTGGAGAGTCTAAGGCAGATCTCTGGATGAAATCATAAATAAGATAGAAAGGATCACTTCAGTACCACAACCTTCAATAATTAAAATTTAGGATACAGGCTTTGATGGTACTGAGGCCCTCTTAAATTGATTCGATTTGGAGACTTTTTTGGCCTCTGACCTAGGTAAAACAATTTGTTACCTATAGACTTAGGCGAATGCAATACCCCACGTAGGCACATAACCCCAACCTATGTAAGCACTGAGAAAATGTTAACACTTTGAGTTGGTCTAGTGAAACTATCTCCAACCTTCTCCTGTACCCAGTTACAGCAATAAATTCCCTTGTCTGCCTCTCATTATTGGGTCATGAAGACATGCAGCCAGACCCAGCTTGTTCGAGGAACAGTTATACTACACAGTAACCTCTAGGGAGAAGTATCAGAAAGTGTACACGGGCCCAATTCTGGCACCATGTCAACCCATGGGATTGTCCAGGACAGGCAGAGGTCACCTCACTACTCATGGGTCCCAGTGCTCAATAACTATAGAAACTGAGCACCAACCCTGTCCTTAGTGTACCATAGAGAGACAACCTAAAGTCAGTAGAGGGGAAAGGCTTCCTCTGTTACATTGGAACTGAAACCGCCTTTGCAAAGTTATGACACAGTGAAAGATCTAACTTAACTGACTCCATCTTGCTTCTGAAATGCAAGCGGTCTTGGAGGCTACAAGGATTCTGACCCTCCCTAAACTGCTCCTAAGAACAGTACTTGAGATATTTTGCAGACCCTGTACTTGATGGATCAGCTGGCACCACCCAGATCAATAAACTGGCTCATCTGATCTTGTGGCCCCTACCCAGGAACTGACTCAGCACAAGATGACAGCTTTGGCTCCCTATGATTTCTTCTCTGACCAATCAGCACTTCTGGCTCACTGGCTTCCCCCCCATCCACCAAGTTATCCTTAAAAACTCTGCTCCCCTCATGCTTGGGGAGACCGATTTGAGTAATAAAATTCCAGTCTCCCTCACAGTCTGCTGTGTGAATTACTTTTTCTCTATTGCAATTCCCCTGTCTGGCAGCAGGCAAGGTGAACCCCTTGGGTGGTTTTAGAACTACCAATGGGTCACATCTACTCACAGCATTTATGTTGCTAAGTCCTTAACCTCAGCTACTCAAAGACTTTACAGAGAACACTGAACACTTGACAATACTGTGGATATGGGAGCCAGTGGGGAAAGACGACTGCCGGGAGCCAGGCCCACAGTAAGTATTGCCCATGTCATTCACACCCACTGGAACCTCCCTGCAGATAAAATGGAGTATCTCCATCAGAGCCCATAGGTAGAGCAAGAAACCTCACCTGGATCATCCCAAACTCTGGCATGAAAATGAACACAATAGGGACACAAACAGGAATGTCTGACAGGTAAGAGTCAAACTGATCAAGGTTGTATCCAGCACTACCCCATGTGATGCGGCTCAGACCCCACAGAAGCTGGCAAAGCTTCCATGAGAGGAAGTAGCATGACATTGGCTAGGCTCCCTCAAGTCAGAGGAACTCAGGAAAATGTCAGAAGGGAGAATGGATACCTATCACCAAAAAGTTACATTAATAACCTGAAATTAGATACATACCCTTCTTACCAGCTCAAGGAGAAAGGCATCTCTTTCACAAGCAAGTGTGAAAAAGTATCTTCGATCCCATTTCTAACACAGTGAGATACGTAGCAATGAAACACAGGAGGACACACTTGGCAGTACTTAAACGTGGAGATCCAAACCTCCTAAACCTCCACTGTACTCAGGGGTGTGGGTTGTCATTATCTTCCACAACAGTCACCTTGGAACAACTCATGACACGTAAGGAAGATTTGGCAGATAAGATAGGTCTCATTTTAGATCCTTGGACTATGTAGGGAAATAGGATCAAAGTAACAGGTCATCTGTGGATAGAGCTCCGTATTTTTTGTTATCCATTCCCAACTGTTCCATTGGTCATCTCACTGCTTTTGTGGGCATGGAGCTCCTACTTCCATGGAATGGAGTGTCTTGGTGGTTACATTCCAGTCATTAGGCTGCCCTGGGCCGCATCCTCATCCTCTTCGTCCACTTTTTCATGCAAAGTCGCATCTCAGCACCACAAGGGATAGATGCCTCAGAAGTAGGACAAAGCTATAATGATCATGGCAGACAAGCAGAACAAAATGAGACTCTTGGCCCCCAGAATCCAACTCTGTGATATCCACATTATGTACTTCCTGAGGCCCCAGTACCATTGAGTGCCCTACACTCCCATCAGTGAACACTGTAGTTCCACCCCTTCAGTGATGGCTCTCTCCACCTTGTCACCAGATCCTCCTCCTCTGTTAGAAATGATCTCAAAGCCCGAAGTACCAGATGGAGGCAGATGAATAACCTCCCAAAATATATCTGTCCTAATGTTTAGGACCTGTAAACCTGTTATGTGAATGTCTAAGGAGACAAGGAAATGTATTGAAATAAGGTTGCATAGCCCTGAATTTAAGATTCCAGGTCTTATCCAGGAGGATCCACTGTCAGAACAATTATAGACAAAGAGAAGCAGAAACAAAGGTGAAAGTGATTTAAAATGTACGCTGATTTGACATGAAAGAGGGTCCTGAAATTGCACATGAACCAACAGCCCACAAGTCAAGCAATGGAAGGGACCTATAAACATGGGAAGGTCCAGAATCCAATGGTCGTCAAAGCAACAAGACAGGAACAAACCCTGCCCTCACCATGATCTTACCCAAATGAGACCTGCTTCAAACTTGTGAGAAGATACAGATTTGATTAAAACTTGGTGGTCATTTGTTAGAGCAGGAACAAAATTGTACAGATACTCTGTTCTCTCAGTCTTTTCAGAAAAATCCAGTAAGCCACTTTAGTTTCATATGAGAAGCCTCAGAAGTATTCTTTCCCTGGGAAGCATGATCAAGGAAAACAGCTGCGTATCTTCTTACCCTTACCAAATAAAGATGTGGGTATTATCCAGTGTTCAATCTAAGTTTCCAATGAATACATGAATACCAAAGCATGAATTATTAAACCTTACACAAAAGGTAGGTCTTTACTTCAATTTTCTGTGGAAGAAATTAGGTATACAATGAAAAACCTTCCCGTGGTATCCTCAGTACCCTGGAAACTCCCTTACTGGATATTATACAGCTATTAAGGTAGAAGTACAACAATTATATCGAAATTATCCTACATAACAAGACTAATACTCATGTTGACAATGACCACTGCCACTATCTCTCGATGTTCTGGGATAAGAACATTCAGTTCTTATCCATGAAGAGGAAAAGGCAGAAGCTCCCAGCACTCTGCATTTGGTGCATTCAATGCATTCTGCATTCAGTCTTTTACCTCTGGGTGAGCTGATGATGCTGCATTGACCTGAGGATCTGCAAGAGCAGATTTAAGTGTCACGAGAAGGAGATACCTGCTCCTTCCAAGGTGAGTAGCAGTTCAATAGAATTTGTTCTGCTCAACAGTCTAGAGGGAGAGAAACAGAGCCCCATGCAAATTTAGATTACACAGTTAACACTGCAGACACATCAATTCCTAAGCATCAGTGAGTACTGTCCTCAGTCTTGATGTCTTTGGGCAAAGAGACAATTCTCCTTAGTACTCCTTAGCCTTGGATAGTCCCAATGAGCAGAGGTCATATAGAGGATTGGGGCCAGTGTACCAGGCTTATGATAACTGTGATGGTTAAAACTGAGTGTCAACTTGAAGAATTCGAAGTATTGTTTCTGGGTGTGTCTATAAGGGTGTTGCCAGAAAACATGAACATTTGAGGCAGTGGACTGGGAGAGGCAGACCCATCCTCAGTCTGGAAGGGCACCCTCTAATCAGCTACCAGCATGGCCAGGATATAAAGCAGACAGAGGAATGTGAAGAGATTCAACTGGGTTAGCCTCCCAGGCTATATCTTTCTCCCATGCTGGATGCTTCCCACCCTCAAACATCAGACTCCAAGTTCTTCAGCTTGGGGACTTGGACTGGCTTCCTTGCTCCTCAGCTTGCAGAGGGCCTATTGTGGGACCTTGCAATTGTGGGAGGTAATGCTCCTTAATAAACTCCCCTTTATATATACATCTATTAGTTCTGTCCCTCTAGTGACCCCTGACTAACACAGATAGTGACAAGGCAGCTGTTCCTTATCTAGTCATAGAAGGGTTTGTTCAGCTCTTCTCATGCACAGGCACTTTGCCAAGTCCTGATAGAATTGAGCAGGGGGTGGGTTGGGTACCGGCCTCTCTGTAAGCTATGTAGGTAAGCTATGTGAAAGGAAAATAAAAACCCAGGACCCCAATTTGCTATGCCCCCCCCCCAGAAAAATTTAAGCCAATAGCCAAGTCACGCATGATTCTGTGGCAGGCCAATTCTCCCTGACCGCCACATGGACGGGCCTGTGCAACCAGCAGACAGGCCTGTATAACACCCCAGTTAAAAATTTCCACAGCACTGCTTTAATATAAAGCTAATTAAACCCAGGGAAATGGATGCCCATGTATTAAAGCCAAAAATGAAACATATGCCCTACACAGGCTTCTCCCAAACCAGGAGCAAGTCAACATAATGGAGACAGCCTTACATTTCTTCTGCCAGGACCTGTCTTGGGCTCGATGACATCAGACGAGTCAAGTTAACAGAGGCAGCTGTGTGAATAGATGTATTGGAGAGTCTAAGGCAGCTCTCCGGACCAAACTGCAAATGAGGTAAAATAGAAATAATCACTCCGGTACCAAGGTCCTCAATTAAGTAGAATTTAGGGAGACAGGCCTTGAAGGTACTGGGGCCCTCACAGCTTGATCAGACTTGAAAGCGTTTTTTTGGCCTCTGACCTTCTAGTTGAAACAATTAGTTACCCATAGAATTAGGTGAATGCCATACCGCAGGAAGGCAAATAACCCCAGCCTATACAAGCGCTGAGAAAATTGTAACACTGAGTTGGTCTGGTGAAATTATCTCCAACCTTCTCCCTGTAGCCAGTTACAACAATAAATTCCAGTCTTTGCTAGTCAGTCTGCTTCTCACTGGGCCATGAGAAAACGCAGCTGAACCCAGCTTGGTTCCGGGAACAAAGCTGCCTTTCCTTTTGTCCCTAAAAGCAGATAGCTAGAGATAACAAGGTAAATCTCTACACAGGTACCTATTCTGTATTTGTCTTGTCATATGTAAAGTGCTGATTTACTGAGTCCAAGAGGGATGTGCCATTGACTATCCCCTACCTGCTCCTTTTCTCTTACAACGTATTGATTACCAATATCCTCACCTTTCTCCCTCCAGCCCGCTTTTCCTCTTTCAAGAATGGCACAGACCAGAGGCTGTGAGTCTGTTTCTTCCTCCTGGGCATGTCTTGTAACCTTGGAAAAATAAACTAAGTTGACTGAGAATTGTCTCATACTTTTTGGTTTATAACTGCAAGGAGTGGAGCTTCAGTTGATTCACTCTCTGGAACTGGGCTGCCAAACATAGCCTGCTGCAGGTGGAGTTATCCTGCATGTCTGGAGCAACGTGAAACAGTGGCAACATTAAGGATGCCCTGAGCACATACACTTTCACTGCAGAGCTGCTCACTGGAAGCCGAGCAGTACTCTACACCAGGAGGCTCTGAGCACCAAGGACTCATCTGGACCTAATGAGATGCTGACGTATGTTACCACTGGTTTCCAAATGAACAGGTGTTTTAGCCACCATATTCTTGCAGTAACTTTATATAGAAGGGTATTGCTAATTCTGTCCAAAATAAATTCTTAGTATGCTTGGTCTGATTAGAAGTTCTCATGGCTGGACAATTGTTATCAGCCCAGCAGGACAGGCACAAACCAGAAGTGCAGCTCCCAAGAACTATGTGGTGGTAAGGACTTCGGACCATCTTCCCCCTCAAGTAGTAAGGACTATAGCAGAAAGCATAGCATTAGGAATTCAACAACTGAAATTCCAAGGTCCAGGGACCCACATATGGCAAGCATCTTCTATGTCATCCCATGGCAGAAGGGAGACAGCATGTGCAAAGGAGGGCAAGAGAAAGGGTTCATTCTGAAGTGCAAGTCAAGAAACATCCAGCTTCTGCATCCAACCATCCATTACTACATGGAGATGTGAATGTGACAAAAGTCAGGGCAAGGGACCAAGAACAACAGACAACCAATGCAAGGAGAAGGTGCACATCATGCATTGACCTAATTATGTGGACCTGGGTGTGGAGCAGGACTTGGTCCTACCTATTCCTCATCGTCGGGAACCAGATTTCAGGCAAAAGCTATATGCTGGAAGTGCTGTGAGGAGGAGTCACCCTTCTCAGAGGCAGTTGCATTGCCACAAGGTGTCCTCTGGTGCTGAAAGCTGAGGAAGTGTGTGCATGAAGAGTAATGCAGAGACCAAGAGTCACTATGACTTTGAAGATCAAGATTTCAGATGCTTTGGAGGTAGAAAGAAATCAAAGCCCAGAACACCATTGTCATCACTGGGGAAGGGATGATCGGAAGTATCTGTTGTTCAAATGAGTGAGACATGGACTGTTCTTAGAGCTCAATTTCTGGAGGAAATAAGAATTAAGTTTAACAAATTACAGACTTCAGGTCATTTTCCCTTAAGCTGTATGGAGGTACACAGTAGTAAGATTCAACAGTTGCTATGTATTAAAACATTCACACAAGTGTGAAAAGTCACCTCCTTGTAGAGTGCCAGTGGTAAGTAGGCAGATTCTTGACACACACAGACACCATTGTCCTAATCCTTAGAACCTATAAAGATGTAAAGAGACATGCCAAGGGGGAATTTAAGGGAACCTATGAGAACAGTTTGCTAATCAACTGACTGGTATTCAGGTGTCATCCAGAGGGTTCCACTCACCAGAAGGGCAATTGATGACAAAGGAGAAGAGAAAGGTGCAAATGCAGGAGACAGATTTAAATCCTCCCACGTTCAGTTCTGCACTTCTTACACATCCTTTCCTGTATGCCCACCTAAGATAGCATGGCTTAAGAGGGCATCCAGCATCAGCTTCAAGTGTCGGATACTCAACCAAGGTGAATGAAACTTTAGCCAGGTTCAAAAACTGGTATATTTTCAAGGTACATCTCTGAAAAGGCATTTTCTGACCAAGCAACCAGAACCAATGGAATAAAGATCAAAGGCAGGCAATTCCAGAAGGTGTCAACCACATTAAGATAGTGAGCCCATGGCTCATGAAGACCATCACTGGGATATCTTCCTATAGAAAAGCAGAATGAAGTTGCTGAGATCTGAGAGCCCTGGTCTGTGAGCCTTGGAAAGAAGACCTTAGTGGTCCAGGCCCACTATCCTGGGGACATATGCAAGCATAAGTTGGAGTGCATGTCTCTTCCAGGACATCCACGAGGTGAAACATCACTAAGCTATCTCAAATACTTGCAGATAAAAATACCTTATAAGGGCATTTGAAACATAAGGAACAAGAGTCTCAGACAAGTCAGGATGACTTAGGCTGTCACTATCAAGGGCAGGCAAGATGAGGATCACATACCTCAGACTTGTGGCCAGAGTCAAAGCAAGATAGCCTTGGATACCCTTCACCTTGGTAAGTGTTGTGTCAGGTCCACTGTGCACTAAGGGCTCATCACTGCCAGGAACACAGTTGAAAGGTTTCAGGCACATCTCACGCTGCCTCCTTATGACTGGGAGGATCAAACGAGAAGGCAGCGTTTCCAGGCCTACAGACGGGAAGTCAAGATGGCAAAAGACCTCCCTCCACCGAGGCCTAAGTTGCTCATACACAAGTGAGTATTAGACCATTCTTAGACTTCAGCTGGATCATCCCAAGTGTTCTCAGAAGGAACACTTAAGACAAAAGGAATGACATTATCAGGCAGATGAGGATGAAAGGACAACATAGGTCATCCAGCAGGAGCTCAGATGGTGGCCACCACTGCTCCCCATGCTCACACCCTCCTTTGGGAAAAAGCAAACTAGCTTTGGAAGCACCACCCTTGGGAGATCAGGACAGTTTCTACAACACATGTGGGTGAGGCTTAACCAAGGATTGCAAAGCAAGGTAGAGCTTAAGAAAATGTCATTCTCTCCTTTATGATTATCCATGGGGGGTTTCCACGGAAAAACAGCACGTTCGCAGCCACATGTCCCTACAAGGAATGTGAGCCTAAGGATAGGGTGACACATCAGAACTGTTCCCTCAAGAGCACGTAGATTGCTAAGAGGAAGGGGTATACCATCACAAGTGCAGTAACTGACATGAGTTATATAGGTGTGATGGTATCATTGAGGGTTAACTTGATTGAAGGATGCAAAGTATTGTTGCTAGATGTGTCTGATGGTGTTGCCAAAGGAGATTAACATTTGAGTCAGTGAAGTGGGAGAGGCAGACCCACCCTCAAGTGTGGGTGGGCACCATCTAATCAGCTGCCAGCATAGAAGCAGGCATGCAAAGGGCAGA
This sequence comes from Homo sapiens, assembly GCF_000001405.40. NCBI lineage: Eukaryota > Metazoa > Chordata > Mammalia > Primates > Hominidae > Homo > Homo sapiens. The sequence goes on along the minus strand of NC_000004.12, from coordinate 10,236,258 downwards.
CCGGCTGAGTCTTCCAGCCTCTCTTTCTCCCGTGGTGCATGCTTCCTGCCCTCAAACATGAGACTCCAAGTTCTTCAGTTTTTCGACTCTTGGACCTACACTAGTGGTTTGCCTTCAGCCACAGACTGAAGACTGCACTGTTGACTTCCCTACTTTTGAGATTTTGGGACTCGGACTGGCTTCCTTGCTCCTCAGCTTGCAGACGGCCTGTTGTGGGACATCACCTTGTGATCATGTGAGTCAATTATCCTTAATAAAATCCCTTTCATATATAAATCTAACCTATTATTCCTGTCCCTCTAGAGAACTCTAATACAGTAGGTGTAGAAACCCAAAACTTGGGCAGGCATTTTGTCCCAGTGAACAAATGAGTTGGGACTTCTTCCAGCATAGGACTTAAATCTCATGACATCTAAGGTACACCTAGTTATAGATCTTTCAACACTCATTTTGTGGAGTTTTAAGAAATGAGACTTAGACAAAGTAAAACAATTTATTGAAAGTAGAATATTCTCCCATTATCAGTTTGGGGACACTTGATTCTAGCCAACATTTCTGGGAAGCAGAAATGGAGAAACAAAGCCAAATGGGATATGACATCTAAGAAAGTCTCTTCCCAGAAAAGCCTCCATGACAAGATGATGGGAGCTGGGAACTTGGCTGTGGCTTCTGGGTAGCCTTGCTGTAGTAGGTACAGAGCCACTTCTTTCTCCTCAAAAGAACCCAGGATGTCTGGCATTCTGGAATGATTGGGCAAGCCTGGCAGAGGCAGGGCATATCATGCCACATTCCCGTGCCTACTTATTTTTCTGGCACAGTTGCAAAGGACTGCACCATGTCAGTTCCCTGCATCCCACTACAAGCTCCTTCTCCTTCAATCTGTTTATCAGCACTTGGACTTTCAACCAAAGTCTCTGAAGGCTGCTCAGCCTCAGGCACAAAGTTTGTCCCTCTGAACCAGCCTAGATTCCATTGATAGGAGCTAGAGGCAGAGAAAACAGCCCACCATAAAGACCACCACATAGCTTATAGCTCTGATCTCTCAAAAACATTGGGACTGAACCACGAACCAAGCTCAACTTCTAATCTCATCCCATGGGACTAAACAGCAACCTCAAATCCTTGAGCAAACCTATCCAGGCTCAGTTCATCTGACTTTCTGTGGGGGCAATCAGGAGCACATAGGGGCACCCCAGATATACTGTGGTATCATCACTAAGGAGATATACTAGATCCACTGGTTGCATTCTCAATGACTATAGATAGCTCTAGCTCATGATGCTGCCCCACTAAAAAGTCAGTTAAGCCCAGCTGTTGATACCATAGTGATGGCTTTACAATTGAGACTTGATCTCTTTCCCTGTCTCTCAGATGAGCCCCTCCTTCCAGGAAGAGCTATCAGTGTTGACTATGGTAAGCCTAGCGCTCAGTCTGTCTGGGACTTCTACCAACAGCATCCAGGTAAAAAATGAACTTGAAAGATACATCTGGTTTCAAGATTTCTGCATTCAGTCCTTTACTTGCTCTGTTAATTCTCAAGATCTTGCCCTTGAGAGTCCCTCAGATGTGAGGACCAGAAGTGAGGGAACCTTGGGGAGACGACTTTGGCGACCCACTCTCTATGTAGTCAATATTTAGTGTTTATTATCTGAAGTTAAATTGGAGTGTTCCTTTTTTCCATGGCTGCTGTGTGGAATAATACCTTCACCATACCAAGTATTTTGGGGTGACAAGGAACCTATCTAGACAAAAAGGAATGTGAGGCAGATGAGAAAACATTTACCTAAGCCATATCCAGTACAGTCTCAGATGATGTGCATCTCACATACTCCAATGTACACAGACCTGTGGTCACAAGTTAAGGCAGAAAAATCTTTGGAAGAATTTCCCCTTATAAGTGTTCACCCTATAGAACTTCCAGAATGGCAGTAGGAAACTCCCAAGTCTCTCCCTATAGAAAAGCTATTAGGACACTGACAAGATTGTCAAAAGTAAACTTTCAGTACTCTGGATATCAGCCAAGCACTTTCAACAATCTTAGGGCAGTAAGTTTGTGGCATTTTAACTTGTCTTACTCCAATCTTACTCTCCCCAGCTCTTTACTACCTTTGAAATCCCAAGTTTCACAACCATATTAGCCGTGATGACAAGCCGCCTACCAGCCACTGTTGGGGGCAATTTGGACCTCCTCAAAAAGTCCTTGCTCCCCCACAGAGACACTTGTTTCACTTGTCTGGCACCTTCCAGAAGCAGCCCTGTTCTCAGGTTGTCTTTAGCTGACTTACCTTAGAGCACACTCATTGGCAACAGCCCAATCCCCACTTTGTCAACAAAAATAAGTCAGCAGCAATTGTTTAACATCAGATGCTCAAGACAGTATTACTATTACTAGGGGGAAGTGAGAGACTGACCAAATAGACCATGAAAGGAGATGTTCACAGGGAGCTTCGCAAAGTTCTAAGATTTCTGGGACCTTCCAAGGCCACGTACATGTGCATGGCTACGTGCACGCCCAGGAAAGACCTGAGAAGCTTCCAGTATCATCTCCAGCTGAACTTGATCCACAGAAAAAGGCTAAGGGAAAATTGAAGGTGCATCCCAACAGAGTCCTTCGGTCATAACTGAGACTTATTGGTTCAAAGTATTGGGCCAAGAAGGAAATATCTACTAAATCATCGACTACCAAGATAACCATGCAGAGGCTTCAGTGGCCGCACATGAAGTGTAGAGATCATGGCATTAGAGAACTCACTTAACAGCCAGCAACAAGTCCTGCAAGTCAGGCAGGGGAATCTCTAACTCCAGAGTTGTCAATTATTTCAGTTATACAGTGTAACAAAAAGTGAGGCATGAAAAGAAATGGCAAAGTATGGCCGATAACACAGGTTCTAAGTAGTTGATAGACCCTGTCCCTGAGCAAGCCAGAACAGCTGGACTGCCTAGCCAAACTCAGTTGTTTTAGATACCTACAAAGTAAAGAAAACCATGTCAAAAGGAACTGAAGAAATGGAGAACAACGTCTTAAAAATACCAATAGAGTTTTTCAAAACCCCATATAAATTCTGGAATTTGAAGTACTGTAACACATTTAAAATTTACTAGAGGGGTTCAAGAGCAGATCACAGCTAGATGGAATCAAACTTGAAAATAAATGTGAGTTATTTACCACATGATATTCAGTATGAAGGGTTTTAGTCTTCATGTAATTCTATTGCTTTCAGTTACATATAGCAATAAAGGACTGGTGGTTTTCCCAACATGGTATCTGGGCTGGTAAGGTTCCTCTCTACAAAATAGAAGCCTTTCACTTGAAAGGGCTGCTTTGAGGATCTACCAGACATGGGACATGTTCTATTAGGCACTTTTGCTGGTTCTCTTTCCTATGAGAGCAGGAGTGGGAGGAGGACTGCTGATAAGTGCATTTTACAGACATTAAGTGTTACACATAAATATAAGTGAGCAGTAACTCACCCATTCTTAGGGCCCTCTATGGCCAGGATGAAAGTCAGTATCATACTCCTGGAATACAGGGATGGATGAGAACATCTGTCCAAAATGGGCTGGGGCAGTGGTAGGCTGAGAAATGTCTTAGACATACCCTTGATACAAACAGAATTATGACCAGCCACTCTGTTCTTCCCATGGGAGGCAAAAGGTAAACAGATGAACAGCCAAACCTCCATCGTTTGTTGGCAGAAGTTTGTAGACTGTAAATGGAAAAGTACTGAAGAATAAAATCCAAGACAAAAAATGACAAGCCATTACAATTCACAGTGCCAGAACTCAAAGAGACTAGCAGTTGTAAAGGCTCAAATGGGGCAGATGTTTTCACTGAACCCAAACTGAAATTCATGTAAAGCTCTGATGTTTTTAAGCATGTGTAAAAGGGACATGTTCTAGTTTTAAATCTACGTTTGGAACAATGTCACTGTATTAACGTGTTCTGGGGAGTAGGCTCCATCTATGGACATGTACCAGAACAAGAAGTCAGAAGGGTGAATTCTTGAGCCATGACATGCATTTTCTGCCTTTGAAAATCGAAGCTCCTAGTTCTTGAGCCCTCAGCCTCAGAGTGGCAGGTTCACTTTCAGCTCAGGTTTTCAGACTCAGGCTAAATTACGCTACCAGCTTTACAGGTACTCCAGCTTGTAAATGGCATGTCTTTGGGCCTCTTGGCCCCCATAATTACATAGGCCAATATTTGTAACTCATGTATTCTATTGGTTTGGTGTCACTGGAGAACCTTGACTAACAGTTTTTTCTGACTGAAACGTCTCACCATTCCAATGTAGACTTTGACCTATGGATCACCTTGAATATTCATGACCATAACCTATGTTCATGAATGTTTATGTTTGAGAGCTCCAAGGAGACCAACTGGTACTTGGGACAGAGCCCAAACAATGTCATAGTGACCTATAAAAACAGCTATTTCTATAAGAGACCCATGCTCCCAGGGGGCTGTTTTGACAGCAGTTCTGGGTCCCACAGTGTTTTGGTCTAAGTGTTTCTGAGAAATTCAGATGCCAGAACTTAACCCCAAATGGGATATTAAGGGATCCTTTAGGAGGTGATTAGGCTCTGCCCTCATGATGGGATTAGCGCCCATAAAAAAGAGGTTTGAGAGAGGCGGTTTCTTCTACCAGGTAAGATACATATGTATATGAAGACCAACACATGAGGACCGAACAACAAGGCACCATCTTTGAAGAGAGCAAGCCCTCAGACACCAAGTCTGCTGGCACCTTCATCTTGGACTTCCTGATCTCTAAAACTGAAAAATTGATCTTGCACGTTACCCAGTCTAAGGTACTTTTGTAGTAGCAGCATAAATGAAGTACAAGAAAGTAAATGAACCGTAAGATGGGCAGAGAAATAAGAGTTAGTGGACAAGAGGCTATCCATTTCTCTTGCATCTCAGAAGAGAGGTTTTGAAACAGAGGAGTTTTTTTTTTTTTTTTTTACATAGAACATAAAGTTGGTTTCAAAAGAAAAAATTGATGACATACTCTCCATAGAGCTGCATTTTTCCATTGCTTCCTTGAAATCTGTGCTCCTACATGGCTACAAAGCTGCTCAATATTCTCCTTCACCAACAGCGTCATCATCAGCACATTAAGGATGGAAGGTTCTAGAATAACAGCTGTCCTGTAACCATCTCCAGAATCTCATTTCAAATCTTCATTGAGAGATTCAAGCTCTGACTCAGATCTACAAAAACTCAGCCATCTAAATTAACTTGTCTTGGCAAAACTGGTTTACCCTCAAGTAACCCACGTTAGAATTCCTGGACAGGATGCTGGCAGCTGCTACCCATCAACATTTCACATCCACTGAGGTGGTAAGACCCTCAGGCTTACACTGGGACAATGTTTCTGTATATGTTTTAACAGATCAGTTTTCAGAAGTCATAGAAATTAACTCAGATTCATATTACATAGGTTGCCAGATAAAGTATTTCTAAAAGATAATAGAGATGGATCCAATTCTATGAATACCAAATCATAGGAAAATACCAGGAAAAAAAAAATCACCAGGAAACCCAAATCTTAATTATATACTAGCTTCTAGGAAGAGACATTCTGGCATTTTGAGATTCAGAAAAATCCTTTATCTGGTATTCATCAATAACCTCTGGAACAAACAATTTGGGATCAGCGTTCAGATTCTTAGCTCCACAGCTACGGTTTCTGCATGATTCTGCCAGAGGAAGTCTAAGCTGCAGGTAGCCACTGCCTGCTCAAAAGCAGGACCAACAAGAAGCTCCCACTAAAGATGCCTGCTCCTCCTTCTGAGGCAAGAGTAAACTCAGCAATAAGTTCTGTAGTTTGTAGCAGGCAATGGCCTTCCAATTCCCTTAGATCCCATTTTACCATGAGGTATGTCCGGAAACCACTGGAAGTCAATGGAACTATTCAATGAGCATCAAAAGTTCCAGTTACATGTAAGTTCTAGAGATCTGAACTTGTGACTATGTAGTTAATTCCTATTGTGGACTTAGTTTGTTGATAGAGTAGAACAAGTGTTCTTACCACAACTTAAAAAGGTCAATGAAAGGAACCTACACGTTGACCTAATATTGGATAGAACTTCATGTAGTTGGTCCATTACATGTGTACCTAGGACATTGATGTATTTATCCTTGCTAGTGCAAGAGAACACTGAGTTAAAGAGACATGTAGATGCTTATTGTACCTCCTAAATATAGCCAAGGAACACAAGTGAGAAAGATTCTCAATCCTTTAAGACAATGCTGAGAAATCTTAACCTCACTCACCCGTTATAATCCAGGCGACAAGTTATAAGACAGAATAAGGTAAGGGACTATATGAAGGGTTAGTTTGATGTTCCTCAACATAGTTTGCTTTCACCTGGCATGGCCAACAACACAGCTTCAGTAAGTTCATGGTTATACCAACTGTCCTGCTCCATCACAATGGAGTCCACAAGTGTTGGTCTTGATATCCTAGGGCCTTCTATACTGTTCCATAACATTCAAGGCATTGTTTGGTTAAACTTGGACAGAAAGAGGCAAGCACCCTAGGTGACAGCCAAATGCACTGCCATGAAGTTAGTACCACAAGTTAGAATATAACTACCCTTCAAAATGTTAGGCCTGCCTCAGTGGCCTGGGTACATCAGAACATCTCTTCTACATTGTATTTTGTACCTACTCACCAGGAAGTAGGTGGCCCAATACTTAGTGCATATTTTCGACTTTGGAGGCAACAGAGACCCTATTTGTGTACTGAACAGACCCACTTGCCAGGTTACATATAAGTTGCCAAGATGAAGTGGAGCCCAGAATAAGAGTGGGATTGACCACAGATGCAGCCTGCCCTACTACTAGGGCCTTATGGTGTCGCATGTTCAGAGACACTGCTGTTGTCTACGCTATCTGCAGCCTTACAGTCGTGAAAATCCTAGCTGTCTAGATTGTGGTTAAGTCCATGTCCTATTCTCCTGAAAAAGTCTCTGGCTTGCTGCTGGGCTCTGCTAGAGACTGAAGCTGACTGTAGGAAACCACATGACTGAGAGACTTGGTGGCTCAAGTAAAATCCAGTTTATGACAGCCAGCTCAGGTCACAGTATTAGGCATCATGATAGTGCATCATGAAATAACAAAGACCAATTCTGAACTCCGGGAGGCACAGTGTATCTCATGAGCAAGCAGCTCAGAATCCCATGGTAAATTTTGTTGCTTTGCCAACTCTCAACCCACCTGCTGCCTTTAGGGATGTTTCTGATTAACTCAAGAAGTGTGCAAACCTGGGTACAGATGGATCCTGCAGAGTATGCTTGTAATACTAAGAAATTGAGAGTTACAGTCACGGCCCCATACAACAGTGAGCCTGAAAGGGAATGGGAAGCCCTCCCAATGGGCAAGCGTTCAGACAGGACATTTGTCTACTTTGCATTAAAAAATATGTGAATTATCACATCAATGTATGCATTTTCATGAGTGGTCACCAAGTATGCTGTTAGAGACATAAGCCAAGATTGATGACATCAGAGACTGACTCTCACAAGCCACCCCATGCTTGCTCACTGGCAGGACCAAGGTGGCAGGAATGCAGGCTGCCACAGGGTAGGTTCCCTAGGAATCAGACCGAGATGGATATTCTCATGCAGCATGTTTATTAGGCCATGCTTTCTGGATGATCACCTGTGGAGGAAGGGAAGCAAGCAAGATTGGGCAGAGGTAATAGTTGAGCTAAGATGCAGTGTGAGGGCCTCAGCCAACCCTGGAGGGCACTGTCAAGTAGTGTGACCTTTAAGGTTCTTCCAAAAGTTAGGGTGGAAGGACCAGGCTGTCTTATTTCCACACTGAGTAGGTGCTGGCTAATGGGTCATTGCCCGTTTTGAACAGAGGCAAGCACAAATAGAGGGTTATCATCTGAGGCTGTCTGCTAAAAGCATTTCCAGAGGTGGAGGCAACAAGCCTTCCACTGTTGACATGGGATCTAGGCAGCACATCACTGTGCCCACCACAAAACTTATTATGTGGGCCTCAACACAGCACATACTTTCCACCTCCATGCTAAGCCCTGTTGGGATTCATGGTCTCATGATGTTGCATGAGATTCAGAGTAGTCCCAGCGAGAAGATAAAGACCCAGTCTTGCTGTTTGCAAGACTAGCCTACTATCATCTGGAGTATGACAAATATTGTGGGAGAATTCCAGGGACACTTATGTCAGATTTTATGTTATTTATGAATTTAAAACAGCAGCATTATGTTCTACTCGGGTCTACACTGCAGGTCTCAGAAATATCCTGAGACTGCACCCTGTGGCACTACTCAATGACGTTGTTAAAGATTATTTCAATCCTAACTTTGAAATTTATTACACCGTCTCTTCTCTTCAGTTCTTCCTATAACCTCAAACTCTTCAGCACTGCTAAAGCCAGGTGTCCTATCCTTGCTTTATTGTTTTACTTGACCCTTTCCTTCCTTTGAAACCACTTTCTGGAGTTTATTTCTAGGGCATCACACCTCCTTGGCACTTTCCTATCACAGTGACAACTGACTTCTTTGTACCATTTGCATGTTTTTGCTCCAGACGTTTTAGCAGCCATAAGCATGGAATTCAGTCTCGCTGAATAAGGACAAGTCTACTTTTGATCTGATCCCATAAGAGACCATTTTGATCTGATATTGAAGAGGAACTCATGCTCAAACTTTCACATCACGTGAGAAGAATATCTGAAGTTGTTAAAATGGACTATATTTCATACAAAAACCCTGTAATGGGATAGCTCACTGTTAAGATCTAAGTTCGAGTTATGTGCATACATCTTCTAGAAACGTTTAGAGTAAGATGGAAAGTATTGTCTCATACTTTTGAAGTTTTGCATGGATGAAAAGGTACTTTTGGGGAACTACATGTGGCATTGTCACTTTTTCATTTTGTATAACATCTAAAAACCTCTCCTAACACACCAGTCCTTCAGAACTGCTCTGTTGCCCTTTTTCCTAAGACTTCTATAGAACTGTCATTTCATCTGCAGCAAGATCATTTCTACTTTTTGACTACTTGAGTTATAAGATCCAATGCACAGATGTAGCACTTGGCCTACTTTTAATGAAGACTCACAAAAATGATACAGGCTTACCCACGGTAAGTGTTAATCTTCTAAAGATTGCCACCTAAACATGTGCTGAAGAGGCACTGCAGAGCAAGGGATGTTTATCTCTGCAATTCATTGGCCAAACTAAACCACCCACCAAAGGAATGGCCAAGTCATTTTAGCTAGGAAATGCTGAGCATCGGAATTACTTGCAAACAGCTCTTTGGAAGGTATTCAGTTCTCAAATACTTTTGAGATTTCTCATGGGTAAAAAAAAAATACTGTCAAGGAACTAGATATAATCTTCCTATTACTTTCCAGTGTAACTTTAAGAATATTAAAATTCATCAGGAAATGAGAGGGATGACATCCTTACCAGGTTCAATGCTCACAGAACCTCGTGGTGAAGAGGAGCAAGTAGGCCCTTTAAAAGCCATTGCCCTCCTAAACAACTAGCCCCTGGCTAATACTGGAGTCCCAGAATTCCTGAGTGTAGAGAAGAAAGTAATCCACTGCCAGCTGGAAGCTTCACACTCCTGTACAACCAGACTTCATCCTGGGCCATAGAGTGCCTATGTATCTAATAGTCCCCTATACCCACAGCCTATCTCACTTTGGTGGACCTTCACAGGAGTACATGATTTCAAAATGATCTCCCCTTCCTCAATAGTGGTTTTCTGTCATTTTTTCCTCATTTGTTCATGAAAGTGTCAGTCTCTCATACTGCCCTCTCTGGGGAAGCCTTTTCTCCGTCTATAGCCATTTTCTATGACAAGGCATAAAGTTGTAAGCAACTGTCCCAGACCCTGAGGAACACAGATTTTCTCATTCAGGCCATCTCCTGTGGGGAACCTGCACCTGCAAAACCAATGATGCCTGTAGGTCTTAGGTCTCTCCTCACTTCCATCATTATGGATGAGAATAATCCTGCTTCATCTGTTCATAAGCCCAGGAGCCGCAAACTGGTTAAACAATTAAAAACTCTTGTCTATGTTCATAGATCAGACCGATCTTGAGATTAAGGACACCATGACTGGAAACTCGCCAAGTAGTACCAGGGTAAATAAGGTTGTACACACCTCATGGATTGCCCCCTGAGGTGAACAGGAAATGTTTAAACAGCTATGGATTCTGGTTTGGAAACTTGTGAGATGTTTTAGGGTACAGAATAAAAAGTGATAGAGCCTACTCTGAGAAATCCAGACTTCACATCCTTTGCCAGAGTGATCTAGGTCAGAGATCAGTGAACCCAGATTGCTCAGGACACGCATTTTTCTCTAGTTGAAATCTACTTGGGGATACAGGACTTCTTTATCTTTGGGGAGTCTGGACCTCAAGGACACCTGAAGACCATTGGGTATTAAGAGTCAACAAGGCCTGGTAAACAAGGAGTCAATTCCTGAACTACACAATGAAATAACCATGGTATGTGTTTTAGTCATGAAACTTCAATGGAGCTGACATTGTCATCTTAGTCAAGGGGTATTTCAAAGGGACCTCAGGAGGAAGTCTTTCAGATGAAACCACCTCAAAGAGAAGCCATATGGAAGAGATGAACAAGACTTAGCATTAGTGCAGCCATCAATAGACTCAGTGTTGGGTGCGATTAAACTCCATTAAGAACCTGGTCATTTGGTGCTGTCAGTCGGTTTTAAGGCAATCAATGGATCTAACAACTGGAAGTTCTTATAAGTCAGATAAATTGGAATGTCAAGTCCCAATCATGAACTCCTTACCATATAGCAAATCAAAAGAATAAACATGCTACAAAGTCAGATTCTTTTGCTTTAAAAGTTCCTACCACATAATTTTAGAAACAGAACCAGTCTTGAGTTTCACTGTTAAGTCATTCCTGCAGAGGAAGTGTGGCTACAGAGAGGCCATAGCTTTCAACTGTTTCAAAAAGAAGCCCTTGGCCACTCCTGCTAACAGGAAGCTCACCCTAGGCAGTCCTTGTCCCTCAAGTAGGTGGAAGCAGAGATAGCTGGACCAAGTTCTCAGGGGATTATGAAGCCTTAGAAGCTGCCTTATTTGAGGAAGAAGGGTGTTAAAAGAGGAAGAAAGGTGTTACAGGAAATTTCCAGCAGAACTGACGGCCTAGTAAGGTGGATCAGATGTCTTTTGTCTTGTGATATGAGGAAGTTCATACCAAATTATGAAGTTGTGTTTCACACTTACGTTAAAAGCAGCTTTTAAAGGTAAGAGTAGCTGAAGACAATGGCAACTACCAAAGTCTGTGTATCTCCCAATATTTCCTCCAAAGTCAACATAGAACTAGAACACATGAAAATCTTAATAACTCAGTAGAAAAATGCCCCAATTCTTGCTCTTGGTTTTTAAAATGTCCAATGCCAGAAAGCTGTCTCATGCTACTACACCTACTGCAAAAGCCTCTATAGTGAGCAAGCATGGGCTCAGAGAAACAGAGGGGGTAAGCGAGGGTTTAAGTGAGGGACTAGTAACAGCCCCAGGGTTGATGTAAAGCCACCACCAAAAAGCTTAGGTCTACTTAAAGTATGATCAGACTTAAAAGTCGCCTGGTACATCACAACACAGTCTACAGTACATGATTTAAAGACTCATTTTTCAAGATGTCCAACTCTTAAAGGAAAAAAGACACCATTCGGCAACTGAGTGACAGAAAAGCAGCACCGTGTACAGTAGTGAGAAAGTATTTTACCATGTCACCTCCAGATTTCCCATGGACTTGGTTGTAAAACTCTGACAGCTGTACGAGTTTTCCTGGCTTACTTTCCTCCTCTGTGGTAGGCTCAGCCCTGTTGTTTTTGGAGATACTGCCCCAGGACACATGGACGCCACCACTTCACTAGCCAGGTCACCCATGATCCAAAGACTTCTGTTCTTAGGCTCCTGATGTCACAAATATATATATATCTTTGTGAAGAACGTCAAGGTTAATATAGATTTAGAAGAGGTGATCAATTCAAACTGAAGGAAGGGAATCTCTAGAAAGCAGCCCTGTTCTAGCACCGGAGGAAAAAAAAAAACTTAATTAACATCTTCCCTCTGGAACAAGACAGCTAGAAAAAAATTCTGAACTTTCACATCCAAACTTCTACCCCTGGGTCAGTCATTGCAGGTATGATTTTTCATTGGTGATTCAGAGGATGTCACGTACAGAGGGCAGCAGCATAGCAAGTTCCGATCATGGTTGTAAAACGGAGGCATTATCTGACCCTACACCTAGGAAGGACTTTAGTGTCCCAGCTGCTGGGAGTGCCACCTGCAGTCTTCAGTCATCAGCTCTTCCAGGTATTTCTTTGCAGAAAGCTGTTTTACCCAAGGTCACTCCCTCTGGGGATAGATCTTGTCCAGCCCCTATCAGTGTAGGTATATGAAAGCCATGCTCTCTCAGCCTGTACTTCTACTCAGGCAATTTCAATTCCAGAACTGCCTCTGGGATCATCTAAAGCTTGGGCCACACAACCTACCAGATTGTGATATTAGGGTTATCGGTAGTTAAAAAAAAAAATGCCCTGTGGACACTATGAAATACCCCAACTGGAAAATACACAGAGTCCACACACGTTTCTGGGGCTCAAAGCATGACCAGGAAGAGTTACCTTTTGTAAAAACAATGCCTAACATGCAACTAGACCTTCATAGAGGGAGAATGCTCAACCACAAAGCAAGTGATAATGCAGCCACAGCTTTACATCTGCTGGGTTCCATCAGACCCACCAAGACAAGGTTGGATGGGCCTAGCAACCTATTCTTTGGAAATTGCCCACATGGGACTAGCATGAGCAGGACCAGACACATTTAAGCTATACCACGTGGCTGTTACACCGCCTCATGCCCAGGCATAGGATCCATTAAAGATCACTAAAGGAGGTAAAAGAAACTTAATTTCCAATGAGTACAAGCCTAAAAAGGGGGGCCCACTGCCCCAGAGCTTCAGTCAAGGGTAGCTTGGAAAGACAATGACAAAGATCTTCCCACTGGGCTGCACTTCCAAAATTGTCTTGGTCATCTACTTTGTGTGGAAAGCTGGGTGTCCCAAGGTCAGAATATATATGCATTCATGGGCAGTGGCAAATACCCTGGCCAACTGGGCAGGGATGCAAAAGAGAAAAGATTGAAAGACAGGGCAAGGAGGTCTGAGGTGGAAGATCAGCGGACACGAGTTAGCACTAAGTAGGAAAATCTATCACACATTAAGGCCCAGAGGACATCTACTGCAGATGTCATCGTAAAGAATGAAGTAGATAAACATTGCTAGATGACATCATCCAGCCTTTGTTCACGTGTCCATGCCGACAGCACAGGGTGGCTGAGGGCACAAGGGCCATGGTTGCAGTTGAAGGTCATGCATGGTCACAACTGCAAGGGCTCTTGCTAGTGCTGATCTAGCTACTACTGCTTCCGTATCACTTGCCAGCTAGTGGGATCCATGCTTAGTCTTCATGGCAGCCAACCAACTGGCCACTCGCTATTAAGTTCACTCCAGTGGGATCTTGTCATCTTAGAAGGGCCAGTGACTGGTTCTAGTAAGGGAAACACATTCCCAGTACATGAATTTTCTGCCCACAGGGGCTTAGCCAGTACTTTTATCTGAGGTCTTAGAGCATTCCATCCCCCAATGATATTCCACTGAATACTACCATCAGACCAAGACATCCACTTCAGTGATTAAGGTACAGGCATGGCCTATAACCACGGAATCCACCATTTCTGGCATGTATCTGGTCAGTGGATGGCCCAAAAGAGTTAAAATGATCTTTAAACCATCTTTAGAGGCCCATCTCAGAATGCTCTATGGATGGAATGCCATCCTGTAGATTATAACATGTATTTTGAGTCGACTAATTTTATATGGCACTGTCACTAATCAGAATACTTGGTACCAAGAGGCACAACACAGACCACTTGCCAAAACTCCCAGTGGTCCACCTGAAGACTGTGTACTTCCTATTCATGCAGCTTTGGGGATCAGGAGCTCTAACTTCACAAAGCCCAAAAGGGGAGTACTTGTGTCAGGGAATACCGAGTTCTTTGTGTCCAGGGATGAGCAGGTGGAAAGTATAATCACCATTTTGTCATAAGTATTTGACTGTGGTTAGGAGAATCTAGGGATACCGAGCCATGATCGGGACAGGGAGAAGTGTTTGCACAGATAACCCTCTTGGGCAGTTCTTTCCTAGTCATGATAGTCAACGAGTAAGGGCAGCAAGCAACCTCTCTCCGAAAAGGACATGGGGGCCAATACTGCAGACTTTCCAGAGATTTGAGTCTACATTGTCCCACCAGAAGTCAACCAGATCAACAGAAGTACTAGCCAAGGGGATGGGAATTGAGACAGGATGGTGGTGGTAAGCAAAGAGTCATCATGATCAAGAGACAAGACTACTGGTGGCAAGCTTGAGACCAGCTGGAAAATACTCGTCTCCCTAACCATGCTCTTGAGTTTTCCCTCAGGAAGAGGAATCCATCCAAATCATGGAGGAACTTCATTGACAGTTTTTGAAGTAGATCAGACATGGCCCAAATAATGGATTTTAGTAGACAAGGAGATACACCACCAAGATCCCCTTTACGGATTTGAGTGACTTGTCTCCACATGTGGGCATGTAATCAGCCATTTGGAAGGGCCTCAGCTAGAGAACCACCTCAGTTCTAGGTCATGCTTTTCCAGCAGAAGCCCACATCCAACGACTGATGGAGACATGAGTATCAAAAAAAGGCCTGGTTTTGGCCCAGTTCATCACAAGTCAAACCATTTCTCCAGAGCTCCCCTGTGGGGTTATCTGAGGCTATCAGAGCTTCCCTGCAGCTCAAGTTCCTCTCCCCAGTCCTGCTTTACCAGTCATACAGATGTAGGTCCAAGGACACCCCCAATAAACATCCTGCTTATTACACTCGGTCTACTTCCTGGAGAGCTCCAATAATGCCAAGGACTGAGGAACATACTACATCATTATTTGTCCTCCAGATCTTCAAATACAATACATGGAATGCATCTAAGAAACTTTCCCTTATGTTATCGAATCTCACTTTATAAGGGTGACCCAGGAAATATTTAATATGACAGAGGGGTCTATTGATATAGCCATAGCAATGGCAGTATTCAGATAAACCCAGAACTATCCCCCCCAAGACAACTGTTTAACTCAATTCACATACTTGCTGTACTGTCATTGTGCTTTGTAGACATTTTGTTGGACCATATTTGAGAATATCTAAACTCCAGTGCAAAGAATCCAATACACCCGTCAATGACCACCTAATCCACCCAGACATTCTGTGCTTAGTTCATAATCCCATTGTCCCCTGAGAAGTTACCTAGGGACTAAAAGGGCCTGTTGCCCAGTTTTTCCATTAGGAAAAAACCACGCCATTCAGCATTCATCTGTCCCCCTAAACCACAAACTCAAATCTCCCTTAGATACTAAGACATGAAAGGGCAGTCAATCTATTTATCCTCCATCTCTATTGGGTCTATTTTAGCCAGATCCATCCCCAGCTTATGAGGTACACATTCTGTTATCTGGCAAGACCTATCCGACCTACTGGGCTAATCTCTCCCTAGCTCCATGTGGAAAGAGTCTCCATCAGTTGTGCCTTGAACACCTTGTCATCAACTCAGATAGTTGCAGAGTTGCCCTCGGCTGTAGCTGCTTAGGAGTGGAATTGGGGTTCTGCCCAGCCCCCTGAGGCTCCCTGAACCAGACACAAGCATCGGGCCTTTATAAAACCAAAGCTTCGTGCTGTTCCCAACTGAACGTGGGGTCTTGAAAGCAGTGGAAAAGGTATTCACCAGGCAGCATAGCCTGGTGGTGTGGAAGAAGCCATCTGATAAAGGGTGCTATGGAGTGTTCATCCCCCCAGGAATTTTATGAGGGGAACCCTCATCTTCCTGATAGTGTTAGAAAATGAGACCTTTGGAAGGTTGTTAGACCCCGAGTAGAACCGCCTTGAGATTAGCACCCGTATGAGAAGGGACACCACAGACTGGCTCCTGTCTCAAGCCATATGGGGATATAAGAAAGCAGCTGTCTATATAAGCTAAGAAGGCAGGCAGGCTTGGACATCAGTCGTGTGCAGCTGCACTGATCTTGGACTTCCCAGCCTCCCAGACTGAGAAATAACTTGCTTAAGCCACTCAAGGTACAGCATTTTTGTCCCAACAGCCTGCATAAACTAAGGGGTTTGACATCCAGGGTATGATGTGAGCCCTTCCCAGCATGACCTTATATAGGCCCCATGTTCCATGCTTCTCATGCGTCACAGGCGGGAATTTCCTTGTTATTGCTGCTGTGCCATACCAGTGGAGCCTAGTTTTGTTCACTGCAATAGAAGGCATATAGGGATACAGCTAACTTGCAGCTGGTGTGTTGTAGCTCTACAGTTATGCCAAGGGTGCCTAAAACCATGACGCTGACCTTGGCCAAGGTCAGGATCTAGGTAGTGTTTTTCATCTTTGAGACACCAGAAAGCTCCTATTCCAGCTTGCCTATGCTGTATTGAGAATGCATCGATCAGTCCACACCCTCATTTACCTGGTTACTCAAACTGTTGGTCATGTCAACAGTAGGATAACACTCCAGTTAACTTGTGCCTCGCTTCCCTGAGACCAAGATGTTTTATGCACACTAGTTGCTGGTGATACAGAAACAAAGCACATCTATGCTACAAAGGACCTAGGAGTCTACATCTGTGTCCTTTTTCCCCTCAAAATTAGCATTTGTAAGGTCATTGCAGCTTCTTATGGGGCAGGACAGGCAGGTGTTCTAGTCACACCTAGAGTCAATTAATCTATGGCTTAGATTTTAGCCACTTAGGTTTTAACAAACAAGCTACAGAGTAGGTATTAAGACTTCTGGAAACATCCAGATCACCCCCCTCTCAGGTTCAGGGACTCCCAGTATATGGGTGGAACCTGCACCAAGCTAAATAGGAAGCAGCTCTGTATGCATACGGGAAAGCCTATGCCATTTCCCCAATGACCCACACTCAAGACCATCCTACTGATGGCTCTTGGGTAAGGAGTTAAGAAAAGGGAACAACCCAAACACTCGTTCAGAGTTATTGGTCAACTTAAGAGGGTATCATTAAGCTGGTTAAATAACTCGATATAAGCCCAAACCAGGACCCAAGCCTTAAGGCAGGAGCCTCTGCAGGCCTCACCAGCAACACAGGCACCAGATCTGTCAATCCTGGGCTGTGGGGTGGTGAGTGGCAACTTGGACTACTTTCAGGTCTGCCACACAGGTCCTCATAGACCCTTGTGGGATCCATCTGGGATACTGAGGCCAGATGTCTCCACCTCTGCACCACAATTCATCGTGCCTGGAAGTTCCCTAGTAATTGATTAAACTGGGTGGGGAAGTGGATGGTTGGAGAACACAGTTTCAAGTCCAACCATTACAAAAGAACACAAATTGGCATGAGCACATCTATGTAGAAGAATCATCAAGCAAGCATTGGAAGAAAGGAGAGAAGTTTGATATAGACATGAGATGCTCTCCAGCCTGGATAGCAGTAAAGAGAAGAATCATCCTTCTCCCTAGGGCTGGGTAATGCCGGGAACACGGAACACTAAGTCTTCCATGCAGCACTGAATGCTGCCTTAGTATTTGTTCTTGGTGGTTTGTGATCATTTGATGGCACTAGAGTATTTGTCTTATTTTAGTAATATCACCATCACCCTAACAATTGCCGCCGCTGCCCTACCTGAAGCTGAGCTGTGCTGTGGTGTGTTCAGACCATTTGTACAAGCTGGCACTCTACCTCACTTGACCAGAAAAGGGAAAATAACTTTCTAAGCTGATTCTGGGCCTCCAGTATCTTGGAATGGGACCCTTGAGGTTCTTCCAGACAAACCTGCCCATGTACTGTGGATACTGGTTGCAGAGAGTGAGTGAACTACGTGGATAACTCATGCAAATATCCATGGTGATGGTCTCTTCTGATCAGACCAAATGGAATTGAACTGCTAATGGAACCTGTTTTCTGATGCTGAGCCTAGACCTGCATGCCATGTTACAATTCCTGCCCAAAGCTGTGAGACAAATGCATATATCCCATGAAGCATGGATGGCCTCCCTAACACATTCCTGACAGATAACTTGGGAACTCCTGAAGTCTTCTCAGGCTTGTCTGTTGACTTTGTTACATATCTCCCAACTCCAGCCGTGGCTCTTGAAACTGGTCAGCGTCAGACGTTCAGCTTTCCAGGCTACTTGCAGTCTGAAGGTGATATACCCCTTTCAGCAGAAGCTCTTCAACAGCGACCTGGCAGGCCAACTCCACTTATTTCCTCCTGGTCCACACTGCATAGTAAAGCTGTTAAATCAGTAAGTACAGCTGCCTTCGGAGAGGGGCCATACCACCTTGTCTTGGGAGCTTACTGGACAATGATAAGACGGGTATGGTATTACACAGACCTTTGGGACCAAAAACCAACCTGCTGTGCAAATTCAGGTTTCTGCCCAGCCCAACCCTGGGAATGACACATTGAACTTTCTAGCAGCAACCCTAAGAAAACCTGGTTGACTTACCCTCTGGCTGGCAACCTGGGCAAGAGCAGACCTAGAGGATTCAGACTCAATGTTGGTTAGGTTTTGTGAAAACGCTTTTGTTCCTTAGATCTGGCTCTTTAGAAGACAAATATTTGGGGATACAGAGGAGGGGGTAAGATGTGAAGTAGATCTACTGGAATGGGACATCCTGATTTTGTGGCAGTGGCTGGAAAACAAAACCCCAGGAACATAGGAAAGGAAGCACCTCAGACCCTGGGAGTTGTGGGGAAGGGCATTCATCTTTCAGAATAGGCTGAGCTTTCTTCCTGCAGAAATGTGTGCCTACATTTCCTCTAAACTGCTGTAAACACTAGAACCTATCCAACTGTTGAGTCTGCCATACACTGCCAGAAAGCTTGGACCAGAAGACAGGATGCCTCTAGCTATGGAACCTTCCACAGATGCCTCCAAGATGCCACCCCAGACCCCATTTGCAGCCCTTCTGTAGGACAGATGAAAATGACTCGATTCAGTTTCTCAGACTGTGAACCCTGGAGGTGACCAGCTGGTGAGAGTCTAAGCTCTTGCTCACCAATGTCTATCCCAAGGGGAAGCCAGTCAGAGGGGTGGGTGTGCAACTCAATTGTTTCCAGGGATCCATGTATGTGATTCAGGATTGTACTTACATTAAGTGCTTTAAGCTTCCTTCCTTCATGAAGACACTGATTTGCCCATTTTAGAGGTAGGGGATGGGTGGCAAAACTCATTGGCCCTTCCACAGCTTGTCTCAATAGTCTGAGGGTGAAAAAAGTATAGCAATATGCTTCAAGTTAATACTCGTTCTTAGCTCTCTGTGCAAGAGATATCCACACAGTCCCATCCAGGGCAGCACAGTTGCATTCACAGCAAGTTCATCCTGTTCAGTACCTTTATATGTTTCCCACCAGAGACCACAGGAATTAGAATTCCTGTGAAAGCTCAGGATTAGAGACAACTCACTAGGAAAACTGCACTTAACTATTCAAAGATAAACTTCTCATTGGCCAAGCATAAGGGATGTGCCTGTAGAAGGGTCAGGGAACTATCTTGGATCATGGCATGATCTTGGGAATAGAAGCTCCTTATGGTGAACCACAGAAAAGTCAGGGTCTCCTTTACTACAGAATGTTATACCAGCCTTCTATCCAGATTTAAGTAAAAGAAAGTTTTATCTTGCTTTTGATAAAAAGATGGTACTAGAGTCCCATCGAGATTAAGAAAATTGGTCTTTCCCATCCACCCTGAAGTTGGTAAGAAATGAAGACTTCTAGTAATCACTAGGGTGAGAAGTCTCAGGCAGAACAATGCCATGTGGAGGCATATAATTTGATGCACAAGGAGACAACCTCCAACAGCACGGGTGAGACCTTTAAGATAGGCATTTTCACGACATACAAGCACATCAAGATGAACAAGCCCTACCTTCATTGTTAGAGCTTGTTCTCAGAGCTAAGTCATCTTTCACCTCTCTGCAAAGTATCCCCAAACAACTTTCTCACACACGCATTGCTGGTTAAGAATATATTCGTACACAGTGAAGACAACTTGGCTTCTGTTTCTTCCCTCCGGGGGCATAGTTTTAATGATTTTAGAAAGCTAGAAGCAGGAAAGGAACAAGCCAATCATTTTTCCCACTGAAAGTCAGACATGACCATTGGGTACAAGACCCAAACCCCAGAACTATAGCTCTGTGGTCCCATCCAGGTTCCTTTTCTGTGCTAAGCTCTGTTCACCATGCATATTTTACTCAAATTAGAAGCAGAACAGCCTGATGAAAGCCAAAGGAGTAAATTCAAACTAAGCTTCATTAGACCAGGGCACCCATGAAAAAAGACTCAGATCTTTGTTTCAATTGCAATTGTTAATTTAACTCCTTCCCTTTACAGAGGCCAAGAACACTGGGTCTAGGTACCTCTATGGCAGGAGACAGCTCAGCTGTCCCCATGTGGCTGGTAACTTGCCAGTTCTATAGGCAAGACACATTCACAACTGGAAGTGTCCCAAGTGGAACTACACTGGTCAACATAGCCCAGGATTACAGGAGCATTGCTTGGGGCAAATAATCTAAAACTTGGTGACAATGTCACACTGACACCTAATGAGGTTCAGACTATTTTACAGGCAGCTAAGCTGGCTAGAAGGCGTGCACAACACACAGCAGGATAATGGGGAAGAGCCCATCCTGTAGGGGAGTAACCACAGAGCTCTGCAGGAGACTACCCCAAGCAAACTTGAACAAACTCCCTCCTCCACTTAGATTCCCTTGCATAAGTATTTATTCTACCTAAAATACCATGAATAACTATAGCAAAAGCCAGGCACATAGTGATTCTCAAGTATTTATTGACTAGAAGGAAGGAAACCAAAAAACCATGGCCTTAAGGGCAATGCTCACCATGGCCATGTCTTCCTGGAAGAGAAGACATTTCTAAAACTTAGTTTGTCAAGGATATACCCTGATCAAATAGCTCAGATTTTAGCAGATCTATGACCAATTTCCAAGCTGACACCTATATACAAGCCAGCCTGGCCACCAGGGCTACCTCTCCCATAAGCAAGAATGGACAACTCCTTCTAGCCAGGGCTTAGGGTAGATGTACACCTGTTACTAGCAATCTCAGAATAAGAGGAACATCCCATAACAAGTACAGAAATTCCTGACCATGGCAAGGACAAGCAGGAAGAGGTCTTAGGACATTTGTATCTGCAGATGAATTACTTGATTAGAGACGGGCCTATATAGCTCATTCTTATACCTTGAAGCCCAAATGAAGACCACTAAGCTGTTCAGAGAAAATGTGGGTTGTGAGAATTGATGAGTTGGATGTGAGGGCATGCTGATTTTCCAGTTACATCAGCCATCTCCCAAGACCACAGACACAAAGAATTCTAGGCACTTTCTTTACAAGACATTATTAAGGATGAGACAGTGTATCAGGCTACTCTAGAACACACGAGGCAGGAAGAGTAATTTTTCAATTCTATAAACACTAGCTATTGTGGGATAGTCAAGGGAAAAAGCAATGTCTAGTCTGCAGTTTTATGTCCCTGGGATTTGGCTGATCCACTGGTTTACCACCAAGTTGCCTATATGTAATCACTTCGAATGTGGCAGTAGGAGATTGGATTCACATACCTAGAGTCCCCAGATAAAGATTAGGGCACAAAAGATTCAGAGTATCCATGGAAACAAGAGTTCCCAAGAATATCACTCAGGGGAACCCCTGAGGGGAACCAGCTCCATTGCTGCCAGCTGTTCACCATCTCGTATGGACAGCAGAACCAAGTCCACAGTCATACACGGTTGGGCCTTTGTCCAAACCTGCAGCTCATAAACTGAGCTTCCCTTGGTAGGTATCTGTTATGGGAAGTCAGGGACCCTGAACAGAGGGACTGGCTGTGGCAGAGGAACAAATTGTGAAGATTTCACCTTAATATGGACATTCATCAGTTCTCAAATAACACTTGTAATTTCTTATGACTGTCTTTAATCTCTTAATCCTGTTTTCTTCATAAGCTGAGGATGTACGTCACCTCAGGACCACTGTGATAATTGTGTTAACTGTACAAATTGATTGTAAAACTTGTTTGAACAATGAAATCAGTGCACCTTGAAAAATAGTGATTTTTGTGGAACACGGGAAGACAACCATAAAGTCTGACTGCCTGCAGGGTTGGGCAAAGAGCCCTATTTTTCTTTTTGCAGAGGGCCTATAAATGGACGTACAAGTAGTAAACATATGCCTAAATTCTTTTCCCAGCAAGGAATATTAATTCTCTGGGAAAAGAAAGTGTCCCTGGGTGGAGGTCTGTGAATGGCTACTCTGGGAATGTCTGTCTTGTACAGTTGAGATAAGGACTGAGATATGCCCTGGTCTCCTGCAGAACACTCAGGCTTACTGGAGTTGGGAAAACTCAACCCTGGTAAATTTTTGGTCAGACTGGTTTTCCGCTCTCAAACCCTGTTTTCTGTTAAGATGTTTATCAAGACAATACGTGCACCGCTGAACATAGACCCTTATCAGTGGTTCTGCTTTTGCCCTTTGCCTTGTTCCCTCAGAAGCATGTGATCTTTGTTAGACCCTTTATCAGTGGTTCTGCTTTTTCCTCTTTGAAGCATGTGATCTTTGTACCTACTGTTCTTACACCCCCTCCCCTTTTGCAACCCTTAATAAAAAACTTGCTGGTCTGAGACTCAGGCAGGCATCACAGTACTACGGATATGTGACGTCACCCCAGCAGCCCAGCTGTAAAATTCCTCTTTGTACTGTATTTCTCAGCTGGCTGACACTTATGGAAAATAGAACCTACGTTGAAATATTGGGGGCATTTTCTCCCATTAGGTATCTGTGGTACTGAAATTGAGGAATTCAGAGTCTGCTGGGATGCAACAGAAACCTCAGATGATGAGGATGACAACAGATCCCCAGGGAAAGGTCACGGCCAGGATTTTCCTGTTCCTAGAAAAACACAGGAAACACCTCCTTCCAGAGATGGGTGCCACACTGTGCCACTGACGATGCCTGGACTGCAAGCTCCAAGATATGCCTCCTTCTCTGGGGATGGCTTTGTTCCAATGGAAGCTATTTTCAGCCTATTATTTCATGCCACTTCCATGGGGAAACCACATTCAAAGGCTTCATCAAGGAATAAAAACGCCAGCCAGGTAGGTCAATTAATAGCTCTAGAGGCCACCCTAGCTAAAGAACTTCTTGTGGGTTGGTCAAATCTTCTACTGCAACAGCCCCACAATTTCACCTCCCCCTTCTCAACCATGCTTTATTTTCTTCCTTTCCCATGCAGTTCCCAAGCCCACTCAGCAGTAAATCTAATGCCTGTGTCAGTCTGCATCTCTCAAACACAAACTAAGACACTTAGCTTTTCACAAACATTTAATCCGAGTTACAAGTGATACAGGAAATCAAAGATTCTTGATCCTACAAGAATATGAGAACTAGTATAAGTCCTAAGTTCACCAGGATGAACCAATGATTCAATTATTGGCAGCTAGAGATGATTCAGCTGATAATCACTAAACTGAGGAAGTTCCAGGGACTACTCATAGCCTTCCCTATGAGACACCCCGGGTCATCCTGTGAGTTTCTTTGTACACTGAATGATTTATGTCCTTTAAGCCAGTGCAGTTAATCTAGAACATGTTATAAAATGAGTTCTTATTGTCATCCTGGGTCCTAGGTACTTTTGTTTCAAGAGGGAATGAGAAATTTCCATGTTGGCCTCAAAAAGCAGAGGCTTTGTAATGTGGCCAGCACAAAGGATTGACCTCAAGCAACTAAGGCCTCATAGGCTGGTACTATTTTGAGAAGACATGTCAAAGCAGGAGTGGACAGCTAAGCCTCGGTGGCCAGCTGCCTCCATGTCCCAGGACTGAGGACACTGGGGGATGAAGAAGAAAGTTTTCCAGACATGGCATCCTTTTCTCCAACCCTGGCAGAAGACTGAAAGAGCCATCACTCAAATGATGCTGGTGATGGAGAACCATCCACCACTTTCTTTGGTCATCTGACCATGGCATTAAGGCTGCTTGGAATGTTTCTAACACTGCTAAACCTGTGGGACTGAGGTCTCCATCTCCTGTTCTTTGGTAAGCTTGTGTCATCCATGACATGAAACCTCACCTTTGCCTCAATTCATGCTTGCCATCCACCTCAGAATTGACATCAACAAGGACCTTCACGATTTCATATGCCCCTTTACCAGATTACTAGGGAATTTCAAGGAAACAGGAAGCAAGGAGTCACGAAGCACCAACACTGCCCCCAACACCTGGCCCCAGCTCAGAAATCTGTAGGAGAAAGGTCAACACTATGATCTTGCATCTCACAGATGCTCTCTGCACCGACCCCACAAGTCGCTGCATGAGGGCTCTCCATTCTATTTTGCTCCAGGTTAACTCATTCCCGTGCATCCCGTGGACGCATGGAAATGAAGTGATGTTAAAGTTCTGGACGAAAGGGATGTCAGCATTTGTAGACTCCACTACAAGCACCAAGAGCTCATCGCTCTCCTGCGAAAAACAGTCCTAGTTTCTACAGGTGACTCCAGATATTCTGAAGAGTTTGAAGTCAAACTGCAGTTGTTAGGGTGCCTTCTGATATCTACCGAAGACTCAGAATATGCCTTTCTGCATAGAGATTTCAGGTTCTAGATCAAGTTAATGTAAAGCAGATCCACTCAGTTAAACAAGGATATATTCTTCAACTACACCAAGTCAGAATTGTGGTAGGCATTGGTGGGTCCCCTAAGATCAGCTTCCCAAAAATTGTTGGACCATGGTAACAATGTCAGATTAGAGATTTAAGGAAGTTGGACATTCACCATGACAGTTTCATTGGCATTTCCCACTGATCTATATATTCTAATACCTAAAATATATATATTATATATATATATATATATGGGATATGCTTCAAAGTGAAAAAACAATCATCTACTGTGAGCTCTGTCGCTGAGAAAAATGCATTAACACAAGTTCCTGAAGATTTGGGGTTGTGTAGAGCTTAATGGCTAGAGAAAATGGGGTCCTTAGTGACCACCAGAAATATTTCTACACAAATGGGCATCTTCCCCATGATAAAAGTCCTTTCAGGCTCTTTGTGGCAGAAGACAAGAGCATTTTGGACACTATAACCAGGTTGAACAATGTTTTTTCCACTTCTAGATGCCTGCTTAAGTTGTATACTTCATCTTAGACATGAGTAGGGAAGCAGCCTTCCCCTTTCAAGTCTGGCTTGCACACATACCAATACGAGCTACAAAGTCACTGAAGTACCCAGACCTTTCCTGGCAGTGAGTGTTCACACAGAGGAAACGTTCGAGTCATGTTTCATGCAACAAACGATCAACTGACAAAGGTCTCTTCTCCATGTGAGCACACAAGCTGGGGTCTAACTCCCTCATCTTCAGGGTCTCAGCTTTCACAGACCAATCCCATAGTAACTACCCTATCATGTGTGACTCAACCCCAGTGGTATTTATGAAGGATGTAGGCTTGAATTCAGTTAGAATGATACACTGCTCTAGTTACAAATAAGTCCACTCTCTAAGATTAACACTCCCATCTACCCAGGGTTATGCCTGCCATCATCCCCCTGAAACTTCATGTTGTGTTCCTCATGCTGAAGATTGCCTTTAAACTTCAGGAGAGCTGGCACACCCAAAGGTTTCAAAACCTTGGGTGAAAGCAGAGATAAACATTTTATTGACAAATAAAAAGGTGGAGCGTTCAAGGTCATTGTGGCCTAGGAAAAACAGGAGACATTGCCAGGAAACGGAGTCATCAAGAGGCCTCACATGAGCAGAGGAAGATGCCAAGCACAGCTCAAGGACTTTTGTTGTGGCCACTCCAGTGCTTGCCCAGCAGACACCGTGGTGCCCAGAGGGCCCATCATACACACTTCCACTGTCAGAGGAAGCTGAAGACTTCTGGACCCAGTCTCCTGGGGGTGATGGGGTATCACCTCCAAGTGCACTCTTATCAAATGACTGTCTCTTCAGCTCAGAAAGGCTGGGCTGTACGTCGAGTTCACTCAGATCAGCCATGAGAACCTTAGTCCCTGAAGCATTACAGGTCATGAGAAATTAAAGCATCATTTATTTTTAAATGGAGGAATTTATACAACTTTCTCTATCAAGGGACAGGTCACAAAGGATAAGGACACCAACAAAGATAGAAGCCTATCAATGCCCTGCGAGTGTGATAAGCCCAGAAGTATCCCCTGGTCCTCTGACACTAGCCCACCATGGCAAGAACAGCTTCATGTCACAGGGCTCACCGTGCACTATCACAACTCCTCAAAGATCGACAGCAGGGTCTATTTCCCAGTCTACATCCCTTATCTGTATTATTGTTCTTGGGGGCAAGTAGCTACCCAGACACCACTAACAGATAAGCCTAGACCTTTTTCCCCAAAATAGGCACCTAACAGGAGGATTCTTGGGTTTCAACCACGGCCCAAGTCCAAGTAATAAAGAGAACAGAAGACTTAAGATGCAGAGAGAATTGAAAGTGTTATGATTCTCTTTAGATCATTCTATGACCAGAAAACCTATCACTATTGCACCTAATATTCAAGCTTTATTGGAAAAATAAAGTTGCCAACATTCGTTTTGATCATGAGACATTTGTCCAGTGATTTTAGTGATTCAGCCTTACCCACTGACAGGTTGGCCAAGGAAGGTCCCCTTCCCCATCCTGTCTCCCTTCACAAGTCTGAAGCATCTAATCCTGGCAAGTGGACCTCACATCCCAGTCCCCATCACTCCAGATCAGCCAGGACCCAGGTAGGACCCCTTGCTGCCCCCATCCCACCCTCTTGCCCCTGTGCTCTCTTTGGGACTTTGCAGGACCCTTAATGAACCCGCAGCCAAGAACACATCTCTGCTGGCAGAAATCCAATGACCAGCTGCCCCAAACACCACAGGACCTCTTTTTCCCATCCAGCCCAGCCTACCTAGGATCTGTAATCAAGGGTTAAATATGAAATAGGCAGAAAAGTTCTGTATCTTCCCTTAGAGGGAAATTCACAAACCTACCATTAAAAATCCTTAACTTTCACCTCTAAGTTGGTTTTTCTGCTAGGATTAGGGTTGCTTTAACTCAAGTATCAAGCAACAGATCAGGTAAACTAAGGAGATACCAAGTCCGAGAAACAGCATTAGAACGGCAAGTGACATTAACACCATCCACATTTCTACAATGTCACACAGATTAGGGTAATATAACACAAGGACATTAGGGAGTTAAGGAAACCATTCTGTGGTATGGATCAATTCATATCTTGCAGGGGTTAAGTCAACTATTTACCTCCTCATGGCAAACAGTTGCTCTTTAGAGAGCCTCACTCACCTGTCTGCTCTGTAAAGGGCAAGGACTGTTGTTAAGAACATGCTGCCTGCATCCTGAACCTCCCAAGCATCATACAATCCTACAGGTAGACTTGTGAACTTGATCTCCATTCCTGTCTGCCACAGTCTGAGTAGGGACAGGTGTGAATGGAGCTTCAGTGATTTCTGTGGCAATCAACATTAGGATAAGGGACAGAAATTTAAGGAAGAGTTGAAGACTGGAGTCTGCAACAGCTTCTGGGCATGAATGTAGGTGACTTGGTACCTTGAAGATCTTGTTGCATACCAGGGTATAATCAACACACCTGCAGATCATATTGGGGCAATACAAGTATCAGGTAACATCAAAGATCATAGAAGTTAGAAAAACATCCAGTGAGTTTTCCCCCTGAAATTATCTTTTTCAAGCCCTATGATAAGACTTGCATACATTGAGTGGAGGTGGCTTACTGAACCTAAGCTCTGGAGTGTTCATTCCTAGGCTCTGCCTTTTCCCTCCATCACTGGCTTGAGCATTCTAAGTCATTCTAGCTATGAAGAATGTGTGAAGACTGGCAGAAGGACCTACTTCTGGCAAGACATTTCTCCCAACTGGAGGTGGTGGATGGATATGTGGCATGTTCATGAGGCACCAGACCCAACAAGAAGTCCTGCTGCTGTCATTGCCATCTCTCCCTGTGGTTGCTCCTGGCATCTCACAGGCCTGGGCACTGGTTAAGGGAAGCTAGTGGGTCACTCCTCGACTGTTCATCTAGACAGCATCCTGGGCTAGGACACCACTTCTAGAGAAACTTGGATTTCTATGTGAATGTTTTTATACCAGTAAAAATACCCTGCCCCCAAAGTGTTGGGACAGCTGCTCCAAGGGCTCAAAACAGTCCTAGAATGGTCCCTCTGAAACACTTGTTACTTGGACTTGGGGTCAGAAGAATGCCAAACACAGAAAGCCTCACTGATCACTGGTTCAAACTGAGTAAATCAGTGGGGCAGGGATCTTCTTTCATGTGCCTATTCTGGAGTTTTAAGTATGGAAGGGATGTCATTCTATATTTGACTGCATTTTTGAAATTGGTCTTTAATCTTCTGGAGTCCCATGTCAGATGGGAGTGTACTATGAAGTATGTATTATGGCTTTCATGCAACTTATGGTATATCTTGGTGAATAACTACCTCTTCTGGCATTTAGTGCCATTCTGGAAAAATACATTCTCTCATTCATCCTCATTGAGGGTCCACTATCAGTTTTCTTTTTAATGGGAAAAAGTATACATTCAGTCTCACTCTCAAGGTAACTCTCCTGATCTTTGCCCCAATATCATTTGCAGAGGTCTCAATTATGCTGACATTCCCCAGAAGAGCCTGCTGGGTCACTTACTGGTATCACTTAAGTCAGACCTGGGCAACAGGAAAGTAGGAAGTACCCTGGAGAACACCTGTGCGCCAGAGACAGGGAGAAACTTATAAGCCCAGGGGCTCAGTGACATCACTGATGTTTTTAGTTATCTAAGGAATGCAGGGACGTTACTTCCAACTTTGAAATTATGGGAGAATTTCTTGCATCTTTTTCTCCTACCATGAAGTGTACTTTCAAAATAGGTAGGATTTTTTGGATTTCAGAGAAAGCATACGTCACACTCGACTACTCCAAACCATTTTTCTGGGCTCAAATGGCTAAAAGTTCTGAGGAGGACTCCAAGAAAATGAGGGCTCCACAGCTAGTTTTGGTCTAAGCTGTTACCATGGATGTAATCCCATAAGAGACAAGGCAGGAGAGGATGTCACGGGTGCTCTCTAGCAGACTCCATAGCAAAAGGTATATTGCACACCCCTAATATACTAGCCTAAGTCTGCACCTTTTTCAGATAAGCCTTCTACTAGCTATCTCTAAGCATGTTACTGGGCCTTAGAAAGTGAGCTCCTGGCCATGAAACATCAGGTAACTGTTTATAACTGCTCAGTATGAGCTAGGTGCTGTGAAGTCCCATCCAGGCAAACGTTCTAGTAGGCACAGAAACAGTGTTATAAAGTATTTGTACAGAAAGGCCAGATTTAAGTTAGAAAACCAGGCGGCTCAGATTCCCGTCATCCCCCACCTCACACTGGGCCCCTTGCCATCTGCGACAGTGTAGGATACTCAATCCCACAGCTACTGGCAGCTTTCTACACACAGGATTCTAATCACCAACCGTGCAACACCATTCTCTTTCCCATGCAGGCATTCCTACGTTAGCAAAGACGTCCGGGACAAAGACAGTTCTGGCCTTAGTGTTTCTACTGTATGCCGTAAGAAAAACGTCTGGATTCTGCACAATACAGGGCATTTGAGAATACCCGCAGAAGCACTGACCAGCACTAGGAGTTAGAAAAGCTGTTCTTGATCAAGCTTCCCCTTCTGACTATGAAGAAGCCAAGAGGCAAGGAGTGAACTCCAGAAGTCAAGGGGAAAAACATGGAAATCCCAGATTTAAACAATTGTCAGTAGAAACTGAACAGGGACAGCAGGCTTCTAACTCCCAAGCACAACTGCATTACCAGGAACATCAGTGAAGGGGACTAAGAACTGTCCCACGTGATGATGATGTTCTCTGCCAAGGGAATAGAGCAGAAGGCAGTGACAGCCCAAAACCTAGCATACCAATTCCCCCATTACCTTTAAGACTGCCACCAGTTAACCTGCTTCACCAGGACATACTGCAGGGCCCAGGTCCAACACCTGGAGCTGACCAGAGGCCAGAAATTAGACGTGCAAGTGCCTGCTTGCCTTTACCCTAGCCAAATCAAGATGTATTCCCAGCACAGCTGAGAACAGAATCCAGAAGTCATTACAAAGAGTCAGGTGGACAAGGGGTAAATGTCTAGGTTGAAGAGATGGATCCTCCTGAAGTGGCTCTTCTGAGTTGTCCGCCCTGGAAGAGTTCAGTGCTCTCTCCTTGAGGGAGTTCATACAACTGTGGTGGCAATGTCTGGTCTAACATGGCAATAGAAATTCCTGAAGATCAGCTCAGGCAGAGCTGAATGGCTAGAGAAAATGGAGCACTTAAGTCACCCACTAGAAAAACTATGCACAAGTGCATATCCCCCTTCCCTAACAGAAAGGTCCTCTCATCAGGCTTTTCAATATGGCAGGAAACAAGGATTTTTGGCATTACGACTAGGGTAATAATTGGTTTCCACTCCAAAGGGTAGTCCAGATGCCTCCCCCTAAGGATGTACTTCATCTTACTCATGGGTAGGCCAGAAGCCTTCAAGTTGACCCCATACACCTGCCAACAATGACACAGTCATGGCAATAAGTACCCAGAACCTTTTTGCAAGTGTGACTGTCCAAATGACCAATGATGGACTGTGAGTCATACATTTTATAAGATGAAAGGTCAACTGTCAGGTCCGTGTGAGCACACAGCCATCTCATATTTGCCAGTACAGTCAGCTATTATGTTCCAAGTGCCACTGACTATTCTGTATGTACCTCCACATAACTCTCCTGGTGTATGTAATGTATGTCTGCTTGAATTCAGATGGAATGAGATGTACACCTCCAACTGTGAGGTGATCTCAGCTGCAAGTTTGACATTGCCATGCATTTGGGATTATTTACATTTACATCTGTCATTTCCTAAAACCTTAAGTTGGATTCCTCAAGCTAAAGGTTGCCTTTAAGCCTCTGAAGAACTGGGAAACTTGAGACTTGAAAGCATTCTTGAGTGAAAGAGTAAAGAACTAGAATGAGAGGTAATGTAGTTTACTATCCAAGGTTACGGTTGTCTCGGAAGAAGTTGAGGCAGATGTTGACATGGAACAGAGCCACCTAGAAGAGGCCTCACAAGAGAGGACACAAAGCAGGACACAGTCATCCTGCCTGCCCCAATGCGTGCCCCAAGCAAACACCCACAGGCTCCCATACTCCCACTGTCAGTGAGCTGCCAACACTTGGAACGCAGCCACCTGGCGATGGGGTGTCACTTCCAAGTGTACTGCTACCATATTATAGGCTCTAGGACAAGCTCGGTCACTGAGCAGCAGTCACACATGAGCCTTGGTCCCTGAAGAACTGCCCATGGTGTGAGATTACAGTGCCAGTTATTTTTTATGAAGAGATTTGTACAACTTGTGTGAAGGGACAAGTCATGAAGGATTCTAAAAAAACCACAGAATCCAAAAGTATTCTCTGCAAGTGTTGCAGAAGCCCGAACTATCCATGGCAATGACACATTCCAACCAAAAGTCTCATGCTCTATTACTGCAGTACCTCGGAGCAGTTGAGTCATTTTCTCCTACATCTGTCCTGGTCTACATTCTCGTTCTTGGGGTAAGTAGCTCCTTGGACATCAAGGAGTCATCAGGAGATCTGGGCTTTCTTCCTTAACAAGGCTTTAAAAGATACACTTGGTAGAGGGAACTAAATAAAGGACTTAAAGCCAAGAAAATCTGTCATGATTCCCTTTTAAGAGATTCTATGACCAGAGAAAACCCTTCTGTGCTGCACCTAGTGTTTGAACTTTGTTTTGGTCATGAGACATTTATCTAATGATTTTTTCTTATTACTCAGGGCCTTGGGGCCCACTACTGCCATGGGTTAGCCAATCGCTGTCTCTTTCTTCTTTTCTAGTTCTAGCACAAGCCAGTGAAACCTCCAGTACCACAAGTAGACCTCTCATCCCAGCCCCCACACGACTACAGCTCAGCCAGGACCCAGATAGAATCTCACACTCAACCACACCCACCTCACACTGGCCCCAGTGCTGTTGGGGACACTGCAGGACACCCGATTGAGTCACAGCCCAGGAAACAACCCTGTTGGCAGGAATTTCTGATGACCAGTTGTCCTAGACTCCACAGGGCCCCATCCAGCCCTGCCTATGCAGGATCTGTCATTAGGGTTAAATATCCAATAGACATATTCTGTATCTTCCCCCTAAGAAAGAAGCAATTCACAAGCCTTCCATAGTAAGTCCTTACTTCCCTCTTTTCCTCAGTCTTTCCTGCTAGTATTAGAGTTCCCTTCAAATACCAAAGGTCAGGCGGACTAAGGAGAGAACAAGTATTGGAGACATCATCACGCTTGACTCAAGTGACATTAATACCAATCCATATTGCCACAGGTCTGCACAGATGCACGGAAGAACAATCAGAGGTTAGAATACCAGAAAATCAGAGCAGCTCAAAAAAAAAAAAAAAGCACTCCATGGCCTGGAGCAAGTCATATCATGGAGGAGTTCTGACAACTCTCACTGCCTCATGACAAACAGCTGCTCTTCAGAGACCCTTCACTATCATGTCAGCTCTGTAAAGGGTGAGGGCTATTGCTTAATCAAAAGAACATGCCAGCATCCTGAACCTCCCCAAGCATAATCCAGTCTTCCTCCAGAACCTTTGTGAACTTGATCTTCGTTCTATCTGCCAGTCTGAGGAGAAAAAGTGAGTGCAGTGTTAGGAATTTTGTGACATTTACTTCCTTCACGGTCAAGGGACAAATTTAAACAAGAGTTGAAGGCTGGAGTCTGGCACAGCTGGGCACGTGAGAATAGGTGATTATACAATGGTATGCAGCAAACTTTTCCATGTCAATTTTATCAATATTCCTGCAGGTCATATGGGCAGTTCTAATCAGGCAACATTTAAGATCAGGTAGATAAACTCATCTGAAGCCAGCTTTCAAATACTGAAAAAGAGGTTTGGGTACACAGAGTAGAGGCAGCTCACTGAAGGTAAACTTCAGTCTTTCAGTGCCCAGGCTCTACTACTCGTCCACCCCCCACCCCTACTACTGGCTTGAGATTTTTTAAGTCACCTTACAAAAACATGAAAATTTGCAAATTCACAACTTGATGTGGTAGATGAATGTGGCATGTTCAGGAGGCAGCACAGCCCACAGACAACCAAGCCCTTCACCCATAGACACCCAATGGGAGAACTGCCAAGACACGCTTGGGGGTTCCTTGAGGAAGCTAGTTTGCTGTTCAACTGTGAGATTTCTCTTCCCAGGAACAGCATGACATATCTAGACATTTTTGTCGACTCAGGTGGTGCTAAAGACATCTAATACAACAGGTAATCATGCTGCTAAACATTTTACAATGAGGACAGCCACCCACAATGAAGTATCCAGAAAAAAAAAAAAACTCAGTACAAAGCTAAATAGTTTGACCTGGTTAGCAGCTTTGACACCAGTTATGTATGTAATATGAAGCCTTTGCAGGCTTTTGTGAACACAAGTAAATGCTCAAGTTTAAGGTTCTTCTGGCTGAAGCATAAAGCCTCACCATGGCTGCTGGAACTCCTTGCCCAGAGCTGAGAAGTAAGCCACCTTCAACCTGTTCCCTCAGTCTCCTAAAACACTGCCCTTTGCTGTCCACTGTTGCCTACAAGGGTCTGTATACAGACATGAAGATAAGTGAGTTTGGTGTTACTATTTCTCAACTGGGGACACTAATACAGGGATCACATGGTGACATCTTGCTAACTAAGGTTGGGAGACCAATCTGACCCCTCTTTTGACTTGGGGCCACACCTGATGTGTTGGGTGCTGGAATGAAAACCAGGAGCCACAGTAGTATGACTCGGGTGAGGAATGTTCCCCATAGTCAAGGGCAGTCCAGGTGTGTCCCGAGGATGTACTTCACCTTAGTCATGGGCAGGGGCACAGCCTTCTTCTATCTTAAGTCTAACCCTCACACAAGCCAATGAGAACCACACAGCCATTGTAGAAAGTACCAAGGCCTTTGCTGACACTGAGTGTGCACAAAAATGGAAGTGATATCCCTGAGTCATACAACACTCACATGAAATGAAATCTAGAAGCCTCACAGGAGCCTAAGATACAGAGTAGTTCAGGCACTACTGCGCTGGCTTTCCCCCATGCTTGCCTCAGGACACTAGCCCAGAAGCTCCCATATCGCACTTCTACTCAGTGAAGGATGAGGATGCCTGGGACCCACCCACCTGATGGGGTGTCACCTCCAAGCACACTGCTACCATATGTTTGGCTCTGTACCTACAAACAGCTGGGTTCTAGATCCAGATCACTCAGCAGAGGTCAGACGGGAGTCAGTCTCTGAAGGACCTCAAGTGCCATGAGATCATTAGTGTTTCCATGGAGGAATTCATATTACTTTCTACATTAGGAACAGGAGACAAGGAAACCAAAGCAGTCAATACTGTATTCATTCCCTGCAAGTGCTGCACAAGTCCAGAAGTAACCCTGCTCCTGCTCCTGAGTGACAGACACACTAAGCAGCTGCAGCAGTTGAACCTTCCACCCACTGGGCTCCTGGCTGCATTGCCAGACTCTCAAACAGGTTCAGAGACATGTGTTTCCCCATCTGGGTCCTTTGTCTAGATTCTTGGGCTTA
The DNA here is from genome assembly GCF_000001405.40 of Homo sapiens. Classification (NCBI taxonomy): domain Eukaryota; kingdom Metazoa; phylum Chordata; class Mammalia; order Primates; family Hominidae; genus Homo; species Homo sapiens. Next base: position 10,201,446 of record NC_000004.12, on the reverse strand, counting down.
AGTAGCTACCTCAACACCACCAAGTGGGAGACCTAGGACTTCTCCCCAAAGGAGGCACCCTAACTTGAACATGCTAACATTTAACTCATAGGCAAAGATGGCTAACTGGTATGACGAGTTGAACACTAAAGGCTTTGGAGGATGAGAATTGTTATGACTTTCTATAGACCATTTTATGACCAAGAAAAAAATCCCTCTCCTGGGCTGCACTTATATTAAAATATCATTTGAACAATTTTCCATGATGTTGCTGAGATCCATTTTGGTCAAGAAACATTTATCCAATGAGTTGCTTGTTACAGCCTGATCTATCACCGACATACCAGAAGGCAGCTGAGGGCCATCTCTACCATCTTGGCTCTGCAAAAAGCCTTCCCGAGAGCCTACTCCCATGAGTAGACCAAGTACTATCACTGCAGATCTGACAGCATTCTGGGCTGGGACATCTTGCCTAGCCACACCCACCTCACAGCCACTGTGCTGTCTGTGACACTGCGAAATACACTAACCCAGACCCAATGGCAGGTTTCTCTAGACAGGACTCCAACCACCAGCTGTACAACACTGCCATCCTCTTTTCCATGAAAGCCTTCCTGCATGAGCAAAGACTTCAGAGATAAATACACGTCTTTTTGGGGTTTCTACCCCAGGTCATAAGAAAAGCACCTGGGTGGTGGACAATACCTGGAGATTTAAGAATGCCTAAAATAAACACCAACCAGCATTAGGAGGTAGAAAAGACTTTCTTGTTCAAGCTCTACTTTTGAGTATAGAGAAGGCAGGAAATAAGTGGAACTCCAGAGACAGAATAAGCAAATCCCAAGTTCAAACAAGTATTAGTAAACACCAAAGAGGGTCAAAAGCAGGCTTCTAATCCACCAAGCACAACTGCTTTACCAGGAACGTCAGTGAAGGAGAACAAACCATCCAAGATAAAGCACTCTGCCCAAAAGCAGAAGGCAGTGAGTACCCCAAAACCTTAGAAGACTCCAATTCCCCCATGACCCTCAAAAACTGCCAGTTAACCTGTTTCATCTGGACACTGAAGGCCGGTTACCCCGTTACAGCTGAGCATCAAAAGCCAGAAATTAGATGCATAGGCACCTGTTTGCCCTCGGCCACCCAAATCAAAAAAGGATATTCCCAGAAGTCATTACAAAAGAAGTCTGTAGTGCACAAGGGGGGAAGTGTCTGAGACGTTCAGAGGAGACAGATCCTCCTGAAGTGGCTCTTCTGAAAAGGGATGCCTGCCCTGGGTAGAGTCTGCTGCTGTCCTTGAGGGAGTCTGCACAACTGCAGTGATGACTTCTGCCCCAGAGGTTTTGCTGGCCTCCCGGGACAGAATCACAGCAAGGGCTGGGGAAGAGACAGTGCAATCTCCAAAGGCAGCCTATGGAGTCAGATGGTGTGTGGTCTGCCGAAGTCTCCCTGCAGGCAGAGGTGGTTTTGTTTACCTCCAGCTTCATGGTAGAAGAGCCTGGATCCAGAAAAGCAGGAAGGGCACGTCAGTGCATTCTTCTTGCCCCCTGCTTGCAATTTTCCACCCCTATACCTTGAAGGTAATATCGAGTTCACCAAGTGAGTTCACAGAAACAAGGTCTAATAAAGCTTCCCATGGAAATGGAGCACCAGCACCAAGGGCACATGTATGGTACTTAATGGCAGAAAGACTCTGTCAATGCACTGACTACTGACCTCTGGTCATCTTCACCCTGCTTACAGGCCATGCACGCTGATGGGTTTGCATATTGTTAGCCTAGGACCCTCAGCCAGTGCCTGCTTCGTGGATTGAGATAGAGACTCATGTTTGAAAATGGAAACATTTCAGTTACCATTAATACCAGTTAATATCATTAATATCTCTGCCCCAAACACACAATTTTTAATATTCAAGACACTTTTCAAAGTTCTTAATAACCTGAGACCTTTATGGGTTGACTCTGGGATAGAAACAAGTCACTTTGTTTCCATTTAGAATTGTTTTGTCTATTTCTGCTGTTTCAAGTGTTTAAGGTTGCTTCCCCCAAATAGTGTGTTAAGTATGTGTATGTAAAAGTTAAGCTAGTGTATATAGGGAACCATTTTCATCATGAGCAAGCACAATTTTTTGCATGATCCACTTGTTTTACTTGGTGGCATGGATTGGTTCATTTGGCTTTAAAACTACTTCAGTTAGGCATGACTAACATAGAAAGCTGCATATTTAATGCATTCAACTGATTTTTTTGTGTACTTCATAGATTTATAGTTCTGCAAGTCTTGGAACACATTTGTCCTGTGTTTAGTCAATATCCAACGCTGTTCTGTGACAACTATGGGCTTTTTTGCCCCTCTAATGAGAGCAAGAAGTAACGCACTGGAAGGGGTAGTGAAGTTAGCAGCTTTGTAATCATGATATTGACTAGAAGAATCTTCAGAAGTATAAAGTGAGGAAAGTTTGGTGAAAAGCAGGACGTTTCCATGGTCTCAGTGTTGTTGCCCCCTGTTCATTGCTGGGTGGTCAGAATTTCAGTGTCACAATGAGATGCCATCTCTCAGAGTGGCTAAGTCAAAACAGAAGATGCTGGCAAGGATACCAAGTAAAGGGAGAGCTCATCCACTGCTTTTGGGAGTCTCAGTGATTTCAGCTTTTATGGAAAGCAGTGTGTCAAGTCCGTAAAAACTGGAAACAGAATTGCCATTCAACCCAGCAATCCCATTATCAGGTATACCAAGGAATACAAGTCATTCTTAGGTAGGAGGGAGGCCTCAGTTCTGGAGGCAGAGCCTGGACACAGGACCTAATGGAGGACTAGCTGAAACAGGGCAGAAGCCGCTTTCCATGAGACATGCCTGCTATGCCATGTCAGTTTACCATTGCCATGGCAACACCCAGCAGTGGCCATCCCTTTCCGTGACAATAGCCCAGCACTGAAAGGTAAGCCCCGCTCCACAAGGAGCTGTACCTCTCCTGCCGCTGTGCACTGCCGTGTCAATAATGTTGCCATCTACTACCACCACCGCTCACCCTCAAATTCATTCCTAGAAGCTAGGAATCTTCCTGGGCTGTATCCTAATTTGGGGGCTCATCTGCCCTGCACCATTTCTACCATAAGGACCCATGCGTATGTATGTTCATAGTGGAAGGAGTTAGCTTGCCTTAGGTAGATAGTGAAGGGAAGGGAAGGGAAAGGAAGGGTCCCCAGAGAGCCCTCGGCCTATGGGTCAGTGGCTCATCCCCATAACAAAAAGCAGCCGGGGAAAAAACTCAAGCCGCAGGTACCGATAAGGGAACAAGCACAGGGTGTTGTTCCTGGAGACATGCCCACAGCTGCACAGAAAGACCTCTGGGCCCATTTGGATAAACACTTGTACGAACCTCCAGAATCACTCAGATACACGAACAAGGCTTAGCATAGAAATACCTCTGTCCCATGGGCAAAGACTTCATGACTACCACCAATAGCAATGGCAACAAATGCCCCAATTGACAAATGGGATCTAATTAAACTGAAGAGCTTCTACACAGGTAAAGAAACTATCTGAACAGACAATCTACAGAATGGGAGCAAATTTTTGGAGTCTAGCCATCTGACAAAGGGCTTATGTCCAGAATCTACAAGGAACTTAAATTTACAAGAAAACCCCATCAAGAAGTAGGTGAAGGATATGAACAGATACTTCTCAAAAGACATTTATGCAGCCAACAAGCATGAAAAGAAGCTCATCTCTGGTCATTAGAGAAATGCAAATCAAAACTGCAATGAGATACCATCTCAAGCCAGCTACAATGGCGAACATTAAAAAGTCAGGAAGCAACAGATGCTGGAGAGGATGTGGAGAAATACGAACGCTTTTACACTGTTGGTAGGAGTGTAAATTAGTTCAACCATTGTGGAAGACAGTGTGGCGATTCCTCAAGGTTCTAGAACCAGATTACCATTCGACCCAGCCATCCCCCTAACTGGGTATATACCCAAAGGATTGTAAGTCATTCTACTATAAAGACACATGCATATGTATGTTTATCACAGCACTATTTACAATAGCAAAGACTTGGAACCAACCCAAATGCCTATCAGTGATAGACTGGATAAAGACAATGTGGCACGTATATGCCGCCACAGAATACTATGCAGCCATAAAAAAGGATGAGTTCATGTCCTTGGCAGGGACATGAAGCTAGAAGCCATCATTCTCAGCAAACTAACACAAGAACAGGAAACCAAACACCATACGTTCTCACTCATAAGTGGGAGTTTAACGAGAACACATGGACACAGGGAGGGGAACATCACACACTGGGGCCTGTTGGGGGGTGGGAGGCTAGGGGAGGGAGAGCATTAGGAGAAATAGCTAATGTAAATGACAGGTTGATGGGTGCAGCAAACCACCATGGCACATGTATACCTATGTAACAAACCTACACGTTCTGTACACGTATCCCAGAACTTAATGCTTTCGTCCTTTGTATCGTCAGCAGGTTCCCAGGAAAAAGTTTTTGTGGGCATAGGCACAGTGGGCTCTGGTGGGCACTCTACTTTCCTTTTTCTGGACCATAAAGTCAACCTTTATTAATCACTTCAACTCCTGATAGGTCCCGGGCCAAGCTAAGCAGCCTCTGTGAATCATCACTTCAGCTCCTGACTGGTCTTTGGCCAAGCTTTGAGTGGTCCCAGGCCAGGGTCCCAGGCCAAGCTAAGTCATAAGTTCTCCAAGATGGCTCACAGACTAAGCACATTCCCTTCCCCTTTCTAGTCCATAAAAACCCTGGAGCCCAGCTTTATTGGGGGCACCCTGTTCAGGACCCCCCACCTTCTGCTGACAGAGGGCTTTCTTTCAACTTATGAAACTTTTGCTCCAACCTCACCTGGTGTCCATGCTCCTTAAGCTTCATGGAGGTAGGACAAAGAGCTCAGGGCCTTATTCTCAGAAAAGAGACTCTTACACCTTGGTGCATGGTTGAGACTACAACAGTAGCAGACACATGGAATCAACCTACATGCCCATCAATGATATCAAGCATATTTCCAAGAAGATTCCTAGCACACAGTTTAGTCAGTGGAGAAAGTGCTATGTCAGCAAGTAAACCATTGTATATATCAAGTTTCTTGAAGACATGTTTGAAAGTGAAAAGCAAGCAGCCTGGGATAACAGCCATGCATGCATCGGTCAGAGCAGGTACTCAGCCCTCCAGGGATTCACCTTCAAGCAGCATCAGCAGAATCTCACCAAGCCTCTACCCAGACAGGCAACATATGATCTGATAGCATCCTACAGGAACACACAAAGACCATTCAGACGCATGCTGGGCTGTACCACATGAGGACATGATGACTGTGGTCCAAGTTCCAAGATGTAACTCAACAGGGGGAAAAAAGATATCCCTCAATAATAAAAGAAAAGAAAGGCCATACTCAGAAGCCCCCGGAGCTCCGTGTTTAGGAAACATGTTCTCGGAGGCAGGGAGCCTGTTCTCCTGGCCTCTGATCCAAACTACCCTGACTCTCCACACTTTGAGAGTTGGAACCATTGCTTTGGCAGCATCCACACCTCTCTCCTGTGGAGAAGCTCAAAGCCCTTCCAGTGCTCCTGGGAGAGATCCACTGAGCTCCCCACCACAGTGGGAAATTTGACCTTCACAACCCAATCCCCGCCCCACTCTTTCTTGCAATGTAGGGAGACATGTATGAAATATTGCCTCCTACCTATCTTGTTGGCTGCACTGGCACAGGCCTTCCAGCCAGAACGCAGGATGAACAGATACATCCTCACAGTGCTAGAAGCCTTGGGGGGACACGCCATGACACCGAGCATGCAAGTGTCCAACCTTGGCACAGACCATGACAATGGGTTATGCCATCTGGGTACAGGGACTTCTGGATTAGAGGACGGGCCTGCCCGACTCATTGTCACAACTTGAGGGCCAAGGGAACGTCATTGAGTTCTGTTCAAGGCATGCACAGATTTTCAGCATTAATTTGGGGGTGGGGTCAAACTGATTTCAGTTATAGCGATCGTCTTCCAAATCACCTGGACTTTAAAGTGATGGTAGGCAACTGTTCTAGAAATTTTTTCAAGGTAATTTTAAGATGGGAGTTCTGGGCCTTTATTCTGGAACCCATTAGAATAAACTTTCCTGGGATGTGTCTGACCCACAGAATCACTGCCCTGTTCATTTCATGTAATCCTGTAGGAGGTGAATGGCAGTAGGGGCTCACACAGCTACCAGGAATCCCCAAGTCAAGAGTGGAACACAGATTAGGGTATCTGGACACAGGTTGGAGGTCTCAGTCAATTCAGGGGAGCCTCTCAACACATTCCTCACCTTCAGTACCACTAGCTTCTTCGCAGCTGGATGCTTCTGTGAATCTCACAAAGATGGCAGAACCAAGGCCAGGAGCCTCCTGTTAGACTATGGCTCATCACTTGAACTTCCTTTGGTACGGATCTATGGTCTTGGAGTTAAAGAACTCAGGGCCCTGCTGGGATGCACAGGTAACCTCACATAACAGACCTTCAGCAAGAGATCCTCAGCCAAGATCTGTCTGTTCCTAGGAGGACAGGTGATACCTTCCTTCCTGAGATTAATGCTGCACAGTAGCACCAATGTCTGGAATATGAACTCCAAGACCGTCATTTTCCCTGGGGGTAGCTTTTGTCCCAACATAAGCCATTTCAGCCAAGGTTATGTCCCCTCTCCGGGGAAATCACATCCAAAAGCATTTGTGAGGAGTACAAGAGCCCAGCTAGGTAGGTCAACTCATAGCCCTGGAGGCCACCCTAGCTACAGGGTTCTTTGTGGGACTGGGTCAAAGCTTCAGCTGTAAAAAGCCCACAATTCACCTTCCCCTGCCCAACCATGTTTTTCCTCCCTTCCCAGTGTGATTCCCAAGCTCACTCAACTAGTAAATTTTAATGCCTGTATCTTACAGTCTGCTTCTCTTCAACCCAAACTGGGGCTCTAGGCTTCACAAACCCCTTTTTTTAATCACAAATTGTAGATGACATAGGAAATAGAAGATCCTTGATCTTAGAGGAGTATGAGAACTAGTGTAAACCCCCTTGATTTACCAGGACTAACATATGATGTAATTATTGGCAAGTAAACACTCTTTAGCTGACTACAATAAACAGTGTCAGGGACTATACCACCTTACCCAGGCAACACCCTGTGTCACCCTGTACATGTCTTTGTACATTAGATGGGTTACTTCCTTTAAGCCGATGCAGTAAATCTAAAGCCTGTTACGTAAGTTAACAGTTCTTTCATATTGTCAAGCCTAGATCATACATACTTTTGCTTAAAGGAGGACTGAGAAATTTCAATACTGGCCTCAAGACGACACTTTGTAATGCTGTCAGCACAAACGACTGACCTCAATTGGTAAAGACCCCATAGGCTGGGACCATTTCCTAAAGGCATGTCTGGAAGCAAGACTAGAGTTGATGAGCCTTAGAGGCCAGCTTCCTTGACATTCCAAGACCCACGATACTGGGAGATGGAGGATAAAGCTTTCTATAGGTATGGCATCCTTTCTCCAACTCTGCAAGATGGAGAAAGGAAAGAGGAAGGAAGAGCCATCACTTGAATGATGCTGGTGATAGACAATCTACACATTTCTTTGGTCATTTGAGAAAGACTAAGATCGCTGACAATGATTCCAACAGTAAACTTGTGGGACTGTCTCCATCTCTTTTTGGTAAGCTTATGTCATGCATTATGAGATGGAGCCCTCACTTTTATGCCAACGCATGCTTACCATCCAACTTGGAATTAACCTCAAGGACCAAAAGGCCATCAAATTTGGTATATTCCTGTACCAAGTTACTAAATAGAGAACTTAAAGGAGACAAAAGTCCTACAGTCAAGTACCCCCCTTTCTCACATCTGCAGGGAAAAGGTCAATATCCTTTGATTTGGGATCTCACTGATGCCCTCTGCAATGACCCCACAAGTCACTGCATGAAGCACTGTGTTCCATTTTGAGAGTAAGTTGGTGTCCATAGGCATGAGCTGGCATTAGAGCCCTGGACTGAAAGGATACCAGCATTTGCAGACTCTCTAACTCACTGCAACCAGGAGCTCTGCAAGATCGCTCTTCTCAGGGAAGCACCCTAGTTCCCACAGTTGAGTCCAGATAGAGAATATGCTGAAGAGATGAGGTCAAACTGAAGTTAGGCTGCCTTCTGATACCGATGTAGGACTGAAAACAGACCTTTGTACCTAGAGATTTCAGGTTCTACATCAAGTTAATGAGAAGCAGATCCTTGAAGTTTAGAAATAAAGCCTTCTTCCACTATACCAAGTTAGAGTCAGTGGCAGGCATCCTTGGATCCCCTAAGATCAGTTTCCCAAGAATTGTTCAACTATTATGAAGATGTCAAGATTACACCAGATACTCCAGGAAATTCGACATCTACCATGACAGTTACATTCCATCTCCCACTGACCTGTATGTTTTAATGCCAAAATATACCTATGCAATATGCTTAAAAGTGACCAGACATACAGATTCATCTGCTCTGAGCTGTCACTGAGAAAAATGCCACTGTGCTTGGAGTACATCCAAGACTCTTACACTTTTTACACCAGGTCCTTTGAGCAACACTCACCAATTGCTCTTAACACAGGAGTAGAAAAGTTTCTGAAGATGTTGGGTTGTGTAGAGCTTAATGGCTAGAGAAAATGGGGTCCTTAGTGACCACTAGAGAAACTGTCTATACAAATGACTATCCCCCCCAAGTGACACAAGATCTTTCCAGGCTCTTTGTGACAGAAGTATGGATGCTATTTGGCATTGTGTCCAGAGTGAGCAATATCTTTCACTTCTAACAGCAGTCCAGGTGCCACCCTAACAGTGGCATACTTCATCTCAGTCATGAGTAAGGGAGGAGGCGCCATCTAAAGTCTACCCTGCAAACAAGCCAATATGAGGTACACAGCTACTGAAAAAGCACCCAGACCTTCCCTGGCCGTGTGAGTGTTCCTGCAAATTAAGGAAGTGTTTGAGCCATGTTTCAGGAAGCAAAAGGTCAAGTGAAAAAAGTCTCCACGTGAGCACACAAGCTGGGGTCTGTTTCCCTCATTCTCCAGGCCATCAGCTCCCACAGCACAAGTCTCACAGTAACCATACCCTATCATGTGTGACTCAATTTCTGTGGTATATATGGAGGATGTAGACTTGAATTGTTAGGATGAGATGTACCCTCTGGCTACAAAATGATCTCAGCCCCCTAAGTTCTAGACACTCCTATCTACTTGAGATTTACAGTTGTTCCCGTCATTGTCCCCTTAGAACTCTGGGATTCTTCAAGCTAATGATTGCCTTTAAACCTCAGCGCTGGAAAACTTGTGAATGATAGTTTGAAAATCATCTTGAATGAAAGCATCAAGAACTAGAATTTTCTTGATTAAAAGGTGGACCAAGGTCATGGTGGTCTTAAGATGAAGGAAGGACATTGATGGGAAACAGTCATCTAGAGGTCCCACAAGAACAGGAACACACAAAGGTGAGCTCAGGGACTGGTGTTCTGGCTGCCCCAGTGCCTGCCCAGCAGACACACTGTAGCCTAGAGGCCCTGTCATACACACTTCCACCATCAGAGGAAGCTGAAGTTCATAATTCTCTTTAAATCATTGTGACCAGAGAAAGTCTTATCAGTATTGCATTCGATACTCAAGCTTTATTGTTAATAAAGCTTCCAACATTCATTGTGCTCATAGACCACACATCCTATGATTTCAGTTACTCAGCCTTGCCCACTGACAGAATGACCAAGGGCTGTTCCCTTTCCCTTCCCCGATTCTACCAAAAGCCTGTGAAGCCACCAATTCTGGGAGTAGACCTCACATGCAGCTCGCATCAGTCCAGATCAGCCAGGACCCAGATAGGATCACTAACCAATCCACTCACCTCAGTGGTACAGTGCTGTCTGGGACTTCATAGGGCATGTGGCCAACTCACTGCCAAGAGCACCTAATGGTAGCAAACCAGTGACCAGCTGCCCCAAATACCACAGGTCTCCTTTTTCCCATCCAGCCAAGCCAGGATCTGTCATTAGGGTTCAACATGAAACAGGCAAAGGTATTTTGTTAATCTTCCCCTAAATAAAGGGCAATTCACAGACCTTCAATTAAAAAATTCTTCACTTCCTTTTCTATTAGTGTTGGAGTCCTCTTTATTCACATCAGGCAACAAAGATCAGGTAAACTAAGGACACAGCCAGTAAGTTCTGAAGACAGCATCCCATCTCAAGCAACATTGATACCATCCACATTTCCACAAATTCACACAGACTAGAGAGAATTAGAGTAAGGCAACACAAGGCCCTCGGAGAAGTTCCAGAAAGCATTCCATTGCATGGAACAGTTCATACCACGCAGTGATTAAACCAGCTCTGATTACCTCCTCATGGCAAGCCAAGTGGCTCTTCAGAGCCTCACTAGCATGCTAGCTCTAAAAAGTAAGGGCTGCTTCTTGATCAGAAGGACATGCTGCCTGCATCCTGAACCTCCCAAGCATCATACAGTCCTCCAGGTAACCTTTGTAGACCTGATCTCCATCCTATCTGCCAGTGAGGAGGGACATGTGTGAATGCAGCTGTAGTCAGTGACTTCGATGGCTGTCAACTTTAGTCAAAAGACAAAATTAAAGTTGAAGACTGACATCTGACATGTCTTCTGCACATTTGGAAGTAGGTGACTTGATACTTTTAAGATCTTTTTGGATGCTCAGTTATAAATCAACGTATCTGCAAGATCATATTGGGGCAATACAAGTGTCAGGCAATATAAAGATCACAGAAGTTGAGACAACATACAGTGGGTTTTGTCACCAGAAGCTGAATATACTACTAACACTAAAACTTGGGTACCTTGAGTAGAGATGGCTCACAGAACCCTAGGCTCTGGGGTACTTTTAAATCCCAGGCTCCACCTTTCCCCATCATTGTCTTCCCATCTTGTAAGTCATTGTAGCTGTAGAGAACATGCATACAGGCAGAAGGACCTACCCTTCTGGGAAGACAATTCTCACAACTGGAGGTGGTGGACAGATGTGGCATGTTCATGCGACAACAAGTCCAGTGGGAGTCCAGCTGCCATTACTGGCCCTCCCTGTGGTTGCTGCTGGGAACTCCCATGCCTGAGCAATGGTTAAGCTAATGACTTAGCCATGCACGAGCAATGCTTAAGCTTGAGCAAAAAACAAAGCTAATGGGTCACAACTCCTTGGCCTGTCCACCTAGCCAGCATCCTGGGCTAGGACTCCAGTTCTCCTAGAGCAACAGATTTATCAGTAACATTTGTGCCAATAAAGATAACCTGCTCCCAAAGTATTGCAACTGCTGCTTTAAGGGCTCATGTTTAATGAGTCAGAATGATCCTAGTATGGTCCTAAAGCACAAATGTCAACTGAATAGGAGGCCAGCAAGGCTTCCCAGCACAGAAAACCTCACTTTGGCCACTGGTTCAAGGTAACGAAATCAACAGGGACCTTTTGAACACTTGCTCACTTTTTCTGCCAAGTATGGAAGGGATGACATTCTGCATTTGAGTATATATATATATATATATATTTTTTTTTTGAGTAGGTTGTTTTTATTCACCTTTTGGAGTTCCACATCACGACAGTGAACTACCGTATGTTTAACATATATGTTGCATGACAGGTGGTATCTTTGCTAGTAACCACCACCACTTCTGACATTAAGTACAGAGTCAACATTCTGGAAAATCCATTCTTTCCAAACCTCCTCATCGAGGGTCCAGAATCAGTCTGCTTACTCCTGAGAAGGCCAGAAGTATACATTATATCTTGTCCTCAGGTAATTAATTAACTCTCCTGGTCTGTCCCAATGTCATAGGCTAAAGTCTTGATTGTGCTGGCATTTCACAGGAGATCTCGTTGGGTCACTATTATTTGCATCACACAAGGTAGACCCAACAGCAGGAGGGGTCTGGAACATACCTATGTGCCAGAGGGAAGGAGAAACCTACCAAGACTCAGGAGCCTATACACATCCATGGTACTTAAGTATGTAGGGCATGCAGGGACATCACTTCCAAATTCATGGACAGCTTTCTGCATTGCTATCTCCTGCCATAAATTAAGTGTACTTTCAAAATAGGCTTTTTTAAATAGGGTATGTCATGCTTGACTACTGCAAGCTATTTAGTGGGCTCCAACAGGCACAAGTTTTGAAGAAGCCTCATCAGATGAGTGCCCTGCAGCTAAGTCTTGGCCTTCTAAGCTGCTGCCTTGCCTTTCATGCAAGAGCCTTGGTAGGAGGGTGCCGTGGAAGGTCTCTGGAAGACTCCATAGGAAAGGTGTTCTACAGACTCCTAAGACTCCAGCTAAGTCTGCACCTTCAACTAGAAGGCTAATTAACCCAAGTCAGCTCCAACCATGTTACCGGGCCTTAGAGACTGAGCTCATGGCCATGAAAACCTAGTAACTTGAACTTGGTTTAGAACTGCTCAGTATGCACTAGGTGCTGTGAGAACCACAAAGGCATAAGCACTCCCATGGGCACAAGAACAATGAAGGAAGCAAGAGCATGTAGCCATATTTAAGTTACAAAACCAGTTGACTCAGGCTCCCATCCTCCCCAAGCTCTGTAGTACTTCTATGTCTTATCAGCTCAAACCTATGGCCTCATGGGTAGGTCCCTATGACCAGTTGGCAAAAAAGGGAAAACTACTCATCCTAGTTTACAGATGGATTGACTGAATATATGAGAGCTAACTGAATATGGACTGCTGTGACACTAAAGAGCTCCTTCAAGGGTACCCTAAGAAGTCATTGAGGAAAAATGCCCCCCACCGGACAGAAGTTCAATCCCACTTGGTCATCTCTTATGGGATAAGCAGTCTAAGGATTAGTCACGTGCATTAGCAAGTGGACTGGCTGGCCAGCCAGCCAGACCCTGGGAGGTGATTAGAAGATCAGAGATGAGATCTGGAAAAGCAGCACATAGAGGAACCTACAAGTATAGTCATTCAGATTCCAATTCCTGCAGTACAATGTCCTGAGTTATGCACAGTGAAGACACCAGGGTGTGGAGTTGCAAGCTGTATCACAATACTCGGTGGTCAAGAATTCTTCAAAGTGAAGACAGCATAGGTAAATTCCAGGCCCTAGGAGCTACCTTGAGGAAATTAGATTTCACCTCTGGGGAGGCATTGTTCTGCCCTCTCCCCCAAATAGTTTATTCTCCCATTTGAACATCATGGAGAAGATGCACAGGCATCCAGTCTGTAAAGTGACCCAAGACATACCTGGGAGGTTTTGAGGAACCTACTCTGAGTTTTTAAGTGGTAGATTTTTCTCCTCAGGGAAGACAGGATGTGTAGACATTTGTCATCACAGCTCAGGGAGTGCCACAGACATCTAGAAGAACAGGTAGGTAATGCTGCTAAACATCCTACGGTGCACAGGACAGGCCTCTTACAATGAAGCATCCAAGAAGTGTCAATATGAAGCTGAAACTTTCTGACCAAGCTGGCAGCTTCGACATCCATCATGTATGTCATTTGAAACCTGAGGATTCTGGGAACACAGGTAAATGCTCAAGTTTCAGATTCTGCAGGCTGCAGCCCTGAAAACCTTACCATGGCTGCTGAAATGCCTTGCTCAGAGCTGAGAAGTCAGCCACCTTCCAACTGTCCCCTCAGCTTCCCAATACCCGGCCCTTTACCACACACTTCTGCCTGCAAGGTCTATATAGACACTAGGGCAACATTGAGAGTTTGGTGTCACCATTTCCCACTGCAGACACTAACAGCAGCCACATGGTGACATCTTACAAACTATCATTTGGAGAGAGCCACCTGCCCACTCTTTCCACCTGGGGCCAGATCTGATGTGTTGGGCATTGGACTCAAGCATAGAATACAAGGATGATCCAGGTGAGGAATGTTTCCCACATCTAAGGGCAGTCCAGGTACCTCCCCGCTAAGAAGGTACCTTCATCTTAGTCACAGGCAGTGGGGGGCAGACTTCCTTTAAGTCATCCCTGCACACAAGCCAATATGAACCACATAGCCACTGCCAGAAGTACTGACACCACCTTTTCCAACACCGATTGTCCAAAATGATGGAAGTGATGTCAGTCATACGCTTTAGAAACAGCTTTATGCTGTCAAAGGCCACTCTGAGCTGCACACGGTGGAGTCCAGACATCTCACATTCACCAGGGCAGTCACAGTACAAATCCCATCACTAATACACAGTATCACATGTGACTCAACTGCAGCCCAAGGAAAGGAAACATGTTTGAATCTAGTCGGAAATGAGATAGACCTCTGGCTACCTTGTATTACCAGCTCTCCAAATCCCAGATTTAAGGTCCCTCCTGTAATTTACACACAGTTATGCCATTTATCCCCTCAAACCTTGTATCTGATTCCTCATGCTAACAACAGTCTTTAAAACCTTAAGATGACTGGAAAACTTGTGAATCATTTGAAACCCTTTAGTGGAAGAGTGAAGAACTTGAGTTTTTAAACCTAACAGATGGATGATAATATGGACAATCCAAGGTCACGGTGGTTTTATAGTTGAGAAAACCGACACATAATGACACCATCTAGAGGCCACACAGGGCAGTTCTGGCACAGCTGTCCTGGCTTTCCCACACTTGCTCCAGCAGACACCCTGGAGCCCAGAAGCTCCCAACATACATACTTCCTCTCAGCAATAGATGAGGACATTTTGGACTCAGCCACCTAATGACAGGGTGTCACCCCCACTGCACTGCTGCTTTCCTATGATTGGTTTGACAGCTCACAATGGCTAGGTTCTAAGATTCAGGTCAAATATGAGTCTGTCTGAGCAACCTTAAACATGGTGAGAGGTTACAGCACTAGTTCATTGTGGAGGCATTTGTACAACTTCCTGCATTAAGAACAGGGGCACAACAGAACAACAAAAATCAAAGCAGGTAATACTGTATTAGTTCCCTGCAAGTGTTCCACAAGGCCAGAAGTACCTTCTGGTCCTCAGTAACCAATGTGCTAAGCAGCTGCAGGAGTTAAGCCTTCCACCCATGGGGCTCATGCTGCATTACTGTCTTCTGAAGCTATTCACAGAGCCATGTGTTTCCCAATTAGGTGCTTTGTCTAGATTTTGGGAGTTAAGTAGCTACCTGGACACCACCAAGTTTGAACCCTAAGACTTTTCCCCAATAGAGGCACTTAACTTGAGCATGCCTATGTTTATAGCATAGGCAGAGATGATTAACAGGTATCAAGAGTTGAAGACTGAAGGATTTAAGGACACAGAACAAGAATAGTCAGGACTCCCTATAAACCATTTTACATCCAAGAACAAATCCTTCTCCTGGGTTGAGCTTAGTATTCAAACTTCATTGGAACAATTTTTCATGAAGATGTCAAGATCCATTTGGGTCATGGGGACATTTATATCCAGTGATTCATTAGGCACAGTATGACACATCACTGAGAGACCAGAGGTCAGCTCAGGGCCATCTCTTATCTTGGGCTCTGCAGAAAGCCTGCTAAGAGTCCACTCCCATGAATAGGGCTCTTGAGCCCATCCACCATCACTCCTGATCTGCCAGCACCCTGGGCTGGAAACTCACACTCAGTCACACCCACCTCACACTAGCCTCTCTGCTATCTGGGACACTATAGCACATCATAGGACACGATCGACCCACAGCTAATGGCAGATCTCTGGAAAAGACTAAAACACTCATCCAGGATTGCCATCATCTTTTCCATGTGGGCCTTCCTGCTTTAGCAATGACTTCTGGGACAGATACAGGTTGGCTTTTACGGTCTATCTTATGCTGTAACATCTGCGTGGTACACAATACCTGGAGGTTTGAAGAGAATGCCTACAGATACACCTACCAGCACGGTGAGTTGGAAAAGGTGTTCAAGTTTCATTTCTGAGTATGGAGAAAGCAAGGAGCAAGGAACAGAACAGACACATCAAGGGGAGAATACAGGAATACAAAATTCAAACAAATGTCAGAAACTGAAGGACAGCAGGCTTCTAATCCTAGCACAATTGCCTTACCAAAAAAATCAGCAAAGGGGACCCAATGAAGAATCTGTCACAAGTGACAGAATGCTGTCCGAAGAGGGCAGAAGCCAAAGACAGCCCGAAATCCTGGAAGATAGCAATTCTATCATCCTTAAGATTGCCACCGTTAACTTGCTTTACTGGGACATTGAGCCCAGCATGAAGATTTAGAGCTAGATATAGGTCAGAAGTTAGATGCATAAACACCTGATTGTCTTCACTACTGAAAGGTGAAAGGATGTTCCTAGGACAGAAGAGACCAGAATCTCGAAGTCATTATGGAAGTCTGAGATGGATGAGGTGGAAATGTCCCTGCAAAGGGTCAAAGGATTCTCTAAAGTGGCTCTTCCTCAAGGTGGTGTTGCCAGCCCTGGACCATTCTGCTGCTCTCCTTGAGGGGGTTCATACAGTTTTCATGACAACTTCTGCCCTAGAGGCTTTGCTGGCCTTCTGGGACACAATCAGCCAGGACCTGGACACCAGAAACAGCAGAATCTCCACAGGAGGCCTACGGTGTTAGAGGGTGTGTAGTGCACAGGAGACGTCTCCCTGCAGACACAGGTGGTTGTTCACCTCCAGTTTCATGCTGCACAAGCCTGGGTTCCAGGAAACAGGAAGGTAACAGTGTACTCTTCTTGTTCCCTGTATTCCACACCTATACCTTAAAGACAGTATATCTTGCCCTAAACGTACAAGGAATGATGTCTTAATGGAAAGCCTCCGGCAGGAGCACAGCCCCAGGAAAAGGGGCCCATCTGCAGTACTTAATGGCAGAAAGGCTGTCAATTCTGCGGTGCCACTGACCACGGACCTGCTGACGAGGCCATGCAACAGGCACTGCTGAAGGTCTTAGGCTAACATCTGCAACCCACCAGTGTGCTTTATGGTTTGAGACACAGACTGGTGTTTGAAAATGGAAATACTTCAAGTTCCTATTAATTCAGGCAGGGAAAGTCACTCAAATTACATCCCCTTCTGAAGTACAAATGACTTATAAAGTACAAACGGCTTTTAAGGGGGTACCTTCCCTCAGCTGAGCATTGTGAAGGAATGGAATGAAGCAATAATATTCTGACCAGCACGGGCAAACTGCTGACTGTGGGAATTGTGCCATTCCAGTTAAAATACATCACAATTTGAAATTTACAAGGCATAAAGAAGCTATTAAGTCTTTCCCTCCCCACCCAAAACACACGATGGTTAATATTCAAGACACTTCAAAATTTCTAACCTGAAACCTTTGTGGTTTGACTCAGGATAAAAAAACCCATACTATTTCCACATATTCTTGTGCATTTCTGCTGTTCAGTGTTTAAGATTGCTTCTCAAATACGTAGCTTGTGTGTATATAAACGTTTTCATCATGTGCAAGCATGATTTTCTTTTGCATGGTCCATTTTAATTGGTAGTATGAATTGTTTTTTAAAATTACTTCATTTAGGCATGACAAAGCTGCTCATATTTGATGTATCCAACTGAGTTTGATTTGTGTACTTCCTAGATTTCTAGCCCTGTCACTCTTGCAACTGATTTTTATTTGTTCTGTGTTTAGTGAGGTTGCAACATTGTTTTAATTACAAGTAGGGATTTTTCCACCCTCCAGAGAAAAAAAAATAATACACCAGAGGGAGTTGGAAGGCTTGTAATCATGATATAGACTTACTAGGTTGGGGGAAGAATTCTTAAAGGTAAGTTTATTGAAAAGCAGGATGTCTTCATGGTCTCAGTGTTGTTTCCCGTGGCCATTGGTTTGTGGTCAGAATGTCACAATGAGATGTCATCTTATACCAGTCAAGTCAAAATGGCTGCTAAGTCAAAGTAAGATACTAGTTGAGATTGTGAGTAAAGGGAACTCTTATCCACTGCTGGTAGGAGTGTCAATTACTTTATTGTGGAAAGTAGTGTGGCAATTCCTCAAAGAACTTAATTACCCTTCAACCCAGCAATCCCATTTAAGTATATGTCAAAGAAATATAAAATCATTCTGAGGCAGGTGATGGTGCTCAGACACTGGACCAATTTGAAGATAGGGACAGGGCTAGCAGAAGCAACTTTCCATAAGACACCCCGAGTGTGCCATGTCAGTTTACTGTTGCCAAGGCAATGCCCAGAAGTTAGCACCCGCTTCCGTGGCAACAGCCTCACCACCTAGAAGTTACCACCCTTTTTCCTGGAAATTCTGTGTAATCCACCCCTTGATTTGCATATAGTAAAAGGGGGTATGAGTACAGAAGTGCCTGTGAGCTGCTACTCTGGGCTCACTGCCTATGGGATAAGCCCTGCTCCACCAGGAGCTATACCCTCTGCCACTGCTGTATCCTATCCTGCCACCTCCATAACAGTAGCTGTCTAATACCATTGGCTCACCCTTGAATTCTTTCCTGGATGAAGCCAAAAACCCCTTCTGGGCTAAGCCCCAATTCTGGGCCTTACCTGTCCTGTATCAGTTCTGCCATGAAGACAGGCATGTGTCTATTCATTCCAGCATTATTTTCAATATCAAAAACACAGAATCGACCTAAATGCCCACAGATGGTAGACTGGATAGAGACAATGTGGTACATATACACCGTGGAATACTATGAAGCCATAGAAAGGAATGAGGTCATGTCCTTTGCAGCAATATGGAGCTGGAAACCATTCCTCTAGATGTGCTAACACAGAAGTGAAAAAACAAATACATATGTTCTTTTTACATGGGAGGCCAAACAAGATGACCACAGATACTGGGAGGGGAACAACATACACTGAGGCCTACTTGAGGGTGGAGGATAAGAAATACCCATTGATATTACATGTATTACCCAGGTGACAATTATCTGTATACCAATCCCACAACACAGCTTACCTACAACATGTCCCGCACATGGACTCCTGGACCTAAAATAAGACCAGGAATTCTTTAAAGATTAGGAATTCTACAAATGTCAGTGTTAATTTAGTCATGATAAATGTCTATCAACTAAGCTATGTAGTATGGTTAAGCACGTTTCCTAGAAGGCTCTAGAAATGTAAAGTCTTAACAGAAAGTGCTATGTTAGTAAGTGGAACTAACGTATAGTCAGTTTGACATGTTGAAGTCAAATACACGCTGGGACAGCTGTCAGCAGTGCAGGGGTCACAGCAAAGGAGCCAGCAATCGGTCCTCCAAGGACTCACCCACAAGCAGCATGAGGGCAGGTTCTCTCAGCCTCTGCCCAGATAGGATGCTATTGGGCCACATGTAGCCTATGTGAAGTCATGAAGGCCATTCAGACCCACACTGGGCTGTACTGCATGAGGACACGATGGCTGTGGTGCAAGTCCCAGGACATAATGGTGAAAAGGATGTCCCTCAGTGACAGGGAAAGAGCCAGGACATTCAGAAGCCCCAGGAGCTCATTTAGGAAAAATATCCACATATGCACACTTTCATACAGGTTAGAGAACAGTGATGCAACACAAGGACCTCATCAGAAGAGTTCAGGAAAGCATTCCTGCCTGGAGCAGTTCATACCACGCAGGGATCGAATCAACTCTGACTACCTCGTCATGCAAACTGAGTTGCTCTTTGAAGGTGAGAATCATGAGTAAGGGAGAAGCCTATCTTAAATACACTCTAAAGCCAGTGAGATACACAGCTACTGAATTACCTAGACCTTTCCTGGCATTGTGCATCCACACAGATGGTTTGAGTCACAAGTTTTAGGCAACAAAAAGATCAAGTGACAGACATCTCTCTCCATGTCAGTGCCAAGCTGAGGTCCATTTCTCATTCTCCAGGGCATCAGCTTCCACAGCACAAATTCCATAACTGCACTCTTTTGTGTGACTCAGTTCCTGTGATGCATATAGAGGATGTAGTCTTGAATTCAGTTGGAATGAAGTGCACCCTCTACAAGATTATCTCAGCTCTCCAAGTTCTAGACACTCCTATCTACTTGCCGTTATTTACATTTATGTCTGTCCTTATATCTCCCTAAACCTTCAGGTGGGATTCTTCAAGCTAAAGATTGCCTCTAAACTTCAGAGCCAGCAAACTTGTGAATCTTAATTTGAAAGCCTCCTTGAGTGACAGTCATGAACTAGAGTGTTCTTGGTAGATAGAAGTGGAATATGCAAACTCATGGTGGTTTAAGAAGGGAAGGACATTGACAGGAAGTGAAGTCATCTAGAGACCTCAACATGAGCAGAGGAAGATAAGAGGAGCTCAGGGACTATTGTTCTGACTGCCCCAGTGATTACTCCAGCAGACACTCTGGAGCCCAGAGGCTTCCATCACACACGTCCACTGTCAGAGGAAGCTGAAAGACTTGATATCCAGCCAGCTGGGAGTGGAGTGTTAGCGGTATGGGCACTGCTACCATCATGAGTGGCTCTCAAAACAGCTGGGTTCTACATCCATTTCAATCACGAAGCAGACAACCATGAGAACCTTGGTCCCTGAAGGATCTCTGCATGCTGAGAAATTAGTGCCAATTCTTTAAGAGGAATTTCTATGACTTCTTCCTGTATCAAGGGACAAGGCATAAGAGATAAGGAAAAAAACCACAAGTGTGTCAATTCCCTGTCAGTGGTGTATAAGCCCAAAATTACCCCCTGGGTACCCAGAAACCATAACTGACCACAGCAACAGTATATTCCAACCACAGGGCTCACGGTGCATTATCACAGTCCCTGCAACAAGGTTGATGGGGGTCTGTTCCCCAGTCTACATCCCTTAACATTGTTTCAGGTTGCCACCAGGACACCAGTGAACAGGAGGCCTAGACCTTTTCCCTGAAAAGGGAACCAAACAAGGATTCTTAGGTTTAAGCCATAGGGCCAAGATCACTCAAGTATAGAAAAAGATGAAATATGTAGAGAATTCAAAGCATCATGATTCTGTTTAAGTCATTCTATGACCAAAAAAAAAAAAAAAAAAAAGCCCTATCACTGTGGTGTGGCCAAGTATTCAAACTATTTGAAGATCATAAAGCCTCGGATGTTTCTTTTGGTCATAGACTACATATAACCAAGTAACTATCAACAGTTCTCAGTTACTCAGTCTTCCCCATTGACAGGTTCACCAAAGGCTGTCCTCTCTTCCCTCTCTGGTTCTACCAAAAGCCTATGAAGGATCCAATTCTGCAGGTAGACCCTACATTTCAGTCCCCACTCTAGATCAGCCAGGACCCACGTAAGACCACTTGCATATCTATATCCACCCTACACTGGCTCCCCAGTGCTGACTAGGACTCAAGGACATGTGACTGACTTATGTCAAGAGCACATCTCTGCTGGCAGGAATACGATGAACACCTGCCCCAAATACCACAGGTCCTGTTTCTTCATCTAGCTCAGCCTACCCAGGATCTGTGATTAGGGTTTAATGAGACTGGCAGAGAGGTTCCTGTCTTCCCCTAAGAGGGCAATTCACAAGCCCCCATAAAAAGTCCTTCCATGCTTTCTTCTAGTATCGGGATCCCTTTCAGGTATTAAGCAATGAAGATCTGGTCAACTAAGGAGACAGCAAGTTTTGAATACAGCCTCACCCCTTTGTAAACATTGACACCATCCACATTTCCAAAGTTACAGATTAGAGAATAGTCAGAAAACACAAGGACCTTATCAGAAAGGTTCAGGAAAGCATTCCTGCCACCCAGAGCAATTCACACCATCCAGGGATTAAATTGACTGGCTCTTTATGGCAAACTAAACTGCTTTTCAGAGAGCCTCAGTAGTCTGTCAGCTCTGAAAACGGTGAGGGCTGCTTCTTGATTAGGAGGACATGCTGTCTGCATTCTGAATCTCCCAAGCATCATACAATCCTCCCAGTAAGGTCTTTGTGAAGTTCATCTCCATCTTATCTGCCAGTCTGAGGAAGGACAGATGTGTGAATGAAGCTTTAGTCAATGACTTCAGTGGCAGTTGACTTTAGAGTTCCGAAAGACCAATTTAAACAAGAATTGAAGACTGGCATCTGGCACATCTTCTGTACATGTGAGAGTAGGTGACTTGATACCTTAAAGATCTTTTTGGATACTCAAATATTCCTACAGATCATATTGGGGCAGTGCAAGTGTCAGACAACGAAGAGCATAGAAGTTAAGGAGAAATCCAGTGAGTTTTGCCACCAGAAGCTAAATGTATTTCCAACACTAAAGAATTGGGTACACCTTGAGTGGAGGTGGCTCACAACCTAAACTGGTGAGTTTTCCCTCCCAGCCTCTACCTTTTCCCCCTCCCTCACTGGCTTAACCTTGTACATTCTAGCAATAAACATGCAAACTGGCAGAAAGACCTACTTCTGGGAAGACAATTCTCACAAGTGAAGGTGGATGGATGTGGCATAGTTCATGAGGCATCAGAAGCCCAACAAGAGTCCAGCTGCCATTGCAGACACTCCCGGCATGGTTGCTGCTGGGATCTCCCATGCCTGGGCAATGGTTAAGGACAAGCTAGTGGTCACTCCTTGCCCGTCCATGTAGCCAGCATCCTGGACTAGGACCCCAGTTCTCCTAGAGAAATCTGGATTTTTAGGTCAGTAATGTACCTACGCCAATAAAGAATCTGTCCCCAAAGTATGGAAACTGCTGCTTCAAGGGCCCATGTTTTCTGAAAAGTTAGAATGGTCCTAGTTTCATCCTCAAAACACAAGTGTTTTGAATTGGACACGAGGCTACGAAGGTTTTCCAGCACAGAAAACCTCACTTTGACCACTGGTTCAAGGTAACTCAACAGGGAACCTTTTCAGCACCTGTTCACTTGTCTGCCACATATGGAAAGGATGTCATTCTGCATTTGACTAGATTCTTGTGGTTTTCATCTTTTGGAGTTCCATGTCACATGACAGTGAACTACCATATATTTGATTTAGCATAGCCATCATGCAACATTATGGTATCTTTGCTAGTAACCACCACTTCTGACATTGAGTGGAGGCTTACCGCCATTCTGGAAAATCCATTCTTTCAAATCCTCCTCATTGAGGTTCCAAGTTCAGTTTGGCTTATTCATGGTAAGGCCAGGAATACACATTGTCTTGTCCTCAGGCGGTATTAACTCTACTGGTCTGTCCTAATGTCATAGGCTGAAGTCTTGGTTTTGCTGGCATCTCACAGGAGATCTCGCTGGGCCACTTTATTATTGGCATAAGTCAGACCCATCAGGAAGCAGCCAGTGCTCTGGAGCATACCCAAGTGCCAGAGGGAGGGGAAAGCCTACCAAGACTCAGGGGTCTATCCACAATGCTTAAGTATCTAGGGCATGCAGGGACATCACTTCCAACTTTCAAATTCAAGGACAGTTCCTTGGATTATCTCCTACCATAAACAGTGTACTTTCAAAATAGGAGTTTGTGAATTTGATACAGCGTATCACACTTAACTACTGTAAGCCATTTTTAGTGGGCTCCAACAGGTATAAGTTTTGAAGAGGCCTCATCAGATGAGGGCCCTGCAGCTAATCTTGGCCTTCTAAAATGTTGCCTTGCCTCTCATATTAGATCCATGGTAGGAGGTGGTCATGGGAGGCATCTGGGGGATACTTTAGTAAAAATACTACAGACCATTAAGATTCTAGCCTAAGTCTGCCAGTAGAAGGCTGATTACCCTTCAGGTCAGCTTCAACCATGTTACTGAGCCTTGGAGACTGAGCTCTTGGCCATGAGACAGCTAGTAACTTTTAGAACTTCCTAGCCTGATCTGGGTGTTGTGAGACCCATAGAGGCAGAAGCTCCATGGGCACAACAAGGTTGTGAGGGAAATAAACATAGAACTACATTTAAATCACAAAACTAGGTGGCTCAGACTCCCATCATCCTCAAGCTCTGTAGTACCTGCATCTGTCAGCTCATACCTGTAGCCTCAAGGGGAGATCTCTATGACCAACTGGCAAAGGGTAAAGTTCTGGTTTATGGATGATTGACTCAATATGTGATAGCCGAGTATAAACTGTTGTGACACTAAAGCTTCTCTGAGGGCACCCTAAGTCGTCATTGGGGAAAAAATCCTCTCATTTGGCAGAAGTTCAATCAATAAACTTGATCATCTCTTACGGGATAAGGGATTTGAGGATAATTGGTCCCATATATTGGAAAATGGACTGACTGGTCAGACCCCGGAAGATGATTACATAGAAGAGATCTGGAACACTCATATGTGGAGGGGCCTATGGGAATGGTCCAATTCAGACTCTTGAGCAGTAAGAAGCCCATGCCAAGACACGCACAGTGAAGACATAAGGGTATGGACCTGCCAATTGCATCCCAAGACTCGGTGGTGAAGAGGATTCTTCAACGTGGAAAGGAGAACAATTAAATCCCAGGCCCTAGGGGCTACCTTGAAGGGATTTTTTCTGGGAGAGTTCACCTCTGTGAAGGCATTGCTCAGCTTCAGATTGTCTGTTCTCCAACCTTTCAAAGATCATGGAGAAAACACACAGGCATCTAGTACTCCACACATGAAGGTGCCATGAGAGAACTACCCCCAAGACAGCTGATGGTTTCTTGAAACCTAGTTAGGTATTCAAGTGGTCAATTCTGCTTTCCAGGGAGAAGTGTCTAGATGTTGATCACAGCCCTTCAGGGGTTGAAGGGAATTGCTATGGGCACCTAGCAGAAAAGGTAAATTGTGCTGCTTAAAGTCCTACAGTGCACAGGACAGCCCCCAATGAAAAATTACACAGGAGCATCCAATTAAAAGTTTCTGATCTAGTTGATAGGTGGATATCAGATATACATGTAATTTGAGGACTTTGGAGGATTCTGGGAGCATAGGTAGTGTGTTAAGTATTTCAGATTCAGGTTGAAGCATGCAGATGCCTCACTATGACTGTTGAAGCTTGTTTTCTGGAGCTGAGAACTGGTCCACCTTCTACCTGTTCCCTAACACCTGGCCCTTTTGCTACGCATTTACCTTAGTGTCTATATACAGACCTTTATAAGCAACAATGAGTTTGGGTGTTAACATCTCCTACTATGGACACTGGTACAGTGATCACATAGGGACATCTTGCAAGCTGTGATTGGAGGACCAACCTTCCCATCACTTTCCACTGGGGCCAGACCTCAAGTGTTGGGTCCTGGATGACTCAGATCCAGGATCTAAAGTAGTATGACTTGGGTGAGGAATGCTTCCCACATCCAGTGGAAATTCAGGTGCCCCCTCTGAGAATGCACCTCATTTTAGTCAGGGGAGCAGCCTTCCTCTATCTTAAGTCTCCCCTGCACACAAGGCAGTATGAACAACACAACCACTGCAGAAAGTTCCAAGGCCTTTTCTGGCAGTGTCAGTGCGCAGTGAAAGAACTAGACTTGAGCCACACATTTCATGAAACAGGGTAAACTACCAAAGGTCTACTAGGTGCAGAGACTGGGGTCCATCCATCTCCCTCATGTTCACCAAGGCTGTCAGTTCAGTGCGTATCCCAGCAGAAAACGATCCTACGTGCATCACTCAGACACAGTGGTATACGGAAACGTGTGTTTCAGTCTGGTTTTGGATGAGATGGATCTCTGGCTACATTATAGCCCAAGCTCTAAGGGCCAAGAATTCAGACTTAAAGGTTCCATTCTGATGGCTATGTCATTGTATCTTCCGATACCCTCTAACCAGATTCTTCATACCAATGATTCCTGAGGCCTTATGACAGCCGAGAAGTTTATGAATGATTTCAAAACATTGAGTGAAAGAACAAACTGGAAGTTTTACTTATAACAGATAGCCAAGTGGGCAATCCAAGGTCACAGTTGTCTGAAAAGCCGAGTAAGACATTGACATGGATCAAAGTTGTCTAGGATCCTCAGAGCAGAGGAAGGTACAAAGGGTAGCTCAGGCACTATTGTACCTCCTGCCCCAATGCTTGCTTGCCCCAGAAGACACCCCAGAGCCCAGAGGTTCCCATCACATGCTTCTCAGCAAAAGATGACTCTTGGGACCCAGCCACCTGGTGATGGCGCATCACCTTCAAGTGTGCTTCTAGCATTGTATGATTAGCTCTGCAGCTCAACATGGCTGGGATCCATGAGCTCAGCCACTGAGCTGAGGTCAGGCCTAAGTCTTAGTCCCTGAAGGGCCTTAAGTGTGGAGAGGTTATGATACCAGTTCTTTATTTTTAATACAGGAAAAGCTGTACAAATTCTTCCATTAAGGGACATGACATAAAGGCATAAGGGAACCAAAGAAGCCAATAACATACTAATTCCCTCCAAGTATTTCACAAGCACAGACGCACCTCTGGGTCTATAGTAACTGACACTAACCAGCTGTGGCTATGACACCTGTCAGCCATAAGGTCTCACACCACATTACCCATCTCAGACGAGATTCACAGAGAACTTTGTGTTTCCAGTCTAGGTCTTATTGTATAGATTGTTCTTTGGGGTTAAGTAGCTACCTGGACACCACTAAGCGAGAGGCCTAGGACTTCTCCCACAAAAAGCACATAACTTTACTACACTTCAGTTTAAGTCATAGGCAAAGACGGGTAACAGGTATGAAGTTGAAGGACTTAGATAACAAGGGAAGAGTCATGATTCCCTAACAAACCATTTTATGACCAAGAAAAAAATCCCTCTCCTGGACTATGCATAACATTCAGTTCATTGTGACAGCTTTCTATGAAGTTGAGATCTAAATTGGTCATAAGACACTTTCATGGTACATGGTAGAGCCTGATCCATTACTGAGACCATATATCAGCTGAGGGCCCTCTCGAGTCTGGAAAAAGCCTGCCAAAAATCTACTCCCAGAATAGAGCTCTCAAGTCCATCTGGCAACAGCCCAGATCTGCCAGCACCTTGGCAGGACTTCTCACCCAGCCATACTAATCTCACACTGGCCCCTGTGCTGTCTGGTGCTGGTAGCAAGCCCTAACCCTGTCAAACAGGCCTTAAAGAAACACCACAAACAGGATTTCTGCAGCAACATGACACGATCATGATGGCTATCACACACACTGCTAGAGGTTTACTGGAGCAGGGGGCTAGGAAAACCTGGCCTGCCCAGAGAGGGAAAACTGGTCAAACCACTAACAATAGCAGGAGCTGCCTGTGCCTTAATATGCTTTTGCTGCAGATGATCAAGCCAGCACCTGTTTCTTTGCTCCTTGCTAAGAATGCTTTGTTTCCCCTAAGGAATGCTTTTAGCTTATCTATAAAAACTATGCTTATCACTGACTTTGTCAAATGTGTGGGCCAGTCTCTGTTCATGGCTCTTAGCTCTCAAGGCTGTCAGCCCCCCGATTTCCACTTTATACCCTAATTCCTGAGTCGAATTCCTCTAGCACCATTGGTTTAGGGTCTCCACAACCGAGCTGGTCTTGGCAAGCAGTGCCCAATGGGGGGGCTCGAATTCCAGTCGAAAGGTCACTGGAGCAACGGCTGGAGTACGTGGAACTACACTGGAGCACACCCGAGTACTCTTTAAGCAATCCCTGTGGGTAAGAAGGGGAGCTCAGAAGCATCAGGATAACAATGGGACAAGGGGTGAGCAGACATGAGGCTTGAGTCTGCTTTGGCATCTCAAAAGGAGGAGTGAAGGGTAGCACCAGATGACTTATGCAGCTTTTTAGTGTGGTAGAGAAATATTGCCCCTGGTTTCTGGACCAAGGAACTCTGAATGTAGAGGTCTGGGAAAAGGTAGGCAGTGCACTGAAAAAGGCATATAAGGATGGTGCTGAGGATATTCCTGTAAACTAGTCAGTGTGGGCTCTGGTTCATTCCACCTTGGAACCTTTCCACACAGATGAGAAAAAAAAGTCAGGAAGGAGAGTACAATGAAGTAACCGAAGATGACAGAGCAAGTTTGCTTGCCAGCTAAAGCGGCAGAGGGAGATGTTTATCCCTAACCCTCTACACCTCCCCACCCATTTTGAAGAAAGTGGCCTGACCCCCTCCGGATCTCTTCTGGAGGACACTGGGTGAAAAGTAGTTGCCCCTGTGACTGAGCAGCGCCTCAAGTGACCGCTCTCAGTTACATTCAGGCAGGAATCCAGCAAGCTAGATGAGAGGGTGATATGGATGCTTGGCAGTTGCCATGACAATACAACCACCTGATCAACGGGAATATTATGGTTACATGTGAGCCTCTTCCTTTTAAGTTAAAGAATTTAAACAAGCTATTAATCAGTATGGACCAGGTTTTCCTTTTGTAATAAGACTGTTAAATGTTCTCGTCTCCAGTCAGGTGATCCCTACTGACTGGGAGGCTCTTACTCGAGCTTGTCTGACTCATGTTCAATTCTTACAGCTTAAAACTTGGTGGGCAGAGGAAGCTTCCATTCAGGCTGCTCACACTGCCCAGGCCCAACCTCAAATTTATGTAACTGCAGGCCAACTTTTGGGGATTAGCGGCTGGGCTGGTTTAGATGTGCAAGTGGTCATGCAGGATGATGCCATAGAGCACCTTAGGAGTACGTATTAGAGCTGGGGAAAATCACTTCAGAATACCCATCTTTTAGTGCTGTGAGACAAGGACCAAAAGAACCATATGTAGATTTTATAGCCAGGTTACAGGAGTCTCTTAAAAAGGCGATTGCAGATTCTGCTGCTCAGGATATGGTGTTGCAGTTATTGCTTTTGACAATGCCAATCCTGAGTGCCAAGTTGCTCTGCCACTTATTAAAGGAAAAGCACATTTGGTCGAGTATATTAAAGCTTGTGATAGTATCAGAGGTAATCTGCATAAAGTTATCCTGCTAGCCCAAGGCAATGGCAGGACTGAAAGTGGGTAAAGGAAATATTCATTTCCTGGAGCTTGTTTTAACTGTGGGAAGCATGGTAATACTAAAAAAGAATGCAGGGGAAAAAAAAAAATCAGCAAGTCAGGCTCCCAGTTGGGGGGGCAAACAACTGCTGAGCCTGGAATATGTCCAAAATGCAAAAAAGGAAAACACTGGGCTAATCAGCGTCACTAAGTCTGATAAAGATGAGAACCCAATTTCGGGAAGTGCCATGAGGGTCCGTCCCAGGCTCCGTTCCAAACCGGGTCATTCCTGGCTCAGGCCACTCTCTCACCCCTGTACAATGCCTGTCCCCTGCCACAGCCAGTACCCGCCAGAGTTATGCTGCACTAAAGCTGCGAGCCTTCTGCCTGGGGAACCCCCGCAAAAGGTGTCAACAGGAGCGGACCCCTGCCTGCGGGGACAGCAGAATTACTTCTAGGTAGGTCTAGTTTAAGTTTAAAAGGAATACAAGTACAAACAGGAGTCAGATTACAATGGAGAAATTCAAGTTATTGTATCTACTTCTGTTCCCTGGAAAGCAGAGCCAGGAGAGCGTATAGCACGGCTTAGTAAATGACACTACAATAGTGCCACAGAAACTAACCATACGTTGGAATTGAAGACATTGACTTTCAAAAATTACTAGGAGACATTAATTGGATATGACCTGCTCTAGGCATTCCTACCTGTGCCATGAGTAGCCTGTTTTCTATCGTTAGAGGAGGATCCTAGTCTCGCTAGCCCTTGGCAATTACAGGAGGCTGAGACAGAGTTACAGCTAATTGAGAAGCAAATACATAAAGATCAAACGGAATAGATCAAAAAAAGACTTTAGATTTTTCCAACTCAGCATTCACCTACTGGTGTTATTGTCCAAGACCAAGACTTAGAATGGCTTTTTCTTCCACATACTAATTCGCAGTCCTTAACTCCTTATTTGGATCAAACTGCTACTGATAGGAAATGGGAGAACTTGAATTGTTAAATTGCATGGATATGACCTTGGAAAAATTGTCCCTCTTACAAAGGCACAAATACAACAGGCCTTTATAAATAGTCTTACTTGGTAAACCCATTTAGCTGATTTTGTAGGTGTTCCTGATCACTTTGAAAATTATTTCAATTTTTAAAATTGGATTCTCCCTAGAACAATTTAAACCAATTGAAGGTGCTAAATATATTTTTACAGATGGGTCTAGTAATGGTAAAGCTTCTCATTCTGGATTAAAAAATTTTCAGACACCCTATACTTCAGCTCAAAAAGCAGAGCTTGTAGCTGTAATTGAGGTGCTGAGTGCTTGAGATGCCTGTCAATGTAATTTCTAATTGTTCATATGTGGTTCACTCCACCCAATTGAAAATGCTAAGTTACACAATTTCATACAGATGAACAACTGATTACTTTATTCACCCAACTGCAAACGGCAGTTAGGAATAGAATGCACCCTTTTTACATTACTCAATTAGAGCTCATACACTTCCCTTCCAGGACCTTTGACCACAGGCAATCAAATGACTTATCGCCTAGTTGCTACTGCATTATCTAATACTATACACTTTCACAATTTAACCCTTAATGCCTCTGGTCTCAAATGCAGATACAGCATTACCTGGAAAGAAGCTAAAGCTATCATCCAGCAATGCGCAACTTGCCAAATGGTGCATTCCTCATCTTTTACAGGAGTTAATCCTCGAGGATTGGAACCTAATTCTCTTTGGCCAATGGCTGTCATATATGTTCCCAACTTTTGGGAGACTAGCTTACGTGCATGTATATGTAGACACATTTTCTCACTTTAAGCTACCTGTCAAAACAGGAGAATCTTCTGCCTGTATTAAGTGGCATCTTTTACAAGGCTTCACACAATCATAGGCATTCCAACTTCAGTTAAAACAGATAATGCCCCAGGCTATACTAGCCAAGCTCTAGCTACATTTTTCTCTATATGGAATATTAAACACATTACTGGCATCCCATAATTCATAAGGACAAGCCATTGTAGAATCAATCTCTCCCTAAAACAGCAATTACAAAAACAAAGTGTGGGGTTGCGGGTAACAGTGACTATGGAACTCCAAGTATACAATTGAATCTAGCATTATTGACTTTAAATTTTCTGAGCCTGCCTAAAGGCCAGATGCTATCAAGCAGCTGAACAACATCTATAGAAACCAGTGGCAAAGACAGAAGCAAGACGACTGGTTTGGTGGAGAGATCTGATAACAAAGTTAGGAAATACGTAAAATAACAACATGGGGTAGAGGTTATGCTTGTGTTTCTCCAGGCCAAAACCAGCAGCCAACTTGGATACCATCAAGGTACCTGAAACCTTATGAGCCAGATGCTGAGGAAGAGATTTGGGAAGGAACCCGAGGACCCCCGATTGCAGCCATGTCGAGACTGACAGTAAGGAAGACACCAGTCCCGGCAAGCAACACTCACCAGGCACAGCCACTCACCTGGGGCCACATCAAGAAGTTGACAAAGATGGGAGAAGAAAATCTGAAGGTGGCGGAATGACCAGCTATGATGAATAATCTAATAATAGCTATGACGGCTGTGCTCACCATTGCTATGAGTACTCCCCCCACCCCCCCCCCCCCCAGTAACTGCTGAAACAATTATATTGGGCATATATTCCTTTTCTACCACTTCTACGGCCAGTAATATGCTTAGAGCCCCTAGTGGAGGTATACACTAATGATAGCTTTTGGATGCCTTTTTCTACAGATAGAGGCGTGTCTCACCCCCAAGAGGAGGGAACAATTATAAATATCTTGTTGGGATTTGAGCATTTACCTATTTGCTTAGGGAAAGCCAATGGGCGTTTACCTCCCAATCTTGGCTGGGGATAGTGCCTGAACATATCTCTGCGGCACTTACATATGCTTTCCAATCTTAGTATTTATTACAATGATTATGCTCCTGTAGCCAAGGTTTACCACCCTCAAAAACCTATCTGTAAAGTGGATTGGACATGGTCAGAAAAAATGAAGGCATTTCAGACGATCATATCATAACGCAGGCAGAGGTGTTGCATAATGATTCATATGGAGTTATTGATTGGTCCCCTAAAGGGGCATCTATGAGGCCCCACCTCTCAATCTGCAGGTAGTGGTCACTCTGCATCTAAACAAAAAATAATCTGATGGTGGACACTAAGTACAGCAAGGGTTCCTATTATTTGGGCATATGGTATAGTGGTACCGCAACCCCAAATGATATGGCGTGCTGTAGGAGCTAAACGTAAGGAATTATGGAAAATCTTAATGGCACTGAAAAAAAGATTTGGGAAGGGAAATTTATTAAGCCAGCCCAATATAATCCTAATTACATAGTAGAATTGGCCTAACGATTCAGTCCGGATACAGAGTTGTGTCCATCTGCCTTTCCTGTTGGTAGAGTGGGTTTTTTAAAACTTGATCTCCCTAATCATGTAACTTGTCAGGAATGTAGTTTTCTTGTGTTAATTCTTCCTTGTATAATACTGATCATTCTATTTTAGTGGTAAGAGCCCGAGGAGGAGTATGGATACCCGTAAAGCTTTCCTGTCCTTGGGAAGCCTCTCCTGTGCATATTGTTACTAAAATTCTTCAAAAGGTTGTCACAGCTGCTGCCACAGTAGCTGGAGTTGCTTTGCATTACACAGTACAAACAGCAGACTATGTAAATAATTGGTAGAAAATTCTACTTTGCTGTGGAGTTCCCAAATAGACCACGAACTAGCTAATCACATCAATGAGATCTCCAACAAACTAATGTGGCTAGGAGATTGAGTAGTTAGAATATAGAGTACAGTTACAATGTGACTGGAGTACTTCTTTTTACGTTACTCCTCATCTGTGAAATGAAACAGCATGAGTGGGAAAAAGTTAACATTTAAAAGGTCATACTGGATATTTTCTTCAGATATTGCAAAACTGAAGGAACAAGTGTTTCAGAAGCCTCTCAGGAACATCTGACGCTAATGCCAGTGCTTGAAGGAGCTGCAGATGGATTAGCAGCTATTAACCCATTAAAATGGATCAAGACACTTGGAGACTCTGATTTCTATGACTGTGCTTTTAATCTGTGTAGTCTGTAGCCTACAGATGCGGATCCCGAATCTTGCGAGAAGTAGCCCACCATGACAAAGCTGCCTATGCCTTTATCGCTTTACAAAAAGGAAAAGGGGGCCTTGCTGGTAGCAAGCCCTAACCCTGTCATAAACAGGCGTTAAACTGGCCATAAACAGGATTTCTGCAGCAATGTGACATGCTCATGATGGCTATCACACACACTGCTAAAGGTTGGTTTACTGGAGCAGCGCTAGGAAAACCTGGCCCACCCAGAGCAGGAAAACTACTCAAACCACAAACAATAGCAGGAGCTGCCGGTGCCTTAACATGCTTTTGCTGCAGATAATCAGCCAGGGCCTGTTTCTCTGCTCCTCACTAAGAATGCTTTCTTTCCCATAAGGAATGCTTTTAGCTAGTCTGTAATATGTAGAAACTATGCTTATCACTGACTTTGTCAAATGTATGGGTCAGACTGACTCTCAAGCTCTGAAGGCTGTCAGCTCTTTGATTCCCACTTCATTCCTGTGTCTCTGTCTTTAATTCCTCTAGTGCCACTGGGTTAGGGTCTCCACAACCAAGCTGGTCTTTGGCAGTCTGGGACACTGAAGGACACTTGATCAACCCACAGCCAGTGGCAGGTCTCTGCTGACTGGACTCCAGGCCAGTTGCCTTACACTGCCATCTTCCCCATGGCAGGCCTTCCTGCACCAGCAGAGATGTCAGGGATACATCTGAGTTTTGCCTTAGAGTTTCTACCTTATGCCTTAACATCTAGGTGGTGGACAATACCTGGGGGTTTCAGGACGCTTACAGAAATGCCAACCAGCATTGGGAGGTAGAAAAGACTCTTGGATCAACCTCCACTTGAGTATGGAGAAGTCAGGAGGCAAGGAGTGGAACCTTCAGAGAGATCGAGGAAGATAATCCCATGTTTGAACAACCATCAGTAGGAACTGAAGAGGGACAGCAGGCTTCTAATTCCCCAGGCATAACCATGTTACCAGGAACGCCAGCAAAGGAGACCAAACAGAAGGTCTGTTATAGGTGACAACACTCCACCCAAAGAGGGCAGAGCGCAGTAACTGACCAAAGCCTCAGTATACCAAGCTCACCGATTACCATCAAAAACCACCACCGGTTAACCTGCTTCACCAGGACATTCTGTAGGCCCAGTGCCAACTATTAGAGCTGAGCAAAGGCCAAAAGTTAGAGGCATACATATCTGCACCTTTGCCTACCCACATCAAAAGGATGCTCCCAGCAGAGCTGAGACTGGAATCCAGACATCACAAAGGTTGTCTGAAGTGGACAAGGGAAACATCCCTGTGAAATTCAGAGCAGATTCATCTTCCTCAGAGGAACTGCCTGCCCTGGAAGAGCCTGCTTCTCTCAAGAGGATTTATACAATCGTGGTGACAACTTTCACCTCAGACTTTGCTGGCCTTGTGGGGATAGAATCACAACCAGGGCCAGGACACCAGAGGCAGTGCAATCGCCACAAGAGGCCTATGGAGTTGGGTGGTGTGGGATCCACGGGAGAAGTATCCCTGCAGACAGAGGTGTCTGGGTTCACTCATCTCCCGTTTCATGTTGGACACACCTGAGTTCCAGGAAAGCCAGGAGGCAACAGTTTATTTTTGCTTCCTGCCTCCAATTTCACCCCCATACCTTGAAGGTGCTACGTTGTGCCTCTAGTGTGTTAAGTGAGGTCTTGATGAAAAGCCTCCCGTAGGTATAGAACATCAGGAAGAAGGGCATATCTATGGCACTTAACGACAAAGCCTCAGTCGATTCCATGGTGCTGACCTCTGAAGTCCGGTCTTCATACCTTAACAGGCCAAGCACACACCAGTGGGTGGCAGATGTCAACTTAAGACACACCCCCGCCCCCCACAGCAGTGCCTGCTGCTTCATAGGTTGAGATACAGAGCCTCGGTTTGAAGATGGAAACATTTCACAAGTTACCATTGATTCTAGTTAATAAGTAGAACAAGTCATACTCCCAGGTGTCTACTCTTCTAGACATGACTTCAGCAGCTCTCAGCTGGGAACTTCCTCAGCTGACCATTGTAAAGGAGTTGAGAGAAGAAATAGCCGTTTGCTCCTGTACTGAATTTCTCAGAATACTGCCATAAGAACTGCTTCACTCTAGTTGTAGACTTCAAGTGTAAGTGTTAAGACAGAGTCCTTTAATTCTCCTTCCCAGAAATTGATAGACAAAGACAACACCTGCAGCGGCACTCAGACTAACATTCAAGATGTCCCTGGATCCCAAAGCAACTCCATGAAGGGACCAAGACTACAGGAATCCAAGGCTCTTGGAGGATTCTTTCAACGTCATTGCTCCTGCTTTGTCATTGGCTATATCTGAAGAAGGAACTAGGGTGGAAGCAGTTTGAGTATTTGACACTCAGGCTTTCATGAATGAGATGAAAAGCAGACAAAAACAATCCCTAGTCATGAAAGCTGTGACATGCTAAATATCAAGGAATTGAGATCAGTTGGCTAGAGAAGTTGATACTGTGCATGATGCCGTTGAAAACTTTAGTTAAAAAGCAAACTCAAAATGCTCAACACCAAACTTGAAAAGTTGCTAACAAGCATCTCAATTATGCCTTTTTGACCTATGCAAGATATTCCGTATATTGGAAAGATGTATCCCACTTGGCCTAATGCTTCTAGATCTACCAGCTGTTAACTGGTTTCAGCTTCTCCCGCTTGTATTTCTGATCCTAACAAGGAATGGAGTGACTGGTGACTAAATGTGTCCTGCAAGTGCAAAGTTACACAAAACCTACCTCACTGGTCAATTCCCTTGCACTGGAATGGAAAGCTCATTTATAGCATCACTGACAACTTCTGACCAGAGCAGTTTAATGCAGTACTGGAACAATGGTCGACCAATGAGAAAAGCTCCCTTTGCCTTCCAGAGCATTTACAGTTTCATCTAAGCACGAGGACAACTTACAGACTAGCATGTTTACATGTTATGAATTTCAGAGAGCCCTGATGAACGTGACTAAGAACATCACCACTATGCCAACTCAGTGGGCACAGAGCTCAGCCCCATTGCACAAAACAGCATCAACTCCCCTACTTAAAATTCTTTCCCAAAAAACATTTTTCAGGATATTTGAGTTCAATAACCTGAGGCCTTTATGGTTTGTCTCCAGGATAAACACACAAGGCACTTTATTTTCTACTGAGTTGTGGGTTTTTTTCTGCTTTTTAAAGCTTTTAAGGTTGCTTCCCACTCAAATTGAGTTTTAAGTTACCTGATGAATTTAAGGAACCATATTCACAATGTGCAAGCATAATTTTGCACCATTTTAGTTGAATTGGATCGTTTTTAAATTTAGATTTGACATAAAGCTGTACCATAATGTATCCAGCTAAGTTTAGTCTGTGCTTCCTAGACTTACAGCCTTGCCGTGGATCTTTTTCACTTGTCCTGGGTCAATGAGTATCCAACTTTATTAGTAGGGAATTTTTGCTTTTACTGAAGACAAACTGGGAGGAGAGGTGGAGTAGGAAGGTTTGTAACCATCATGATACAGACACTAGTTTTGGAGAAGAATCCTCAAAGACGAGGTGAAAAGAAAGCTTGGGAAGCAGGGGATTTGTGGTTCGCTGCTCACCCCTGCCCCCAACTGGCTGTTGGTCAGAATTTCAGTGATAATACCCATTTCTTCCTCAGACATGTTCTTGTCCAATTGTCTTTTCCCAAGACACCAACCAGGAATTGAGTTTAATATCCAGAGGATGTTCAGGAAGTCATTCAGGCAATGAATTTAGGTGTTTGCCCAACTATGAAGTGTAGAAGTTTCTTGCCATTGAATTTGAGGCCTTATTGCAAACTTCTTTCAGTGAATTGAATATATGTGCCAATTAGGTATTAACGTCAAATTTTCCACATTTCCTAATTGTTTTAAAGATGTGTTCAGCCAAGGTAAACTGCCCACTATAAGCCATACAGTTTTTTTTTTTTTTTAAGGTTAATATGTAGTTTAAAGTCTTAGTAGATAAAGTTATATCCACAGGTAAAACTGAATGAAGTATGTAGCAAGATTCTTGAAGGTATGTTGGAACGTAGAAAGCCCCCTGGGATGATAGCCAGCCATACATGGGTCATGGAGAGGGAGCAGGAACTCAGTCCTCCAAGGACTCACCTGCAAGCAGCATCAGAGCAGCTTCTCAGCCTCTGCCCAGACAGGCTACATGTGACCCGATAGCAGCCTACAGGAAGGCACAGAGGTCATTCAGACCCACAGTGGGCTGTATCCCACACACTATGACTGTGGTGCCGGTCCCGGTCCCAGTCCCAGGCCATAATAGGAAAAGGATGTCCCAAATCAAGAGGAAAAAAGGCAGTATCATAAGCCCTAGGAGCTCAGTTTAGGAGATGTGTTCTAGGAGGCAGGCAGTCTGCTCCCCAGGGAATGCTCCTTGCCTGACCCAAGCTACCCTGACTCTCCACACTGAGAATTGGAAGTAGTCATTTGGCAGCAGGCATACATCATCTCCCCTGTGGAGAAACCCAATGGCCCTCCAGTGTTCCTAAGAGACATCCACTCAGCTGTCTTCCACAGGGGGGATTTTGACCCTCACAACCCATCCCTGCCCAGCGGTTTCTTGCAACACAGCGAGACACCTATACAGTATTTCCTCCTCTACCTTATTCCTGGCTGGCTGCACTTGCACACGCCTTCCAGCCAGAATACAGGATGCACAGACACATCCTGCAAGTAATGCGAAAGGGCTTGGGGAACACCAAGCATAGAAGTTCCCAACCCGAGCATAGACAACAGGTTATGCCACATGCCTAGAGGGACTGCTGGCTTAGAGATGGGCCACTTGGCTTATTCTTATGGCTTGAGGCCCAAGAAAAGGCCACTGAGCTCTTTGGGGGCATGCACAGATCACCAACATTGACTTGGGGGTGAGGCCGTGCTCATGTTTTCCAGTTCTATCTCCCAAATCACCTGGACTCAGACTAAATGAAGGTAGATTTTAGCAACTGCTTAAGAACAGGAGTTTGAGGCATTCTTCTGAAACACATCAGGTAGAGAGAATCTTCCCCAAAATGAGCGGGGGAGGGGGACCACCAGCTACTGTAGCCTAGTCCCCAGGAAAGAAGCCAAGTTTATAATAAGCAAGTACAAGGCCCTGGAGTGTGGCCAGTCCACAGCACCACTTCCCAGTTCATCTGATGTCACTTAGGCTGTGGCAATACAGGTGGGGGCTCACAGCTAGTCCCCCCTAAGTGAAGAATGGAGCACTAGCAAGATTGAGGGCATCTAAAACATGATAAAGGTCCCAAGTAGTCACTCAGGGAAGCCCCTTGAACACCACCCCCACCCAACCTTCAGTACACACAACCAGCTCCACCAGCTGTCAATCTCACAATGATGGTGAAGCCAAGTCCAGGGTCACCTAGGAGCCTCCTTTCCCACCCTGCAGCTCATCACCTGAGCTTCCCTTGGTAGGTGGATCCATGGTCCTAGAATTGAGGAACTCAAAGCCCTGCTAGGATGCATGGGAAACCTCAGCAGTTCAAGGACAGGTCCCCAGATAAAGGTCTCAGGATCTGCCCTTTTCAGAAGACAGGCAGTACACCCTTCCCTTTCCAAGGAGCTGGGTACTATGCTACACCCGATACCTGGGCTAGAAGTTTCAACATTCTTCTGCGGACAACAGCCCTCGTCGTAATGCAAAGTTTCTTGAGCCAATGTTATGCCACATCCCTGGATGTGGCCACTTCCAATGGCTAGGAGTGTGAGGAGTACACAAAAGCCCAGCCAGGTAATATTCAAGGCTAGCTGTGGAAGCTACTCTGGCTCCAGAGATTATGGCCTCATTTAAGCTTCTTTTCCAAAACAAACAGTTTGCATTCCACCCTGTTCCAGTTTGCTTTCAGGTGTGAGAGCTCACTTCACCAGTAAACCTAACACCTTAAACAATTTCCATCTACAAGTCTGCCTCTAGGGAACACAAATTGACTTCACATACCCAATTATTTCATTCTCAGATCGCTGTAGAAAGTCAAACAACCCACTTGGCTCCTCCAGTATGGAAGTAGGCAGAAGTCCCCTGGGTTTGCTAGTACACATTGGTGTTAGACTGGTTGTTATAAACTTAGTTGTGTAAAGTCCAAGGTCCACCTGGTCTTCCCAAGAGGACACGTGTGTCACCGTGTGACTTTTCACATTGCACAATTGGTGTCTTAAGCCTATACCATGAACCACCTAGAACACATTACAGAATTCGTCCATTCACATTGTGTGCCAATCTAAAAACTTAAAGACAGAAATTTAAATATAGATCAAGGAGATACTTTGTAATGAGGTCAGCACAGAAGGTTTAAGGGAGAGGGTCCACTGGCTGGAGTACAGGAATGCCTTTTTTGTATGCTCTGGACCCTCTCCACCAGGCTCAGCAAGACTGACAAGTCTTACGTCCCAGTCTGACTTCAGCCCCATCCTGCCTCCTTTCTCTCTTCATGGGTTTTAATCTGAATATTTTATACAAACTTAGTGTTGGCTTAAAGTGTCCTTCCCCAAGCGCTCAACTACCCCACCACAAACCACCCACGGAAGTAGTCTCAGCCTGGTTCAAAGGAGCGAACAGTCAGGCTTGCAAGAGCCTCTTCCGTAGCCTGCCTCAGTTTACCAGCAGTTTCAAGAGACAGTTTGCTGCCAGGAAACAACCTA
Source organism: Homo sapiens (assembly GCF_000001405.40). Taxonomy (NCBI): domain Eukaryota; kingdom Metazoa; phylum Chordata; class Mammalia; order Primates; family Hominidae; genus Homo; species Homo sapiens. The sequence continues at coordinate 10,161,959 of NC_000004.12, read as the reverse complement.
TGACAAGCACAATGCACTCCAGTTGCAGTACCTACTTTAAACCAACAACTGTTCTCTGATGCTTCTCCCTTATTACCCACAATGACCCCGGATAGTGAGTTTAGAAGGCATTTACTTCCCAAACGTAGGTCCAAAGCAGACCTAGACAGTGTAGCTCCAGATACTTCCAGAGGACCCAACTACACTGCCAGGTCATGTTTGGCTCCTTTTGCCGGAAGGTGAGCAGGAACTGCTGCTACACTGGGCCATTTCTTGGTGCCCCCAATGCCTGATGGGTCAGGAGTAGCTAGGCCATTACAGCAAACATTGCCTGATAAGGACAGGCCAGCAGGGGCTCAGACATTAGGTGGTTGTTTGGTCACCTTTGAAACAAGCAACTTTGACAAGTATTGGCCAAGTGTGAGGGACTCTGAGGACTGACATTAGGAAAACAGATAATCTTATGGTCCTTCCAGACCAACTGCAGCTGCAGTTTAGGATTTGAAAATCATAGCTGCCCATCAACTGACAACCATGCCAACCTGTCAGCCATTTCATCAGACTTGCTGTCCAGCTGCGGAGTGTGGTTACCCAAGGGCTCCAAGCTCTTTGCTGTTATTCTTGGGATGGCCCCAAGCCAAACTGAGTCGAGCCATTTCTACCTCATGTGGAATTCCTGAGTGAATCCTGCTCTCGTGCTCCCTACTGGACTGGCAGGACTGGCTGATTCACATTATGATCTGACAGCTTCCCTCTTCATTCTAGGTCTTTTGCATTTCTAGTTCTCTCAGCATCTACTTCCTGGACAACTGAACAACAAAGCCACCATTAAGCATCAGTAGCAGTAAATGTAACATGGTGCAAGGAGGCGGAGAGAAAGATTTGGGACCGCCGCCTCTGTAGCCCAGCTAGAAATTTTCATCTCCTGGTGAGAGGTAAGCACACTGGCACAAGGATGGGGAAGACACACTGACAGAATGTAGCCTCACTTTCTTGTGCTGAGCACAGGTCCTGTGCACACCTGTCCATCCACTTCTGAGTCAGTAGGCTCCTTTTTCCAAGTTTGAGTCTCGGACAGTGAGTCTGGTTTCCCAAGGAGTAAGAGCAAGAGGCAGAAAGCCAACTTGTGTCTCCACACGTCAGAGAAGCAGCTCAGAATTCTTTAAACAAGTAGGATAACTTTGCTATGTGTAGGTATTGTCACTAGGCCACACACATGAGCATGTGGTGATTAGCAGTCAAGCCCAACAACCCTGTGGGCCTGTCAGCCTCAGTCAGGATCTGAACACAAGATCTCTGAAGATAATCCCAATGAAGAAAGATGGGGAAGAGGAAGTGGAAAACCAAAGCATAAGTTTATGAAGAATCAACTAAGAATATTTCAGTCATTTAATACTTCAGTCATTTGCAGAGAACCCTTACCCCGATTTTACAACCAAAAAAAAAGTGGCCAGCGAAGTCTCTTGTCCTACGTAACAAACAACTGGTTTCAAAACAAGAGCCATACTACCACCTAGAGGCACATACGATCTACACTGCCAAGAAACCATGATCCCTCTGCCCAAGTCACCTATTTTTAATCCAGAAAAAACAGGTGGAATCTCCCACTGATGACACCGAGCAGAACTCTCGTGCCCAGGAAGTTCTACTGGGTGGAGCTGGCCACTCTTCTGTAGTAATACAGGGGAATCCCAGCAAATAAGATGGCCCAAATAACTGTAGCCCCATGGGTTAAAGAGGATACCAAGCTGGGATTTGGGATATTCAGGTGACAGAGTGGCCTTTCTAGATGTAATGTTTCCTTATCCTTCTGCATGTCAGTATTCTCAAGCCTGAGATGCAAGAAAGCCAGCATGCAAGGCCCTTCCCTCTTGCACTGTGTTCATGGTGTGCAGGTAAAGAGGCAGCAGGAGCAACAAAAGGGCTTCTCTCACCATTTCAAGGACAGCAGAATGGGGATGTCATCCCTAGCAGCCTCAATTACCAGCAGAAGCTAGTCTTTCAGGAACAGGTTCTAATGTATGAGTCACAAGGATTGAGGGAAACAGGTACCTTCACTTCAGTTCCAGCATCATGGCCAGTGTTTCCCAAGTAATGGAGAGTTCTTATGCTCTCAACTGTGGCATATACCTTTTGCAATAGTGATCTCATCTCCACAAGTGCCCCCTGGGCAAGATATGCAGCAGCAAGCAGCTGCAGAGCAACCCAGGTCTCAAGTCCAGCAGCTTTGGGATGAGAAGTCTGCAAAAGTGTTTACTCCTGGGGCCAGGAATGCAATTCTATGAAATGGTGCTGGGCTTCTGGGAGCACTATCCCACAGGTCATCCCACAGCCATCCACATGAAGCTGGAGAAAAAGGACTCTGCAGAGCTTGCATGTAACAATGCTGACCTCAGGAAGACTGTGAGCTACTGATCTCTTCTGATAGGGCAGTGATGTCCCAAGAAGGCTCAGCTAGAGCACACGGCACAACACAAGCACCAAAGCAACAAGAACAACTCCCAAGTGTCAGCCATTACCAAATCCCAAGTAATCTGTGCTTCAGAAGACAGAGGTTCTGGCACAGTCCTTGCCTCAGACATTGTCTCCTCCTCAGCAGATATAACTAATACAAGAATATGAAGGACCCCACTGCTCAGCCTTTGTATGAAGGCGTCTCTAAGGCAGCTACTACAAAGTCATCTCCACGGACCAGGACAGCAGCCATATATCCTTTCAGAGAAAGCCCCACCAGACCTTGATGGAAGGGCACCCCAACATCTGCCTGGCCTGCATACACTTAGGGCATAGTCACCTGACGCTTCTCCATTGAAAATAGGAGATGTCAAGGGAGATGCAGCCCCAGCTGTTGCCCTGTCAAGAGCCCCAGGAGGCCTCTGTGCTGGAGCAGGTGTGCAACCCCCACCACCTTTGCTGAGAGCTGCCTGGGACTAGTGTTTTGAACGAGTCACCTGTGGACATGGACCCACAGAATCTGAGGGGACCCACAGAATCTGAGGGGACCCACAAAGGAGCAGCTGAATGGCATGGTTGACCTGAGTTTTTGAAAAAAGCCCCAACTTTGAGACAATTTTCATGATTTTGGGCTTTAGGATGTGGAATCATTTCTCAAAGTATTGTGGAGAGTTCTGTCGTTTCGAGCAGGTCCTGCTAGTGCTGCCATACATAGCTCATCAGGCCAGCCTACATAACTAGGAAACACCGCTCACACAGCAGTGCCAGCCTTCTAGGTGAGCAACACTTCCTGAAGGGCAGAGTTGCCTAGGAGGTGCTTTTATGTAAAAGCATGTCCATCATGGTTTGTGTTCTTTCCACTTTACTTGACAATAGTTAATGTAGTTACGAAATGTTATAATTTAAGCAATACAGTTACCAAGTAAAAACGGTCTTTTATTCTTGTTCTCAGTCCTGAAGACTATAAACTCTTTGTATAAATTATGTTGTAAGGAGTTTAAGTCTGTTGGATGTTTTTCAAGTTTACATTCTAACCAATGTCATGTGATACTAGTCTACAGAACAAAGCAGGCTTTGTACGTATTTCCACGGCAAAAAATAGTTCATAAGCCAAGCTGATTGTGTTCATGTTTTCCGTGAAAATTACTGCAAACAAACTTGGTACCTGGGATCACGTGATTGTAACATGGGATGCTCGCCTAACACTGAGAACATTTGCCTGCTTAGCACGGTGCCCGGCCTGGTGGGTGGGGGTGGGGGTGGGGGTGGGGGTGGGGGTGGGGGTGGGGTGCGCAGAGCAGCCTCTAAGCACTGAGCTCAGACTCCTGCCAGGCAGGAGAACCTGGGCTCTCCTGCTCATCCATGGCTGCCTCCCCAGGCAGGAATTGTCCACATTTCAGAAGCCATTTGTTCAGGGGGATGGCATTAGTTCACACAGGATCCAGACGAATCTAATGAAAATGATAAGAGTAACAAGAACTCCTCCCCCAGTGTATTCCTCAAATCCGTCCAGGAGTTCCAAGAGCCATCAGCTTGTTTCCATTCTGGCCCTTGGCTGAGGGTCCTTAAGCACCACCTGGTGGCCATGAGGCATCACAACAGACAATGAAATGGTAAGTTCTTAGGAACTTAGCATTCTGACATCACCCCACCCAACAAAGATCATGTGCCCTAGCAACAATGGAACTTTATTATTTAGAAGTCACCCCTTCTCCTAGGAAAGGAAAAAGATATATCACCCATGCTCAAAGAAAATGAGCCAAACTTGAGTTTAGGAGATGGCAGCCACACACAGCAGGCTGTCTTGTAAGGGGCACAGCAGCAACCCCAGGCCACAGAGGGCAGAGCCTCCAGGACCCATCACTGGAGATGACTGCCTGGGCAGACTCACTTCACCGTTAGAGAAGTGTGGCCTTCCCTGGTGGCTCTAGGTTCACAGTACACAGAATTACCTGCTTTGAGGCAACGCTTCTCTTACCAAGTAGTGACTTAAGAAACAAGATGTATGTAATACTAGTGCCTGGGAAGGAAAAACCACCAAGTATGGAAGAGATCAGTTATGACAGCAGACAGCCTCTTTCACAAAGTACACTGAAGGATTCCCGGGTCACTGCCTAGGATGGCTCCTCCGGCTGCATTCCAAGGTAAAGTATTCCCATCAGATCCCTTTATCCCTAGAGTCCTCAAGGCCACCTCCAGGAACCCAAGGCTTCTAGTCCTTTTCCCAGGAAGCCAGGCTGGCTCCTTTGTCTACAAGCATGATCACAGCAGCCCCAGGAGCCATTTCTAGAACAGGTCAAGTGCTGACTGCCAGTGATCAGACACTGTACCTGAAAGCTGAACCCCCCTCTTCCTGTCATGGAGTTTGCTTCTTCCCTGGTCTCCCCCCTGCATCGACTTTCATCCAATGCACCTGCTGCTGGCTCAGTCCTCCTGGGGCCACATGTAGCTCCTAAGGATTAAGACATATCAAACTCCAAGTTGGAAATGCTAAGAAACAGTTGTCCAGATCAGGCTCCCCTTGTCATGCAACAACAGGATAGAGTGGTTTCTGTAGTTCAGTCCCCTTCCTTTAGGGATTAGAAATAAAAGATGGGAAATGAGGCAGAGCAGCATTCACTTTCCATTCCAAGGTGTCTTGACAAGCAGAGATGGTCTTGTTGGAAAGCCCATAAGCTCTTCAGTTGGGAGAAAGCCGACAGTTAATGTTTTCTGAGAATGACTTTCATTGTATTTAAGACACTAAAACGTACTCAATAACAGCATAGTCAAGTAACAAGCGAGTTCAGGTGATGACTCCTATCTACTTCCACCTGGAACAGATGAGACATTTGTCTAATAGAAAACATCACATCTTCTATAGTCTTCATTGCACATTTAAGTCAAAGGATTTTGTACAAGTTTAGTCTTTCCTCACAATTCACCATGCAAGTTCAGAAAAGCAGAACTGATGTGTCAAAGGATGTTAGGAAAACCCTGGTTGGCCCGTAAGTTGCTTTTGTAGTCCCACCCAGCCAACCATCCTTAAGAGGGGAATCACACAGCCCAGCCTCAGCACAATCAGCACTCCACTGCAGAATTCTAGGGATCAGGCTGGAGCCCAGCGGCGGGCACTGGAAGAAAGTTAGAGTCCTACGGGCCCCGCCCCCACCCCACCCATGACTGCTTCTCCCTCTGGGAGGGCAAGAGATTCAGCCCCTTCTTCAGTCTCCCTGCCAACAGATTCATCTCCCCTGGGCTCTGCAGCATGAAGACTGTCAGCCCATTCTCTCCAGTCCAAAGGCTGCTCTTGAGGGATCATTCTACAGGAGCAGATTCCCATCAGAAGGGATTTCATCCTAGGGAATGCACTAAACACCAAATCCTTGGAGATGCTCTGGTCCTCCAGGAAGTACGTGCCCAGAAGTGATGTCCCCAGAAGTGATGAGGGCACCCTATAGTCCTAGGGAGGAAGGGGTAGATGAGCAGGCCATAGGAACCTTCCCTTTTCCGCAGGGCCACTTCTTATGGGCCCACTCTGCCTTCAGATGAGCACATGGAGCTTCTAATTCCCAGGGTGGCCCAGGGAAAGCAGACCTGTTTTTAGAAGGCTCCTAAGTTTAGGACATCCTGCCTCTATTAGCAGCTGCCCACAATGACTATCAAGTTATCTTGGTCAGAAATACTTCAATGGCTTCCACAGCCCTTTCTGGGTCCTCTTCTCACCAGGGAAGATAAAGCTTGGGACCACTATCCAAAACCTCCCAGTTTCCCCCGAAACATTGCCACCCAGGGAGGTTAGGATGTCAAGGACAGGGTTTCATCTGCGAAGATTATGGAATATGCCCCTCCTTCCCGATAACTAAGCAAGGAAGGTACGCCTTCAGCAGCTAGTCCATCATGCCTCCCAAAAAGTGGGAGGAAAGCACTCAAGCCTAACTTCTGAAAGGTGGGATGAAAAACTATTCTGTTGGTTCTGAACAGTCAGTTCCCTCTGAGGATGTCTGGATGAGGGAGAAGCGGAGGGGAGTGGTCAGACCTCAGCAGACCACTTTCATGTTCCAGGCCCCAGAACACCACGAGGAAGAGGGGAGAAAAGCTCTTGATGCTAAGTCCTCTTTCAACCCCAGCAGATGAAGGAACAAAGGAGATGGAGGAGGAGCACCACTCACTGAATCCTGCCAGTGAGGGACAGAACAATCCGACATTCCTCAGTCATTTAAGACACTAAAGCAGCGTGTTATGTACCACAAAATCCAAGTCTAAATCTAGAACAGCCTGTGGGACTGAAGCCTCCATCTCCAGTTCCTTAGTGAGCTTATTCTTAAGTGCATACAAAAGCCTCACTTTCCTCCACTGCATGTGCAATGTGCTACTCAATTCATCTCAAAACCCTTCAGGCCATTGAAGGGTATTTTGTATATCCCCCCTACCTTCCAGTCACTCCTGTGGAGAACAGAGTAGCCAAGGGGTCATGAAGCAGCATCCTCTGCTCAGAAGCCTGCAGGGGGAAAGCTCACTGCTACATGATTGAGATCTCACCAGTGCTTCATGCTGAGCCACAGGTCAAGACAAAATGTGTTATGCCACATTGTTCATCTGTAGGAGAAAACATGGATGTTTGTTCGTAGGAATGAGCTGTTCCTTAGGACAGACATGACAAGGCATACCAGCCTTCATTCTATCTCCGCTAAATGGGGTTTTCCTGCTCTTTGAAGAAAGCCCCCCTAGTTCTTAGAGATGACCAGTTGATAGCATTCTGATACCTGAAGTCAAGCAGTTGTCAGGGTAGCCCTTATGGTACTTGATCAGGAGCCAGGATAAAACAGCTAGAGCATCCAGGCACTCTCGTGTTAATGTAAAGGCCCATTCAGTTTAAGAGGAATGATTTCCCTATTTCATCAAGGCACTTTCTGGAAGAATGTGTCCCCCACAAGGTCAAATTCTGAGTGGGAGTATGACAAAATGTCAAGTCCTGGATTTAAACAGACTGGAGACGTCCACTGTAGCAACTGCACTGGCATCTCCCACTGACCCGTATCTTCTGATGACTATAAAAACATGGGATATGCTTGGAAGAGGCCAAGTGTACAAAAGCTATCTGCTGAGCTCAGCAACTTTGGCTTGGATGTACTCTAAGCACAGGTGCATTCCTCTTTTATTATGAGGTCATTTGGGCAACACCCACTCCAGTTCTGGTCTAACAGCAGTGGAAGTCCTCATGGAGACATGTGGGTCACCTAGAACTCAGACAGGACATGGGCCACTTAGTGACCACTAGAGAAGCTTTCTGCACAAATCAACGTCCCTCCTAACATCAAAGTCCTCTCAAAGCTTTTTGATTTGAGAAGACAGGATTTTTAGCAGCAAGACCAGGGTGAGGAACGTTTCCCAAGTCAGAGGGCAGACTCCAAAGATCCAGTACCTCCCTTAGGGGGAGGTCTTAGTCATGGGTAGGGGAGAAGCCTTTCTCCATCTTAAGCCTGCCCTGCACATGAACTAGTGGTAAACCTCACATCCCTTGGAATAAGGTCAGATGTCTTCTACCAATCGGATTTTACCCAGAAGAAACTTTCATAAGACACGCCTCAAAGGACATCAAAAATTGTACAGCTATGAAAGGTCCACCGAGAGGGAGGTCCAGACATCCACCACATTCACCAGGTCCCATATCAGCTTTCACAAGGTTAATCCCATGGTGATTTTGTAGCACCATAACTCAGGACCATCATTATATAAAGGATGTGTTTTCGTTTGGTTTGGAATGAGATGAACTTGATAGTTCATGGAGAACTCCTTGAGCTAGCAGTGGTACCCTAAGTCAAACATTCAGAAGTGAGCTCCACCTAGGGTTACTTAGCCTTATGTCACTTTCCCTAAAGCCTCACATAGGACGACCTTCTTTAAGCCTCAGAACAGTTTAGAAATACTAATTACAATTTGAAATACTCGAGTTAAAGTGGAGTCAACTAGAACGAAGAGATGGGAAAATCCAACATCATATTGGGGTTTAGCAAGAGGCTGACATGAAATGGCATTGTCTAGAGACCTCAAGGGAAAACAGGAAGATACAAAGGGCAGTCCAGGCACTAGTGTCCTGCTTGACCTAGCAGATACTCTGAAACCCAGAGACTCATTACATACTTACACTGTCAGCAAAAGGTGGCACCTGGGACCCAGCCACCTGGTGGTGGGGCGTCACCTCCAAGTGCACTTCTACCATTATGACTGGCTCTGCAACTCAGAATGGCTGCATCCTGGACCCAGCTCAAGTGTCAGACATGAGAATCTTTGTCCAGGAAGAAATTCACATGGTGAGGTTGTGATGCCAATTCTTTGTTTTTAGTCAAGAAATTTGTACAACTCTGAAGTACCATGTCATGAATGAAGACATTGAAGAACAAAGTAATTGTCTGCAAAATTGTACAAGCCCAGAATATTCATAGTAACCACCTGTGGCAATGTCAGTTTCCAGTCCTGGGTCATGATTCACTGAAAGTCCTTTCAGGGAAGGCTTGAGACTTACCCAGTCTGCATCCCTTATCTGCATTCCTGTAGGTAGGCACCTAGACACCATTCAACAATGGGCCTAGGCCTTCCTGGAAAAAGACACCTAGCAATTCATGCCCAGTGAAACCCAAGTAGTACAGAGAATTGAAGATTAAAGGATTTAGTGAAAGTTATAATTCCATTTAGAACATCCCATGATCATGAATGCCCTGTCACTGACCTGTGCATATTTCACTGGAACAATTTTAGCATGAAGATGCCAACGTTCATTCTGGTCATGGGACCTTTAGTAATTCCCATTACTCACAACATGGCTGCTTATTGAGCAGAGGCCAGCCGTGAGCTCTCTGCTCTGGTTCTCCCAAAGTCTGAGGTCCACCCCCGAGAGGCCTCTCACATGCAGCTCCCCTCACCCTAGATCAGCCAGTACCCAGAGTTAGGACCTCTTGTTCAGCCAAGGTCATTTCCCACTTGTGGGACACTGCAGAACACTTGATCCCCAATAGCGAGCATCACATTTCTGAGCAAGAATCTTCAACTAGCTGCCCCCAACTCTACAATCCTCTTCCAGTTGAGGCTTTCCTGCATGAACAAGGATTTCAGGAATAGGAATTGGGCATCAGTAGTTTCTAACTTGTGCCGTACAAGTGCATGTGGTTGATGTATAATACCTGGAGGATTAAAGGAATGGCTGCTGACTGAGCAGTGTTGAACATCAAGAAAGCTTATGTGACTGCCCTATCCAGAACAGATGCCAACTAAAATGCTCAGTTTCCTGAAGACGGACAGAAGTCAACCAAGGATGGCTGTTGGCAGCTCAGCTCAGCAACTGAAGGAGCAGGCAACTCCTGCCTTTTGGGTGTGCAGTATCCACAGGGCAGGTTTTTGGTTTTTGTTCTGCATTTGCCCAGACAAGCTAGATGTGATCAGATGTCATCTTAGATGGCAGGCCCCTGGCTTGGTGATACGACATATTGAGCTACATCGTGTAGGATGTAACCCTAAAGATTCCCATATAAGAGGGGAGAAATTCAGGCAGTTATTGGAAGCCCTAGAAGCTAAATTTAATGAAGAAAAAGTCAACCAAGGAGGCAGAAAGCCTGTTCTCTTGGAGAACTCCCTTAAGCATCTGATAAATCCCTATAAGCCCCTCACCGTTACTTTTTGGAATCAATGAAGACTTCCATTCCACCATCCAGCCACCTGCCATTATCCGTCCTTTAGAAGAATTGCTGCAAGATACCCTCCCACTATGCCTAACAACTAGCTCAGCTCCTTCCTGTACTGAGTGGCTATTTGCTCCCCACAAACTGCTAACTTGCTATGGACAGAGATATTTTTGGTTTCCCCAGCTGGTGGAAGGGTACACATCAATAAGAATTCAGGAGTGCTGCTGAAAATCCTAGAAAGCAGGGTATAGCCCACACAGAGAAACAGGAAGCCCAAGAGGGTCTGTAGTCCTGAGACAGAAAAGTCAGAATAAGCTGGTAGTTTTAGGAAAGATCTGAACTTGCCACAATGCAGTCTGTCCAAGAGCACAGCTAAGACCTTTTGGGTTTTGCAATATTCATGAACCAAAGAGGTGCACAGATGATCAAGCTCAACCCCCACCTGTTCAAGCTTATCTCCCAAAGCAGAGGGCACTATGACATCTTCCACCTGGCTCTTCAGTTTCCTCAAGAAGCCTACCTCTGCCATGCATCGTTGCCTTCAAGGGTGTGTGCGTCGATGCTGAAAAATTGGCTTTCCCCTTATTTCTCTAGGGACAGAGGAGACTACTTTGGCTTCAAGAAATATGACTCGAGGGCCAACTGGCGCATCCACTGGATGCCAGTCCTGATGATTGGGTGCAGGACTCAGACCTCAGGTCCCTGAGCTCTGCAACCCACCCAGGTGCTCCTTCTGTGCTGAGCCCTGTCCACTCTGCATTAAGTTAGAAGCACATCTGCACTGATAAAGCCCTCCAAGGTGCTAATTCAAACAGCTTGAGTAGATCGGGGCATCCATGAAGTTACTCATATGCCCTAGCCTCCTCTAACTGGCAAGCTAATCCTTTTTCTTCATGCAGAGTAACTTCAGGAAAGCCCTACATCCTGACCGTTTGTGACAGGAGCCACCTCTGCTGCCTTCCTCAAGTTCTATAGGCGGGTCACCTTCCACAAACAACTGAGTGCACTGAGTGGAAGCTTCTTGGTCAGCGTGGACCAAGGTTACAGAACTGTTGCTGGGGTTGCAAATTAACCATCTGCATGAGCTCAGTGAAAATATGTTCTCCATGTCTGCTGAGGCTCAGACTACTGCACCCAGATGAGCTGACAGATGCCTCCAGCTGCTGTATTTGTCTCCTTCCCATACACCCCCAGCCAAGTCAACCCTGCTCTCCTAACCACTACCAAAAGGTACCAGAGCTATGCCAGCAGACACCGGAGACCCTGAACACCCAACAAGACAGGTTGCTACTAAACTCCAAGTCCTGGCAAGCCCCTGACTTCCTGTAGAATTTCAGGCCCCAAGAGCCCCCAGAATTAGAGGAGAAAGCCTGCTCAGGGCTTCTCAACTGTCTGCTCCTCCCAGCCCTGACTTGCCGACCTTTGTTTCCCCAGCCTTTTATTCTACTGTTCCATCGTATTATCAGTTCAACTGCAGCTGCCCTCAGCAGCACTGAGAGCTGACAGTGTGAACCAGCAGCCCTACCAAGGGGAGCATATTGTGACCTTGGAGGGAACAGCCACATAGAATCCACACCAGACCCTCCTGGCCTGGGAAGGGCAGCAAACAGCTTGACGATGCACATGGCAGTGGATATATTCCATGTCTCAGGTGAGACCCACCCCCAGAGAGCTGGGCTGAGGATGGGGCCTGTCACTGGCCCTGTGTAACAAAGGCCACATTCATTGAGTAAAAATGGTGACTGACACTTCCTGGTCTGCTATCACCTAGCACAGGAGCAGATGGACCACACACAGACAGCTGCTTTGAGTGGGCTCCTAAAAGCAATGCAAGTCTCAGTGTCTATGTTCTGCTTGGGGCTATTAGACATCGGGGAGCATTCAGGAAGCAGCATGACCCAATGTGCAAGAGCATTCATCCTACCCAGGGGTCCCCAGGAGGCGCAAGGCCAGACTGGCAGGCCCCAGACTCTGTGGTCCACCTTCCTGATACTCCATGCAGGAGACAAAAGGAAACCTTTGTTCTGAGTTTGAAAGAGCAAGTATGGCCAAGCCTGGCACATGGAGATATTGATTGGCAGATGAGAGGACATGGAAAAGGAGCCCCACCTTTTGAGAAGTCCCCACCCTGGCCATGCTCTCCTGAAGTCAGAATATACCAGAGCCTTCCAGGAAGGATGCATCCTGATCAAATAGTTCAAATTGTAGGATGTCTATGGCCAATGCCTGCAGGCTTGCCCATCTGCTTCTCACAGCCACTACAGCAGCCTACTCCTGGCCACAGCACAAAATGGAAATATTCATCCTGTAAGCAAGCTCTAGAACATTCTATGACAGCAAGTACAGAAAGCTCAGGCCTCAGGAGGGCAATGACCAAGACAGAAAAGCCATCTGTCTATACACGGGGAGTGCTTGATTAGAGTCCCACCTGGATCATACACTGATTCAACTACAGGCCATGGAAGCCTGCCATAGGGTAAACCCCAGCCACAGACATCACCATCTTGAGGGGAGGAATCTAATCCATTCCCAGCACCAGTACTGCATGGGCCAGGTATGAAGCAGGCAACCTTCATAAGCGTTCCCTGCCAAAGGAGAAACATTACACAGCTCGTGCTTCCCGATGGACTGTCCCGCAGAGTTCCAGCTTGGCTGACCAGGCCCCACCACCAAGGCAGCCTCCTCACAGGTCTCCTGTCCCTGGTGAAAGCCTAAGTTCTGCAGAAGTTATACTACCTCCCCTGATGGTGGATAAAAGTCATCTCGGGCATCATTGGTTCAAGGAAGCCAGTTCAGGGCCAGCCCTTGTGTCACAGCCAGAGACTCAGGTCACAGCAGTAGCAACAAGGCACACTAGCATCTCAGCATCTTCACAAACTGGATATGAACCAATGTCCCACAGGAGGACATGGAGGCACAATTCCGACCCCTGAGCACCTGAGTCCACTCATGTGCAGTGAGGACATGACCTTGAACTTCAAGTTTCATGCCAAGACTCAGGAATCCTCCTCACCACTTGAGTGAGAAGGGCCAAAGCGCTGCAAGTCACAGGTCCTAGGACCTGGACTGAGGGAACATTTCCAAGAAGGGAGAAAGTGAGCTTCTATGGGGTGTCTCCTTTCCAAGATACTCTCTCCCAGCCTTCTAAGATTATGGGGAGAACACAGGCATCCAGAACTCCAGCCCATGAAGGTTCCCCATTGCAGAACTCCAAGGCACCCTTCAAGGTGTTGAGAGCCACTGAACCAAGTTCCTCGTTCAGGGGAGATACTGCTGCACCACAGCACTATGGCAGTGTCTGGAGACATTTGTCATGAACGGGAAATGCTTCTAGCATCTAGGAAGATTAGCCCATAGGTGCTAAACATCTTATAGTACACAGAACAGCCCCCCCAACCCCAGTGAAGAATCATCCAGCCCAAAATGTCAATGCTAATGAGGTTGAGGAGTCCTGATCTAGCTGGCAGCTTTGACACCAAAAGACCAAAGAATCAGCTTTTGGAAACTATATAGGAGTAGAGGCAATGCCTGCAGAATTTGATTCTCTGTGCTGGTGAACCACCCAGCAATGAAGAACTGCCACCCTGGTTGCTGAAGCTCGCTCTCAGCTGAGGGGTGGGGCCACCTCTGCTTCAGTTTTCCCGAGGGCCCCCACTCCTTGCAATGCACTGTCACCTTTAAGGGCCTGCAAATAGACATCGGAGGCAGGAATGAGTTTGTTTCCCTCTCCGATACTGACATCATAGTGGCCAGTTAGGACATCTTGAAAGCTACAACATCCACTATTTTACTCAAGTTGTGAGAGGGAATCTTTGTTCCCTCAAGAGTATGAGTTAGCCTAAGTCCCCTGGGTTTACCAGGACAGACGTGATTTGCAACTGACTATTCAGCTTATAAAAGTTGAATTCCAGGGACCACCCAGTCTTCCCTAGGCAATACCACCTCACTGCAGGCTTTTCTTTCTACGTTGTATCACTGGTGTTTTCACCTAGGAAGTCTAAAACTTGACAGTTCTTTAGCCAGAGTCATAAGTACTTTTCCTTAAAACAAGTAGTCTGGGAAGGTCTATAATAAATTTGACAACAGAGGCCACATTTGATGGGACTGTTTTGAGGATCATGTCTGTATAAAAAAAGGGGATGGCTAAGCCTCCCCCAGCTTTGTCCACTTTGCCAGATTCAGAACACCATGGGGACTAGGGGGAGCTTTCTGTAGTCATGGCATGCTCTTTTTATCACCCTGAGATGGATGAGAACAAGTATGTTCAGATAACAGTGGTGGACGACAATCCACCACTCTCATCACTTGACAAAGGCCATTTACAATGTTTCCAGCCATTGAGCCAGTAAGACTGAGGCCTCCATCCCCATGCTTTGGGAAGCTCCATAATGAGGTGAAGACCTTCACACCAATACACGTTCATCATCCGCTGAGGAATTAGTCTCGTTTAGACAAGAGTTGAAGACTATAGAGTCAGTCACAGCCTCATGCAGCAGTAAGCAATTTTGCTCACTGAACCTCTGCCTGCGGCCTTTTCACTCCCAGGTTCTACCTTTCCCCTCCAGCTGGCTTGACAGTGAAGTCACTCCAGCTGTAAAGAGACTTGCAGAGGATCTACTCTGGGAAGACGATTCTCATGACATAAGATGGATAACGGCATGTTCATAAGGCCCCAGGCCCAGTGGGAGTCCAGCCATCATTGCAGACCCTCCCCCCTTTGATTGCTGCTGGGATCTTCCATGCCTGGGCAATGGTTAAAGAAAAGTGAGTGGATCATTCCTGCCTTTACATCTAGCCATATCCTGGGCCAGGACCCCAGTCCTAAAAATGTGAACGGGCTTTCTAATGTCTGATGCTCCAAGGGCTCATGTTTTAAGTTACCCGGGACAGTTCCCTCAAAGTACAACTTCTATTCTGCCCCAAGTGAGTAGAAGCCAGGAAAGCTTTCCAGCACAGAAATCGTTACTTTGGCAGCTGGTTCAAGCTGACTAATTGATAACAGACCTCATGTCTGATCTTTACTTGGCCAGTAAAAGTCCACCTGCCTTTGACCAGAGAATGAGACAAGATCATGCTCTATCACCTGGACTAGAGTCCAGTGCCACTGGTGCAGTCTCGGCTCACTGTAACCTCTGCCTCCTGGGTTCAAGAGATCCTCCTGCCTCAGCCTTCTGGGTAGGATTACAGAGGCATGCACCACCACACTTGGCTAGTTTTTGGCAAAACCTCTACCCATTGCTCAGGCTGGTCTCGGACTTCTGAGCTCAAGTGATCCACCCCCCTCAGCCTCCCAAAGCACTGGGATCACAAGTGTGAGCCACTGTGCCCCACACCAGGGTCTTGTAATTTTTTAAATCAAGACCCATGCCAGATAGCAATAGACTATTTCAATGCTCCAAAGAGGGCTAGCATCCATTTGCTTTTTAAATAAGATGGAAAGGCCATCAGTACATATTAATAGGAAGGCTAGCAATGTAGTCTTTGTCCTCAGGTTAACCCTTCTCATCTCTACCCCCATCCAATCCACAGGAATCTGGATTGGCATTTCACGGGAGATCTTGCAGGGCTATTATTGCCATAAGTCACACTTGGCAATTAGGAAGTAACAAGTGCTCACGGGATAAACACTCCTATGCAAGAATGAGGGAGAAGCCTGCAGAAACCCCAGGGCCTACAATATTAGTGACGTTTTCAGGCGTTTGATTCCCACACCAACTTCTGTTGTACCTACAACCCCTCTCAAAGCTCATAGCTCTAACCTCCTTGGGAATTCTTAAGCAAGTTAGAAAAGGAAAAGTTAGAGTCAGGGTTTATAGATGGATTTGGCTTATTTTGAGCGCTAAATATAAACCACTCCAACACTATGCAGAGGGCACCGTAAGAAACGGACCACGTCTTCCCACTGAGGATTTAAATTCACCTGATTGTCTCTTATAAGAAGTTTAAGGAAAGATACTGAATCATATGCATTAAACAGACTGGCTGTCCAGGCCCTAGGAGATTAGAAGATAAGTCAACAAGATCTGGAGAAGAGGCATAAAGAGGAACCCATGGGAATGGGGAGGAACCCATGGGAATGGGCAGGAAACCTATATAGGCCAAGTCATAGGTCGGTCAGAGCCTGGCATGAAGCTCCCACAGGATGCATTTAGTCAGGTGCACGGGACGCATTTAGTCAGGTGCACGGGACGCATTTAGTCAGGTGCACGGGACGCATTTAGTCAGGTGCACGGGACGCATTTAGTCAGGTGCACGGGACGCATTTAGTCAGGTGCACGGGACGCATTTAGTCAGGTGCACGGGACGCATTTAGTCAGGTGCACGGGACGCATTTAGTCAGGTGCACGGGACGCATTTAGTCAGGTGCACGGGACGCATTTAGTCAGGTGCACGGGATGCATTTAGTCAGGTGCACGGGATGACTTATAGCCAGGTGTAACTCGGCCACCCGAGCGCTCCTAGAATAGGCCCATTGACAGCCATCCAACTCCATGGTCCTGACCTGTAACAGACTTCAATTAAGACCTCTATAAAGCCACCATCCCTTAGACAAATCCACCACCCAATCCCTATTCAAGACACAACATGCTGCTCAGTAGGGAGTAGTCTGCCAGCCTTAGTCAGTCCCTCCAAGGGCAGCCCACAGCCATGAACTAGCCAAACCAGCAGTCCTACCCATCTGTGACCTGGAACCACCTTAATGAGATGCTGCCTCTGGAGCTCCCCGACAGGCTCAGTCAAGCTTTACATCCTAGTCTGACCTCTGCCCGATCCTGCTTCCTTCCCCTTTTCACAGGTTTTAAATCTATTACACGTTTTAGACAAACTCTTCCAGTCTTGACTCAGCACCTCCAAGAGCTCAACTGCACCATCTCCATGAACTATTCCACAGCCGACCCAACCTGGCTCAAGGGGGAAAGAAGACTGGCTTGTGATGGCCTCTTCCATAGCCTACCCTTGGTTCACCAGCAGTTTCGAGGCAGTTTGCTAACAAGAAACCCAGTCTGGAACTAGCATATTTGAGTTGCAGTATTTTGGACAGATGTCCTATACTATTTATCTAGTAGCAAGAGTATAGGTCTGGATCCAAGGAGAAATTTCTCCCTCACAACCCACAATGCTCAGGAGGGAGACCATTCATGTTCCATCCCTGCAAGGTTAGTTCTGGCAGGCTAAGACACTGCAGTCCTAGACACTTCCACCAGGGAACAAAAGCAGTGCCACCAGGTTATTCTGAGCTCCTTTGCCTGGAGATCAGGGGTTGCTGATACAGGGAGGAAAGTATATGGGATGTGGGTGAGTCACTAGGGCACTTTTTGGAGCTTCCCAGTGGCTAGGCTTCACAATGGCCATAACCTGACCAGACCAGGATCTCAGACCACTTAGGAACAAAAGACTTTGGTCACCTAAACCAGTCAAGTGTTGGCCAGCTGTGATGTAGTTCGCAGAAGATACAGTGACTATCAACTACATCTTAGAATGACAGTCCTTACAGACCCGATTTGAAACCATAGCTGCCCATCACTTGCAGATCTGACAACATGTCACACACCACCTTCACAGAACTGTCTGGCTGTGAGCATGCTTACCTACTAAGGGCTCTAGCTGTTAGCTCATGTTCCTTTTGGGGTGGCCCCAAGCCAACATTGAGCTGAGCCATTTCCACCTAATGTGGGATTCAAATTGAGGATTATCTTGCTCCAAAGCTCCCTGCTGGACTGGCAAAATTGTCAGGTTCAATTATGATGGGACAGCTTCCCTTTTCTTAAATCGTAGATCTTTTGTATTCCTAATTTAGTGCATATACTTTCCAGACAATTCAACCACACAACCACCATGAGCCATGAGTGTCAGTGGATGTAACGTGGTCCAAGCTGGGAAGTCAGATTCAGCACTGCCTCCTCCCCTACCAACCTGGAAGAACCTTGGCTCTTGGCGAGAAGCAGCTACTAGCACAAAGATGGGGACCACACTGACAAGGCAGCCTCACACCTTCTGACGCTGCACACGGGTCCCCTGCATGCCTGTCCCTCCATGAGTATCAGTAGGCTCCCTTTTCAAAGTTTGGACATCACAGTGAGTTAAGTTTGAGAGGCAGAATCAACACCAAGAAAGTGTCCTGGGGAGCTGTGAGGATATGCTGTCACATTCCGGCGGTTGACTCCTTTACTGAGACTCATCTGTGTGAAATGAGTCGGTGAGGAAGATCAATCAGCCTCGACCAATACAATCTGTACAACCTAAGGTGATCTGGCCTATTCTGCCCAAGCAGTTCAGTCATGAACCACCTGAAGAAGTGGAACCACCAACTCAAAGTCAAGATTCTTCACCTGCTCAGGAGAGAGAGGACGACGGAGCATCTGCAGCTCAAAGCCCTGAGCTGAAAGCTGATTGCCAGGAACTGGTTCAAAGACTGGGTATGAGCATGGAGATGATCCTGATGTGAAGGGGATGTGCCTACTAAACCCCAGAGCCTGGGAAACTGCCAGAAGGTGAAAAGCAATCAGCGTTAAAAGACATGCTGAAATGATGCGGGCTGCTATGTTGGGAATTTGTTCATTCAAAGTTCTCTCAGTTTACAGCCTTCCGGGAGGGGGGAAAAATAGTCTCCAGAGGAGCTGCCCTGCAGAATTTGCTACTGGGTGGGATAATTTATGGTACGCATAGATATTGTCACTTTGCCACAGCATTAACCATTGTGGTGGTTAACACTGAAGTGTCAACTTGAAGGAGGCAAACTATTGTTCCTGAGTATATCTGTGAGGGTGTTGCCAGATAAAAATTTGAGTCAGTGGGCTGCGAAAACCAGACCCAACCCTTCTCATCTGTTGGGCACAATCTAATCAGCTGCCAGCAAATATAAAGCAGGCAGGAAAAATGAAACGGTGAGACTGACCTAGACCCCCAGCCTACATCTTTGTCCCATGCTGGATGCTTCCTAACCTCTCAAACATCGGACTAAGTTCTTCAGTTGAGACTTGGACTGGCTCTGCTCCTCAAGCTTGCAGACAGCCTATTGGGGATCTTATGGTTGTGTAAGTTAATAAACTCCCCTTTATATGTGTGTATCCATCCTATTCTGTTCCTCTAGGAAACCCTGACTAGTATAGCCACCATTATGCGAGTGGTCGGTCACTGACACTTTGGATTTTCAGTTAAGGGAGAGAAAGCTAGTATGTTTAGATAGAACGGCAAGTGGCCAGAGGCATTCCCAAACATTCTGCAGAGACTATCTGGATAGTTTCTTGTTGCCCCCTTGACTTGGTCAACTGCTCACTTGTCCTCACACCTGAGGATCCTTTTATGGTGCCCTCAGGCAGTCAGTGAGATATCAGCCTACAGCTGTTTGCCAAATTCTTGGCAAGGATTCCCAACACCTTGCCCCTCAGGCTTCTAAGGAGGTCTCACCCATGGAATCTTGATTGAATTTCCAAGCCAAACCTCCCATGCTTGGATCTGATGTAAAGATAGTCTTCCAAGCAAAACCAGCTGCCTGGCAAGTTGAACTCAAGTCTTCAGAGATTTAGACCAACAGTAGGGGAACTCTGGATAGAAAGACCCAGATCCTTGCAAGAGCCTGGGAAGTGAAACCTAGGTGTGGGCCACTGTGCAGCATGCTTAATCTTTTATATATCAGAGGTGTCAGTAACTATTTATACTTGATTCAGATCACTACTGGAAGCCAGTGGTGTGGACAGTCAGTCGAAGTCGAGATTTTGTGATCTAGCCCTATAGACACTAAAAGATTCATAACCAAGTTCAAGTGTGGCAACTACCTTATGGATGGCCACACAAACTCGAATATGATCACTTGGAGTCACCACCCCTTTACTGCATGTTTACTTCTGCCTTTGCCAAGTGAGATTTTACAATCCTGGCTCCTATGTTTCTGAATTAAGATGTTGAATAAAAATGTGAAACACCTGTGCCAGAGGTCACTTAATATTGAGATATGCATGCAACAAGACCAAGGAAATGCATTTCTACTCAGCAGAGCCCCTAACCCAGGAAACAGACACCCGAGTGTGGAGCTCTGGCTCACATGGGCCAAGATGCCAGTCTCTCGTGGCTCAGTGATGTCACTCCCAAGTGAGAGTCACTGCCTGTGTCTCAGGATACAAGCCCCTCTTTCTAAAGGACAATAAGATAGACTCCCCAGTGCCATCCTTAAGATCCATCCTTGAGTCCCCAGAGCGCTAGGGGCTTTCTTTCCATCCTGGACACTGGCTGAGGGGAGTCCTTTGGCGTCCCCACCTGGTGGCCACGAGGCAGCACATCAAGACAAGGAAATCTGCTTGGGAGCTTGACAGTCTGACAACCCCCACCCCTCCCCCAGGGAGGTCCTGTGCCCGTGACAAAGATGTGAATCTTTGCAAGTCAACCCTTCTGGGAAAGGGGGCACAGACAACCTGTTAGAAAGTGAGCCAAGCTTGAATTTCGAATAAGGGATGGCAGGGCCACACAATCAGCATAGGTAGCAGGCTGTGGCTCAGAAGGGGCACAGTGACAGACACGGGTCACAGAGCAGCGCCTCCAGGGGCTCAGCCTGGAAGACTCCCTTTTACCATCAAGAGGTCAGGAGGAGTTATTGCCTCTGTGGCTATCTTTAGGTTCACTATGCACAGAATTGCCTGTTTCCTGATGTAATAGCTCTTAGTAAATGGTGGTTCAAGGGAAGTTATGTACGGTTATGCTAGTGGGGGAAGGAATAACAAAAAGGTCAGTTGTGAGAGACAGGCATTGATTGAAGTATACCGAAGAACCCGACCAGAGTCACTTCCTGGGACAGCTCCCCCTATCCCCAGTCCATGGTCCAGCATTCCCATCAGATCCTTTTATCCTGGTGTCCCAGAGCCCACCCTCCAGGCACCCAGGACTTCTATCCACATTTCCTGGGAAGCTGGGTGGCTCATTCACCTCCAAGTACAATCAGACTGCTGAGCTATTTCAGGAGCAGCACAAGTGCTAACTACCAGTAACTGAACACTAAGCAAGTTTGAACCCGTTCTTCCATCTTTCCGAGGGTGTTTCTCCTGGTTTCCCCCATCGATATTCATCCAGCACACCCTGCTACTGGGTCTTCCTGGAGTCTCAAGCCAAAAGAATTTCCAAACTTGAGTCGGCAATGTGATATGTAGACCAAATTAAGGACTTGCTTTTAAGCAGCTCAGTGCATATGTCTAAGTGTTTCTAAGAGAACCTTTAGAATTCATCATGAAGCAGATGTCAATGCTTAGACATCTTCCTTAGGTTACAAATTAAAATGGATATGTGGAGACAGGTATTCACACTTTCCCTTCCAAGGTGTATGAGCAAGTAAAGATGGGCCAGTTTGAAAGCCTATACCACTTTCAGAATTCTGACAGCTCAATGTACAAGAATGGCTTCATCTTTACGGCACTAAGACAGTCAAGCAGATGAAAGGAACAAGCAGCCAGGAGACAGTTGTCAAACCCACTGCCATTGGGCTTAGATGAGAAATTTCAGTCTGATAAAGCCATGCTTGAGTTCATGCTTCACAGGTTTTTTTCAGTCACAATTCATGCTATTGCAAGTTCAGAAAAGTAGGCCTGATGTATCAGATGATCCCGATAAAGAAAATCCTGGTTTGCTTGCAAGTTGCTTTCATAGCCCTGCCCCAGCCAACCCATCCCTACAAGCAGAACCAGAGCCTAGCCCCCAGCAACTGGCCCTTGACTGCACAATTCTGGAGCTGAGGCTGGAGACGCGCAGGGAGGCTGGAGACGCGCAGGGAGGCTGGAGACGCGCAGGGAGGCTGGAGACGCGCAGGGAGGCTGGACGGAAGTTACCATTTGTGGGGCCCAAATGCCCCCCCCTTCGGCAAGGGCAAGAGGCTGAGTCCTCTTCACATTCCCTGCCAACAGTCTATATCCATGGGACATCCTAGCACAAGGACTGGCAGCCCCTTCCCCTGCAGTTCAAGACAGTCTTGTGAGTTCTATAGGAGCATATTCCAATTCAGAAGTGCTCTGCAAGTCTTCAAGCCTCCCAGAAGAGTGCTAGATACCAACTCTTTGGAGACACTCTGGTCTACAGGAGGGGTACATGCCCAGGAGCGTTAAGGGCACCCCATAGTCAGTCCTAGGGTGAAGTCAACAGGCCATAGGAACCTTCCCCCTCTTCCACATGGCTGATCCTCGTGGACCCACTGTGCACCTTCAGATAAGCACATGGAGCTTCTCACCCAGGGGTGGCCACCAGGAGAGGGGGGCCTGTTTCTAAGAAGCTCCCATGTTTAGGACATCCTGCCTCTAGTAGCAGCTGCCTGTCAGGCTGAAGGTGACCACCCAAGATGCTCCTGGGACCCCCAGAGTGTCAGTCTAGGGGAGTTAGGGTGTCGAGAGGCCTCCACCCACATATTTTAGAGACACCCTCCTTCTGTAAGAAAGATAAGCCTGTAACACCACTGGTCACTAATAACACCTAAGAGCACTCAAAAGTTTTGAGGAGTGGGATGAAAACAGACTCTCCCACCCCCAGGATTGACGAGGCCGGGAAAGATCCAAGAATCACAAGGACAAGCATCAGAGAACCACTCCAGGCTTAGGAACAGCTAAGGAAACTGCACACTCCCCAGAAACTCCAAGTCTAGTGAAGCCAGGTGCCACCTGTTCAGTGCAGAAATGAGGGTCGTAAGTAATGAGAGACACTGAGTAGACTCAGCCTGTTCTGTTTGCCACTGGATAATCATCCGCGTCAAAATCTGAAGTCACCGAGTAAGGACATCTGAGAATTCATGGCCAAGTTGGGACCTGATTCTCAAGTCTGATCCTTGAGGTATCAGATCTGAGGACTGATGGATCCTTTAAGGTATTTTGTTACCAACGATTGAGTCTTACCATGAAGTCAGAACACACCTGAACAATGTGGGTGGAGGCTTGTGAAGCAGATAACCCCACCTTCCCTTCTAATTTCAATCATGTAATCGCCACATGGAGTGTAGATGTGATAGGGGATTTTACTCAGCAGCCTCAGGAATAAGTCTTCCAGCTAGAACCACCTCCAGAAGCAGTACCTCAAAAACCTAAGAATTACCATATGATCCAACAGTTCCACTTTTACCCAAGATAATTGCAAACAGGGATTGAAGCAAACACCTTCATATGCCCAATGTTCACTGCAACGCTATTCATGACAGCCAGAACACGGAAGCCAACCCAACGTCAATACCAAGAAGAAACTGACATCTCCATGCAAAGGATTGTTTATCAAAAGCTGTGATACGCAACAACGTGGATGGAAACTGATAAAAACCAGACAGATGATTATAATCTTATGAAATATGTAGAGTAGGCAGATTTATAGAGCTAGTAGATTGGAGGTGACTGGGGGTGAAGGGAGAAGGAAAACATTACTGCTTAGTGGTTGCAGTTTTTGGTGGGGTGAAGAACTAGTTCAAGTGATAGGTGCACAACATTGTAAATGCGATTAATGCCACCGATTATAAAATTCAACATGGTTGAAATAGAAATGTTTTGTTTAGGTTCATTTGACTATAATACTTTGGAAAACGCAGCTCACCTACTTGGTGATGACGCGGCTGAAGAGGAAACCCACCAGGATGTGATCAGCAGGAAATTTTCCAGACGAGGGTTACTGTCTGATATTTGTAGAGCTTAGAATTCATCCCCCTCTTGACTAGAAAAAGGTTGAACCAACCCGTAAGTAAACCATTCTCAAGAGCCAAAGATGAACAGGGCAAGCCACTGCCCAGGAAGTACAGAGCCAGACAAGAGGACCCTGTCACAGCCAGCAGGGAAAAGTACCTGCAGGAACAGCTTTGACTATCTGAAAGTGAGTATAGGCTCAACGTAGTCAAAAGGAGTTCAGGCTCCAGGGACGGAAATGACTTGGGCTATTTCCAAGAGCCCCACACTTAGTCTCAACTGAGGATGGAAGAATCTCATGCCTCTGGCAAGGGAAACTATTTTGAAATATACCCAGGACTCTCCCTAACAAGGATTGTGGGCTACTTTACCCAGGCCCAACCAACCTGGACATGGGAACATAAGCTCCCGCTCTCTTGACCCGTCCTGCCTCATCTGGGAAGTATTTGAGGTAATGCTAACCAGGAGTTTTCCAAGATTAGTGACAGACGCCAAACCAGATCCAGGAAGCTCAGGTCCAGGTAACATGAGCAAGACATCTATACCTACAACATAACTGCAAAGAAATCTAAGAGCAAAACCTGACATATGACAGGACCTAGCCCAGGGCAGAGGAGCTGTGGAGCCTACATTCCCCAGGGCCCAGCAGGGACTCCCCATGGGCTGCTGTATACCCTTCGAGGCCACACAACCAGAGGCAAGAAGTGCTCAGATACCAGGAGGACCAAGACATCCAGAAGGCTCCTTCTGGAGACAGGTCGGCATAATAGTTCCAAGAGCCACCTCCCCACATCTTAGGCCTGCATGCTCTTGACCCCTTCCATTATTCTCGGGCATCATTTGTCTACCTCCAAAGGTAGTGAATGGCAACAGCATCCACGAAGAACACCCCAAAATCTTGAAACCTTAGGGAGGGGCCGCCTCAAAATCCTGGCATGCCAGTCCCCAAAGCACGTGCCCTTTATGTTCACAGTGAGGTGGGATGTGGTCTGTTGGGAATTCGTCTGGCAGGACCCCAGTACATTCCATGGAACACCCAACTGCTGAGGGTAAGAACACCCCTGAGACAGGAAGCAGGCACACAGGATGACAGCCCCTGGTGGGTCCATCAGACCAGGAACTAACATCCTCTCCAACCCTAAGGTTGCATAGGAACTCTTGGCCATGGATACCTCAGGTCAGGCTCCACTGAGATTTGCAAGGGAAGAAAGGGTTGAAGAAAACCTCACTTCCTTTCAGTCACTGCAGTAGTATCTCGAGTGAGGACAGCAAACAAGGCCAAGGTTAATCCTATCTGATGACAGGGTATTCAACAGACTACAGTAACCCCATTGGTACAAAGACCACACTGACAGGTGTGCCGCCTTCCTCTATTCTCTTTGGCAACATCCCGGGACAACCTTCAAAATAAGAGCCCCATCTAGTAGCTCAGGGACATCTGTGGACAGCTTCAGGCCTCCAGTGGCCACACAGTAAGGAAAGCCCATGAATAACCACCACCTTCACCCATATACCAATTCTGTTGCCATAGAGAATTAAGTATCTCCATGGATGTAGCTTGAACACCCCAGTCTGATGTAAGAGGTCAGGCGAAAGGCATGGAGTTAAAGCCAAGCCCAGTGAAGACTAGTGGCTGGAGCTGGCATGAATGAAGTATCTTCAGGAATCTACATGCGATTATGAAGTCAGTGCAAAGCCACTATGATGAAACCATTTAAGTAGTATAGATACCCTATGGAAGAGATGAAATTCCTGTCTTAAGATCAGTTCAGCCGGAAGACAGACAGCTGGTGAGTTTATAGCCACCTCAGGATCAAGGTCATTAAGTCTGGAGCTTGGGTATCGAAGTTGTGAGTCATTTGCCCCCTCTTCTGAGGGCCAAATCTGTGACCCACCCCTCCCCCCTCCCCTCCCCTCCTCACTCCCATCACCTTTTCCTGGTGGTCTTGAGATGGACTGCATACTGAGAAGAGGATCAGCAGGGGTCTGGAATCCAGGAACATCCCAGACAGACAGGTGGTCACCCAGGAGCTGATAACCTCATCCCACTCAAGGTAGATGAGTCAGCTCTTGAAGGCCCTCCATTGAGGACTCTGTCCACCATGAAAAATGACCAGAGGAACACAGCCCCTCCCATGAGTCCCTGGTCATTTGAATCGTCACCCTGGTATACTTGGAATCCTGGGATCTAGTATGTTATTCGGCTGTACTTCATAAGAGACTGAACCCTAAACCCTCAACACCTCCAGAAATAGTCTTGGGATGTTTTTAGATCCTAAACAGAGACAAAAACAAGTCTTCAGCAATACACTCTCCCAGCCTTGAGCTCCCAGTCAAGCAGCAACTACATTTAACAAGGTACAACTCTGACATTCACCAGGTGAGAAAAACCAGAAAGCTGGAATCAAGGTCACTCACATGGCAATCCTTGCATAATAGGGGATAGGGTGCAAGTTCCAGGAAAGACCTGCTTTGACGGGATTCCCGCTGCATCCTGTGTTTAAGCCCCTCTCCCCTCAACACCGAGGACCACCTTGAGAATGCTTCTCCTAGTCTGCAGCACAGCCTAGAAAGTTGGCTGGAGATAAAGGCAACTCTCCCTGGAAGCCTGAAAATTTTGATCCAAGTTAAGGACCACAAGAACAGACCAGGAAGCAGCACTGGAAGTAACTAATGTAATATAGCAGACTTCAAGGCTGCTGGGATTGTTGGAAACTTGACAGGCACCAAGTCTCCTCAGTTCTGACTATGCTCAGGGCATAATGGAGATTGTCATGTTTCCCGTGATGACAGGCTTGGGCTCCTGCCAAGGTTCCTCTCCCGAGCTAGGCAAGTGGCCTCCTGATGTTTCTACCTAGCCTGTCTGCCTTAGGAAAAATCTCACCTGAATCTGCCTAGAAGGGGGTCTTTCTCAGCATCATGAGCTGGCTTCATATCCTTCATGGGAAGGGGCCATCCAAGCCCTAGACCACGAGCTGTCAGTTTTAGGGACCTAGGCATCTGCATGCCCAGAGCAAGATTTCTAGATTAGGACATCCCCTGGGCTCAGCAGACACCATAGTCATGCTGCAGCTGCCCCACACCCACCCCCCTCAGGCTCCAAGGCATCTCACTTTAAATGCACACAGGCACAAGTGGGAAAAATTCTCCATCAATTGGGATTCTCCATCAATTGGGATTCTCCATCAATTGGGATTCTCCATCAATTGGGATTCTCCATCAATTGGGATTCTCCATCAATTGGGATTCTCCATCAATTGGGATTCTCCATCAATTGGGATTCTCCATCAATTGGGATTCTCCATCAATTGGGATTCTCCATCAATTGGGATTCTCCATCAATTGGGATTCTCCATCAATTGGGATTCTCCATCAATTGGGATTCTCCATCAATTGGGATTCTCCATCAATTGGGATTCTCCATCAATTGGGATTCTCCATCAATTGGGATTCTCCATCAATTGGGATTCTCCATCAATTGGGATTCTCCATCAATTGGGATTCTCCATCAATTGGGATTCTCCATCAATTGGGATTCTCCATCAATTGGGATTCTCCATCAATTGGGATTCTCCATCAATTGGGATTCTCCATCAATTGGGATTCTCCATCAATTGGGATTCTCCATCAATTGGGATTCTCCATCAATTGGGATTCTCCATCAATTGGGATTCTCCATCAATTGGGATTCTCCATCAATTGGGATTCTCCATCAATTGGGATTCTCCATCAATTGGGATTCTCCATCAATTGGGATGCTACCCCCAAGACTTGCCATGATGCCCCCAGCACTCCCAACCCCAGACAGCTGGCCAGCACCACCCAAAGATACCCTTCTTGGTTATCAAACCACCACGTCATCGGTCATGGACTGTCACTCCAAGACATCAGGCAGTACACCAAAAGATAACAGAGCTTATCACTTATCCCTTTCCCAGGCAGGTTCAGGAAGCCCTCAAGGTCTACAAGCCCACGCCCACGCTACATTCACCCATCAGGATTCCACAGGAAGTGAACAAGAACCCCCGCTTAGCTTCAGAACTCCAGCCTATGTGTTTCACAAATGGGGGCAGCAAGGCTACCAACCAGGCCTGAGCACCCCACAGGACAGTCATCCCCTCCCACAATGGGCTGAGTGCCGGACTCGTCCTGGTGTGATATTCCCAGTTATGTACTGCCAGTGAGATCAGGGTCACATAGGACATCTTAGTCTTGTCCATGTTCCGCCAGGTTACCAGGAATGTCTTGGTTCTACATAACATGTTCACTAGCATATCATTCCATGGGGAAATATATCCCATTACACCCCAGAACTGAGCAGACCTAGCACCCGTTTTTCAAGTTTAGTAACTCCGAAAAGTGAAGTCCCTTTCAGGAACACAGGTCCTGCCCCTTGGTGGTATCCCCCACCACTGCATCCCTTTGCTAGCAGCTGCCCTGCCTAGAGAGCCCCCGTGTCCACCTGCCTCAGGCCCTCATTGCCACAGTCACAGTAGGCCAGAAGTCCAGGTTTTCCAGCAATTATGTTCCTCAATTCCAGAACACGTTCCCATGTGAGGCCTGGTAAGGGCACAGCTTGGCATCAGCTCAGTCTCAGTCACCAACTCACATGAGGGTAGGCGGGCTCAGCACAGAGCCTACCCGAACACTAAGACTCCAGAGGGCATGGATGGGGGTGGGTGGAGGCATTTCCTAAGTGAAATGGGAAGGCAGCAGCTTGCCCCTCTTGCCCAGGTGCCCCAGCTCTCCCAGGGCAAGACTCCAGTTGAGCTCGTCCCATCGCGGTCCAAATTCTAACCTTGTTAGAGGTGTCGGTGGTCCTGGCCACTTCTGTGCTGAACTGACTGCTCCCCACTGGCTCTGCCTGGCTGTGGTGTCCTCAGGGCCCTAAGTACTGTCTGGGGCTCTCCTTCCACCCAAGGTCTTCAAGGAGGATGACAGTTCAGAGGCTGAACATTTCACTCAAGCCTTTCAAGCTGGTGGGATCCAGATGCCTGCAGCTGGACTCATTTGTGTTTCTGGATCTCTTGTCTTCCCACCACTTCTTTGGACTTGCAAACATCGGGTCACATTTGGAACAAGGATACTGGCAGACAAACCATGTATCCTGAGTAAGAAGGAAAGCTGGGGCAGGTCCCTGCTCTTCCAAGGCCACCTTGTGTCCATCCCCACACCTCTCCTAGACCATCTCCTTCCAGCAGCCTTAACTGACATTTGAGATAGTCTTGCAAAGCACTGGCAAAGAATTGGAGCTTAAAGCACAGCAATGGAGCTCTGCCTTACTCTTACCAGCACAACCACTGTCCCCTTACTCACAGACCTGACCACTAAGTCCCAAGGCTGCCCACATCCAACTCCCAGAGTCCCAGCTTTGTTCCTGCCTTCTGTACAACCTGCTGCAGAGCGAGTGCGGCACCCTGAATGTGAGGATTCTTAGCCCATCTAAGGGGCCATGAAGGATGAAGATTGCCTCCCAGTGGGGCATAGCTTTCAGAAGCAATCGATCTAATGCGATCTTCACTGCCATCGTGCAGGAAGAACTAAATCTAATCCAACTTACAGCAAACAAGAGGTGAACACGTTAAACCCCAGCACGATCTACTGAGTCCAAACTGAAAGAGGGCATCCCACGTGGCTTGCCTTCCATGTTGCCCTCCAGTGAGGGTGCTGGTGAGGGCTCACTCACGTTTACCACGTGTTGCATGGGGAGAGTTTTTTGGGTGGGAGACTCAGGTTTTCCCTCAGAACAGGAGAGCAGACAGCTTTTCCATAAGGATCTTCACACTGGATAACCATCTCTGAAGGGATGGGACCATTCCAGATGGTCCTGCAGTCCTGGCCTTTGGAGTTTGTCCCCCAAGGCAGCTCCATCCCACATTCTCCCATGTTCCTTTTTTCTCCGTCTGCATCCCCTAGGATGTCGCGGGATGAGTGCTTACTACTGAAGGCTGTTCACACTGAGGACATTCAAGGATTTCTCCCAATAGCAGCGACCCTATGTTTATGGGATAAACTACTGGAGTCTGTCACTAAAGGTCCTTCCTGGTCTGACTCACAGGATGGGGGGTGAGGGTCAGACTTGGTCTCATTGAGCCCCCCAAGACCCCATTCTGGAGGCTCAAACGTCTCTGTATGGATTACATGGAGAAAGGCCCAGCAAAGCCCTGTTCTTTTAATTCCACAACCACTGCCCCCCAAAAGCCTACTGATTCCTGTAACCAGCTGATCAGCAGCCCAGCATCCCTGTGTGGTGGAGTCTTAGTGACAGGCAGGGTCTATGTATACTCAGACATAGAAGGGAATCAAATAGTGGCTGCTCAGGATGACAAGTAGGGTCCTGTGACAACCAAGTCAGCTCCCCTCACTGTGCTGTGCTGGACAGGAGAGAACACCCAAAAGTCCCAGATTCACTAGGCCAAGGCTCAAGAGTGAAGTTTACAGATTCAACCTGCTCAGAGTGCACCATCCAGAAATTAGCCAGCCTTATATCGGAGCAGATTCTCTAGGTAAATGCCGTCACTGGGGAGAGTCCACGTCAGTCACTGGGGAGAGTCCACGTCAGTCACTGGGGAGAGTCCACGTCAGTCACTGGAGAGAGTCCACGTCAGTCACTGGGGAGAGTCCACGTCAGTCACTGGGGAGAGTCCACGTCAGTCACTGGGGAGAGTCCACGTCAGTCACTGGGGAGAGTCCACGTCAGTCACTGGGGAGAGTCCACGTCAGTCACTGGGGTCAGTCTCCTGAGCACGCTCCTGGATGTCACCCTGCAGCCACACTGCACTCCTGGCACCCTGAGAGAGGTCAACCCCTGCAGTCATACTGCATTCCCGCGCCCACCTGTGCCCTGCCCTCTTCCAGGTCACCCTGCAGCCACGCTGGGCTCCTGTGCCCACTCGTGCCCTCTTATCAAGTCTAAAACTGCCCCTCCCAAACACAACTGCAGCCTAAGGGCAGCATGGCTCCTCAGGTCTCTACACTGCTCAGTGTGGCTCCTTCTCTGCACCAGGCTCCGGGTGGGTCCTGGCTTCCCTGCCTCCTCCCACTAAAGCCTCTTTAGAACCCAGAGAAGCAGCTCTTGGCTGAAATTCTGAGGTCTGCTGAGACAGAAGATTTGGACCAGTCTAAGTTTGCTTTAACACCTAAGGAACCCCTTTGAGTCCAGCTGCAGCCTTGGACCCGAGCAGCCTCCAGCAGAGCAATGTTTAGTACTCCAGCTGTTGGGGAGAGCCCATCATGGCTTTAACAGGTGACACCTTCAGCCAACTCAGCCACAAGAGTTTTGCAGCCCACATCTGCTAAAACAGACTTAGACACTACCCTAGCCAGCCCAGGAGGCTTCCTTCTCCCAACATATTGGCCTCCTGCTGCGATAGATCATAAAAACTGCCTGTGGTGGCCAAGTAGGACGCCTCTGCCAGCTGGAAATTTCAGCCAGGTTCTCCCCATCAAGACCTCAAGGGGAGGGAGATGAGGCACCAGCCCTCCAACACAAGCACAGGAAGCTCCACTCAGGTGAGTGCACGTGAGGAAGTACACTGCAGGGCACCATTTCAGGGCAGCCACGCAGACCCAACGCCACGACAGAAACTAGGACAGGTACGAACTGTGGCTTCACTACCCAGGCTAGCCTTTACTTCCTAGTGATGAGAACCATGAGGATTAAGAGGGCAAAGTCCAAGGTCAACATGGCTCCCCCCGCTCCAGAAGGGTGGGTGAACAGTCCACCCCCATGGAAGAGGTGAGTAGTTATCCGTTCACCCTAACATCCCTGAATGATTTCCCCATAACTGAAACAGAGCAGCTTTTCCTAGGGCCGAGTACACACCATCCAGACTCTGGCACCAGATTTCCAAAACACATCCAGAAACAGCTTGTCCTGTCGGTCAATCAGAAAGCAGCTTAATCTAGTCTCAAAAGCCAGCACAGTTGTGCCGAGAAATGTCAGCATCTAAAATGCCATAAACAGCTAGGCTGTCTAAAATGAACTGTGATTATCAAGTTTGGCAGAGATTTGATCTTCACACGAAGTAGAGAGCTATGATTCAATAAACGAACTGAGAAGATCTAAGTAAAATAAGACTTCCTGAAGTTAAGGGTTCAAGTTCTTAAATACTCTTGGACTTGTGGTTTTAAATGCAGCAATTCAGTCATCTTTTCCACGTAGGATCTACGGTTTTACAGAAGTGAAGCACTCAGCCAGTGTCAAGTCTTATAATACCCGGACTGGTCTGACACTGGCCAGTTTCCTCATCTCTACACTGGAATCACAGTGGCTGCCCAGCACGGAGTCACTCAACCGAAGTACTTAGAATTAGCCCGAGAAGCACTAGAAGTTATGCCTACAATTCTCCAGAGAAGTCCCTGTTATCTGCCAACTTGAGCTTGGCAGTCACCATAGCAGAACAGAGGCCATCCCCTCTTGGACTCAGGACTTAGTTTTCCTGCAGATGCAATTCACTAGCAGTGACCCCTGATCCCTGCTGCTCCATCTGCATAGACCACATAGCACAGCTGCCAGCTGGATGTCCTAGGAGAACAAGCATTCCCCAAGCTCTCTGCCCATCTGTGGGACTGAATGACATATGAGCCAAACCTTTAAGCAATAGTCTCTGGTGAACTTTCCCTGCCAAGAGGTCTCAAAGGCTTCCCAAGGACACGGTCAGGAAGAGCTGTAATACCTTGTCTAGTCTTGAAGGCCCCAATTGCATCCCCCCACCAAACCCTGTGGGGTATGCTTTGACGGCCAGCCCTCTCTAGTAAGTCCCCTCCGATAGCCCCCGGCACTGTGACTCACTGGGTGTGATGGTACTGAGTGTCAACTTGATTGAAGGATACAAAATATTGATCCTGGGTGTGTCTGAGGATGTTGCCCAAAGAACATGAGTCAGTGGGCTGGGGAAGGAACATCCACCCTTCACATCCGGTGGGCACACTCATCAGCTGCCAGCTAATATAAAAAGCAGGCAGAAAAACGTGAAAAGGAGACTGGCCTAGCCTCCCAGACTATATCATTGTGCTGTGCTGGATGCTTCCTGCCCTCGAACACTGGACTCCAAGTTCTTCAGTTTTCTCCAGGGTTTCAGAGCTATCTGACTGGCTCTCCTTGCTCCTCGGCTTGCAGACACCCTATTAAGTACTAACTTACATGACCACAAGGTCTTACAAAAAACTATAGTGTATCTTTCTCCCTCTGGAGAACCCCAATTACTGGGCTTGCACACTTGTACCTGCAGAGCAGTAATCTGTTCCACCTGTGGTCTGCATACTTCCCCTACCAGGGAAGGGTTTTTTCCATCCCTTCACTCAATGTAAGATGGAGCTCCAAAATGCCACTTCTGCTAAGTCCTTCCAAGTCATAAGGGGTAGGGGAAGCACACACTTGCATCTGAGCTTACCCCCATTCTCAAGTTGGTTCAAGATTACCACCTTTTCATCTCCCCACAAGTAGTCAGTGCCTTAACTCAGGGATATGAGGTCGATCTTGCACTAGGCCATGATTCTCTACACAGAATAGTTGTGACCATGGACTTGGGCACATGGTATTCCTCGGTCTTAAGTCCACCTTGGCCTTTCAGCCGAGACATCTTGGGTATTTGGGTACTGTAATACCTACGACGTAGTAAGAATTTAATAGACACGTTTTGTCCCACGACTGGAGAACACATTCCCTTTGCAAAGCATCTTGATCTGTCTCCGAGTCTCAAAAGCCAGTCCTGCCAAATTGTCCGTTTTTGTAAGTGAGGTAGACTCAGGTGTCGAGCAAAGCTACAGCGATTGATACCTTGGTGTCTTTTTACTCATAGGTCCAAGACTCACCCACATTTATGCCCTGTGTGCATCTGGGTAAAGAGCTTTTCCATCTGCAAGACTAGATTAAAAGCTTGTTCCAGATCAGCTCCAAAGGACAGAATGACAAGGCCAAGTCTACTTAAATTTTGTGGGGAAAAAGATCAGATTGTTACTTTGTGTAGAAAGTAGACATAGGAGACTCCATTTTGTTCTGTACTAAGACATTTTTCTGCCTTGAGATGCTGTTAATCTATAACCTTACCCCCAACCCCGTGCTCTGAGACATGTGCTGTGTCAACTCAGGGTTAAATGGATTAAGGACGGTGCAAGATGTGCTTTGTTAAACAGATGCTTGAAGGCAGCATGCTTGTTAAGAGTCATCACCACTCCCTAATCTCAAGTACCCAGGTACACAAACACTGCGGAAGGACGCAGGGACCTCTGCCTAGGAAAGCCAGGTATTGTCCAAGGTTTCTCCCCCTGTGAGAGTCTGAAATATGGCCTCGAGGGAAGGGAAAGACCTGACTGTCCCCCAGCCCGACACCTATAAAGGGTCTGTGCTGAGGAGGATTAGTATAAGAGGAAGGCATGCCTCTTTGCAGTTGAGACAAGAGGAAGGCATCTGTCTCCTGCCCGTCCCTGGGCAATGGAATGTCTCGGTATAAAACCCGATTGTATGTTCCATCTACTGATAGGGGAAAACCGCCTTAGGGCTGGAGGTCGGACATGCGGGCAACAATACTGCTCTGTAAGGCATTGAGATGTTTATGTGTATGCATATCCAAAGCACAGCACTTAATTCTTTACCTTGTCTATGATGCAGACTTTTGTTCATGTGTTTATATGCTGACCTTCTCTCCACTATTATCCTATGACCCTGCCACAACCCCCTGAGAAACACCCAAAAATGATCAATAAATACTAAGGGAACTCAGGCTGGCAGGATCCTCCATATGCTGAACGCTGGTTCCCTGGGTCCCCTTATTTCTCTATACTTTCTCTTTTTCCCCCCAAGTCTCTCGTTCCACCTAACGAGAAACACCCACGGATGTGGAGGGGCAACCCCGCCCCTTCAAATCTCAAAGACTGCGTGCATAAGTGACTTCAAGCAGCAGTTGATTATCAAGAGTCGCTACCCTCAAGTGTTCTATTTGGTATCCTGTCAAACCATTTTTGATCATGTTAGTGATTTTGTTATAGAATGGAAATTTGTATCTTTATGGCCAAGATACCCGCCACCTTAAGCCTAGACCTAATTTACCAACACTAGAATTTGTGTACTATCCTAGCCCTGTTAGTTCAGCCAATTTCCCTTTAACACAAAACACGTAACTTAGAACTCATCCTCAAGCCAGAGGAAATCTGTTTGCTACCTAGTCAGATACAGCACTGTGGGAACTAACTTCGGGACTAATGCCTCAACATTAAGATGAGGACCTCACAGGAGTTTTTATTCCTGTGCAATTAAAGATAGCTATAAGTTAGTTGTGCATCCTAAATCCAGGATGTTTGTGCTGAGTGGGAAAAAGCAGGAGACACGGGACATGGTTCCAAGGAGACAATCAGGGCCCACCTTGTGACAACTCAAGTAGAAGTGGTCTAGCTGCTGAGTCGTTAGCATGACAGATCCCAGTGTAGTACACCTGATAATGCCATCACCTTGATATCCGCAAGCTAACAGCATGATGACCATAAACCCACATTCTCAATACTTGTGATTCTAACAGAGGAACTTGAAATACAATGTATCTGTTGAGGAACGACTTGACCGCAAAGCTTTCTCAAAACAATGATCCAACTTGCATGTAAGTTGAGAGCATCACTGTTTAACATGCAAAGGGTTTGGGAAAGTTAC
Organism: Homo sapiens; assembly: GCF_000001405.40. Taxonomy (NCBI): domain Eukaryota; kingdom Metazoa; phylum Chordata; class Mammalia; order Primates; family Hominidae; genus Homo; species Homo sapiens. Next base: position 10,126,596 of record NC_000004.12, on the reverse strand, counting down.
AACTTAAGTATTACCTGAAGCCACCAGCTACACACCCAGGTGTTTCACCGTACAGTGGGGTAGGGCTTCTGGGAGTACGAGATTGCTGATATAGAAGGATCAATTCTAATAGTGCATGCAAAGGAGGCAGTCAGATCCCTTGCTGCTTGCCTTCACTTTTAAGTGACTGGCATCACCCACCACCCACTGTATTGTCCAAACCATAGCTTCATCATCCCTGGGCTCCTTTCCTCTGACATCCAGGACAATGCTGCGTGTGTCCCCTGCCTGCACATGTCAGGCTTGCTACCCTCCAATCCTCCGTAGGCCACCACTCACAATGGCCCAACTCCAGTGTCCCAGGCTGGTCCATTTAACCCCACCCTCCACAGGGAGTAGTGACCCCAACAAGTCAATCTGATCCACATCACGCTTGACACATCCTGATGGCATCTGATCATGAGGTCATTGGGGAACCTCCATGAAGCAGCCCCAGCCACTCGCCCTGGCTCTAATTTCCCAGCCCTACTTCCATTCCACACGGGTATTCAGGGAGACTCCATTCCTTTGCCAAGCATATCACATACTACTCTATGCTCTTCACATCCTTCACATATCAACTTTAGAGTCCTACAAGAGCCTCCCTGACCTTCACACAGAAGAGATAACATGTTCCTATTTTCCATAGTACCTCCAGCCACCTAACATGTACATGACATTCGAGCACTTCTAATATGACCAGGCCTTAAGAGCCTGCGTTTTATCCTTATAACGCACCAACAATTTGTATTACAGAGGGGAAATAAGTGACTAGGCACCAAGCTCCAGAATACTGCATTCGTGTCTGACCCTTTGGTGTTCGGTAGACATGTGAGGTGCATACATGACTCTAGATGTTCACAATCCCACAGGTTGTGATAGTCCACATGATCAAGGTATCTTGCTACGTTGGCTTCACAATTCCTCCACGGTCAAGGTTGATACCCAAAAACACTTTGCTTGGAGGCTCCTTTTGAAGCTGGGTATTGATGTGGAGTGGGAGAACATTTGGGAGGGCTGAAGTAAGCTTTGTGAACCAAATAGACACCCAGTGGCTGACACCAGCTCTTATGACTGAGCACTTGCAGTTTCCAGGTTTCAAATATTACAAGGAACACAACGTTGATTTCACCACCCAGCATTTTAAGACCATTCCTACAAATCATATGGGGAACAAATTAGAGACCACTTTCCCGTACTACCTAAGATGAGATTGAAAATCATTTAACATCCAGTATGCCAGGCAAGCACTAGGTATGTGGCTGACCTGCCGACACTATACTGCCTCGGTCATCTTTAATCTGCAGCAGGGCCAAGTCTCTCAGGGTCCCCCGTGTCCCACGTGTGTAGAAGCCTCCACTGTGGCCACAACTGCAGCATCTTTCCCAATAGGACATAACTACCAATTTAACAGCTGTGCCTAAATGTACCTCGAAAAGCAGACAAAAATTAAAATCCTTTTACGGAGTCCATGCCAGTTGCCAGATATTCCAGAATGTGTCGAGCTACTCGGTCTATCAGCTTCATCGGAGTCTGAGCTCATTCATCTAAAACTTCCCCCTTTGATGTTTTCCCTTATTGAGGAGCCTCCTTCTACATGAACCTGAGTTGCCTGTGTATGGTAGGGACTTCCTGTCCAATCCCAGCAATGCCATCGGGAATGACTGGAACCCTCCCAGACCGGAACAAAGTGGACCGAGGTCCTTGTCTAGACCTAGGGCCCAAGCCAGGGACATTGAGACAGCACCCACTCCTGGTTGCTTTGTGGCCACCACCATCCTCCGGGTCATGCCTAGAAGCAGGAGTACTTTTATGGCCACAGCAGCCGAGCTAAGAAACTGGTCCCACGGTCCCCAAAGGCGGGGGAGATGCCAACTCCTCAAATGCTCCAGTGGTTGTTTTCTAAGGCAGCCATGTGTTTTAGGCCGCTTCATTAGAGCATTTTAGGATGAAAGCCAAAACCAGGGTCAGAGATAGGGAAGCACTTTTCAGTCACTTCCTCAGTGATTCCTTTGCCAGGCAGATATAGTGCAGGCACCTAGCCTCTTGATCCAGGTTGTGCCTTAAGTCCAGTTTCCCCAAGGGCTGGTGCCCCAGAATGGGTGGCAACACTTTACAGTGTGACCACTGCCACTGTCAACAAGGTGGGTCACCGCAACTCAACCGCCTCTGCCTTGTCCCCAAGGCGCTGAGAGGCTGGTGGTTGGGGCTTTACGGGTGGGAGGATGACAGGGCAAGCCCTACCTTCAATATAGATGAAACTCAGCCCCTACAGTGAAGTATTTTCTCAGTGTGTGACCTTGTTTAGAGACAGGGTGGCCTGCTGCTGCAATTAAGATGAAGTAAAACTCAAAGTGGGCCCTACTCCCATAGGACCAGTGTCCTTTAAACAGGGAAGCGGAAACAGGCACAGGGAGAAGACATTAAGGATGAAAACAGGGATGGGGTGGTGGTCCCACAGGCCAAGGAGCAGAGATGCCAGCAGACCATCAGAAGCTAGAGGCCTGAAACAGTCTTCACAGCCTGGCAAGGAGCCAACCACACCCCACCTCTTGATCTCAGATTTCCTGGCTTCCAGAAAAGAATTTCCGTTGAAACCACCAAGTTCATAGCAGTTTGTTATGCCAGCCCTAGCAGAGCAGTACAGCTTCCCAGCCACATGCAGATCTCAACTACCAGATCCCCACTGCTGGGATGGGCAATGTCTACCCAGAAACACCACCCACTTGGAGGGAGCAGATCAGAGCACCTGTTTACCACAGGCAGGCAGAGCCTGAGTCAAAGGAGCAAAGGGCTGAATGACACATGTCCAAGTTCCCTAGGCCCATCCGCAGTGCGATTCCCCCCCTCCCCCACAGGGAGGCATGCGAACGGAGAGGCAGGGCATCCAGCTGGTCACTGTCTCCATGGCAACAAATACAAGAGCCCTCCTCCACTAACAATCTATGTCCATCCTGTTTGGCAGAAAAGCTGACCCTTTGGTCCACGTGTTGAGGGAAGCCGACTATAAAGGCAGCTAATAGCAGAAGTGTTTGGAAATGGCCGGAGGCCACCGCCAAGGAACCAGGGGCAGCATTGGGAGGTGCTGGCAGGAGCTGTGATGGATTTGTGGCTGTGTCAGGGCTCAAAGATCCTCAGCACTCCTGGAAAAGAGGGCTGGGATCCAGTTCTGTTTAACAGTCTTGAACACTCAAACACAGGGTGTTGAGATCTAGAGTTTCTATGCTCATGGAGCAGAGGAAGGACCCAAGCCCTCAGGCCAATGGGCAAGAAGGCCACACCACAGGGTCTGTACAAGGAGACTCGCTGCAGCGAACAGCCTCATGACCGGAATCTCCATATCAGCAACAGGCACTGGCACAGCCCTCAGACCAGACCCCCACAGCACCACAGGATGCCCAGTGACCACGTAGCCAAGCCCCTGCACTGTGGGCACAAAACAAGCCAGACACCGGTGCTCAACAGCCAAACACGTTAGCTCTGACCACACAACTGGAGGCCAGCAAAGACCCAGGCACTGTGGACTGAGTCAGAAGGAAAAGGCAGAAACCCTAGGACGGTAAGTAGTTACCCAAAGACAAAGCTTTCAACTGGAGAGCGACTGACGCTATCCTTGAACTTGGGTGAGAGCATGCTAAGATTCTACCTTCACTGGAAAAGTTGGTTATTTAGGGGCACAATTAAAACTTCCATATCTGATCTATCCATTTCAGCCCTTTCACGTGTAAAGGACAGTTTAGACTCTGTAGACCCAACCTGTTTAACTCCTGGTTGCATCACTTGCTTTTCAACTCGGCAAAGTTCCAACCCAAGTTCCCTTCCCTGATGTAAGATGAAGGGCAAGGGCCCACAAACCCAGCATCTAGCTCACACGAAGTGCTTGCAAGTATGAGGGTAAGTAAACGTTCCAGGAAGGGTCCCGGGAAAGGACAGGCCGGGGCTGTCACCAGGCCTCACAGCAACACACCAAGTCTCAGGCAGCAGGTAGACAGAAGCGACTGTGTTCTATCACTTATGGGAGTTTAAGAAGAATGGGACAGGGGAATTGTTTAACTGTCCCCAGAGTTCTTTTGCAGCTACAGGAGCTTCGAAGCAGTGCAAGACACGGCCTTAGGTCCTCCAGTGTGGAGGCTCAACTCCACCCAGTTACCACCCCCTTCACCGGGATCTTGATGATCAGATAGCTTTCGTTGCCTGAAGCTATGGTTAAGAAACAAGGGTAGACAACCCAAGTAGGATATATTCCTTGTACTGTGTTACTAAAGTTATGCCGTTGATTAGCTGTTTAGAAGTACATCCTTCAGTAACCTCAAACTGAAAAGTTATGCCCAAGCTTCCATGACTTGCAGGGATTTAAAGCTGCTGCAGCATGCAGGTGTTAGTTATTTGCTTATTTGCAAAACCCACTTTCCAATGGGCTGCTCAACTGGAAAGAAAGGTATTTACAACACATAGGGCCCCCCAAGAAGGGATTCAGTAAACGAGTTCACTGGAGGGTTGCAGATAACTCATTTCTTGCCTTGGCAGAATTAACCGGGCTAACCCCTTTTGCATAAGGTTTATGCTAGCAGGTTAAAGGCTTTGTTACCAGTCCTCTGACAAAGGCATCCAAGCACTTCTGGCAAGGTAGCCCGGTTTCCAGTTCACTTTGGAGGGACAGCCCAGGCCCCACAACCCGGATTTTTCCAGGTCAAAAGGTGGATACCAGTAGCTGCTTTTGCCATGCATTTCACCACCCTCCCTAGTCACAGCTAGTAACGGACTATGGACTCGATCCAACCAGTGAGATTTGAGAATTAAAGATCTGAAAGCCTGACAGCGAAGCTAAAAGCGTTACACATTAACTCAGGCTGTGGGCAGCCACTTCCCACCATGTGTCAGACCCTCTAGAGGACTCACTGGCAATCACTCCAACTCCCTGTGCAGATGGGGAGGTGGAGGCAGCGAGACTGGCTTGAGGTAGTAGATAAAGGTGATTTACTCCAGGGACACTCCGGAGATGAAACTTTGAATATGACTTGAGCTTATTTATGAGACAGGGACAGGCCTGCAAAAGGGACTGAAATTCCTGGAGCAGAAAGGCTTCCCCCACTATACCCAACAGTCCTTTGTGGAAAGGGCGGGGGTTCAGTCCACAGGGTGAGCTAGACGGGAGCAGCGCTACCCTTGCATAGGGCTCTTCCTAGGGGGTTGATACAGTTGAAGCAACAGGAAAGAGAAAGCCCCCTTTTCCTGAGCCTGGACAGAACCCATGAGGGTTGAAAGTGAGGAAGCAGCTTGACAGGCTTTGGAGAGAAATTCAGCTCTCCTGTGGCTTTGTTCCTCCCCAAAGCTTCCAGTATAGGCCTCACACATCTGACGTATTTGCAGTTTGTGGCTCTAGAAGCCAGGACTCAGAGCGTGCTCAGAGGACAAGGTGCATTCCAGGAATCCACACGCCCCCACTGTTTGCGTTACATAAAGCGTTCAGAACCCACTCCAAACTTGTTTTCCCCTGAGTGGAAAGCTGTTAAACAGCTCATTTAGCACCTGACGCCAGTTAGCGGTTTGCCCAAGTTACCCAATTGGAGCTAGTTTACCCCAAAGGTAGTCGAAGAGTTAAGTATCCTAAGCTGCTGCTGCTTAGAAGTTTCAAGAACACATTGTTGCCACTTTAGAATTAAGTTCAGGTGATACTTATGTTGCTCGCTCACACAGCAAAAGGAAGAATTGCCACTGTCTGAAAAGCACGCAGGTGTTCATAGATCTGGCACACCTGCGTTCTGTTTCCAATTGTCTGGGTGGGCCCCTGCAACAAGTGCTCGAGCAACAAGGTCCCTGCTCTCAATCCCTAAAAAGGGGAGAGTCGAGACGCTGATGAACCCCATAGTCATAAGCAAACCAGTGTGCAACAAAATGGGAGTATAGCTTGAGGGTGGATTGGCCTTAAACTGAGGCATCAGTGAAGACCCAGAGACAGGTGCCAGAACAGAATGACCCAGGAGACTTGCTCCTTGAGCCAGGCAGAGCCTCAGCATGCCAGTGTCTCAGAAGCCCAGGGAGGATGTTCGGTCTCAAGATAGAAACCTAGGCTACCCAAGGCTCAACAAGCTTTTAAAGTTTCTCTGGCTGCAGTAAGGGGCTCCAAGCAGATACAGATTAACTGGTCAGGAAGAAATTAGAATAACCCAGGTTAAAGAGCACCAAAGCAGGGCTGTGGCTACAGAAAGATTTGATACAGAGGTTCTAAGCAACTAGATTTAGTGAAGGCTTTAACCTAAGTGGGGGGTGAGATTTCTGGTCAGTGCAGCTGGAGATGCAAGGACGCTGGTCACTATCGGAAGCAGCACCCCAGAGAAATCAGCAGGGAAGGGGAAGGCAAATTAGTCTTATTCTGGCTGTCGTTCAGTGCGAGTAAGGGGCCTTTCAGACCCTTCCTACGGAGCTCCAAGTAGACAGGTTCCAGAAAGGGCCAGAGAAGTAGCTGGGTCCTCAGAGATGTGAACCACTGGTGTATGCAGACCTCAGGATCCCCATCCTATTAGAGAGTTATGACAGCTGAAAGCAACTCAAGTATATCCTGGCAGTGACCCTTACACGCTTGACACCTGATAGCGGCTTAGCCACACCTTGGGAGTGTAGGTGTACCTGATCTGTATCAACTGCTTTTTGAAGCGCAGTTCTGTCCCAGCTGGCTGCTCTGGACCACTCTGTATTCAAGTCCCCTCCATACACCATATGTGTTCATTGGCTCTGGGTCGCCTCGGCTTCTCGAACATGGTGCCATCCCTATTTAATTCAGTGGGGGCCCAACACAACAGGATACACGAAGGCATGAGTGGTGACTAGGGGAGCCCAACGAATAGGCTAGACCCACAGTAAAGACGGTTCAAGTGTTAAAGCTCCCACAGCTGACAACACCAAACTGAGCTCGCGCCCCACAGGGAAAATCCTGGAACACCCTGGTGTTTCCCATTTTCCTTTCACATCCTTCAGATTTCCTGCCACGTTCATATAGACTCAAGTGACTACGAACAAACAGCTCCCCCACCACCACCATAAAGCCTCTGCAGCTCCAACATGTAACTTTCAAGCTAAAAATAAGCTGTAGAGCCCAGCAGCTGGGAGTTTGGATATGTTTTACTCAAGTTCGACTGTTTAGTTTTCAGTGTCAACTCCAGCAAGGCTTTATGCACGAGTGTAAAGGTTACCAGCTTGCAAGAGCTTGAAGTTGGTCCTTCGTTTTCTTAATCTTGTTACACGAATGCACTACCTGTGAATGCAATTATACCATTTGTTTTAAGGGTCTCAAGGTGATTTGATGAGTTCTAAGTTATCAAAGCAGATGCAGCGGCCTACAAGCCGGGCCTGCGTATCTTACTTTAGGAATCTGTTTTGTACATTCTCCACGGCTCCTCAGTTCGCAGAGCTACTTTCATATCCGTTATTTCCTGATTAACAGTTGTGGGTGGGGAGTGGGGTCATCCCTAGGAGCATCTTCCAGGTGTCAGGGTTATTCCTGAGAGTTAAAGTTAGGGAACGCGGGAATGAGAAGCAGTGTTTGCAAGGGGTTGAAGTTGCAATTTAAAATGAGACCGGTGACACTCATCAACTAACATTTGAGCAATTAAGTACTTCTGAAGGACACAGGAGTCAGCCAAGTAGATCTCAGGTAAGAGTTTCAGGAAAACACCCTCCGAAGCCAGTACCCAAGGCAAAGATGATACAGATGAGGGGAGGCGGACAACGGAGTCTAAGTGACCCGGAGACTGTCATCCAGGACCCTAATGGGCCGTTTTCAAGACTAGCTTTTACTTCATGAAACTTGGAGCCCCTACAGACAAGCTGAGGAATATTTTACTTCGGATGGATCACTCAGCTACCTGGAGAACACACAAGGTTAGGAAGAATAGGAGACAGGCAACATGGCCACTAACCCAGGTGAGCCACGAGAGACTGCTCTACAGAAGTAGGTAGCAAGAGACTAACCTTGATACAACCTTAAGCAGAACAGACCTTTCAGAGAAGCAGGAACCGCTCACAGCGTGGGTTTCAGAGTTTTTAGCTACCCGCAAGTACTTTGGTTTCTCCCACTTTTACCACCCTCCTAGCCCCCAGAGCCCCAATGGAAAACTTGTACCCACGCTACTGAAAGACGAGACTAGAAGCTTGGACACTTCACATTCCCTGCTCTCCCTTCCACAATTGAGCCACTGCCCTGGTTTTAGAAGTGGGGCTTGTTTTGCTCTGAAGTAACCCTTAACGTCCTTAGAAGTAGCAGCTCCCCTACCCCTCTCCCCACGCCTTTGCCTTTTAAAAACCTTAACTTTTGAGAGAGAGAAACAGCACAAGTTCAGGCCCAGCAGAGTAACCCCTACGTTGTTGCCAGCAACTACTTCAAGGGCAGTTAACCGTGCTTAAAGACGCCAAAAGCATCCATCTCCCGCTTACAACAACATTTAGCTACCCCCCACCCACGTACTTTGCTTTCTCCCACTTTTACAACCCTCCCACCCCCAGAGCCCCGAGGGAAAGCTTGTACCCATTCTACTGAAAGATGAGACTAGAAACTTGTACACTTCACAGCGCCTGCTCTCCAGCTGAGCCACTACCCGGGTTTTACAAGTGGGGCTTGTTTTGCTTTCTTAGGAAATAACCTTTAACTTCCTTAAAAGCAGCAGCGCCCCCACCCCCACTTTTGCCTTTCAAAAGCTAAACTTTTGAGAAAAAGCACGAGTTCAGGCCTAACAAAGAGTAACCCTTACGTTCTTGTTGCCAGTAACTACTTCAAGAAAAAGCACTTAACCGTGCTTAGAGAAAGACGCCAACAGCATTCCTCTTCCACTTACAACAACATTCAGCTACCCGCCCGCACCCCGCCAAATACTTTGCTTTCTCCCACTTTTACAACCCTCCCAGCCCCCAGAGCCCCAAGGGGAAAGCTTGTACCCATCCTACTGAAAGATGAGACTAGAAACTTGGACACTTTACAGCCCCTGCTCTCCCGCCACAACTGAGCCACTACCCTGGTTTTAGGAGTGAGACTTGTTTTGTTTAGGAAATAACCTTTAACTTCCTTAAGACCGACAGCTCCCCCATCCCCCACGCCTTTTTTGCCTTTCAAAAGCTCAACTTTTGAGAGAAAAAGCACGAGTTCAGGCCCAACAAAGAGTAACCCCTACGTTCTTGTTGCCAGCAACTACTTCAAGCAAGGGCACTTAACCGTACTTTAAGAAGACGTAAAAAGCATCCCTCTCCTGCTTACAAAACCCGAGCAGGAGGACTGGCGGCTGGGCAACGCCCGGGACCGGTCAAAAAGGAGAGGCCGGGGAGCGCCCGCCACGCAACGCGGTCACAGGTACAGAGAGGTTTTTCCAGACCCCCACCAAAGCCCGCCAGTACTTTCAGCGTCTTTAAGACCCCCCCGCAAATAAACTTCCTACAGCCCAGCTTCTCCTACAAGCTAGCAACAGAAAGGCACCCACCCCCCGACTCCCAGAAGCATTCTGACGCGGCTGCTTGTCTGCGCCGCCTTTTCAAGGGCCCGCGGGGCGTGCTATACGTCACTTCCGGGGCGGGGCGAGCAAGGCGGAGGCGGGGCCGGGGCCGGCGGGGGAGGGGAGCGCCAGGTCCGCGCAGGCTCGCCGGGACCGCAGCCGCCGAGCCGAGCGCTTGACTATATATGGTCAAAGCTGGGGGCGAGCCGCGCGCGGGACCGCGCTTCCGGGTTCGGGGCGTCCGCAACCACAGCGCGCAGGGCAGGCGCGAGCTGGCCTCTGAGCCCCGGCCTCGGACCGCCCACTCCACTCCCGGCACGCCCGGTGCCGCCTTCCGGCTCCAGTCCCCGGGCTCGGCCTCGGCGAGGTGTAATTCGCAGCGCGGGCCGGCCCCGGAGGCTCTCGGCGAGCGCGGCGCGGTAACAAGTGGGCGAGGATGCCGTACGAGATCAGTAAGTGCCGCGGCGCGGGGCCCCCGAGCGGCCGCCGCGCTGCCCCGGCCCCGGTCCCCGGCCCCTAGGCGCCGTGCGGGTGGCGGGGGAGTCCTCGGCGCGGGGGAGGGGTGCGGGCGCCGGCCGGAGGCGTGGCGGGGCCGCCCTCGGTGGTGCAGGGCGGGACCCCCGACGGGGGGTGCGCCCCCAAGTTGGCGCCGTGGGCCGAGCCGGAGGAGCCCCGCTGCCCCCAAGGGCCTGGCCCGGGGCGCGGACCAGGAAGTCGCGCGGTTCCTGGCGCTCGTGGAAAGTGGAGGCCGCCCTCCCGGCGCAGTCAACAGGTGACCGGCCGAGACCGGTCCGGGGCTCCTTCTCCCTTCTGTCCCCGCCGTCCCCGCCCTGCCCTGACATGCCCCGCCGCATTTGTGTCTCCGCAGAGAAGGTGTTCGCCAGCCTCCCGCAGGTGGAGAGGGGCGTCTCCAAGATCATCGGCGGCGACCCTAAGGGCAACAATTTTCTGTACACCAATGGAAAGTGCGTCATCCTAAGGAACATCGACGTGAGTACCCCCTACCCCGGGCGCGGTTCTGCTCCGGAGCCACCTTGGGATGGGATAATTCGCCTTCCTCTCCACTTCTCACCTCCTGCCCATTGGCCCGGGGAGGGTGAGGGCGCCACGCCCCCTCTACCGGGAGCCACACCTCGGAGCCCCGGAAGCCGGCCTCAGATTCACCCAGGTCCTTGTCTGCTCCTTCTTGATGAGGAAACTGAGTCTTAGTTCGTTTCTGTCTACGGTCATAGCACCCTGAAAGCGCCGGATCGCCTCTGATCTTGGAAGCTAAGCACGGTCAGGCCTGGTTAGTACGTGGATGGGAGATTAGATTAGTTCATTCCTTAAAAGCAAGGGCTCCGGATTTGAGGGATCAGACTGACCCGGTCGGCCGCTGCGTGACCTTGAGAAGATTGGCGATTTGGGCATCTCTGAGCCCCAGTTTTCTCGTCTGTAAAACAGATGATGAGATGATGACCACTCTCGCTTCGCCTGCTGGCTGGGCAGATGGAATGAATGAGCTGCTGGCGTCCCTCAAGCCCAGCGGTGCCTGGTGCACTTTGAGCCCTTGCTGAATGGAATGGCACTCAGCTAACTCGCTGTTAATACCCTGGTCTTCCAGTATGGCAGAGCCCGGAAAAACACCCGGGCCTCTGGGCCAGCCAGATCTGCCACCATGGATCTAAGCCCCAAAGCAAAAACAGGAAGCAGTGTTTTCCCATGAATCATTCTCTGCAAGCCTCCGGTACCCAGGCTGAAAAGGCTTCTAGAGCCAGCTCCTTGGGAAATCCTTGCAAATTCATGTTATTCCTCTGTAATTGTTGGGGTGACCCAGTCTGTCAGTCTCCCTCCCTTCCTGGGTTACACGCTTAAATTTTGCTTTTCCCTTCCTCAGCCTGAGTGATGGAATTGGTGGGGTGGGAGTTGGAGGTGCCGGCCCGGCCATTGGGTGATTTCTCCTGTGCTGTGCTTAGTGGGGGCGGCTGGCACAAAGATGTATGTTTTGATTGATGCCATAGGCATACAAGGGTTGTCAACTTAAAGTCAGCCTGATTTCCCTTGGTAGGTTGGGACTGTTGATCGGACACACTTGCCCTCCAGGAGGCCAGCAACTGGCTGAGGGAATGAAGGGGTCTCTGGGTCTCAGTTTCCTTCTCTGTGAAAGGAGAAGCCTCTTGGTCCGAAGAGCTGCTGGCTCTGCCCGCATCTGTCTCGTTAACCCAGGCAGTCGCTGCTGTTCCTCTGCTGGAAGACAGAGCTCTACCTGCCCTGGATTGCTGGGCCCCTCAAATGAGGGGGTGGGCGGGTGTGAATGTGCTTTGAAGGTGCTAACAACTTGCTAGTCACACAGATTCCTAGAAAGCCGAAGGGCCTTGCTTAGAACTGGAGAAAATCACCAGGGATCTAATGGTAATGATCTGGAAGTCTCCGAAGGCAGGTCCTGAGGCTTTTGAGAAAATAAAAATTGAGACAACCCTAAAGAGATATTTAGTAGTTTGGCAAATAAAATCCACTAACACGTCCTCGGATACAGAGCAGTAGGATATTTCGTTTTGCCCCTAACCAGGCCTTCCCTGTCGTTGCAGTCCACATTGACTTCCAGGGAGGGGGCCTCACATAAAGTACCTGCTGTGCATCTGGCCCTGTGATAGCTTCTTAAACTGTAGCATCTCTTTCCACCCCACATGGGTCCGTTACTCTAAAGAGGAGTCAGACTTAGCAAGGTGAGGCAGGCCAGTAACTGGAGCTGCTTCTAATGGAGTGGTCATTCAGGGACAGGCACCCCTTTGCAGAAAGCATTTCCCAGCTTGTGAAACCCATTCTGCCTGTTTCTGAGCTCTGTATTCTTACCCCTTCCCCGTGGTTTGCCATTTTCTTCTCAGGGGTTACCCTGTTTCCCTTCTCAATTATTTTTAAGTTTCTGCAATGCCAGGTCAGCACGAGATGCTACTAATATAGCCCTCCCTGGGCTGGATGTAGATCAGGCACTGAGTCTCTTGTTAGTTGGATGGGTGGACTGGGTACTCAAGTAAAGGTGGGTACGATTTTTTTTAGGGCAAAGTACTCTTGGAAAAAAAAGTGACATGAATTGGCATGACCGTTCAGGAAGGATGATGGTCTGTTTGGAATGCAGGCTCAGGGAGGGAAGAGGGAAGAAATGGAGGACCAGATCATGGAAGATCTAACATGTCTCATTGACATCTCAGACTCAACATACATACTCCAAGCCAAATTTGTGTTTCCCACGTGCTCTTCCCCTAAAAGGGAACACCGTTCCTCCAGCTGTTCAGGCCCCAAACCTTGGACTCCTGTTTCACTCTCTGCTTCGCTACTGCGCCACATTTTAATTTTAGTAAATCCTTCTGACTCCACATTCAAAGTATCTTCAGAATCTAACAGATTTCCCTGGCTTCCTCTGCCTCCACCCACGACTAAGCTATCTTCCCCCACCTGACTTATTGCCCCCAGACTCCCGAAAACCAAACAGGTCTCCTTGCTTTCACCCTTGTTGCCCTGGGGGTCTGTTCACAACACTCGCTGGAGTGGCTGAAACACAAGACAGGCCTCTAGTGGCTTCCCACCTCGGTGAAAGCCAGAGTCCTTACCGTGGCCTCGGCTCCAGCGTTCTTGCCTCCTTGCTGCTTCTTGAACATGCCACACATCTGTCTTGGTACCTGCTAGTTATTGCCTTTGCCTGGACATTTTCTCAGATAGCTGCAAGTCTTGCTCCCTGTCTTCTCTTTGGTTTTTCTTTTTTAATTTGAGGTGGAGGCTTACTGTCGCCCAAGCTGGAGTGCGGTGGCGTGATCTTGGGTCACTGCAACCTCCACCTGCCGGGTTCAGGCAAATCTCCTGCCTCAGCCTCCCGAGTAGTGGGGACTACAGGTACGTGCCAATTCACCTGGCTAATTTTTGTATTTTTTAGTAGGTAACGGGGTTTCGCCGTGTTGGCCAGGCTGATCTTGAACTCCCAACCTCAAGTGATCTGCTCGCTCGCCTTGGCCTCCCAAAGTCCTGGGATACAGGCGTGAGCCACCACACTAGGCCTTTCCCTTTGGTTTATACTTAGATGTAGTCACCTTAGTAGAGGGGTGTCCCCGGAATAGAATTTTCCATCCCCGGCCTTCTGTCTTTCTCATTGCTGACAATAAGTAGGAAGCAAGCTAACAAGCAGCAGGCTACGGCTGCCTACAAGTGTACATAGGTATCTGCCTGTCCCCCTAACTGGGCATCAGCTCCAGGCCAGCAGGGCTTTCCCCTCTCTTTCAGTCACTGCCGTGTCCTCGCCTAAGAGAGTGTCTGGCACACAGTAGGTGCTCAGTGAGTTACTCATTGATTAAAAAGCCTGGAAAACCAGGCTGTGTCGTGAAGATAATAGGCAGCCACTGAGGTCTTACTGCATGAGAACAAGGAAAGCTCAGCTCAGTGTAGATTGCCGGACCTAAATTTTGTGGAATCGCCTTTCATACCTAAGAGGCGAGCACCGTTGCCAGCTTTGCACTTGGAGCCCCCTCTGTCATTTATTTTGTTGACTTAAAAGCTGTTTTGTGAACCCAGCATAATGGCACTTCTTAAACTTGTAGAAAAAGGGTGTTTCTTACCTGTTTATTTCAACACATCTCGTTGCCTCACCTGGAGAGGCAACTCTCCTCTGTAGAGTGAAAGACTATAATGGTGGCCATGTAGAAACTAATATTCCAGAAGGAGAGAGCTCCAAGAAGGGGATTCCAGTGAACCATATGTACACTGTGTTTGAGAGACATTAGTTCCCCACGGAGAAGGGATGGATAGTCTGTGCTTCGGGGGTCTAAGGAAGGCTTCCTGCAGGTGCTGGTACCTCCTTAGGTCTGGGGTGGTTCCTTCTAAGTTTCCTTACCCTGCCTGCATCACCTCTGCCTCTTATGACCTCTGTGCAAAGACTGGGAAGGGTCACCCCCAATGGCTGTGAACGAACCTGTTTGTGATTCTAAACAGGGCACGGGACCATCCTACAATAAAAATTACCCAGCCTAAAATGCCAGTAGTGCCAGTAGTCCCTGTTTAGAAAAAGAAAAAAAAAAAGCAACTTTTGCCTCACAACAGAGGCCCTCTTGTGTGCTGCCAGGCAGCCAGCAGATTTGCTATGCAGGCAAGTTTGGGGCCTGGTTTTTAAAGTATCCAGTTCCTAGATTCCAGAACTAAAATACACATTTGGAAAAATGATGTCTATAAAATTGAGTTTCCGGGAGTGCAAGGTTTATAGCAATTTGACACTGCTGGGAACCCAGGCGCAGTATCAGTGGACTTTTCTCCTTGAACAGGGGGCAGACCAAGTGGGGGGTTGGGGAGGGTATTGGGCTCACTCTTGGTTTCCCTTGGTGTGAGCTGCCACCATTCACATGCAGAGGACTCACCTGTGTTTCCTGCGGGTTGGGGGTAATGGTGGCATGACAGAGGGCTTGAGGACTGACCTAGCTGCTTCTCCGGAATTGGACGCCTGCTGACTACCTGCGTGTATCCAGATGGCCATTGGCCTGTGGGGGTGCAGGATGGAGGCCCTGCCCACATGGAGCTCACTGTCCTGGGTGGGAGTGAAATAAACTCTAGGTGGCAGAAGGAAGTGGTGCGTTGGATTATCACCTGGGTGCAAACGAGCTGGCAGCAGCGCCTGCCAGGTGCAGAGCCAGGAACCTCTAGGCCTTCAGTCTGACCACCTGATGGCAGGGGAAGCAGAGGGTGGTGGGGGGCCTTCATCTCAGGAGAATCTGAGTGGCTGCAGGTGCCAGTCAGGACGCTGGGCTTCTGCAGATGGGACCACATCTGGGAGGACCGAAGGGCCGGGTGCTTATGGGCTGTTACTGTGGCACTGAGCGTGAGGGGAGTGGACAGGACCCAGGCTGAGAAGTGCTGGTGTGCAGTGGTGGCAGGTGGCTCACACAGCCCTACCATAGCGCAGCCCTGCTCTGAAGGCCACTGGAGCCATTCAGAGGTCTCACAGACAAGTAATCAGATCCAGCCTACGGTAAGGAGAAGTTCTGTATCTGAGATCTGAGGCAGGGAAGCCAATTAGGAAGCTGCTCAAAGATGAAGGCGGCGTCAGCGCAGGTTCCGTTGCGTGGTGCAGCCATCTCTGGCTCTCACGTTTCCCACACATGTTCACTAAGCCCCTGTCTTGGCAAGCCATACCCTAAGCCACAGAGGACCAGGATTAAAATCAGTGATTTTCAGGGAGGGGTAATTTCCCCCACCTCATTCCCCTGAGGGATATCTGGCAACGTTTGCAGACATTTTTGTGCCACTGGTATCTGAAGTCAGGGTTGTGGCCAAACATCCGACAAGGTACATGGCCGTCCTTCCACAAAGAACTGTCCAGCCCCAAATGCCAGGGGTACCAAGGTTGAAAACTCTGGTAAAGAACCTTCGAAGGCACCAGGTTAAGTGCTTCAAAAGAACAATGCCCTGGGTGCTCTGGGAATGTGAGGGAGGAGCCAGCTGTGCCACAGAGCGGGGACAGCTGCTGGAGAAGTGCCACATTTGAGTTGGGTCTTGAAGGATGAATAAGAGTTCTCCAGGAGGAGCGTTGAGACACACGGCAGAGGTGGGGAGAAACCAGGCAGGAAACAGCATGTGTACCTGGGTCCTCTCAGCCCCACTGTGGCCTCCTGTGTGTTGCTTTTGGTACATTTCTTGCCCTGTTGGAGGTAACGGGAGGGATACTGAAGCCATCTTTGAGGTAAGAGAAGAGGTTTAGCCTCATGCGTAAGACTACTGGAGAGATGGCCTTGCCCAAGAGTAGTTGGAGATGCTTCTTTGGAGAGTGACCTCCACCTTCTGCAAGGCCCTTGTTAGGGACAGCTGTGGACACAGGAAAGGGCCCTGTGTGCGTCTCTTCGCCGTCTCAGTGATGGGCAGGCACTCCCTGCCCTGGCGATGTGCCTGCTCCTTAGACCTGTGGGTCCTTAGCTTTGGTCACCTTGCTTGTCACTTCTACGTATGGGTCCTGCCTGCTCTCCAGGGAAAGGCCAGCATCCCACCCCTACCCCCGCCCCACTGTCCAATCCAGTGTATACCCCTGAGCACCTCTCTGTTCTTTGTTGAGTGTATTTTGTGCTGGTCTGTGGCTGAAACTTGGTGTGCTTGCCTCTTCTGTTTCCATGCCTGCGAGAGTGGGAGGAATGTTATCATGGGATCAGTGTAAGATTTAACGGAGCTAATTCGTAAAGCATCTTCAGAAGGTTGTCTGGGCCCTGGCAGGGACCTCTGCTCTTGTCTTCATGACTGCCCTGTTGGGTGGATACCCTCATCTCTCTTTTGAGAGGTGAGGATGCTGAACCTCTGGAAGGTGCTGGAATTTGAACCCTGGGAGCCACCCCCAGGTCTACCTTTGCAACTCATCAGTTAAGGCCCTGGTGGGCCCTGGGTGGGGAGTAGGAGAGGGGAAGACTGAAAACGGAGGTGGTGGTGTCCCGCTCACACGTAGTCCAATGAGGGGTGCTGCTGTGCAGGGCCACACGGTGAGTACCCCCAGGCCTGTTTCAAGGCATCTGAGGCTGAGCTGGGAGGCAGGAGGGGAAAGTCGTTCAGGGCATGGCGGCCTGTGAGTGACCACCCCGTCCTCAGCCAGCTCAAGGAGCTGCCTGTACACTGTTTGGAAGCACACAGCTGGTTGGCCAGTGCAGACTTTATTCTCTGTATTAAAGAATCACACTAACATTGAGACCAACCGTAAGGAAGACAACAAAACCACAGGGAGGAGTAAAGGCCGCCACATATGGTCCCTGATTTGCAGTGACGTGACCTGGGATTGTGTGAAGGTGTTGAGCATTTGTTACCTCCCTTGACTCACCGTGCTGTTAGTTATATGCTCATAACCCAGGTGAGTCAGCAACTGGCCCTGAGTTCAGGTCTGGCGCTGCCACTTAACAGCTGGGTGGCCTGGGGCGTATCGCCCAGTGTCTGCCTTGGTTTCTTTGTCATGTGGGATTATGAGGTTACCTTCCTTACAGCAGGTGTTGTGAGGTTTCAAAGAGAATCCACTGAGGGGCCCACCCAGGGCCTGTCTGAGAGTGAATAGTAAGTGGCCGGTGGGGATTTGTTTCTTGATAAACAGCTACCAGGCTCCAGCCAAGTTCTGGTCTTTGTCGGTATTTGGCAGCTGCTATGGTGAATCAAGTGTGAACCTTCCCCACTCTGGTGTCCACGTAGTACAGAAGGCAGGTGGGGCACAAATGATGTGTAGTCCAAGGTGGAAAGTAGTGAGGGCAGTGGGGTGGGAGTCAGGGAAGGTGGGGGTTCAGGGTGGGAGAGATGATTTCTAGCTTGGAGCATCAGGGAAGGCTGCTTGGAGGAGAAGCCCTTTGCCTGGGCCTTAAAAGATAATTAGGAGAAGGCGTTGTGTTGTCGCAGAAGTTTACATTCCTGCTTTGGAGCTGAGGTTTTTTGCTGTCATTCAGCCTTGGCCTTAGTTGTAGTCACCAGTGAACATAAGGGCCCTGGCCAGTTATATTTGCACAGGTCAGTTACAGCAGTAACAGCTTTCAGCCTCTGTTGCTTGCAGGAACTTGGAGTATTTACAAAGCCAGTGCCCTGACTGGAAGCTCACGCTCACTTGGCCTGGGTGGACCATGGAGGACGCCTGAGACTTTCTCTGGGGTTCCCGGGGACAGTTGGCAGCTAAAGGAGGGCACAGCAGGCCCCTTCATCAGTGTTGTGTCGTCATCTGCTGAAATGTTTTTTGCTTGGGCAGGTATCTCCAACCTTCTAGCATGTTCCATCAGGTTCACTGTGGGCCAGGAGCTGAGATACCAGTGGCAAGCCTTGAGACCCAAGCCCCAGGACCCAGGGTCATCACAGCCTACCTGTAAATTGGAGTAGTGACCTCTGGCCCCTCCGTCACCCACCTGAGACTGGGAGGACATAGGAAAGTAAGAGAGCTTTGAGGGGCTCAGGGCTCACTAATTGTAAATGTTGCTGCCTGGGGCATAACAGAGTTACGGAAATGTCGCTTCTGTGTGCTTGTTTGCATGACCTGTGTATTATAGCGAGTCTCAAAGGCGGCACAGACATTGTACAGGTGCCGGGGGGGAGTATGTTTAGGTTTGCCATTCAACAGGATTCTCAGAAAAAGACCAGCTATTCCTGGGCAGGATGCCTCAGTGCACAGGTGGGAGGTGGGGGCTGGTGGGACCTGAGCATAGTGTGACAGAGTAGAATGGCCTCCCGGGTCAAGTCCAAAGCTTCTGCTTCAAATGGGCACCACTGGGCCTTGAACCAGGCCCTGTGTTGGCAGGGCTGGGTGCTGTTACATGCTGTCACTTGCCGAAGTCCGTGGGTCCTGGGTCTGCTCGCGTGTGTGACTCCTTGATTGCTGGCTGGTGTCCTTCATGTCCTCAGAGGCCCCCGGACTCCTCCAGGGGTGGTGGCAGAATTCTGGGGCTTGTCTCGAGGTCTTATCCCAGCCCCAGCTCTGGCCCTCACAGGCCCTAGCCCCCAGGTGTGGAGGCCACTGGGGAAGGGGTCTGGGGCCAGCAAGGTAGAGGGGCTGCACCTGTTCTATCCTCAAGGGTTGGGGTGAGGGGCCATGGGTTGGGGTAGTCAGCCCAAGGAGTGGCTGGCAACGTCAGGGCGGCAGCAGGGTAGCGACGAGTGGGCTGAAGCCTGGAGGGAGCTCAGGAAGGGTGGGTTGCAAGCCGGACCGTGAGGTAATCAGGGTCGGGATTTGAAGACTACCGGCTTGGTGGAGGGTGGAGATGCATTCCAAAGCAGTTATCGCTCTTCCCAGGAAGAACAGGAGGACTGCATTGAAAATGGTGGAGGTAAAAGAGAAGATGGGTTGGGAGTTGGCAAGGAAAACTGGGCAGGCCTGTGGTGAGGACTGAACGGCAGCCTCCCACTGCCAGAGCTGGCCCAGCCTGCAGCAGCATGAGAAGAAAGCCTGGGAGGAGGGGTGTCCCTGAGTGGGCAACTCCAAGGCTGCTCATGGTGGTCTCCCCCAGGCCCCCAGGGAGATGGGGAGACAGAACTTTTGCCTACAGTAGCACTGGGGCTCCTGGAATTGGCTTCCTGCCCTCCCTGTCTCGTTTTCCCCATTCCAGAGTTTTTCCCCAAATAAGCTTCTCAACCCCCAATCTCATTCTTCTTCCCCAAGATGGAAGGAGGGGGAGGAGGCTGGGGGGAGAGGGGCACACTGAGGGTGTCAAGGTGCCATCTCGACCCAGCTGATGGGGACAGAGCCTCACAGGCCGAGTGACACGTGGGGGTGTGAGGTATCTTTCTGGGTGTAGTAAGCAGCCTCCCTCTGCGAGCTGAGGAGCTGGGGAGGAGGCTGCTCTGACTCAGATGTAAGTCATTATCTGCAGTTTGGAGTATCTCAGCCCCCACCGCTGACCCAGTTGTATTTAGAATACAAACGAGAGTGAGTGATTCATCAGCTGGCAGGATTCTGTTGCCCTTTGGGGTTTTTACACACAGCCCTGACCATTTAGGGGAAGGAATTTTTAGGGGCAGAACTTCCTCTCATGCCCCTGCCCAGGCATCTTCCATCTCTGGATGCCCTCCCCAGCGGAAGGCCCATGGGAGCCCCACCCTTTCTACGGCAGCACGGCCTGGGGAGGAGGTCGTCCAGGCTGGGAGAGCCCACGAGGCCATCTGTCTGGCGGGATGGGCAGGTGCCCCTGTATGTGAGCGTGAGACCTCCCCCATCCCCAGTCAGCTGTGAGTGTACACCGAACAGGGTCTTGGAGGGGCTGCCTGTTAAGTGGATCATTTTCTTGCCAGGTGCTTTGGGTAGGGATGTGTCAGTGTCAGAATATGAAGGACTAATTGGAGTGGGAGAGGGTTGGATTGGGCAGACATTTAATAAATAGCCAGCATCTTAGTTTTATTGAGGTGTACTTTAGATACAGTAGAATTTGTCTGTATTCAGTGTGTGGCTTGGATCTTGACAGATGACCTATATAGTCCCATAAGCACCACCCCTGTCATGACAGAACATTCCTGTCACTCCGGAGGGTGCCCCCCGCCCCCGCCACCCCTTCCACCCTCACCCCCAGCAGCTGCTTATCTGCTTTCTGTCATTGGGGTTGCCTTTTCTAAAATCTTCTTTCATATGAAGTGAGAGGCAATGTGTAGTCTTTTCTGTCTGGCTTTTTCACTTTGCATAACATGTTGGCGATTGATAGCTGGTGTTGAGTGCATTTGCACTTTGTTCCTTTCTATCACTAAGCAGTGCGGTGTGTTGCCTGTTTCTCTGTTCACCTGTTGATGGATATTTGGGTATTTCCAGTTTTTGGCCATTGCAAAGAAAGCTTCTGTGAACATTGCTCCTGTGTCTTTTGGTGGACACATGCTTCCATTTCTCCAGGGCAGATACCTAGGAGTGGGGTTGCTGGTGTTTGGTGTGAGTAGTGTCTGTTTAGGTTTATAAATAACCTGCCCAACTCTTTTCCAACTGTACCATTTTGCATTTCCACCAGCAGTGTGAACATTCCAGTGTCCCCACCCCTCTACCCTTGCCAGCACTTGGTGATGTCAGTCTTTTCTTTTTATTGATTCTAGTGAGTATGGAGTGGTATTCTGTTGTAGTTTTGACTTGCATTTCCCAAGACTAATGACACTGAGCGCTTTTTCATGTGCTTACTTGTCATTCGTAGTATCTTCTTTGGATAGACACCTTGATACATTCTAATTTCACTGGCGAACGATTATCCCAAAATGGATTAATTTATGACTGGTGTCTATTATATCACATAATGCTGTGTTAAGTCTTAGGGATGAAAGAGAAGGTCTGTGTGTACTTCTTTTTTTCTCCCCCAAACCACTTATTGAGATGGCTAGTGAGATAAAGGTCATGTTAAGCAGGGCACAGCAGAGTTGGAGGAGATGGACAGGAATGCTAGGGACTATGATGTGTGTTGTGCCATCCCGGTGGACATGTTAAATGATCTGGAAGCACAGAAGAGTTGATACGGATAGCTTGGGCCATACTTGGAGGCTTCATGGAGGAGGGAACGCTTCCGTTAGGCCTGATGGGTGAGTGGGTGTCCGTAGGCAGGGAGAGGTGCTGGCCAAGGGCACAGACTACACACAGACGTGGAGCTTAAACAGGATGGCAGAAGGTGGGCAGGAATCAGGGTCTGTACTTCTGTGGTCTCAGTCTCGTGAGATGGGGGCCCCTCAGGTCTTGAGGAGGGGTCTAAGGGAGATGAGGGGTGGGGTGGCAGCAGGTGGGGTCATGCTAGGGGTGCCCGGGCACCCTCACAGGAGTCTGGTGTGTCCTAAGCCTCAAGCTGGCGGGAAGCTGCCTCTTTCAAAGAGCACTTGGTTTGTAAAAAGCTGACAGTAGGTAGCAGAGATTAGATGGCCATGTCTTTATTCCCTCCTGAAAGAAAGCTTCACTGTGGAGACAGATTGAGAGCAGCCCAGTGTGTGTGTGTGTTTCTGTTTCACTGAGGCCCTGCGTGTGTGTGTATGCCGGGAGGGAGGCGCAGGGATCTACTTTTAGCACATTACATGTTGAAACCTCATTGCTGAAGATGCTTCTAGTCTCAAATGTTGGCCCCATTTTTGCCACAAAGTCCACCCAGCCTTTGATCTGTGCTATGCAAGGGAGTGGGGAATCGACTTTCCTTTCCAAACCCAAGTTTTTGATAGAGAGGGCTCCCACAGCGTGTCCTGCTCTGCTCCTGCACAGCACAGCCAGGCGCTGAGTTTGGGGTCCAACATTGATTGGCAGCCAGGAGAGCTGGTCCTAAACACGGAAGAGAACAGAGCGCTGGAATGAATGCAGCTTCCCACAAATGGGAGGGATTAGAACCAGGGCTTCTTGCTCTAATCCACCTTTTGTGTATCTGTTTCACTGATATATTTGTTCTGTATTATGGAAAGTACAGAAAAGCAGAAAAGGAAAAAAATCACCTTGTTGTACAGTCATAGACTAAGGAGAACGAATTAAAGTAACATGAAATTCTATCACCCAGAGATAGGTAGGCAGGCAGTAGATACGTAGGCAAGTGGTATGCTTCTGCGGTTTTCTTCACGGTTTTAGCTTCAGTGTTTCTTTGTACACCCCTTTCACCCCATATCTGTTGATGTGGAGAGCTGGAAGCTTGACTGCTTCTCCATTCCTTCTGTTCATTCCGGGGTCTCCTCCTGCAGAACCCAGCCCTTGCTGACATCTACACAGAGCACGCCCATCAGGTGGTGGTGGCCAAGTATGCGCCCAGCGGATTCTACATTGCCTCCGGAGGTACTGTATGGGGGCAAGGCTCGTGGACACCTGTGGGGGCCTGGGTGGCGCTCAGGGCCCAGGGCGAAGCTGGGCTTCTGGCCTTGGGAGAGTGGGAGGAGGGAGGTGGGGGGTGGGGGAGCAGGCTGGGGGTGGTGAGTTGAGGGGAGCCAGTATAATTAGTTTCAGCTGAGGCTGACAAGGAATGTGTAAGCCAGCCTTGTCCAACCGGTGGCCCATGGGCTGCATGTGGCCCCGGATGGCTTCGAATGCAGCCCAACACAAATTGGTACACTTTTTAAAACGTGAGGTTTTTTTTCTTTTCTTTTTTCTTTTCAAGCTCATCAGCTATCGATAGTATTAGTGTATTTTATCTGTGGCCCAGGGAAGCCAAAAGATTGAACACCCCTGGTGTAAGCTACCAAAATGCCCCTTTTCAAAACTGGCCTTAGTTCTAGAACAGAAAGGACACTTTCTAGTTTGTAGTGTTGCAGTTAGTTCCAGCTTGGAGGTCAGCAGAAATGCCACCATGAGGTTGGCCAGGGACCTTTTGCGGGAAGCCATGGCATGGTATGTTGGAGCCCTTGTGGGCCGTGTGTGTGTGTGTGTGTGTGTGTGTGTGTGTGTCTGTGTGTGTGTGTGTGTGTGTATGTGTGAATGGATGTTTTGTTTTGTGTCATCTTTACCCGCTGCTCCTTTCCCAGTGCTACCACAATGCTGGCCTCCAGGCCAGCGCTCACGTTTTATTTGTACACTGGGCCTTTGCTCTCTGCAGCCTGGGCTTTTGTGTGGCTCAGTGGGAGGCTAGGCAGAGGCAGGGGTGGAGAGATCTTTCCTCTTGAAGGATGTTTTTTTATTTACTTAGTTCTTTGACGCAGAGCTTTTCCTGTACACAGATGGGAACAAGAGGTACAGGAGTGAGAGTGGTACCCCTTCTAGAATGGTGGCCCACTCATTCATTCACTCACTCATTCATTCATAAGCTCAACAGATACTTACTGCCTGCCTTGCCTAGCCATCTGCAGCCCAGGGAGGCCAAGTGAGTAAGCTGATGTGGGCCTCATCAGCCTCTCTGGAGAGTGACAGCTATGACCAAATTGCTGAGAGAGCTAAGCACCAGTAGG
Source organism: Homo sapiens (assembly GCF_000001405.40). Classification (NCBI taxonomy): domain Eukaryota; kingdom Metazoa; phylum Chordata; class Mammalia; order Primates; family Hominidae; genus Homo; species Homo sapiens. Next base: position 10,102,792 of record NC_000004.12, on the reverse strand, counting down.
GGAGGGCGGGACTCATGCACGCCGTGGCCCTATGCTTGTACCATCCTGCGTGTGCACAGCAGCCTGTCCTGAAGGGTGTATGGGAGATGGTAGGCCTTGGGGTTGGGGAAGACCTGGGTTCGGCTCTGTCTTACTCTGCTTTGTGCTCACAGGCTGGGTAATTTACGACTAACACAAATGTATTGGCTCATAGTTCTTGGGGCTGGGCAGTTGGACAGCAGGGGCCGTTGCACAGCAGGGGCCGGTATCTGTCAAGGGCCTTTTGCTGTGTCAGTCCATGGCAGAAGAACAAAGAGAAGGTGAGAGAAGAAGAGGGGCTGGGCTTGTCCTTTTATTGGGAAGCTGCTCATGTCATAATACCCATTCCTGAGGGCAGAGCCCTCCTGGCCTAATCACCTCTCCATAGGCCGCCTCTGATGCATTGGGGATTAAGTTTCCAGCACATGGTTTTCGAGGTCACACTCAGACCATGGCAGCCTCTTACTGGTGGCGTAGCCTTAGTTGAGTAACTCACCTTCCTGGGCCCAAATTTTCTCTTCCAAACTGGGGCTGCTAGTGCCTGCCTCTTAGGGTGTGAAGGAGCCAGTAAGGCATGGATATGCCCAGCATGGCTGTTGCACTAATGGGTACTTACCCCTGGGTGACCCGTTACCTGTCACAAAACTGGGGCTCTGTTCTGATCGAGCCAGGCGGCTGGGTGAGCTGGCTGACTGCTGTTGGCGGTCAGCTGAGGTCACGGTGAAGGGTTGGGCCCGGAGTCTGGCTCATAGTAGGCATTTAATGGTTTTTGTGTTTAGATCTTCTCCAGCTCCATCTGTAAAACATGCTCTCATTTACATCCCATGATTTATTTAGCTCTGTGATTTATTTTTTCCCCAAGCCCTGCTTGCCAGCAAAAGTCTCTTCATTTAAAGCCCCAAGATTTGGCCCGAATGTCTTTTACATGTTTAACATGGAGCCGAATGCTCTTAGAAGTGTCTTCTCAGGAGAGGAATGCAGTTGGCAAGGGCCTCCGCTCCTGCCTGGCACATTGTCCGTGCCCTGTCAGCTGCAAGCTGAGAACCTGCGGGCCCAGGCCTGCCCTGTCCCCAGTCCCCAGAAAGGTGTCCAATGAGACAGAATTCAATGGAAGGCTGTTGCGGAGACTGTTGCAAAGGACAGACCACATAAATAAGTGGCCATCGTGGGACGCTGTCCTCCCTGAAAAGTGCCCTGATTTTGTAGAGGAGCCAAGGGAGTTTGGGGCCATCCTCAGGTCCAAGTGTTCTTGGGCGAGATCATATTTTATGTTTCTAATACATTTCTTTGAATAGAGCGAAGCAATTGTTAAGGCTTACATTGGAACGTTTGCTGCAGAGATGAAGTGGGGCTAAAAATAGTGTGGTAGGGGGGTGGTTTGGAGAAGGGGGCTGAGAAAGAGCCGTGCTGGCCCACTAAGTGGGTTGCCTGGCAGCTGGCCCCAGCCCTCTGCAGGATCTTTAGACCCTGTCAGTCTGACTGGTTCATGACTGCTGAAGTGTTGAACCTTGGGAAGGGCTGCGCACCTGGGAGCCTCCGGCACTCTGGGAGCCCACATTCCCACGGGGCAGTCCTCAGTGCACAGGTCATTTCGGGGGCAGGCCCAGGCCTCCTTTTCCTGAGGTTATTTTCATGATACTGTTCTGTCTGCCTTGGCGCTGGGGCCGTGGTTCCAGGCTGCCCTTGGGAGTTGGCGAGGGCCATGTGACAGGCGTGTGGTTTGGCCTTACGTAGGCCCAGGGCAGGCTTCCTGGAGGAAGGCGCCTCTTTCAGGGTGGGACGCCCTCTGCCTTGTCCTGAGAGCAATGTCTTCTCCATGGGGCAGCATGGGCCCTGGATGGGCCTGAGCATAGCAGACCACGTGGTCACATGTGCATGTGTGGACATGTGTGCATGTGTGGATATGTATGCTCCTGAGTGTATCTGCATGTCCTTCCTGCACACACAGTGCTCCCCTCCGATGCTGCCAGCCTGTGGTGACTTCCTCTTCTGACCCCTTCTTCCCCCCCGGCCTGTTTTATCAGTGAAAGGACTTAACTAAGCAGATCTCCAGGTCACCTTTGGAACTCAGCTCAGGTAGCACAGCAGGTGGTCTTCCTGGACCTTGTGCAGAGAACTGGGCCCTTCTGGGACTCCCCTTAGTTAGTGCTGTTCACTGGATTTGGCATCACCTCTTGCCTGTCCCCGCAGCTGGACTGAGAGCAGGACAGTCCTTACGTGCATCTCCCTCATCTCAGAGGATGGCTCAGTCTAGGCTCGGGCTGTGTCTGCCCACAAGCAAGGCATCTTCGTGGCCTGTGTAGAGCCTCCGTTAATTCGTGGACTCGTTCCACCTGACTCGTAACGAGCTCTTGCTGTGCACTGAAGACTAGTTGGAGACTTCGCACGTGTTAACTCGTGGAACCTACAGCAGCCCTGTGAGTGGCTCTGTTATTTCCACTCTTCTGGATAAGGACACAAGCCATGTTGCTTGCTGAGCCCCACAAAGCCTGTGTGTGGCAGAGGCTGGATTTGAACCCAGGGCCCCTGCTCCCAAGGCCTGGCTCTTAGCTGCTGCCCTCCTTTGAGCTGCTCAGTTGCAGCAAGAAAACAAAAGCTCTTTTCACTGGAAGCAGCTGTAGAGCTGTGGTGGTTGTTAACGTGTCCTGACAATCCTCTTAAAAAGGCGCCTTTACCTGCTTAGCAGATGGGGCTGAGGTTTTAAAGCGTGAAGCCTTGAGAGTTAGTCTAGAATGCTCCCATTTCTTCACGCCAACACAGTGCTCATTTGGAGAGGGTGTGTCGGGATTGGGACTTGGTACTTGGTGACAGGATCGTGGTGGGGGATTGGGGGTACGTGGCCCCCGGTGTTGCTTCTGTTACAATTGGCTGCCCACGCTCCGGTGAGAAGAGAATCAGCATCGAGTTCTGTGTGTAATTCTCCTTCCCCCGCAACACCCACCTGCTACTCTCACAGAAGAATCTTACGCTTGGATTCCTGTGCGTCGTGGAACTGCTCGGTGTGTGAGTGAGGCTGCTGATTTGCCAGGCAGCAGCACGCTGTTGGGAAGCTGCACAGGAAGCCCGGTCTGCAGGCCCAGGTGGAGGCCGCCAGGCCACGCTGAGGCATCGCAGTGGGCAGCACGCTGCACCCTCACAGCTGTGCACCTCGTTTCCAGAAGTCACTGCAGCAACTGCAAAGGAGAGGCAGGTGTAGCCAGTGCCGTCCCATTCCACAAAGGTGGCCTGAGGCCCACACGTCATTCTGATGCCCCTACAAGAAAAGAAACACAGTGAGAAAACTAAACCACTTCCTGGCATATTGGAGTTTACCATGATGTGTCCCTGGGCTTTTTCTGATGCCTAAGCAGGGTTTGTTATCCAGATGATTTCTGGCAAGATTTCTGGCAAAATGCAGAGGCCCAAATGGCAGGCCTCTGGATGCCACGGGCTCTGACTTAAGGGTGGCTGAATATTGTTGCCCTAAGACACGTTCTCTTCACTAGGCCTTTTCCTCTAGAAAGCCTAAGCAACCAGACATGGTTCTGAGTGGGCCTATGGCCACGTGGCCCTGGCCCGGCAGTGACCTGTGGCTCTCCCCCTGCCCTTTACCCCACCACCGCCTCCCCCCCTCCCCCGCCCGCTGTGCCCCACAGATGTGTCTGGGAAGCTGAGGATCTGGGATACCACGCAGAAGGAGCACCTGTTGAAGTATGAGTACCAGCCTTTCGCTGGGAAGATCAAAGACATTGCTTGGACTGAAGACAGTAAGAGGATCGCCGTGGTCGGGGAAGGAAGGGAGAAGTGAGTCACTCCTCTCAGCCCCTCCCTGCCCTGTTGCTGTGGCTCATGCGTCCATGTGCTATGACCCTGGGAGGGGGATGCGCTGATGTCTGTACTAACTTGCACTCGTGAGGGTTGAGCTCCCAGTAGGTGCCGGGCCCCGTGAGGGCTGGCTGCAGCCCCAGGTAAGGTAGAACTCCACATCACACTGGGTTTGTCACCAGGGCCCAGCACTCATGTATCTCCTCTGACGTCCTGAGTGCCTTGCCTGCTAGAACCCCAGCTCTCATGCCCACCTGCAGGCAGCAAGAAGGGGACAGAGTGAAAGAGCAACAGCACTTCTATTCGGGGTCCCTCACAGCAGCTGCCCCATGAAGCTGCCAGGGAGGCTGAACTGTTTCTTCCAGCTGGGCACCTCCCCCAAGGGTCTCTGATGGAGGAGGGAGGGGCAGTGGATGCTGGCTGGGTGGCACTGGGTGGCTACTGACCTCAGGGGCCTAGTGACTGGTGAGGTTGGTGCCGAAACCCAGGTTTTTTTAATTCAAGAGAGTCAGAGTCCCCCCTGCAGCACCATGGCTGGCCATAACCCCTTGAACTTGACAGTGGCATGTCTGTTCTTCACTGAATGGCACTTTCTCGTACATGTTCTAGTAGGTGTTTTTCCATGGCTTCTCAAGTCATTCCTGTTGGTCTTAATTCCTTCTTTTTTCAGTAGCAAATAGTAACTAAAACAGTGTTTTTGTTGAATGTCAGCCAAGAGCAGGGCATCTCATTCCTGTAGGGGATGGTAACTGTTCCCTCCCAATAGAACTGTAAGGAGAATGGTGAAGCTGTAAAGATAGCCCTGGGCCCTGTGGCGTGGGGCCCCACAGACACACACATGCATCCCCTTCCCGAAGGCGCCGGCTTGCCCCATCTTGTTCTTGGGTCCTTTGGACAAATGCCTTGTGGAGCCAGAACCCCAGTGCTTCCCTCATTTGTCCCTGTGGCGTTCTGAGCTGCCTGCTGACAGTCACTCCATCCTCTGTGCACTGGCAGCTCAGCTATCAGATTGCTTACCAGCCTTCTGGGATTGATTTTTTTTTTTTTTTTTTGTCTTCCACCTGTGTCATTGGGTCAAGGTTTGGAGCAGTCTTCCTCTGGGATAGTGGCTCTTCTGTGGGCGAGATTACAGGACACAACAAAGTCATCAACAGCGTGGACATCAAGCAGAGCCGGCCATACCGGCTGGCCACGGGAAGCGATGATAACTGCGCGGCATTCTTTGAGGGACCCCCATTCAAGTTCAAGTTCACAATTGGCGTAAGTGAACTTACTTTTTGGGTGAAATTTGTGGTTTGTACATGAGGCTAGCAGAGGCTGAGCCTGTTTAGATGCTGATGGCAGAGACCACAGCACATGCCACGTATGCCATGATACACAGAAGTGGGCTCCCAGGGGTGTGCAGAGAGAGGGAGGGCTCCCCCACCCAGCACTCGTCCTCCCCAGGCCCTCAGCTGGGCATGGATGGTTCCCACAAGGAAGGGCCCTGCCCTAGGATGATGTGTGCCTGTCGGGGATTGGGGCAGGAATGTCCCTGACCGTGTAACCAGGCAAGCATCTGGGGCTGGAGGTGCTCATTAGAGAGGGGAGCCTGCAGGGCCTGCTGTTAGCTGAGCCACCAAAGTGGCAGAGGAAGGGAGCTTGCGGGACATCCAGATTGGTCTCTCCTAGAGACAGTGAGGGCAGTGATGCGCCTGCAAAGTGACAAACGGTTAGAAGACTGAAAGATACTTTGTGGAAGAAATGTGCCAGAAATGCGGCAGGCTTTGGGTGTAGCTGGCAGCATCTCAGAGGCCCATGCCGTGCATGCGCCCCGCCTTAGGCACCCAGGCCTTGCCAAGCCTCCTCACTTCTCCCTTCTGCAAGACGGGGGTGTGCCGGGGCCAGCAGCATCTGAGGGTTTTGACTATGAATTTGAAGTAGGAGAGCCACCTGGCAGGTCTGGAGCATCTGTGATGCCCATTTTCCTGCCCCAGCTTTGTAGGAGTGAGGGGAGGAGCCCAGCAGCCAGTCTCAGCACAACCCCACGGCTCTGCCCTGGCTTTCCCCATCCCGCTTGTGCTTGCGCTGAGGATGGACAAGAACAATGGACCCGGAAATGCACATTTTAGGGACTGTTGATGTCCTTGGAGGAGGTTGTGTTTGCAGATTGGACCAAGTTCTCGGGACTCCTCTTGGAACCGTCAGTGGTTTCACTGTCTGCCTCATGGAGGATTAATGAGATCATGTCCTTAAAGTGGCTCAGTGAGGAGCACTGTCCATTTTAGTGACATCATGCCATGAATCATAAATAGCCTGCGCAGTGCAGCTGGAAAGGGCGAGGACGGGACCCACAAAGTGAGCAGAATTTCCAGAGACTGTTCTTGGCTTAGGGTACAGGAGGGGGCTTTCCAAGGATGCCCCGTTCGTAGTGAAACAGGCTTCATTTTGTCACGGAACCGCAGGCTGAGCTGGGCCTGGCTGGGCAGGTGAAAGCATAGGGAGGCTCCCTGTATGCAGCTGAACACGCGGCAGCTCTCAGACTCTGCTCTTGTGGCTACCACCTAATGGGTAGGTAGTGGAGACCTGGCTATTTTGGGAGCTGTATTGAAGGCTGTGGCTTCAGGCCATGTTTCTTCGCTAGGGTGGAGGCACTGCAGAGCAGGGTGAGTAATGCTGAGTCAGCTGCACACCCCATCTCAGCCCAGGGCAGGAGGAAGCAGCTCAGAGACTTCTGTGGTAGCTAGAAGCCGGCTGTGGGTGGGGGCTCCTTGGCCTGCCCTGGGAGGGATCATTTCCACTCTGCAGCTGTGCATTAAACCCAGCACAGGGTGCTCAGCAGGGTCAGGGGCACCAGTTTGTTCCAGGGGTGGGCTGGAGCCTGTCTTCTTCACCAGGCTGCTGTGCCCCTGTGTGCTTGCTTGGGGACTTGTCCAGAACATTCTTTCTCTTTAGTTGTCCTTTCTAACTTCAGAAAGGACTTCACCCCACTGCCCTGGCCCAGGAGTGTTGGGTACAAATGTCTGCCCAGCTAGCCCAGCTCCAGGGTGGGTACCACCATGTGTCTTGAAGTCTTTTGTGGAACCCACAACCATGGGCCCTGCCTGAGGACCTGGGAGAAATAGAAAGGGCTGTGGCCTGGCACAGAGCTAGGTGGCTGTGCCCCCCTCGGGTGAGTCATGCCTCTGGGCCCTCCCGGAAACAGGGTGACAGTGACCCTTGCGTGCTGCACCCTCAGCCACAGGGAGGGTGTGAGAGGCAGCAGTGACCATCCACATGCTCAGGAGACATGTGCGGACTCAACTGCCCACGCATAGGAAGGACAGGAAGGGTGCTCAGGGACCCCACACCTGCCCCCAAATACCTTCTGAGTTGCAGATACACTTTGGTGTGTATCTGCACTTAAGCCCTCCGGACCCCAGAGGAAAGCTGCGGTCGTGCTCTCCATGACCAACCCCAAGACAAAGGGAGCGCGTGCAGGCTGGGGGAAGTGAGAGGAGGTGTGAGTGCTAACATGAGGCCCAGCCACAGTCAGCTTTGAGGACATGGTGGGCTGAGCATCGCTGGGCTTCCTCCCGTATGTGGGCTCTTCTGATGTGGTCGGAAAGCCTGGGATGTGGAAGTTCTCAGGAATTAATTGAGCCTGTTATAGTAAAAGATTTTAAAACCATATGTGGGCATTTTTTATTTTAGAGGGAATTAAGTTCCACTTGCTGTGAAATCCACATAGCAGTGGTCTTTTTTCCCCAGATCTTTCATTCTGCAGCACATGACGGCTGAGTCTGGGCTGCCTTTGCCTCCGCACCAGCGCTCAGGCCTTGGTGGCCTTGCCTGCCGCCCCTCGCCTCCTGAGAATGAGCAGCTGTGGTGGCAACTCGGGCCTGTCTTCATCTGCGCCTTCTGCACCCACTCCCTGCAGAGGCCCCCTGTGGCCGGGACCAGGAAGCTGCCCTGAGCTTGGGGGTGCAGCGCTGGGGTGGCAGGTGCTTCCCTAGTTACCCAGGTGGGAGAGGGACTGGCGTATGACTGCGGAGGGACCAGCTGGGTCGTGTTGGAGCTGCTGCCTTGAAAAGGAACAAGGCATGTTCTGAAGGCGTTTCAGTACAAGCTGAAGCAGAACTCCATGATGCTGTGCCTGAGCTGAAATGCAAGCAGCATTCCCTGTGTGCCCCTCGTCCTGAGGGACCGTAGCCCAGCTTTGGTCTTCATTTGCCTGAATGAGGCTCCAGGAAGATGGGAGTGGAGGAACATTTGGCCTGGAATAAGCCTGGGTGCCGGCTCATTCCTACCCAGTGACATTGAAGACGCGGTAGGTGACCTGCGGAAGTAACTTCCGGGGTTACAGGAGAACGGTTCTGAAAGGAGACCCTGGGCACCGTGGTCTCGGGTCTCCAGCACTGGCATTTTGCGAACCCAGGGGTAGGTTCCCCTCAGAGGGTCTGACCGTGGCCTGAAAAAGGGAGGGTGGCGAGACCATCTCCCTGCCTTCCCCCATCTCACCCATGGGGATGTCTTCATGCCAGGCAGGCTCCTGGGATAGGTACTCCTGGATGGGTTTAAAGGCCCCACTGAGTTTCTCTCTGTTGTCTGCCTTCGCCATGCGCATTACTTGGGCCAGGTTCTTTGCCTCTCTGGCCATCCGCTTCCTCCGGTCGGGTGAGCAGTTGGTTTGGTGGTCTAGGATGACCACACGCCCCCTCTGGAGTGTGGCTCACAGCTGTGTGCATGTCCTAGGTCCCAGGAGTTGGTGGTGCACTGGATAGTTTGTGTCTAATGAAATGGTTACTTAGAGCAGCATGTCGTCCTGGGGGCTCAGCCTTATGATGCAGAACTGAGAACTCACTGCCAGATCTAACAAGCTGTGATTGTAGGTGGAAAAATGTTCAGCACGGAAGACTTCTGGCTTCCCTCACTGGGGTGCCACTGCTCCCTCTGTTCCATTGCCTCTGCCCTGCGGGGACCTCATACCTCACATAGTTCTCCCACTTGAGGCTGGAGCCAAGCAGGGCTGGAAACCTCAGCTGTGGCTGTTACCGGAAGTGCTGCCTTCCTGATAGATAAGGAAAATTTGAGCTCAAAACAGGCAAGGTTTCTGGTGGTTTTTCTTTTTCATATTTCCTCACTCAAGACAGGGCAGAGAGCAGATGTTTCAGCCCTTCTGGCATGTATGGTGGCTGCCTGGGCCATGCCCCTGTGATGGGCATGCAGGACCGCCTCCCTTGTCTTCAGCACGCGCCACCCCTCCTGTCGACTGGCCTTGCTCTTCACTGGGCTGATGGCTGACTCCTGAAAACTGGGGGCTGACAGCAGGGAGGGTGACCTGGCCCAGGTCACATGGCCAGTAGGTGCCCCAAGGACGGTTAGTTAGGATGAGCCTCTTGTCCCTTCATATGGTCCTTGTTCTCCAGGGAACATGGTGACTGAGCTGACCCGTCCCGGGTGACGGGAGAGGCAGTTGGGTGGGTAGCTCCTTCGTGCCCCTCAGCCCAACTAAGTGGACCGGGCTGCAGGGCTGCCCCAGGGCACTTTGCAGGGAAGTTTGCTGCGGGGGATGGGTGGGCTGAAGGATGGTCCAGAGCCAGCCTCGCAGGTCACGGTGTAAAGGTGTTTTGGGAACACCCATTGACCAAGGGTCGTGGAGGCCCGTGCTGGGCTTGTGTGGGGTGGGACTGGGCACAGGGGACCGAGAGCCTGTCCCCTTCTACCAGCTCATAGGCATGTGAACAGCCTAAGGGTGGGCTTGTGGTCCTCTTGTGTACAGGGTCAGCTGAGGCTGGGGGGAATGGGGTGGGCTCCCAGAGGGTTCCTGAGCTGACTAGGTAGGTAGTGAGCATGTGTGTGCTGGAGACAGGCCAGCTGGGGCCTGCAGCGCTCTGTCGCTCTGTGATGTTGACATGGGTGTGGTACTTAATTATGACCTCAGTGCTTCAAGCCTCGGTTTCCTCGGTGGTGAGAGGGAGCATATTGGTGGGAGGGAGTGAGGACTGTGGGGAGGGGGGCTCGTTGATACAGGTCAGTCTTGGCTATGTGTTGGCTGCAAGGGAGGACAGGCAGGAGTGTGGACCGGACACCGTCAGTTGTCCACCAGGGATGAGGCTGGACTGAGACTGCTGCAGCCCCGCTGGTTGGCTGGGGTGGGGCAGAGGCAGGGGGCCGGTGAGGGCAGCCTCAGGAAGCTGCTGCCCCTGAACTCCCCGGGAGGTTCCCCAATCCCTCTCCCTCTTTGTTCACTGGCCGGGCCTCCGTGTGGAAAGGGCTATTTTTAGCCCTCGCTTTTTTTGGTTAATGGGCTTTTCGCGGCTTCTCTCTTTGAAGGGGCTATTTCAGGAGCAGACATCAGTGTCTGCATTTGGACTCCTTGGCTCGAGGTGCAGGAAAAGGTGATGGGGATGAGCTACTCGAGGGGCATCTGTGTCCCTGGACTGTGCCGGGCCCCTCCCTTGCCCCTGCTGGGTTCTGGGGCCAGGGAGGGACACATGACACCACCCTGCCAGAGCCTGTGGGAGGCGTCGGCAGAGGTGAACCACAGACTTGGATTTGGGGTCCTGGGGTTTGCGCGAGCAGGAATGTCCTCGCTTCTGGGACCTGGAACTGGAGTAGGAATGTCCATGTTTTGACCTCAGGGAGCCACTGAAATGGGCACTTGTGACAGGTTGGAATTGAACAGTGGCTGATTAGTTTCCTCCATTTTGTAGCAAGAGCCATCAGCGTCCACTGTCCCACCCACTCATCTGGGCTTGGGTGATTCGGGCATTTGGGGTGAGCTCTTTTCTCTTAGTTCTTAACTCATTCGTCAGAAGGACCCAGGGGTCAGCCAGGCCCAGCCATCTCCCTGGCCCACTGCACTTCAAGGAAGCTCAGGCTGGCTTGGAGGAGCCAGTGCGAAGTCAGCGGCAAGGCGAGGCTGTGCTGGCCAAGGAAGCGGAGTTCGGCAGCGAGAGAACTCGATGTGCTGGTCAGAGGTCTAGGATTCGAGCTGTGGTTATGTCATGGTCAAGGTTGTGTGGCCTCATCTGGAAGGAGTAGTGGTGCATACACCCCTGTCCACCCCCCGCCCAACAGGGGGTCTAGAAGTGCTTTGCCTCAGGCCCTCCCACCACTGCCTTCACTGCAGCCGGCTCCTTCCTGCAGCTCTCTCGGGAACTGCCCTGTGAGGCCCTTTGACACAGGGAATGTGGACCCTATGGACTGACATGGACAAGGGACCGTGGGCCATGTTGACACAGATAGGAGGTGGACCCCATCGGCTAACCCCGACGGGAACAGGCCCTCAGTGCATGACGGCTCCCTCATGGTGGGTAACAGCAGAAGGGGGGATGCAAATGGGCCTGCGGAGTTAGGGATCTGACCTCTGGGATGACTCTGGGCTGGAGCACCCCCAGGCTTGCTGAGCAGCTGCCCAAGGCCCAGGAGCCAGCGCAGCTGAGACGAGAGCTCTGGACAGGAAACTGGAGACCAGATTCGTGCAGGTGATGTGGCTTTGAGTTACCCGCTGCTCCAGGCCTGGTGTTCTCCTGTGAAGAATTTGCCCGCAGGCTCTCCATGGCCCCTCGGGGGGTAAAGCGTCTCTGGAGGGCCCTGGAGCCCCATCTGGAAAGTTGGTTTTCACTCTCAGCAGCTGAGTGGATCGGGCCTTCTGGGGAAACTGCTTTCCCCAACTTCACATACCTAGAAGTGCTAGAAAACTTAGAACACAGACCATTTAAGCAAAGAAGACCAGCCTTAGAACTAGTGAAAAAGGTACAAAAGGAACTAAAGAAGCAAGATGCAGAACTGCGCTTAAACACAAGGAAGGGTGACCTCTAGCACCATAGCCAGAGACGACCGTCCAGTCCTGTGTTCCCCGTTCCATCTCCTAGTGAGCCCTGGGCCCGCCTGGGTACTGCACGCCTTGTAGTTTGGCACTGCCTTGCCTGGCCAAGCCTTGCAGCACCCAGGTGCGGGGGGCAGGCAAAGGGCTCGCCAGCCCCATCGCTCATGAGCTGATCACAGACCTGAGCCCAAGTTCAGACTGAGCCAGCCTGGTGCTTCCATCCCTGTCCTCTTGGGCGGTGACCACAACCTACAGAGGACGAGCTCTTCAGTCATAGAACGGAATGCAAGCACCATGACAGCACTCCCTGAAATGAGGCAGGGAGGACAATCTGCTCATCCACTGGGATGGAAACGTGACTGTCGTCGCCCTCAGTAGCTCCCGAGGAGCACTGGGACTCCCCTTGTCAGAATGTGTGATTTCTCCGGCTTTCATCTAAGTTAAAACACGGGTCAATGAGGTGGGAGATCCTGGTTCAGGTGCAGGGCCAGGGCCTGCTGGGCCTGTGTCCAGCCTGACCCCAGCCGTGAGCAGGTCTTGGCAGCACCCTGAGGAGGGCTTACCTGAGGCAAGCAAGTTTGGGTTGTTGGCTGGAGGAAATGGTTTAATCTTTGAAGTGCAGGAAGCCCAGGGTTGCTTTTGTGCCACAGGTCTGGGGTCGCATCACTCTTGGGCCTAGAGAGATTTCTGGGGCGGGGAGTGGCCTCTCTACGAGAACTGCCTGCCCTGGGGACATTGCCAGACTGAACGGTGTCTGTATCTTCTGCTGACTCTGACGGACTTTGTGGGGACATCGATTTCCTTGAGTGTGGCCCTTGGGACCCCCAGGCACCTGATTCCTCTTTCTGGGCCTATGTTTCCTCATTGGTGAAATGGGCACAGCTCACCTTGGTGGGTTATTACATGAGTGTCAGAGGCAGCATTGATGACATGTGTTAGTGTGCCGCAGCTGCCATAACAAAGTTTGTTAAGCCACAGATTGGGTGCCTTAAACAATGGAAATTTATTCTCTGGAAGTCAGAAGTCTGTAGTCAAGGTGTGGGCAGGGACGCACTCCGAGTCCTTCCTTGTCTTTCCCAGATACTGACAGCCCTGGGGGTTACTTTTTGTGAGCAGAACTCCCATCTCTGCCTCCAGCTTCACCCCAACTCTGTATCTGTGTCCAGATTTCCCTCTTAAAAGGACACCAAGTCCTGCTGGATTTACAGCCTGCCCTAATGACCTCATTTTAACTGGACTGCATCTGCAAAGACCCTGTTTCTGAATAAGGTCTCATTGGGTCCCAGGGTTGGGACTTCAGCATGTCTTTTGGAGAGGCACAATTCAACTGAAAACATTACACAATCAAACACAGGCAGGTCCCCCACACAGGTAGCTCATGCTTTAAAATTAAGTCCGTGATTTACTTAGAGCGCGGGGCAGCTTATCCGCCTTGGGGTTGAATTGCTTTTCCTGAAGGTTAGTGTTCGTACCTGCTGAGCAGCGAGCCCTTCCTGTGCCAAGAGAGTTGTTAGCACTGGATGTGCATTTGCCGGGTTAGCGCCGCCTGCAGGTGGGCAGCAAGAGGGCAGGGCAGGTGTTGGCAGCTTTACAACTGCTTATTTAAGGATCAGTCTCTGATACAAACTCTTGTTGACTGCGGAAAGAATGCATTCATTTCCTTATTCGAGTAACAGAGTCGCCCCTGGAAGTCATGTCATTTCCTTTTAGTCGCTCAGGCTCTTGTTCTTGATGAAGGTCATAATCATTAACTTTGTTTAAAAGTTAATTATTGGCCAGGCGCAGTGACTTACTCCTGTAATCCCAGCACTTTGGGAGGCCAAAGCGGGGAAACATGAGGTCAGGATACTGAGACCATCCTGGCTAACAAAGGGAAACCCCATCTCTACTAAAAATACAGAAATTAGCCAGGCGTGGTGGCGGGCACCTGTCGTCCCAGCTACTCGGGAGGCTGAGGCAGGAGAATGGCGTGAACCCGGGAGGCGGAGCTTGTAGTGAGCAGAGATTGTGCCACTGCACTCCAGCCTGGGCAACAGAGCCAGACAGGGCTGGTGCCTCCAGGAAGAGGCCTCCTGGTCTCAGCCATCGTGAAGCTTAAGGATTGGGGCTTGAGCTCTTTCAGAGCCCAGAGGGAAGAGGGCAGCTGCTGGGGGCACCTCACTGGGGGGGGCATAACTGGAGGTGGTCTGCCTTCGCTCGGGCTAATCAGCTTTCCCAGCAGGTAGAGCGGTCAGCATGGCAGGCAGGCTGGAGCAGACTCCTGCCCCTCCACTAAGGGACTGCCCAGGATGTTTTTTTAAGCTCTGAAATTTTCCAGTGGACTAACAGTTCACACTGATGAACAGCTGGAGCTGCAAGCTGTGTTTCATAGAGAGCATTCTTGAACCTAGAGTCAGGCCTGCGGCCCCTCATCAGGCAGGTAATTGTTTTCCTGCAGGACCACAGCCGCTTTGTCAACTGTGTGCGATTCTCTCCTGATGGGAACAGATTTGCCACAGCCAGTGCTGACGGCCAGGTAAGAACTGGGATGGGTTTTGGGGTGGGGAATGGCTTGTCTGCCTGCTCCCGTGACTGCTCAGAGCCGCAGGCTGCCTAATGCTAGTCCTGACATGCAGAACTTAGACATCGCCCTCCCCACATCTGCAGACTCGTCGTCAGAGCCCAGTAAATGCATGTCTGCTTTTAAACCACACTGGGAGCTTAGTCTGTGAGCCCCGGTTTTCTACAGCCACAGTCCATGGAGAAACTGCTTACTCCAGAGGGTGTTCACACACACATGACCCACATGTTTTTATTTCTTGGAAGATATACATCTATGACGGGAAGACTGGGGAGAAGGTGTGCGCGCTGGGCGGAAGCAAGGCCCACGACGGTGGGATTTACGCAGTGAGTATGAGCGTGTTTCCCGGCCTAGTGGTGGGAATTTGGCCGAGTCCACGTGTCAGTCCATCCACACTCACTCCGGAGTTAGACAAAAACTTGAAATGAGGGGCTATAAGTCGGGGCGGTTTTATATCTGCCCAGAAAAGCTTTAAGGTCGCAATAAGGTGATGGGAGAAGGTAGTGGCTGGAACGGGAGACCTGGAGGCGGGTGTTGTCCTTGGCCTCACTCATGTCCCACCCTCTCTCTGGGCTCCTTCTGTCCTACTCAAACAGTCGCAGTGGACAAGCTGCTTTTTGGGGTCTCTCTCCAGTCTGTAGTCCTCTGGCACATGACACACTGCTTTTTTCTGAATAGATTAGTTGGAGTCCCGACAGCACCCATTTGCTTTCTGCTTCTGGGGACAAAACTTCCAAGATTTGGGACGTCAGCGTGAACTCCGTGGTCAGCACATTTCCCATGGGCTCCACGGTTCTGGACCAGCAGCTGGGCTGCCTATGGCAGAAGGACCACCTGCTCAGTGTCTCCCTGTCCGGGTACATCAACTATCTGGACAGAAACAACCCCAGCAAGCCCCTGCACGTCATCAAGGTAAGGCCTGCCCTGGGGAAGGCTCTGCCCGCTGGGTGGACAGGGAAGAGACCAGAGTGGCCAGCAAGGAAGGGGAACCGAGGGGAAGCCAGGTGGAAGCTAGAGAGGTGTCCTCAGGCCTCCTTGGCCCTTGGGGTTTTGGTGGAAGGCTGGGATGCTGGTTGCTTTCTTGGGACATGAGTTTAGCCATGGTGGCAGGCCAGGTGCCAAGTTCCCCTTGAGCTACTGTGAGAACTGGAGAGTCAGGGCCTAGTGATTCGGGGCAGTGGCCATCACCCCCAGCTGTTGAGAGCGGTTACTTCCTGCAGGGCTCTGCCTTCCCTGAATTGGGAGTGCACAGCCTGTGCTTTACCCGACTGCAGGCAAGAGCAGAAGCTCACTGAGCACCAGGGCAGGTGACGGGGCATCGCTGAGGTCCAGGGGCAGGAGGGAGGAGCAAGAGCAGGTGGCCTTGGGCCTGGGCCTTGGCGCTGCCTGGAGTTTGAATGTGGTGGGCAGGGTGTGAAGGAGATACTGGAGTTCCATAAGGGAGCGATGGGAGCAGGAGGAAACGGAGTTAGAATCATCCATGGGTCCCAGGTGTGAAGGCCCCAAATGCCAACCTGGGGAGGAGCAAGGTGCCTGCTTCTGAACCCTAACCCGGAAGGGTTCACTTGAGCCAAAGGCTCCCTGTGTTCCATTGGCTGGGGGGGTCCTGCCTTCTCCCTCCACCCACACCAGCCAAGTTGACGCCTCTGGGAATCTCGCAGCTGGACAGGAGCCAGAGCAGGGGTCCCTTCTGTATCCTCAGGTCCTCCTCTCACAGCAGCGCCCTCGCCTGCTTCCCACACTGCATCTGCTGGGAACTCCAAGTCAGGTTCCCCCAGCGCTGGTGGCCCAGGGTGGGTGACCCCTCCTGCTATTCTAAGCTGTAATATCAAGGCAGGTGGACAATGCACTTCATCCCAGCAGCCCTTCTCGGGCTCCTGCTTTAAGCCACTCGGGGAGACAAACCCTAGCACTTCCCTCACCCATTGCATCCTGCTGCCGTGGAGCTCTGGGGGACCAGCCTCTGCAGAGGGTCTGAACCCTGCAGGGCTAGTGTGGGCCAGCCTGGAGCAGCCCCCGGGCCTGTGCACTCGGCCCGTGCTGTGCTGTCAGTGGCTCCTTCACACCACGGCTTCTAGGAGGGGCTGCTAGAATCACCAAATCCATTCTACATGGGAGTTTGCCCACGAGGAAGGGGCCTCGTTAACGTTGTGTGTGTGACTCCTACGGACCAGGTCACCTCAACGCTCATGCATAGAGTCACGGTTCCTTTGTGCCGGGGCAGTGGGGGCAGCAGCACTGCTGAGAGGGGGAAGGCTGAACCATAAAGGTTCACTAGACGTGGCCTCGAGGATAGAGGGGAATCGGGAGCGCCTCCTTGCTGGGCTCACAGCCCAGGGTGATGAGTATAAAAAGGAAGGCACGCACAGCATGGGGCCGAGGAGGTTGTTGCCTGGGGGAGCTGAGGGCTCTTGTCGAGACCATGCTCCAGTGGGCCTCCAAGTGGGATGGTGAGAAATTGTACACGGGTGAGTAAGGCTTCGCTACTGCCCAGAAAAACAGTTTCCCATGAGCCATCCCCGACAGTGTTCTCCAGGTGTCAGCCCTCAGGTCTGCCGTCCCGTTTCTGTTGGCAGGGCTGCCCTGAGAGTGCTCTTCCTAATACCACTGCTGCCAACTGTCTGGGGCCAGTGCACCCGGCCTGCCACCGTGGCTAAACTTATGTCCCAAAAAAGCAACCAGCATCCCACCCTTCCACCAAAACCCCAAGGGCCAGTTGTCAAAACCCCCATGTCCCAACTCTCAAATGCCACACCTGTGTGAGTCACGCAGATGCTGATGTTCGGTGCTGATCTGGGCTGCAGTGGGATGGAGCAGCAGGTATCAGCCCAGGCTGCGTGTTAGAACCACCTGGGAGCTCTAAAAAGCGCTGGCTGCTGACGCCCCCAGAGGCACTAAGTTTACAGGGAAGTCTCAGGGCAGCAGGAGCTTGCAGGCCTCCAGAAGGAACACCCGTGGGCATCTGGGCATGGCTAGGAGTGTTTCTGGTAAGTTCAAGGCATTGAGCCTGCACACAAGTCTCTTGGCCTCTTGCCGAGTGCACGTTCTGATTTGGCAGGAAGGTGGGCCTGAGCCCTGCTGGTGGGGGCTGTGCTGGTCTGAGGTCCGCGCTGTAAGGGACTGGTGGGATGCCACATTGGAAGGAGGCCGCCCAGCTCAGTGTCTCTTACTGGGGCATGTGATGATTTTTCCCCACGTCTCTGTGGAAAAGATGAAAGTAGCTGCATTCGTTGCCCATTCTCCAGTCCCACTGGTAACTGTGTACCTGTCTCCAAGGAGACCTGCATCCAAAGATCTATGCCATATTGTGGCAACATGTGGCATACCACAGAGATCAAGAATTCCTGCGGAAAAGCCCTGAGCTCAGAGGAGAGGGGCCAGCCAGGAGCTGGCCTCCCTTTGCAGGAGAAAGGCATGAGGAGCCTGCACCCTAGCTGTTATTTTTGTCTCAGGCTCAGATATGGAGGGGGCTAAACGCCGCCCTCTGGAAGCAGCTGTCTGGTTGTGGACCAGCCTTGTGTGCCCTCCACTGCAGCAGTCAGGGAGGTTAGGGTAGGAGCGTCAGCGTTCACGGACAGCCTTGGGCTTTTACAGTGATCAGAGAGACCCCTGCCCTCAGCAGGGCCAGCACTCCTGGGCAGGGAGAGAGAAGAAACCTCACAAACCAGGGCCTGAAGCGAATGTGGCCAGCGAAGTCCTCCTGGACCGACCCCCTTGTGGCTCCCCGCGACGGGTGCTGGTCGGCGGGGTGCAGGCCACGTGTCTGCACACGTTAGGTGCTCAGGTGCTGACGTGCTGGGCCTTGGTTAGACGCAGGTCTGGGCCCAGGTCTGGGTTAGGTACCTTGGAGGGAGGGGAATGAAGGGCAGGGTCTGTAGGTGACTGGGTAGCTTTGGAAAGGTTTCTTAGGGCTCGTGGGCCGTGCATTCGGGCAGCTGGGGCTACTGGGGCCTCAGAGCACCTGCACTGCCATGGATTGAGGGGCGTCTGCCCCCTCCATTACCCAGAAGCTTCGTTGGTGGAAAGCGGGTGGCAGAGGGCAGGGCAGTGTGTCATCAGCTTACCCGCCCAGTGTGTCTCCTTCACAGGGTCACAGTAAATCGATCCAGTGTCTGACGGTGCATAAAAACGGCGGCAAGTCCTACATTTACTCTGGGAGCCACGACGGACACATTAATATCCTTTGACTCAAAGAGCTGGCTCCGGAGCCGCTGGCTCTAGGGGGGAATTTCCTGTTCCCATGATGCCAGAGGCCAGGCCAGCCAGGTGGCTCCAGCTGCAGCCACAGCCACACGCTCTTCTGACCCGTGTGGCTTCTAGGGGTGGCCTGTCTGTACATGGGGACAGGCAACTGTCCCCTGGAGTTGTCCTTGGCAACTCCAGGGCTTATGCTGAGGAAAAGCCATGGGCGGCTCCGACCTGATCAGTCCCTTCTTGTCGTGCAACCCTGAGAGTGTGGCTTAACGGCCCTGAGCTTGGGCTGCCACTACCTCTGCCAATGGCACCTGGCGCCAGCCTTGGCCCTACTCCACATGGTGGGTTTCTTGATTCCTAGAATTCACAAGCACCTGGACACCCTTACGTTGGGTCCCCTTGTTTTAAAAATAGGAAAACCAGAGCCCAGAGAGCTGATGTGCCCGCCCCAGAGTCATGCAGCCTGTGGTCCACAGAGCCAGGGCTGGAGCTCCTGCGAGGTGCCTTGTGGCCCTTCGGTGATGTTCCCTGGAGGTGTTTGTGTCCCCCTTATAAGTCCTTGTCTGGGTTTCTTTAAATGAGTCCTGGTTTCTCCCTGATGATGGGGGCTTCTGTTGTGTTTTTCCTGCATGGCCTGGGGCTGGTGACACCCTGCTCACGGGTGTGTCTTGAACCTTGGAGCCACCATCTGCAGAGTGCCTGGGCAGGGATGCCCACACACGTTGCTGATGATGGCACCTGCTGTGCGTTGTTCTGCTGCCCTCCCTGAGCACCGTGCTGTGTTGGAGACTGCCTTTTGTGTGGACAGCTCTGGTCCGCATGTGCTGTACCTCCCAAAGGGACTGTCCGGGACCCAAGGAGGTCCCCCCAGGCTGGGAGAGGAGGGCAGACATGCCACCCTCTGCCCCCAAAACATAAAGAAATGTGGGGTTAGAGGGTTGCGCCTACCCGATAACTAGTAGCAGAGGAGACGCCGGAGCCTCCCCAGCTTGCTGGTCCCCAGTAGGCCTTCAGCACGGCTCCCTTTCTGCCTCATCCCAATCCCTGTGTGGTGCACCCACACTTCAGATACCCCTTCCTAAGAACGTGTCAACAGTGGACACTGCAGGCTTCCCAGGGGGAATGGTTATGTCCGTTTGCGGCGAGATTCTCATTCTTGATGTAAATGGAGAATCTTAGGACTGAAGCCACACCTGAGAACACCCAGCAGTCCTGGGAGCCGGGCTTTTCCTTAACCCCACCCTACATTACTGGGATTCAGAGACGGGGGAGAACGACTCCTTCGCTGGGAAAGGCCACACGAACCAGGTGTCCAGGATGACCGTGGATGAGTCGGGGCAGCTCATCAGCTGCAGCATGGACGACACCGTGCGGTACACCAGCCTCATGCTGCGGGACTACAGGTGAGAGCACTCGGGTCTGCGGGGGTTCCGGATGAGCCTCAGCTCCCCTCGGAGGGCTTGTGCCCTCCAGCAGTTACTGTTCTGGAGGACGCCTCACTTGCTCCTTTCATCTCTCCCACCCCGTCCCCAGCATTGTTCTCCTGTTGTTGGGCCCTGAGCCCAGCACTGTGTTACAGATCCAGGTGGTCTGGGTAATGCTCTTGCCCACAGACAACGACCAGGTGTGGACTCTGCCCTGGAAGCAGGGGCAGCAGATCACAGCCCTGTTCTCCAGGAACCTGCTGCGGTCTCTCCCTGTGTCCCTTTCCTCATCAGTAAAGGCGGGTACAGTGGAGCCTGCCTCAGGCTGTTGTGGATTAGGTGAGCCTGGCACAGGGCAGGTGCTGAGTACAAGACAGCATTCCCCTTCTGCTCAAGGGTGAGATGGGCACACAGTGATCTGGTTAAAAGACAATGTCTTGTTTGTTTTTGGTCTTGGGCCTTTGATTGGCAGTCAGTGGAGCTAGGAGAGTAGCAGTTTGCAAGTGATCTGAAGTCCTAAATGCAGTTGGAGGGACTTGAAAGAGAAATGTTCCAGGACCTGACGAGGCCACTGCACATCCAGTGTCCCCATGCCCAGGTCTGACCCCTCCTCTGGCCCTACATTTCTTGTGTAGACCCCTTTGTCACCCGGTAGTCCTGCCTAAGTCGTGTTGCCTGGGAGATGGGGACTCCTGGGGCCTGTTGATGGGAGCCTGGCACAGGGTGCAGCACGCAACTCCTAGCAGGTGTGCCGTCCTTGTAGGTAACACAGGCCCTGCCTGCCTGGCAGACTGGGCATCTGTAGGTAAATTGGGCCTCCCGATGAGTGGCAGAAGCGGCCCCAGAGCCCAGGCATCTGGGCCCTGGTCCTCTTTCTACTGCCCTGTGGTGACCCCACTCTTAACACGTCCCATAAAAGGGTCTTCCCTGGGCCAGATAACCCAAGGCAAGGCCCTTACAGAGCCAGCCTTGGCCTGGTGACCTTGCTGCAGAGCCTTTGGGGATGCCACACTTGGCCGAGTGACACAGAAATTTCCTTGATTATCTCAGTTTTCAAGAAGTTTGTGTGTATGAGTCTTTCTAGAACAAGTTTTGATAGCATTGGCCAAGGCTAAAAATAACATGATTTTCACCCATTAAAGGTAACGGATTCTTAAAAGTTACCCATCCATTTTGGGGAGCAGAGCTCAATTCTGTCTGTGCTCAGTAAACTCCAGTCTTTAGCCAACAGACAGGGGGACAAAAGCCACATCTGGGTGTAATGAGGGCTTACCACAGATAAATAGGAGCATAATCAACGCCTTTCACCGCCTCCCGCCCCTCCTTCCCCCCCCCCCACCCCTCCCCGGGCCCCCATTATGACTTATAATCTCTTTGCACCAGAGTCATGGATCGTTTTTTCGCTACCATCCCATATTTTAGCAAGTCTCTCCAGTATAGGTGGCAATAGAATTGCCTTCTAAGGAGCAAAACTGTGGTTTAACAGTAAATATGTATGCATACCTACCCTGAGCTGCTGCATTGTCGAAGTAATGTGCTTCCTTTCTCTCTAACAGCGGACAAGGAGTTGTGAAACTGGACGTTCAGCCAAAGTGCGTAGCCGTCGGCCCCGGGGGATACGCCGTGGTCGTGTGCATTGGACAGGTAGGGACCTGGCTTAGTGTTTGGGTGGGAGCCTGCAGCTGTGTGGTGCCTGCTTGCTGAATTTGACTCATGTCCCGTTTGACAGTTGCTCTAGCCAGTGTTTTGGTTGAGTGCTCATTTGCACTGCACTAAGGGATCTCACATATTTAATCCTCACCACCATCACATCAGTTGTACAGATGAAGAAATGGAGGCACGGAATGGATAAATTGGTTGTCCAAGGCCGCAGCTGGTCGGAGGGCAGAGCTGGGATTTGTCTCTAAGCCTCAGACCACGCTGCCTGCCTGTCAGCCTGTAAAGTCTATGAGATACCCTGTGGGGTGGGCCTGCCTTTGCTCCTGTTCACATCCCAGCCCTGCTGCATTGTAGCTGTGTGACCTCCGGCATTTACCTCACCCTCTCTGAGCCTTAGTTTCCCATCCCCAGCACTCACAGATCCAGGTGATTATGAGGAAGTACATGTAAGTCTCCTTACACCATCTTGGTTCCTCTTACAGATGAGGAGGCTGAGGCCTAGAGCAGCTTGGTACTTTCCCACATGCAGAAGGGTGGCACCTGACTTCCCGGCCTGGCTTCTAACCCCAGACAGTGGGGCCACCTGCACACCTTTGGAATATCTGGACCAAAGCCACCTGAGACCCAAGCCTGACCCACTTTATACAGAATTCTGCCCTGCAGAAGATATTATCTGTTGGCGGGCCTAGGCTTGCTGGCATGTAGACCGGGGAAGTCAAGGGGCACCTGTTGGCACGAGTGGCGAGCCCTGCTAAAGAAAGCTGCTTTCAGCACCCTCTGGCCCTCCTTTGCCTTGTGAACTTAATTGCGTTAGGGACAGTGGATTTCTCTGTGTCCTAGATAATAAGAAATCCCTGCCAAGTAATTATTGCAAACAGCCTGGACAGCCAGTGGGGGTGGGGAGGTGCAAAGGGAATCCACACATGGAGCGCCTCGGGGCCTGGGGGAAACGCTACAAAGCGGAGTTCTAGAAGGCTGGCAGGTGGCCTATCTCTGCACAGCAGGGCTCTTCCCAGCCAAGGGGTCTGCACATGGGGCTTTGTGGGTGAGGGGATGAGGCCTAGGGCAGCGTGCCCTGTGTCTCCAGACCCAGGTTTCCTCATCTGTAAAGTTGTGGTCATCATAGGCCACCCTTTCCCCTGAGGCTGAGAGGATGTTCAGACTGGCCCAGCTGGCGCCTGCTGCCCAGGAGGTTAGAAAGGACCCCGGTAGGGTTGTGGTGTGCAGGGGACAGGCTCCAGGTCTCTGCACCTCCTCATGTGGCATTTCTCTGTGATCTGCTGTTACCTGATCCTCCCAGGGCATCTGGAACCCCTGCTCTGGGTCAGAATTTTCTGCAGAGCTCCCTGTCACCAGTCAAAGAGTTAGGAGGGTGCTAGGAGGGGCCTGGGATTTTAGATCAGGAAACAACCAGGTTCAAGTCTCATGTCGGACGAAGCTTCAGGCAAATGCTTAGGCCCTCATTCTTCACCTGTGAGTAGGTAAGGCCACCTCCAGAGCCGGGCAGATGACAGAGGTGCCTCTTCAGTAGTAGGTTTTAGTCAGGGTGCTGCTACCATTCATCGCGATCCACCCACAATCCACGCAGAAACAGAAGCCCAGACGGTAGGGGCAGAGGCTGCCTTCCCTCATGACAGCTGGTGGCTTGGGTAGGGGCACACTGGGATAAAGGCAAAACTCAGAGATGAAGGCCACTGTCTGGGAGCAGTTGAGTAAGTTAGAACCGGAAGAATTGACAAGGAAGGGAGATGGAAGGAAGGCCCCCGCTGCAGAGCCTCTGCTGCATGTACCAGAGGCAAAGGCCCAGTGCGGGTGCCGAGGCTTGGATTCTGGGCGAGTCCCGGCTCAGCCTGTGGGAACTGGAGCCTTGGGCGTGCAGCATAAGCACCGTACCCCATTTTCTTCTCTGAAACGGGGAACCCGATCCCTGCCTTGTGGGGCTGGAACACTCACAGCAGAGCGCTGGCACGTGCCTAGGGGCTGTCGCTGTTTTTGTTTACTGTTGTTAGTACCTTTCTTACCCTGAACGTTGATTCCCATCGAGGCCAAGTGACTTTCCAAGAGGTGGTGCTGTGGTGACTGCCTTGGAAGTAATGTAGTGATGACAGTAATGGTCACAGTTAGTTGTGTTTCCTGCCCCACCTGACTGGCTAGAGCAACTGTCAAACGGGACATGAGTCCAGGTGGTGTGGCTCAGAGCCCCAGGTGGCCCTGCAAAGAGGTTGGGTATGGAGCCAAACCCAGCTCCAGTGAGCCCCGACAGGGACGCGCCCCTCCTACCACTGAGGGTTTTGTCCCGAAGGGCTGGACCGCCTGACCAGCTGCCTGTGTGTGCCACAGATTGTCCTGCTGAAGGATCAGAGGAAGTGCTTCAGCATCGACAACCCCGGCTACGAGCCCGAAGTTGTGGCAGTGCACCCCGGCGGGGACACGGTGGCAATTGGGGGTGTGGTAAGTCGCTTTCCTCTCCCCCGTGCTCTCTGTCCTTGGTATCTGGGTGATTTGGGGACAGTGTGAGCTGTGTGAGTACCGGGGCTGTCTCAGGGAAGGCGAGGGGTCAGGGGAAGGATGGGGGCAGTCGGGGCGTGGGACCTGCTCTGGGGCCCAGCCACGCCATCTCCTGCCACCCAGGGCTGGAGCCTTCCCCTCCCCTCCTCGGCACTTCCCCCACCTCACTGCCCGGGTGCCCACAAGACTGTGGACAGTGAGGTAGAGGGAGTGCCGAGGAGGGCACAGCTGTGCCTCAGAGCCAGCCCCATGAGTGGCGGCAGGAGGGGAGCGCAAGAGGGTAGCAGGTCAGGAAATCAAGGAATGGCATCCCCTGGGGCTGGGCTCGGCTCACAGGTTGAAGGAAGAGTGACAGAAGTTTCCCAGCATCT
Source organism: Homo sapiens (assembly GCF_000001405.40). Taxonomy (NCBI): domain Eukaryota; kingdom Metazoa; phylum Chordata; class Mammalia; order Primates; family Hominidae; genus Homo; species Homo sapiens. The sequence goes on along the minus strand of NC_000004.12, from coordinate 10,078,462 downwards.
TCAAGGTGCGGTACTAACCAGACATTTTACAGTTTCCCTTGAGTTCTGCCTCGGCATAATTCTCATGCCCTTGAATTTGTGTGTGTGGTCTGGTCACAGTGTGCCTGGCCAAGTCCTGAGTGCTCTGTAGAAGAGCTCATTTCCCCTCTCCAGCCCAGGAGGGCAGCCCTCTGATAACCCAGTCCTGCAGCAGGCGTGGCAGTGCCCTCCATGCTAGGGGCTGGGTGGGTCTATGTGCTGCCAGGTCCTTCAGGTGCCGGATGTGACCAGGGCATGGAGTGGCTTCCTCCACCAGCCAGCTTGAGGGCCTCATGAGACCAGCGGTGCCCCGAGGTACCAACAGCTGTTTTCATAGAGCTGCGTAGGTTTCAGGCCCATCCACGGGAAGAGCCATGCCCAGCTCCTGGCATGGGCCCAGCAGAGCAGCAGTCAGTGGGAACGGCACAGTTTCTTAAGCCCTCGACCCCCCCTTCACAAAGGATGGGTGTGGTGTGTGTGTTCAGGGGTGGCTCACTTCCTCTCTGTCCCTGCCGTAGGACGGCAACGTCCGCCTGTATTCCATCCTGGGCACCACGCTGAAGGATGAGGGCAAGCTCCTAGAGGCCAAGGGCCCCGTGACCGACGTGGCCTACTCCCACGACGGCGCCTTCCTCGCGGTGTGCGACGCCAGCAAGGTGGTCACAGTGTTCAGCGTTGCTGACGGCTACTCGGTGAGTGGCGGCGGGCTCCTCCTCTGTCCCCGTGCTGGGCGGTGCAGGTGGCAGTGGGAGGTTATCTGTGACTTGGTGACCTTGAGCTGAGCCTGTCTGAGCTGTAGTTTTCTTGCCTCTACAAGTAGCAGGTGCCTCGTGCCATGCTTCTGAGGAGTCAGTGGGTTTGCAGGGGTCGCTGGCATAGAGTTAGCGCGTGAGAAACCTCGGTCCTTATTGTCGCCATGAGGGATAAGCGAGGTGATATGGGCAACTGCGGCCTGAACCTGACCTGCCACCTCTCTTGTTTTCAACCTGCAACTAGGAGAACAATGTTTTTTATGGACACCATGCAAAAATCGTCTGCCTGGCCTGGTCCCCAGACAATGAACACTTTGCCTCCGGTGGCATGGACATGATGGTGTATGTTTGGACCCTGAGTGACCCGGAAACCAGAGTCAAGATCCAAGGTGACTTCCGCCCCCAGGCCTTGGCAGGGACCACCCATGGTTCGGGGCTCCATGGGCCACCTCACAGGCTGTCCCCTGGCTTCAGTCCCCAGGGCTAAGTAGCCTCTGTGCTTCTAGACAGGTGGCCCGGAAGAGTTGTGGGTCTCCTTCCATCCAGCAAACACCAGCTGCGCTGCTGGCCGTACTGAGGGACCACGGGGGCCCCATGCACAGGACACCTGCTGAGCTGAGTGAAGGCCTCACTTTTGACATCTTCACTTCCCCCACTCACCCCTTAAATCCCACCTGGGACCAGGGTCTCCCCCTCCCTAAGACAGCCACGTCCAGTGTATAATGTGAGCCTCATGTGGCGTTGAAATTTCCTGGTAGCCACATTTAAAAAAGAAACAGGTGAAATGATTTGTAACAGTAGGTTTTATTTAGCCCCGCATGTCATCATTTCTCCCTGAGGGGGTTGTGATGTCCCCGCGTGGCCATGCACGTATTGTAAGGCAGCTCTGTGTTGTCCAAACCCTCCCCTCCCCGAGTGCCCCCCTACCACTCTCCTCCTAGTGTGTAGTCAAGTCCCCTCATCCATTCTCCTTGAAGACATCCTTTTGTGTTAAACATTAATGGGGCCCTTTCCTATTTAAAAATGTCTGAGCCCACCCCCAGAGCCCATTCCCCAGCTGCAGGCTTCAGGTGCAGGACAGGCAAAGAGGGAAGGCAGCCCGGTCTGGAAGGGAGGAGAGACAAAGCAGGTTTCAACGTCCGTCCTGGTTTATAAGGCAATCGCCAGTCTGGTAGTGAGAATCAAACAAGTTCATGAATGAAATGGATCCAGAAAAAAATACAGCAAGAGCTAGTCAGATAGAGATTAGGAGGTCGGGGTCTGTGTCTTCACTGTGAGGTCACAGGCCACCAAACATGAAGTGACCTCAGCATCGGGTTCTCGTGCAGATAGTTGAGTTCTGCATCTGGAAAAGAGCCAGCCTGGTGATGTGGACAGAGTGCTAAAGCCTGGCCTCACAGCCAAGTCATGCTTGGTGGTTGAAGGCGCTCCTGGGCACCTGTGCCACCCGCAGGCCAAGGCTTCCTTCATCAGGATGTATGCCGTGCCAGGCAGGGGTGGGGGCTGAATCTCACCCTGTCTAGGTGGGGCTGCAGATCTAGAGGCTGGGGGCCACCCGGACCTGGGGAGCAGAGAGCTGGTGGGAACCCCCTTGCCTGCAGCTGGGAGCCTCCCTGGGCTTCATGGGCAGAGCTAGCCACAGAGGAGCCATAAGCGCACAGGCACCGTCTCACTATTGGCATCTCGGTTGGGTGGAGGCAAGATTATGGGGAATCGAATCTGTTCACCCACGGTGTGACTGTCACAGAGGGGAAAGTCAGTGGCCCCCCCAGTCCTGTGTGTTCCAGCCTCTTACTGGTTGTCATGCCTGCCCCATTTTAATAGGGCATGGATACAGTGTAGCTGTTTGTGTGGTGTCTGCATGTCATCGCTTTTATACATAAGAAGACATTGTTATTTCACTCCTGTGGAACTTGGTTGTCAAGACTTGGAGAGAGGGAGCCACTGGCATCTGTAGGTGGAGCCAGGGATGCTGCTAATTACCCTGCAGCACACAAAAAAGAGGTACCCGGCCCCGGGGTTCAGGAGTGTCACGTGGAGAATTCAGCCACACTGCCACCGTGCCAGGCTCCTGAGTTACAACGATTCGTGGCCATTTTCTTGGCCCTGGAGATGATTTAGGCACAGGTTGTTCCATCTTCCTAGTCCAAGATGTACATAGTTGCAGAGAAGTTTGGCTTTTCGTTAAATTGCACCCTTTCTTCCCAGATGCACACCGGCTGCACCATGTCAGCAGCCTGGCCTGGCTGGACGAGCACACGCTGGTCACGACCTCCCATGATGCCTCTGTCAAGGAGTGGACAATCACCTACTGAGGAGCCCCACCCCCGCCTCTGGATGGACCGAATCAGGGACTAGAGTTTAACTGCAGCGGAACATGTCATTTCTCTATTTCTGTGACGCGCCCCCATGCCCCCACCCCACCACAAGAGGCAGGAGGGCCCAGTCATGACCCTCGTCTCTGCAGGGTGTCTGTACACGTTCTTCTGAAAGCTTTAGACAGTAACAGTTTGCACATGAAAAATAAAGCGAGCACCTAAACAATGTGTGGAGCATAACTAAAACCCACAGCCCAACCAAACCTTGAGAATGCGAAACATTCCAGAGGCAGTAGCCTCCAAAGCACACAGAGCCCCTGGCCCCGCCGCGGCTCTCACTATCTGTCAGGGGAGGTTGTACAGGTGAATGAGCCGGGGGGCTCATGTTCCTGCCTGCAGAACATTTCTGTACTAGTGAGAAGAGGGAATATGCATTGCAGTTCAGCAAAGCCGGAATTCTGTGTTGAACAGATGTCTGTCTCCCTAGTGTGTGACTCACACCTTGTGGCTGCCTTCAGAGCGCCACCTCCAGATCAGATGGGGACACACAACCCCTGGATATGTTTCATTGTCAGATTTTGTGCTTGATTTTAAGAATGGAATTGTGGGTATCTTTCCTTTTTTTTTAATGTATCTTAACTGTTGCCTGTCAGTGTTTACAAACTAGTGCGTTGACGGCACCGTGTCCAAGTTTTTAGAACCCTTGTTAGCCAGACCGAGGTGTCCTGGTCACCGTTTCACCATCATGCTTTGATGTTCCCCTGTCTTTCCCTCTTCTGCTCTCAAGAGCAAAGGTTAATTTAAGGACAAAGATGAAGTCACTGTAAACTAATCTGTCATTGTTTTTACCTTCCTTTTCTTTTTCAGTGCAGAAATTAAAAGTAAGTATAAAGCACCGTGATTGGGAGTGTTTTTGCGTGTGTCGGAATCACTGGTAAATGTTGGCTGAGAACAATCCCTCCCCTTGCACTTGTGAAAACACTTTGAGCGCTTTAAGAGATTAGCCTGAGAAATAATTAAATATCTTTTCTCTTCACTGTGGGTCACTGACTTTGTGTGATGGGGGTGTGTGGGGCGGCTGGGTGGGGAGGAACGTTTGTGGGATTTTCATGGCTTTAGAGGTCTTACCAGTCTGCAGCCTCAGGCAGGAAATGTTTGGAACACAGGATTGTCAGATCCATCATGTGGTGGAAGGGAAGCCCCAGAGAAGGGGCTGGAACCCTCGGTTCCTGCTCCCAACCATACCGCCAGATCACCCTCTGACCTGGGTCACATCCCTGCCCTTCTCTGAGCCTAAGTTTCTTTGTCAACTGAAAACACTGGACCAGATGATGTCTGCATCCCATCTACTTCTCAAATTCTTAGCAGCCTGTATAGCTTTCAGGTAAGGAATAGCATGCATTTAGATGTTAAAAATCAAATTCCCAAACATCCAAATTCATTGCAAAGTGAAAGGCACTGTTCTTTGAAACTGCCTTTTGTACTTTTGTAACAATTGTAAAGTTGTCTAAATGTGCAATCCCAATTAAAAAAAAAGTCTTCGAAGAGTCTAAGGATACTGCTTCTTAGAAAAGTCAGGGGATAAAATGTTAGTCTCTAACATCTGAAGCTGGGGCTGCCTCTTAATAATTAAAAGTCCACAAATGACTTTGTTCCTATGTGTATTTTGGGTTAGGAAGAAGGTACTTTTCACATCAATGGGAATGGTGAACCATTCAGTAAATGGTGATGATAAAACTGGGTGACAAAAATAGTCTTGCTTACCTTGTCTTTGCAGCAAAAACCGTAAGAGGGCAAGAAAATACTGAATTTAGCCACACAAACGCTAGTGTTTCTAAGAATGACAAAAATGGTAGAGAATAGAAGTGATATATTTGACTATGTATTTTTAAAATCTGTTGAAGAGGGAAAAACCACCAGTCCCAAAATCAAAAAAGACAAATGGCACAAAAACTTTCAACATGTACTAGACCAAAGGGTGTGTTTGTTTAACACCTGACATAATTTGTCTTTAATACAGGTTAAATTTTTTTATCTTTAGTACAGGTTAAATTTTTTTCATGGATATTATGTCCATACATGGGAAAGTTTTCAAAATATGTGATTAAAAACTAAGTTACAGAATAATGCAGATAGTGTGGCTCCATTTTTGAAAAAAAGCCACAGACTCAAGGTACAAACAAGGCCCTGAGGCTTAGAAGATCCATGGCAGAAGGGAGGTACCTCTTGTTCCTTCATGCAATGAAATTAAAGGCTTAAAAAAATCTCTACCCAGGATCTGCATCAGTTTCAGGGAGGAAGATCTTTATATTCACAAGTACACTTTAAAGGAGAAAACTCAAGCCACCTTTTATCCCTGGAGAGAGAAGAATGCAGGCAGCATTTTCAAGCTAATCGTTTATTGGCAATCTGTGATCACAAGGTTGAGCACCAAATCGGAGTCATTTTGGGAGAGGAGAGAAGCTGGACTCCAGGCATGACCCAGACGGAGCTGATCCTCACACCTCCGTTGAAGGCAGAATATCTTTGTGCACATCAGCTTCATTCTGCAGACCAGCTTTGGCTACCTGGAACACTGTTCAGGATTCCAAGACCTCGGGCTGCAGTGGAACAAGACATTGATCTGAGATTAATTATGACCAGCAAGGATCAACACCTGTGGATGGAGAGGGGAGGGGAGGGTGCAGGCATCTCCTGTCATGCTCATTGGTCAGCTTAGAGACTTGCAGACCTGGCACTCGCCCTAGAGGAAGCAGTGTAGTGAGAAGAAAGCCAGACTTAAGGGATGTTGGCTTCTGTTTCCAGCTCTGACACACCGACCTTTTGGTTAGAAGAAGCTCAACTAGAAGACTTAGATCCTAAGAGCTTCTTGGGGATGTAGAACAAAGTCTGCTTCCATTAGGGCACTGCCCTTTTGAAATGATCATGTAGATAACATGCATTTGAACAATTGGATCAGTTTTTGAGAAGTGAATGTGTGTGTGTGTGTGTGTATGCCTGTGCAGACTGACAGGATATGGTGGAATCGAATCCCTGCTGCAGAGTTTTCACATTTACAGCTGATCACTGCATTAACAAAAATGTATTGATCACCAAACTGACATTGTTTAGCATAACAATTTTTCTTCAAATGATTACTGTGTTAGCAAAAGGATCTCTTGGGTTCAACCTTAGGCCAGTGTTTGACCCTGAGCCTGTTAGAACCTCATGTGTCGTATCTGGACCTCTGAGAGCTGGGGGCCCCTTTGTGCTGTAAACCAGTACAATGTGGTGCTCTTGACACTAGGAAATTATTGAAGACCCCCAAAGAGCTTTTGGTTATGTATCTTTCCAAAAATGGAAAGACAAAAAATTTTAAACATTTATTAATGTCTCTACCAATTACAAACCCATTACATGTTATCATAGCAAACTTTAAAGAAAAATCTTTTTCAAAACACTAGTAGAAGAGTAACATTGTTTTACATTTTGGAAAATCACGTCTGCCTTCTCCATTCAATGTGTGAAATACATTTTTTTTTTTTTTGGAAATACATAAAGAAAATGGTCTCCCACAGATTCACAGTTGGAAAAGGAATAAGAACTTGAATAGCGTTTTCAGAGAACTGGATTTTTATCCTTGGCACTATACCAAAATCCAACAAGTGAAAATTTCTTAAAGGTTCATGCAGTGTGAAATCTGAAACCCTATCAATGAATCTTTAGCCCCCCTGTCAAAATCCACTTGGAACACAACTTTTATCTGTGCACAATTTTGTGCCATTATTTGATTATTTGAAAAAAAGTGATTCATTGAGTTATGCTAATCTTTCAAATGTGGACAAATTTTGGAAAGTATTTTTAAAAATCACATTTCTACAGGTTACCACCAATCTCGACAGAGACATCATTTAACTGTTAAGAACCCACTAGGCTCACGGAACTTGCAGTTCCAAATGAATATTCCAGGTCCTGGGGTGTGTCTGTCCTCATGCTTTCCCATCATCTGTCTTGTTTGCCAGGCTGAGGCTGAGTTGCATCTACATTTTGGTTTGAGAAGAGGCAGAAAGTGTGGCAGAGGCACACGTGCAGTCTTCAGGGCCACACCCCCGCCATGTCCACTCCCATTTTAGGAGGAACTGTTAGTCAGGTGAGCATATCTACCTTGGAGGGGCAGGTGGCTGGAATAGGAGGCTGGCAGCCCCTGGTTAGGTGGCCCCAGGCCCAGCCATGACTCCATTGCTCCAGGGAAGAGAAGAGAGCCAGCCCACTCTTCAAGAACCAAATTCTAATATAATACATCCTTGACACGTTAATTTGCCTTGCTAAGCTTGAGTTGCTTTGGAAAAGATCTGGGAATATAATTTTTCCTGACATCTCTATTAACAGTATCCTTGGATTGCAAGGTGAATTTTTAAAAATACTTTATCAATTGCAAGTGCTCATCTGCCCAAACCAAGATTTTCTCAATGCAGTTACACTGCAGCAAAAACAAAATGGAGAAATGTTTGATTGCTGAGATGGACATGAAATTGCTGAGACTGATACAAAACTGCAAATGTCTTTGATAGGAAGCTTCAGTCCCAGTCTGTAATCTAAACTGATTTAAAAATAAGGACATAATTATTTTGATGGGTAAAAGATAAAAGGTTTTTTCAGCAACTTTGGGGATCTACTCGCTGCCATGTCTTGGTCACCTGCCTCTTCTGGCAGTTCCTTTCACTTTGTTCCCAATGCGATTTGGAGGAAGGAACACTGGGCTCGAATCAAGGACATTTAAATTCCAGACTCTCCTCTGCCATTGTCAGCTGGGCATCTTTCGCTGCAGACAAAATGCCTCTGTGGTTTTCAGTTTCTCCATTTGTTCATTTCTTTATTCATTTTTGCTGTTTTTTTGAGCATTATGTCAGGTATTGTTTTAGGTTAGGGGTTAGTAATATGGGAATTACAAATTATAATAATATTAGCTTCTACTATTCACTAGAGGCTAAGTAATGTGCAGACGATGTGCTATGCACTTCACAGATATTTAGGTTCACCTGATAAAATACAGGATAGGCTGGGTGCAGCGGCACACAGCGGCACACACCTGTAATCTCAACTACGTGGGAGGATCGCTTGAGCCCAGGAGTTTGAGACCAGCCTGGGCAACATGAGTGAGATCCTCCATCTCAAAAATAAATAAGTAAATAAAGTAATAAAATACAGGCCATCCAGTTACATATCAATATCAGATAAATAATTTTTTAGTACAAGTATATCCCAAATATTGCACAGACATACTAAAAGCATTGTTGATCTGAAATTTAAATTTAACTGGGCATCCTGTGTGTGTTTTTTTTTTTTAACAAAATCTGTCCATGTTGCATACATTGTTATTCCACTTTATTCTCACAATAGTTCTATGAGGAGTAGACGTTATATCCCCATGTAGCAGACAATGAAACGGACAATTACCAGCTGGGTAATTTTGGGCAAATGATTGAACTCCTGCAGGAAGTAAATAAAATAGAGACTTGAAATTAATTCTGCCTGACACTGAGCCCTGATGGAAGTTCTTTGTTATTTCAGATGCAGAAGACGTAGGAAGACAAGCCACAGTTGTATGGTTGCTGCCTGTGAAGCAGTGAGCCACCTGTCCCTGTGTGCAGCAAATGGATGGCAGCTCAAAGGGTTAAACTGAAGATAATTGAATGAAGGGACCCTTTGGAGAGGCGCAGGTAGGATTAAGGAAGCCAGGAAGGGGTGGAAGCACTCAGAAAGTAGCTCAGAAGGAAGTCGTTCCCAGTGCTAGGCCTGCAGACACAAGGCGGGGGGAACCTGTACCCACCAAGAATGGGAGCCAAGAGTGCGAGGCTGAGGTGTATCTTGGAGCCTCCCATTGGCCCAAACCCAACAGGAGCCATAGGAGGCCCTGGTTCACAGAGCCCCTCCCCAGCTTTGTAGCTGCCACCGCTTGGCAACTGCCCTTAGGTGCACAGCAAGACTGAATAACCACAGTGTCCCTGCAGATGGGGGCAGTCCTGTGCACGGCCTCCATGAAACCCTCACTGTCCAGCTCCCGTCCTGTGGCTCCACCAGCTTCAGATTGCATCTTTTGTCGTCATGCTGCTGCCTCCACATCCCATTTGGGCAGCTCGCCCTCCAGGATAGCATCTGCATTCTGGGAAGGAAAGCTGAGAAGGGAAGGTGGAGGAGGAAGCGGTTAGTGCTTAGAGTAGCAAAGCTTTTTTTGTTTGTTTGTTTAGACGGAATCTCTCTGTCAGCCAGGCTGGAGTGTGGTGGCACAATCTCGGCTCACTGCAACCTCCGCCTCCCAGGTTCAAGCAATTCTCCTGCCTCAGCTTCCTGAGTAGCTGGAACTACAGGTGGTGCCACCATACCTAGCTAATTTTTCCTCTTTTTAGTAGAGATACAGGGCTGCGTGGGGATTACATGAAATACTCCAAGTAAAGCCCTAAATGAATACTTGACCCACAGCAAATATAATTAATATTAGGAATTATCATTGTTTTAGTAGATGTGAAAGAAAGGCTGTTATCAAACTATAAGTAATGTATACATGCTAGTTACCACTGTGAACACAGGACATGAAATAAGTATCCAATTAGTGATAATATACAATGAATTGTGACTGTGCTCCCAGAGAAGCCAGGTGAAGGCCAGGGGAAATTCAGAGGACCATCTCTGGCTGGGACATCAGGGCAGGCTTCCTGGAGCAGGAGGTCCCTCAAGACTGGAGAGGACACTTTCAGGAAGTCAACCAAGACTGAGGATGTGACTGACATTCCTGGAAAATATCAAGGTGGAATTTAGTATCTTCCAGTGTTCTTACATGGAATCATTTGTTCATTTCTCCTGTGGAGATTAAAAAACTACAAACCTCACATTCTTTACCATAAAAATCTCCCATTTTTAAAATTCTTATATTTAGTCCTAGATTTCTGTGAGTCTTCCTCATTTGCCCCTGGCTATCATCATCCTACATAAAATCAGGGATGGTTGGCATCCTAACTGGCAGCTACTAGGAAAAGGAAACTGAGAGAAGATAGGATTCTAAAGCTGCCACTGCCTGGAAAATCTTGTTAGATAATGATACAAGTTAGGAGCATTGATAACAACACGTTTTTCACTTACTGAGGTCTAAGTTTTGGGTCATCCAATTGTCATCCTACTCTTTACCTTGTCACCACAAAAATGTTCTTGCTGGGTGAGTCGGAATGTATTAATTACCTATCAAACAATTGAATATTATATCAATAAATTATGTAAATATTAATATTTTAATAAATAGCAATACAAATTAATAGTTCATGTGATTAATTCTTAATCAGCTAATTAATTTTAAAAGGAAAAAAGAATCTTAGATGAAACATTCCAGAGACGTCCCAAGACATTAGATACCCTATGCCAAGGACGCACGTTTTCTTGTCCCATGAGCCAGGCTAGCCCCAGGGACCCTAAACTGGGTCTTTTCACTTAGATTCTGTTGCAGCATTTTGCGATTATAACCTGATCTGGTACAATGACCATTCCACTCTTCCACTCCCCTATTTATTTTTTTTAAGAAGGATAAAAACCTCCTTGCTCATCATACTAGTGTCTTACATATAAATGGCTATCAGGGTTTGTGCCTTCATAGGGACTTGAAGATGGCAAAGCTGTTCAGTCACACAACAAAATCGGTTGTCCCCACAGGCCCTGGTGGGATGTCAGCATTATCCTTTCCATGTTTTGGTGTGGGAAATGGAATTGCAGGGAAGCTAGGTTTGGAGTAACTTGTATCCCTGGGATGATGGAAGTGGCTGCAAGACAAGAAGCCCGGTTCATAGCCCAGCATCCCTGATGGACGGGCCTCACTGCTACTGCAGTAGGACAAAGTAGACTCTGAAGGGGCTTCGCAATAGCAAAAGGAAGCAACCACAGGACTTGCTTTGGTGGCCTTGAGGGAGCCAAGATGGCCGCAGTCAGACACATTTAAGCTTGCTGCAAGCAGATGCGGGCTGAGTGGCCAGTATAAACTGAAGTGCACTTTCGGGGCCCACCTTCTACGTTAGGCACCATTTGGACACTGCCATAGAGATGTGTGTTGTCTGATGAAAAAAGCACTACCCTTGTGAACAGAATAGCCTGGGGTCCTGCACCTGCTTCTCACCCACTGATTAACCTTGGACAAGGTAATCACAGACCCTGAACCCCCATGCATAAAATGGCATGACACGCCCCCACCCCAGCATATGCCACCAGGCTGGTGAGATGAGGAAAGCCACATTTGAGGGGAGTTTATTAGCTAGGGTGGTTTAGGCACACAGGCAAGGAATGAGTTCTTAAGAACGTAACTGAGGGCTCGTGCTCTTGTATAAGAAATACTTCGTTTGAACTAGTGCTGCCTTCACAGAAGATCACATCATGCAGCCAAAAAATTAAAAGGATTGTAAGGGATAATGCTGGCTGCAGCCGTCAATGTGGCCCCATTGAGAGCAGGATGAGGACGTTTACAGATGGAGACAGACACCATTTCACTGGCAATTGAATTAGAATCATCAGCTTAGCTCGCTTCTGGTCCCATCACAGATTAATCTAAATGGCACCCCAAGGAGACATCATTTTTTAAGCAGTTTGGGATTAGAAAAGGTCACACTTCTGAGAACGCTCCAGAGAGAAACACAGTGGTACCATTGTCTTCTGAATTCTAGCTTACCCTGATTTTGTTTGTACTGCATAAAGTCAGGTCAAGCAGTATGCCTCAAATAACTTGGATTTTTGACAATTACGCCTTCTTTCATGGCTGCCTTCCTGCCCTCCCTCTTTCTATTCCTTTCTCTGTCCTACCTCCCTCCCTTTCTTCTTCTTTCAATTACAGCCTCTAGTTCATTGGATTTGGAAACAAAATGAATATTATTTGAAGATTGCAAAGTATTCATCAAAACTCAGGTTTTGCCAAATTAAATGGCCGCAAACAAACCACAGTCTTTGCCCTGGGAGGAAAGCTGCCTTGATCACTGTCTCAGCCACAAGAAACAAACACATTCTTGGGTTTAGCTGACATGTCCCATAGAGACCTCATCCGTTTCTTCACTTTATGGCACATGGATGTACTAGTTATTTAGCTTTTGCTCATGTAACTTGTAAAACCTTCTCTAAGTGGCTTAAAAAAACTTCTTGGGTCCCACTCTGTTGCCTAGGCTGGAGTGCAGTGGTGCGATCATGGCTCTCTGCAGCTTCAAACTCCTGGGCTCAAGGGATCATCACATCTCAGCCTGTCGAGTAGTTGGGACTACAGGCACGCACCACCATATCTGGCTTCTAAGTGGCTCTTGCTCTTTTCAGTTATTCCTTTCTTTTCTGGTTTTTTTTTTTTTTTTTTTGAGATGGAGTCTCGCTCTGTTGCCCAGGCTGGAGTGCAGTGACGCAATCTCAGGTCACTGCAACCTTTGCCCCCCAGGTTCAATCAATTCTTGTGCCTCAGCCTCGCCAGTAGCTCGGATTAACAGGCACATGCCGCCATGCCCAGCTAATTTTTGTATTTTTAGTAGAGACAGGTTTCACCATGTTGGCCAGGCTGGTCTCAAACTCCTAACCTTAAGTGATCCGCCCACCTCAGCCTTCCAAAGTGTTGAGATTATGGTGTGAGCCACCGCGCCTGGCTCTTTTCAGTTTTTCAGTCTTTGCTTTCAACTGGAGCACATTCTCAGCAGCAGCTTTTGCTGTAGCAAGCAGTGTCAACAGCATCCCTCCGGCAGGTGACTTCCTTGAGTTGGCTTCCTCAACCTCAGCACAACCAACTACTCACATTTCAGGTGGGACAGTTCTTTGTGTGGGGGCTGTCCTGTACATTGCAGGGTGTCAGCGGCATCCCTGGCCCCCATTAGATGCCAGTAGTACCCCCTGCCCCAGTCGTCACAACCAAAAATCTCTCCGGACATTGCTAATTCAGAAAAGAGTTCCTTTTTATTTTTAAAGAGCTAGGTTTTTGTTGCTGTTGTTACAACTCTGTGATCTTAACAGATTAATTTTCTTAGGAAGAAAAACCATGACTGAGATATTTAGCTTCTTCGTTATAATTCAAAATTCACTCAATCATTTATTCACTCATGTAATCAACTGTAGGGGCAGCAAAATTCCACTTCCATACTCTTAGGGTCCTGCTTGTGCTGGAGAATTTAACTGACATAAGACAGATGAACAGGAGGAAAGCATGCACATTTTTAAATACAAGTTTTATGTAGCACAGGTACCCTCATAAGGAAATAAAGTCCTGAAGAAGTAGTCAGATATACTGAATTGGACAAATAATAGTAAGTTGTGAAGAAGCAACTAAATGATGTGGGGAGGCTTAAAAGGTAAGAGTTATTTGCACAAGGTTGGTACAGAATTCTTTCCATCTTAGCTTCTCATCTTTGAGAATAAGACTGTTGCATCTTTCACATAGGGATCTCATCTTTTGCTTTTAACAAATGGCATGAAGGTCAGAGTGATCTTCTTGCATCTGCTATTTTTCTTTTTCTTGTTTTTTTTTTCGAGACGGAGTCTTGCTCTGTCACCCAGGCTGGAGTGCAGTAAAGCGATCTCCGCTCACTGCAAGCTCTGCCTTCCGGGTTCACGCCATTCTCCTGCCTCAGCCTCCCGAGTAGCTAGGACTATAGGCGCCCACCACCCCGCCAGGCTAATTTTTTTTTTTTTTTTTTTGTATCTTTAGTAGAGACAGGGTTTCACCATATTAGCCAGGATGGTCTCGATCTCCTGACCTCGTGATCCTCCCGCCTCGGCCTCCCAAAGTGCTGGAATTACAGGTATGAGCCACCGCGCCCGGCCACACCTGCTGTTTTTCAAGTGGCTTTAACTTAGTGTCAATATGCCCGAGTGGTGTAATTTCACTCCTTCAGAGCCAATGTTCATTGGTCATTAACTAGGCCCAGACACCTCACTTGGCTTTGGGGACACACGCAGCTTTGAGAATAAAACAGACATAGGTTGTCTTGTGTCACTGCATTTATTTTATTTTTTAAAGACAGGGTCTCACTCTGTCACCTGGGCTGAAGTGCAGTGGTGCCATCATAGCTCACTGCAGCCTCAAACTCCTGGGCTCAAGTGATCCTTCCACCTCGGCCTCCCAAAGTGCTGGGACTACAGACATGAGCCACCACACCTGGAAATTTCACTACATTTATAGAGCAGTGGAGAAGAAGGTAAACAAGGGATTCCAGAAGTGCCACGTTGGTAAAGAATGCTCACACAGCTGTGGGAGCCCGATGAGGGACATGAGGTCCAGCCTGGCATGGATAGGAATTATCATCCTACCTTTCTGGTTTCCATGAGGTCCTGATGTACAGAGCATAGCATACTGCCATGTCCTTGAATGCCCATTTCCCATTCCTCCTGCCAGCCTTGATTTAGAAGTCCTTCTCCTGCTTTCTGGAGGCCTGCATTGTCTCTGGTGTCTGAGGTCCCTGGTTGCAGTGCTCAGCTTAAAACAGCAGAGAGCAGCTTCAGATCATGGCTGGGCAGAGGCTGAGTCAGCCTGCAGGATAACTGGCTCCTAGCAGAGGCGCTAAGGAAGCCTGGTATGGGCCAACGGACCAGGCAGGCCCTCCTTCCAAGCCTCGGCCAACAGGAACCCGTTTCCTGGCTTTCAGCCCTCAAAGAAACTGCCTGGGTCTGTTTTGAAAGATCTCGAGTTGGCTGAAAGGGACATTTTCCCCATGACTGGCACTGGTTGTCAAGCCTGCTGGGCCCAGCAGGAGGAATGCCATCTCTTTTATCTCACCTTCTTTGTTAAGAGGATGGGCTGGCAGGGAACCGCTTTGCAATTATCTTGTTTAAGATGAGCAGAGGAGATAGTTGCTCCCTGCAGGGATAACCCAGGTCCCCAAGCCATCTCCTTTAACCAGCAAATACATGAGCATTATTCTAGCTCATGGCCAGGGTGGGAGGAGGCTTGGTTAACTGGACACGGTGGCCTGGCGCCTCACTCTCCCTATCAAATCCTATCAAAGCTTCTCTGTTCTCAGCTTCTTTCTCTTGGGCAAAAGAGGTAAATTGCAATAATTTGTTCCGAAGGGGTGCTAATGGGTGGCACTCAGTTGATTTCTCATTCTCCCCACTTCCCCAAATCACTTAGCTGGTATCTCCGTATAAACAAGCCCTTCTCTACTTGAACTGAGGACTAAAGGAAATATATTTGTCCATATAATGGGGCTTTTATCCAAGAAGCATTTCTCAAAGTGTGGTCCAAGACCACCCCTATCTGTAACGACTTATAAAAATACGGATTTCCTTCAGCTCAGCTACATTGCCACAAATGACAGGATTGTATTCTTTCTCGTGGTCAAATTTGTATTCCGAGGTGTATGTACACTTTCTTCATCCACTCATTTGTTGATGGACACAGGTTGATTCCATATCTTGGCTATTGTGAATAGTGCTGCAATACACATGGGAGTGCAGACAACTCTTTGGGAAATGGATTTCCCTGCCTTTCCTTTGGATATATACCCAGTAGTGGGATTACTGGATCATATGGTAAGTGAAATAAGCCAGGCACAGAAAGGTAAATACCACATGTTCTCACTTGTATGTGGAAGCTAAAAACGTTGAGCCTATAAAAGTAAGGAATAGGTTGGGTGCAGTGGCTCATGCCTGTAATCCCAGCACTTTGGGAGGCCAAGGCTGGCAGATCACGAGGTCAGGAAATCGAGACCATCCTGGCTAACAATGAAACCGCGTCTCTACTAAAAATACAAAAAATTAGCCAGGCGTGGTGGCACGCACCCGTAGTCCCAGCTACTTAGAATGCTGAGGCAGGAGAATCGTTTGAACCTGGGAGGCAGAGGTTGCAGTGGCTGAGATCACGTCACTGAACTCCAGCCTGGGTGACAGAATGAGACTCCATCTCAAAAAAAAAAAAAAAGAAAAAAGAAAGAAAAGTAAAGAGTAGAACTGTAGCTACTAGAAGCTGGGAAGGATGATGGGGAGAGGAGGATAGGGAGAGGTTGGTTAATTGTTACTAAATTACATCTACATGGGAGGAATAAGCTATAGCATTCTATGGCCCTGTAGTTGATAATTTGTTTTCATAATGGTTTCAAATATGAGAGAATTTTGAATGTTTCCAGCATAAAGACATAATAAATATTTGAGGTGATGAATATGCTGACTACCCTGATTTGAACATTATACCTTTGTTTACATGTATCAAAATATAATATGTGTCCCATAAATATGTACAATTATTATGTGTCAATTACAAATAATTTTCAATTTTAAAAATATGGATTTCCACTGTTTGGCAGCATCTACTAGAATTAGACATATGCCTATCCTGCACCCATCAATTCCATGGCTAAGAATATACAGGAGAATGGAGCATTTATGCCCAGCCAAAGATATGGTTAGGAACATTTGAGCGGCACTGTTCAATAGCCCCAAACTGGAATCAACCTAGACGTCCATCAACAGGAGAATGGAGGAGCAAACAGATTGTGATTTATCCATATTGGGCAATAAAAGTGAAGGAACTACCAATACAGTCAACATGATTCATCTCATAAACATGACATTGAGCAGGAGAATCCAGACATAAGAGTATCGGCTGTGTGATTCCATTTATAGGAAGCTCAAGAACAGGCTCAACTACTCTGTAGGGCCAGAAATTAGAATAATGTTACCTGGAGTGGGGCTGGGAGTTATTGACTGGGAAGGGGCATCAAGGAGGCTTTTGGGTTATTGGAAATGGTCAATATCTTGACCTGAATGGTGGTTATACACGTACTTATGTAAAAATGCACTGAGCTCTATACTTAAGATCTATAAACTTTACTATCTGTAACACACACACACGCGCGCACCACGCACTTCCCAGCCTTATTCCAGACCTACCAAACCCAAATCTCTCTGCGAATCTGCATTTTGCATCCCTGGTGGTGCCAATGCACATTGACTACCAGGGTTGCAGGTGGTGCGATTGTGAGGGGGTCATTTTGTCAACCCCCAAATCACACCAAACCCTATTTCCCATCTGGGGTGGAACATCACAAGATTTTCATACGTCAGTCCCTAAGGGAATAAGATTGGTGTGAGATTTCCCACCGGTTAAGATTATGGACAAGGACCCTGTGAACAAGATTGTCACAGTCCCTACCAAGACAGAAGCCACACTGTTATGGAAATATAGTTAGCCAACACTTTCACTTCCTTTCAATTGAAAGTTTAAAACAATTACTTCTATCCTTCAAACTTTTTGTGGACAAACATGTATTTTAAATTTAGAATCAGTCTATATGTAATGTTTGATCCTGTCCCTTTCTCTGTGTCACATCATCCCATGTTCAGCGTTATTAGCAAGAGGAGGCAGGACACGTTTGTCAAGTGTCTGGAATAGGCAAGACCTCCTGTATTTAGTCATCTCATTGGAGCCTTAAAACAAACCTATGAGCAAAAATACTAGGCTCATAAGGATTAAGCAACTACCGCAAAGGTACACAGCAAGTAGGTGCATAGTGGGGATTTGATCCTGATCTAACACCACAAAAAACTCTCTGGTGCTAACAGTCTACTACAGGATTCCAACTTTATTTTGTTTTAACTTGTGGCCATGAGTTACCTCTGTCATTACAAACTATGAGTAAACCTCATCTTAAAATATCTGCATCTTACCCAACTAGTAAACCATTATTTAATTATTCCCCTAATTTCGACATTATCTCCATGTTTGCCAATCAAATGTCTTGGTAAATGTGTTTTAACATAAACCTTGTATTTAGGATTAATAGATTAGGAGAGATTATTACAAATGGAATAACCAGGACAAAGACTATGCACATTTGAAAGACAGGAATAATTTTACTGAACTGCTCTCCAAAAATATTCTATTAATTTGTGTTCCTTTCAATGGTCAGCCTGTCTCATCCCACCCTCATCAACTTAAGGCATCATAACTTGAAACAAACTTTGCTAGTATGGCACTGCAATTCAATTTGCATGGGCGAGTTTGGTCGTTTTTTTTTTTTTTATTTTTTGTTTTTTATTTTTTTTGAGACAGAGTCTCACTCTTGTCCCCTAGGCTGGAGTACGATGGCACAATCTCAGCTCACTGCAACTTCTGCCTCCCAGATACAAGTGATTCTCCGGCCTCAGCCTTCCAAGTAGCTGGGATTACAGGCGCCCGCCACCATGCTTGGCTAATTTCTGTATTTTTGGTAGAGATGAGGTTTCACCATGTTGGCCAGGATGGTCTTGAACTCCTGACCTCAGGTGATCCACCCGCCTCAGCCTCCCAAAGTGCTGGGATTACAGGCATGAGCCACCGCACTCGGCCAAGTTTGATCATTTTTAATGTATTTATTATTCGGCTATGTTTTTCCTTACGTAAATGTCTTAGACTTTGAAGTGTGAACTCTTCATATGTGTATTCAGGAGCTGGTACTATTTTATATTTGTCATAAATATGCCTCATGGATTAAATTTTGTTTTCTAATAATGTTTACGTTGCTGACTGGTAAAATGACTTCAATCTTTGTGTAGTCAAATCTATCAGTAAATTTCTTCATGACTTTTTATTTCTTTTAAACTTAGAAATCTTAGAAAATTAATTACCAAGTCAGAAGAATATTCACGTTTATTTTCTTTTGTGTTGTGATTTTACTTTGTCCTTATCCATCAATCAGCCATGAATGTGGAAGTGTGTGGATGTGTGACACTGTGTGTATAAGTGTGTGTGTGTGTGTGTGCAGCCACAAGCACACTGTGAGGTGAAGATTCAACTAGATATTTTTAACTTGCTACTTCATTAAAAAGTCTTTTTTATAAAAACTATGATGTCACAAATAATTTATAGTAATTTTTCAAGATATTTTGTCATTACTATTTTCAAGGTCAATTTCAAAGTCACATTTTCAAGTTAAAAATTACCCCACTGACCTTTTAAAAAATTGCTACGGTTACGTTTGTGCTTGATACTCATATTTTCAAAGCAAAGCATATTCTATTTAGTGATACTTATATAGGTATTAAATCTATAAAGAAAAGCAAAGGAACGATCAAAACAAAAATCAGGATAGTGCTTGCTTCTGGGGAGGAGAGAAGGAGCTGTGATTAGGAAGGGTACATGAGAGAGTCTAAAGTGTTGGTAAAAGTCTATTGCTTAACTTGAGTAGTGGCCATATTATTGATCTTTGGTGAATAATAAGATAACAAATAATTTAGCAAATGAAGCAATAGATGTTTATAATCTCACATTTTCTGTGGGTCAGGACTCTGGGCACAGCTCTCTGCAAGGCTATAATCAAGATGTTGGTTGGTTGGGCTGCAGTTTTATCTGAGGCTTAACTGGGGAAGGATCAGCCTCCAAGCTCATGTGGTTGTCAGCACCATTTGGTCTCTTGCCTGCTGAGGACTGGAGGCTGCTCCTCAGTTTCCTGCTACGTGGCTACCATATAAGGTGGCTTACAACATGGCATCTTGCTTCTTTATAGCCAGCAAGGGACAGAGAGTCTCCAGCAAGACTCATGCTACAATCTTTTTTTTTTTTTTTTGACTGAGTCTCTGTCTCCCAGGCTGGAGTGCAGTGGCGTGATCTTGGCTCACTTCAGCCTCCACCTCCCAGGTTCAAGCAAATCTCCTGCCTCAGCCTCCCAATTAGCTGGGACTACAGATGCGCACCACCACACTCGGCTAATTTTTGTATATTTTTAGTAGAGTCGGGGTTTCACCATGTTGGCCAGGCTGATCTTGAACTCCTGACCTCAAGTGATCCACCCACCTCAGCCTTCCGTGGTGATGGGATTACAGATGTGAGCCACCGCACCCAGCCAAGACTCATGTTACAATCTTATGTAACGAAACACATAATCACATATGTGGAACACATACATCCCCTCACCTTTACCATCCCCCGTATGACTAGAGGCAGGTCACATGTTCTGCCCACACTCACAGGCAGGGGATCCCAGAACACAAGAGTTTCAGATTTCAGGGGCTCTGTGTTCATTTACATGTGTTTGTTTGGTAATTGTACATATACATTTGATACGTATTTCTAAACCTATGATAGGTTTCACAATTTAAATATTTTAAAACTGTGACACAATTATTGTAACTGATTAATTTAGATCTGAGTGCACCCACATACATCCAAGCAAAAAGGATCTCACTGCCATTGATGGCTGAGTCTGAAATAAAATCTAGAACTGACTCAGGTGCCCAGGATGACTGACTCCTCATTTCTGAGATATTGGCAGTTGCCATGAACTCAGAAGGCACTCTTTATATTGTACTTGGAAATTTTCAAATTGTTTAGAAATTACTACCATGCCCAACTTTGATTTGGAAAAAAAAGAGGAATTCGTTTAATCTATAGGTAATTTAAAAAGAAATACAATTTTTATAATACTTATGATGTACACAGACCGTATCTCCAAAGGTTGAATCTTCTTTGACCCCTTAATAAAGTTTAGTAGTTTTATTCATTCACGTACTACACCTTTCATGCCAAATTTTTCCTATATTTTATTTTTGTTCCTATTGTGAATGGGCTCTTTATTTTTAGATTTCTGTGGACTGGGGCTATTAACCAGGAACATGACTGAGTTTTGGATATGCACCAAGTCTCTTGCCACTGTGCTAAACTACCATTAATTTTCCAAGAGTTTGTTTTTTGTTTTTTGTTTTTTTTTTTTTTAGGGTTTCTACGAACACAATGGCAAGATCTGGAACCTATGCCAGTTCTTGTTTCCTCCTTTTCAGTGGCCATAACCTTGATTTACGTCTCAGGGACCCAAGTTCCATAAAAAGCTTTAGCGGTCAGAGTCATACATCTCAGACTGTCAGCATCTACTCCAGGCCAGTCGCTTAACCTCTCTGTGCCTCAGTTTCCTCATTTGGAACGTGGAGCCATCATGGAATCTTCCTCGTTGAGTTATTGTGAGGGTTAAATAAGACAATACCTGCTTTAGCACAGTGTCCAATTCAAAGCTCAATACGTTTATTGATAAAGCATCATCATTGTTATATTTTAACAGGAACTTAAAAATGAAAGGGAGGAGACCCCAAGTTGTTAACACCATGCGGGGTGGCAGGAGCAGGCAGCAGGGGACAATGACACCTACCAGGCCTCCTTCCTCCTTGGGGGATGGGGCTGCATGCATTCTAGGCAGCATCTTATTTATCAAGAGTTTCAGGGAGGTGAAATGGCAGTACCAGCATCCCATTACTAACTTGAAGTGAGACTCAAATCCAGCCCACCTCCCTGCAAAGCCCATGCTCACCTCCCCAAGTCACCATCCTGGAGGGAGGATTTGCTCGGCTCAGAGGTTCTGAACCCTGGCTGCATGGAGGAACGTTGCAGGTTCTCTAACAATCTCTATCGATGCCTGACCCCACCCTCGACTAAATGACTTTGACGCTCTGAGGGTACCTTGACCTCAGCATCTTTTCACAGCTCTCCATGTGGTTGTCATGACCAGGGATGAGAACCACAGGTGGCCTCACTCCGGCATCTATAACACTGACGTTTCAGGCAGTAACTATGGAAACCTGGCCCAAATTCTAGATGAACTCACACACACCCGTCTCTTGTTAATAAATGAATTTGTCCATTGCTGCCTATGATGGTTATTTTTAATGTATCAACTTGGCTGGGCCACAGTGTTCAGATATGTGGTCAAACATTAATCTGGATGTTTCTGTGAAGGTTTTTTTTTTTTTTTTTAAATGAAACTCACATTTAAATCTGTGGATTTTGAATACAGCGGATTGCCCTCTATAACATGAGCTGGCGTCATCCAATCATTTGAAGGCCTTACTAGAACAAAGACTGACCCTATCCTAAGCAAGAAGGAATTCTGCCAGCAGATAACCTTTGAACTTGGGCTATGGCTCTTCCCTGGAACTCCAGCCTGTCTTACAGGTTTTGGATTTACCATGCTTCCACAATCATGTGCACAAATTTTTCTTTTTTGAGACAGCGTCTTACTCCTGTTGCCCAGGCTGGAGTGCAGTGGCACAATCATGGCTCACTGCAGCCTCCACTTCCTGGGCTCAGATGAGTCTCCCACCTCCACCTCCCCAGCAGTTGGGACTATAGGTACACTCAATCACACCTGGCTAATTTTTTGTATTTTTTGTAGAGATGAGATCTCACTATGTTGCCCAGGCTGGTCTAGAACTCCTGTGCTCAACTGATACTCCCTGCTTGGCCTCCCAAAATGCTGGGATTACAGGTATGCGCTGCTGCACCTGGTCGTGTGTGTCAATTTCTTAAAAAATCTCTCTCTGTGTACATACACACACACACACACACACACACCCTGCTCCAATTCTCTGGAGAACCCTGATGAAACACTACCATGATAAAAACTGGCCTCTTACTCAGCACAGTCATAAACAAAGCATCCCACTTGTATTAGTCTGTTTTCACGCTGCTCATAAAGACATACCTGAGACTGGGAAGAAAAATAGGTTTAACTGGACTTACAGTTCCACATGGCTGGGGAGGTCTCAGAATCATGGCGGGAGGTGAAAAGGACTTCTTACATGGCAGCTGCAAGAGAGAATGAAGAAGGAGCAAAAGCAGAAACCCGTGATAAACACATCAGATTTCATGAGACTTACTATCACTAGAGTAGCACAGGAAAGACTGGCCCCCATAATTAAATTACCTCCCCCTGGGTCCCTCCCACAACATGTGGGAATTCTGAGAGAGACAGTGCAAGTTGAGATTTGGGTGGGGACACGAACAAACCATATCACCACTCTGGCTTGTTTTGAAAACCCTGAGCAGACAATGAGTGTCACAGAAGCACAGGATATTCAACCTTGCCAGGGGCAATACAGAGCACCTGGTCTAACTAAAATAGAACACTAGAGTTAGAAATAACCCTGGGGCTATTATGCCCCCCAGGGGACATTTGGCAATGTCTGGAGACATTTTTGGTTGTCACAACTGAATGGGGGTGCTGCTGGCATCTGGTGGGCACAGGTGAGGGACACTGCTCAGCATCCTAGAGTGCATAGGACAGGCCCTGCAACAGAAGTATCCAGTCAAAAATGTCATGGTGCCAAGGCTGAGAAACTCTTGTGTTAGGAGGAGGAAACACTTCATCATTGTGGAAACTAACTTCTCATCTCACAAAAGGTGATTGGGATCTCACAAAAGGTGATTTGGAGGGAGCCCTAAAGAGGCAACAGGAACCTTTTTGTGTTTTTTGTAGAGATGGGGCCCCATTATGTTGCCGAGGCTGATCTCAAATTCCTGGGCTCAAGCGATCCTCCCACCTCAGCCTCCCAAAGTGCTGGGGTTACAGGTATGAAACACCGTGCCTGGCCAACAGGAACCTTTTTGATGAACTGGAAAAAGAGCTTGGGGGAAAATATTACTGGCAAGGCCAGAACACGTTGGAGAAATTCTTTAGAAACCAGCTTTACCTTGGAGGTAGGACCAGGAGTCTAGCCAATGGGAGCTTCATGGACATGAATGTGTGGCTTAAATTACATTGCTGTGTGGGCATGAATCAGACGCTCTGCCCATGAAGAGTTCTAGCACCAAGTCAGTGCAAGACCCGAGGTGGTGAGTGGCCATCTGTGTTTTCTTGCTGCAGCTGTTGTTGTTGTTGTTTTAAATATCAGGAGCAATCTGATAAACTTTCTAGAGGAGCCCAGTACAGAGAACTAGGATGCCAGACTGGCTGTCTCTCTGCTAAGAATTATCCTATTGTTCTGACTATAAGATGTGCATGACTTCACATTTTAACCTTTTGAAAATTGGGACACATCCAGGCAGTAGCAGTCATGTGTGATGTTCAGAACACAATGCCTCGTTTCCTCAGTAAAGGTTTACTAAAAGAGTTCATGAGTAAGTGGGAAAAATGAATTAGGTACTAAACAAATAAATAATATTTTGGTTTCTTCATTTGTAAGTGGAGAGATTACAACAAAGTTGTACGAATCCATGGGAATGACATATTCAAGTGATTGAAAAAGGTTAAGTTTCCTTTGATGTTCCTCTCTCTTGCTTTTCTTCTCTCTTGTCTTTGGATGATGTTAAAAAACAAAGAAAAATTGAAAAGTAGAGCTGCATTGAGATGAATGTACCTTAACCTCAGGAAAGCAAACACACACACAACCAGAGGCACAGAAGCGGGTTGGGCAACACGTGGCTCCAGGGGCACATGAATTTCCAGTTGAGCATCTTAATGTATGACCGATTCCATACGAGGCAAGTGCAATGTGGCTACCTTGAATCAAACTAGTGAGTCCTCTGGCTATCCTAGTAGGGGCACTAGAAAGGAGAGGGCAGATGTGGCTCCAATCAACGGCATGGATGGGCTTGGGCCCCTTGGACACCGCACACTAGGACAGACACAGAGGTTACAGGGGCCCTGGCTGATGTGGCAGGGTCCCTCGCTATTGTCTCCATTCATTCACTTATTCATTCCTTCAGCAAATCATTGTTAGTGCTGAAGTAGTTTCCTGTGGCTGCTGTAACAGATTCCGACAAACTTGGTGGCTTAGACAGCACAGGTTCATTATCCTACAGCCCTGGAGAAATTAGAACTGTGTCTCACTGGACTAAACAGGATGTCAGCAGGGCTGTTCCTTTCTGGAGGCTCTGGGTGGGGTCTGTTTGTTTGATTTTTTTAGAGCTTCTAGGGGCTGTCTGGGTTTCTTGGCCTATGGCTTCTTCTATCTTCAAAACCAGCAAGGGTGAGCTGGGTCCTTTCCATGTCACATCTTTCTGACACATCTCTCTGACTCTCTTTTGTCTCCTCTCCCACCTTTTTTTTTTTTTTTTTTTTTTGAGACACGGTCTCACTCTGTCACCCAGGCTGGAGTGCTCAGCCATCACGGCTCACTGCTGCCTTGATCTCCCAGGCTCAAGTGATCCTCTCACCTCAGCCTCTAGAGTATCTAGGACTACAGGCATGCACCACCATGCCGAGATAATTTTTAAAATTTTTTAGGGGCGGGATCTCTGTATGTTACCCAGGCTGGTCTCGAACTCCTGGCCTCAAGCAATACTCCACCTCCTAAATGCTGGAGTTACAGGCATGACCACCAGGCTGAGCTCCTCTCTTGCTTTTAAGGGCCCTTGTGATGACAGTGGATCCACCCAAATAAACCAGGATGATCTCCCTGTTTGTTGTTTGTTGGTTGGTTGGTTGGTTTTTTGAGACGGAGTCTTGCTCTGTCGCCCAGGCTGGAGTGCAGTTGTGCGATCTAGGCTCGCTGCAAGCTCCACCTCCCGGGTTCACGCCATTCTCCTGCCTCAGCCTCCCGAATAGCTGGGACTATAGGTGCCTGCCACCATGCCTGGCTAATTTTTTTTGTATTTTTTAGTAGAGACAGGGTTTCACCATGTTAGCCAGGATGGTCTCGATCTCCTGACCTCTTGATCCACCCGCCTCAGCCTCCCAAAGTGATGATGATTTCCCTGTTTTAAGGTTAGCCAATTTACAACACTCATTCTCTCTGCCACCTTAATTTCCCTTTGCCAGGTATGGTGACATATTCACAGCCTCCTAGGATTCAGATGTGGATATTTTTGGGAGCAGGTGGGAAGCACTAATATGCCTGCCCCACCAGTTCCTAGGCTGTGCCAATATTGTGCTGATTATACATGGGGCAGATCAGAGGTGATCTCTCCTCCCACAGGGAGTATGCATTCTAGAGAGGAGGACAGCTCTCCAAGAGTAGTTATATATATCAAGTAGTACTAAGTGATACAAGAAGACATCTTATGGTCCAGGGATAGAGAGTTAAGGGGTGTAGTGTGATTGTTTTTGAGAGCATGGTCATGGAAAGCCTTTCTGTAAAGGTGATAACAGAGCAGAGACCTGGATGTTGAGAAGGAGCCTCTGATCTGGGGCAGAATAATCCAGGCATAGGGGAAAGCAAGAGCAAAGGCCCTGAGGCATGCACAAGGAATTGTCAGAAAGCCAGCCGTGTTGCCGGGGCAAGGTGAAAAGGGGGTCAGAGAAGGGAGATGATGGTGATCAAAGCAGGGATCAGATTACTGGGATGTTATGGGCCAAGTGGTTTGGGATTTGTTGTTGTTGTTGTTTTGTTTTGTTTTTTTGTTTTATTTTGTTTTTTGTTTTGTTTTTATTTTTGGAGACAGAGTCTCACTGTGTCATCCAGGCTGGAGTGCAGTGGTGCGATCTCGGCTCACTGCAGCCTCCACCTCCTGGGCTCAAGCAATTCGCCTGTCTCAGCCTCCCGAGTAGCTGGGGTTACAGGCACGCACCACCACGCCTGGCTAAGTTTTGTATTTTTAGTAGAGACGGGGTTTTGCCATGTTGGCCAAACTGGTCTCGAGCTCCTGACCTCAGGTGATCCACCCGCCTCACCTTTCCAAAGTGCTGGGATTACAGACTTGAGCCACCACTCCCGGTCCCTGGGTTTTAATTCTGAGGAAAATGGGAAGCCACTGGAGGGCTTTAGGAAGGGTGGCAGCATGCTCTGATTGACACTGAAAATGATCACCTTTGTTGCTGAGTGCGATCGGTTTGCGGGGGACAAGGGTGGAGGCTGTGAGAGCTGGTGGGAAGGCATCTTGGCTGGCTGAGAGTAGAGTAATGAAAACAGGCAGCCGCGGGATCTGTTTTGTGGTGGAACCCATAGCGCTGCAGACAGAGTACATGTCAGGTGAGAGAAATATGGAGGGATCAGGGAGGATTAGACTCTGCCTGAGCCAACAAAGTCTCCTTAAAGGGAGGGGCTGGTTAGCCTGGAGCAGAGACCATCTGGATCAGGGATTCATGAACACTCCCTTGAAATGCCTGAATGCCTGTCATGGGGGAACAGATTCTCTTGATTCTCTCCGCCCTTAGATGTGAAAACAAAGCCCAAATGAAGGACAGATAAAGAGAGGGAGATATCAGCTAACCTAGACATCTCATATTGGAAGTGGCATGAGCTGCGGGGCCAGAGGAAACAGCATGCAACCCTGACTCTGCTGTTCCAGTGCTGGGATTGGGACAGGTTATCTGAAGTCTCTGACATGACATTTCACAATCTCTAACGTGATAGAGGTAATGTTACTATAATACTAAAAACAACAGCACATGCTTACATATCTGTGATTTGTGATGTGACAAGAAGTATATTTTGATCTCTGCTCTCAGTTCCTGAGATAAGAATCCTAAAACCCTGGTAGATAGGGGTGCTAGGAGAATCTTTTGTTCTAATCGATTTAGTCTTTTCCTCTTGGTTCCTGACACACAGCTCCTGAATCCCTTGGCATTTCCAGGGTGATAGGGGCATTTCCTCTTCTAATGATGTGACTCTTGGTGGGCTCCTCGATAGCCCCAGGGTGGGGGGCTGGTTGCCAGGGTAACCAAGCATGTGAGTAAAGGGCTGGAACTTTGATCCCCACCCTTTGAGGAGAGGAGATGGGCTGGAGGTTGAGTTGATTACCAATGGCCAGTGATGTCATCAACCATGCCTATGTAATGAAGTCTCCATAAAAACCCAAAGGGACAGGGTTTGGCGAGCTTGCAGGCAGCTGAACATGTGGGGATGCCTGGAGGTGGGGAGGTGCCATCAGTAAGGGCATGGAAGCTCCCTGTCGCCTCCCCACACCTTTTCCCACGCATCTCTCCCATCTGGCTGCTCATCTCTATCCTTTGTAACATCCTTTATAATAAATGGGTCATCGTAAGACAAGTATCTCCCTGAGTTCTGTGAGCCGCTCAAGCAAATTAATCAAACCTGAGGAATGGGTCACAGGAAACCCCAATTTATAGCCAGTTGGTTAAAAGTACAGGTCACAACCTAGGGCTTGTGACTTGCATCTGAAAGGGGGGCGGTCTTGTGGGACTGAGCCCTTAACTTGTGGGATCTGACGCTCTCTAGGCAGACAATGTCAGAATTGAATTGAATTAGAGGATGCCCAGCTGGTGTCTGCTGGAGAATTAGTTGCTAGTGAGGATAAATCCTCATGCATTTTTGGTGACCAGAGGTGAGTGGTGTGTGTGGGAAACTAGGAGAGACTGGTTCTTCCTGTCTCTCACAATAGCGCTTTTAACATGTGAAACACAGTTCTAACAGCTGTGTGTGTGGAAACTCATTCCTCACAGCAGCCTGAGGACACAGGTGCTCCTATCATTGCCATTTTAGAAAGAAGGCACAAGGAAGTTGAGTTATTTGCTTAAGGTCACACAGCGAGTATAGGGCACCGTCATCATACATCATACAATCATCTCTACAAGATACAGACTGCCTGTCCTTCACCTCCACCTATCAAACACATCAGTCAAAACACGGCATGTGCCATTATTAACTGTTTTGTGATGACACAATGCTATTTAGTTTCAGGATCAAAATTCAGCATGCTCTCAAAGTCTGGAATTGTGGCTGGAAGCGAACACGTTGGCATATAAAGTGGATAAAAGGCAAGACAGTTCTTCCTTTAGATTCTAGATTCAATCACACAAACTCACTCTATAGCCCTCAGACCACAGCTGGAATGTTTTTCCCCAATGGTGATGATCCTTGGGGGCTGCGGCTGACCAAGGGCCGCGGCTCCTCTGCAGAAAGTCCAGGTTGGCACCGTGGTGGACCCTGGAAAAAAGGTGTTCTCAAGGGGGGCACCTCACTAGGCTGTTTGCCTCTCCTCCCTCTGGCCTCTTGCACTGCACTTCTGGTTGCATTAAACTTCACAACCCACTATTTTGGAAACATGGAATAAAAGGGCTTCAATCACATGACAGTGGCTGGTACTGTCCAGATCTGAGTGTTGCACAAGAACGTACTTTGGTAGTAATTCAGCCATCCTTTCGTTATATGTTAAGTCCTAAGGCATTGAGGTTTTATTGAGTACTTTCTAAGAGCTGGACACCACTGGGGATACAACAGTGAATAGGACAGACACAGTTCTGCCTCATGCTGAGCTTTTGTCAACAGACAAAATGATTGTCAAGAGTGACAAATACACCATGCGCTGGCTGGAGCATGAAGGGAGGACATGGTGGAAATGCAGATTGTCCTCCAAGTTCAATGAGAAGCACTGAGGGACGATCTGGCAGGAGAGTGATGAAGGCTGGGCTGGGAGTGGCAGCCAAGCAGGAAGAGAGATAGAGCTGAGATACAGCTTGGATCAGATTCAATACCAGATTGATGGATGGATGAGGTTAAAAAGGAAGCAAAAGGAATCAAAGGTGATGCTGAGCTAAACAAGGAAGCTGGTGGGGTTATCTACTGAGATATTGAGGCAATCACAGGGCCAGTGATAAGAGAAGACTTTGGGGGAGAAACTCAAGAGTCTGTGAGTCACCACATGGTTATGTCAGGTACACAGCTGAATATGCAGGTCTGGACCTTAGTTGAGCTGTCTGGACTAGACATTCTGGTCCAGTTTTTGTCCCCTGTAATGTAAACTACTTCTGATCTCCTTTTCTGAGAGGCATGGAATTTAAAATTCCACTTGCCAATCAGTGGCTGCACTCAATATGCCTCAGGCTTTGTTAATCTGCACTAGAACAGACACCACATCAGGCAGCAACTGCAGGTGGGGCTACCACTTGGCTATGTTTCTAAAGTTCCAGGGTCTTCTGCTATGATCCATATAATTTTTATAGGATCGGGCTAGTGAATCAAATAGCATGTGAGAGGCACCACTGCTCCTGGATGCTTCAAGACTCTGAGGATGGCCCTAGCCCTTGCCATTTTCCTGGGATGCAATATCGTTCCTCCTTCTCTTAGCCACGTAAGAGAAGAGAAGAGAAAATCATTCCCTATCTTGGCAGGAAGTTGAAATTCCAGGGCTCCAGTTGGTCTTTTCTACTGTAATAACTTTTACA
Source organism: Homo sapiens (assembly GCF_000001405.40). Classification (NCBI taxonomy): domain Eukaryota; kingdom Metazoa; phylum Chordata; class Mammalia; order Primates; family Hominidae; genus Homo; species Homo sapiens. The sequence continues at coordinate 10,048,600 of NC_000004.12, read as the reverse complement.
CTGCAGGTCAGGGGCAGAGTGAGGGTCCTCCCGATGGCTAAGAGTGTCCTTCCTACAAACATTTAGGGCCCAGGGAAATGAGCGTGGGGTGGGTGTGGGGACTCAGTGCACTACCATGAGACACACCTGGGCCAGAGCTCTATTTGCTACCTGACTCCCATATGGCCAATGATAACAGGGGAGCCTGGGTGATGTTTTGGATTCCTGGATACCAGCATCAACCCAGACCCTGTATCGAACAGCACCAGAAACATCTCTTACTTTCCCCTAGTGCATGGTTACTTGAGTAAGTGGCCACAGGGTCTTTAGGGGTATTAAATGAGGGAGTCGCTACTGTCTCTACTTCAAGTTCTACCTTGAGGCAAGGGAACCTGCCATTTACGCCCTTGTATCAGGAAGTCATTGGCCAAGCCTGAGGTTGGTGGCCTGCCCAGTAAGGCTTCCTGTTGGCTGGGGGCTGTTCTGCGGAAAAGGGAGCAGCTGTGAGATTCTATCAGCACCATTTCTAGCAGGAAGGGACTAGGATATGGACTAACAGAGGGGCTGCAGTTGGAATATCAGTAGCATTCGCCAGTCATCTGCTGAGGGCAAGAGATAGATGGGGAGGTTAGAGAATTACAGAAAACAAAGGAGGCTCAAGAAACACTTTTTAGAGAATGAGATTTTGGATAGCATGCCACCCATCTGAGCATGGCAACATGTGTTGTGATGGAATCTGCATTAGCCAGTGTTCTCTAGAGAAACAGAACCAATAAAAAGATAGAGAGAGGTACATAAATTTACTATAAAGAATTGGCTCATGAAATGATGGTGGGCTGATAAGTCCCAAGGTCTGCAGTTGGCAAGCTGAAGACCCAAGATTGCTGACAGTGTAGTTCTAGTCTACATCTGAAGGCCTGAGACCTAAGAGAGCCAATGGTGTAGTTCTCTTCGGAAGACCAGTAGGTGCAAGACCCAGGAAGGGCTAACATTTTTGTTCAAATCCAAAGGTAAGAAAAAGACCAATGATCCAGCTCAAAAGCAGTCAGGCAGGAGGCATCCCCTCTTATCTGGGAGAGGGTCAGCCCTTTTCTTCCAGTCAGACCTTCAGCTGATTGGACAAGGCCCACTCACAGGGGAAGGGCAGCCTGCTTTAACTCAGTCGGCTACTTCAAATGCTAATTTCATCCAAAAAGACCTTCACAGAAATGCTGAGAGTAGTGTTTGACCAAATGTCTGGGCACCTTGTAGTCCAAGCATATTGATGCATACAGAACCATCACATTAAACCATCACAGAATCCATCTTCCTGGCTGGCCTGTCCACAAGGCAGAAGAGAAAGTGGAGAGTTGGAGCCATCTCGGCTTGGAATGCTGACGTAAAACTGTGAAGAAGGAAGGGAGGCAGAAGACTTTAGAGTAAGGGTGGATATTAAGGTAAAATCTGGGATCTGGCTTAAAAGAGGAGAACAGAGAGGGCTGGTGAACTTGGGAGAAGCTAAAGTGTCAGTGGCTCATCACAGTCACAGATGGAGCAAACAGAAGCAGTATTGGATGAGGTCACTAGGGTTGCTGTAATAAAGTCTCACAAACCAGGTGGCTTCAAATAGCGGAAATGTATTCTCCCACAGTGCTGGAGGCCAGAAGTCCAAAATCAAGGTGTTAGCAGGGTCATGCAGCCTCTGGGTGGAATCCTTCCTTCCCTCTAGCAGCTTCTGGTGGTGCCCATGGGCCCTTGGCATCCTGTGGCTGGCAGCTGCATCACTCCAAGCTCTTCCTCTGTCATCATATGGACGACACAAGGAGAGCTCCCTGTGTGTCACAGTCTCCTTTTTATAAGGATACCAGTCATACTGGATTAGGGCCCACCCCAAGTGACTTCATCTTAACTTGATTACCTCTGTAAATAGTCTATTTCCAAATAAGGGCACATACATAGGTCCCGGAGGTTAGGACTTTAACATATCTTTTCAAGGAGACACAGTTCAACCCATAACAGGCATAAACTCTAAACGTCATGGCTTACCATGTGATATGATTTGGCTCTGTGTCCCCACCTACATCTCATCTTGAATTGTAATCCCCACACATAGTGGGAGGGGCCTGGTGAGAGGTGATTGGATCATGGGGGCAGTTCTCCTATGCTGTTCTTGTGATGGTGAGTGAGTTCTCATGAGATCTGATGGTTCGAAAGTGTGTGGCACTTCTGCCCTCTCTCCTGCCACCACGTAAGATGTGCCTTGCTTCCCCTTTGCCTTCCTCTATGAAAGTAAATTTCGGCCAGGTGCGGTGGCTCACACCTGTAATCCCAGCACTTTGGGCGGCTGAGGCGGTTGGATCACCTGAGGTCAAGAGTTTGAAACCAGCCTGGCTAACATGGTGAAACCCCGTCTCTACTAAAAATACAAAAATTAGCTGGTCGTGGTGGTGCTCACCTGTAGTCCTATCTACTCAGGAGGCTGAGGGAGGAGAATCACTTGAACCCAGGAGGCGCAGGTTGCAGTGAGCTGAGATTGCACCACTGCACCCCAGCCTGGGTGACAGAGCGAGACTCAGCCTCAAAAAAAAAAAAGAAAGAAAGAAAAAAAAAAAGTAAATTTCCTGAGGCCTCCTCAGCCATGCTGAACTGTGAATCAGTTAAACTTCTTTTCTTTATAAATTACCCAATCTCAGGCAGTTCTTTACAGTAGTGTGAAAACAGAGTAATATACCATATTGCTGTGAAAATTAAATGAGGTGATGAATGATAAGATATTTTTGAAAGGAAAAAAGCACAGCAAATTATTGTTTCCTGTACTAGTTAGGTCACTAGTAACAGTCTCTTGCTTGTCTTGGAATGGATAGTCATTCAGATGGAGATGATTAGTCAGGCTCAAGGTAGAGACACTTTGAACTGGAAGATTCTGACCTATCGGCATTTCTCCATTTGAAATAGTTCCAAAGACAAATGATTACAGAAACCACAAACTCAAGGGTCTTCTGAGCCATAAATGAAATACCATTCTTGGAGTCAGCAACATGGAATGTGTTAATTATTACTGAGATGTGGAAATATGTCACAGCATTGACAGTGAGCTTTATTCATTCAAACCTCCTCACTTGGACTTTGTGATATTCCAACCCAGAGATTTAGTCTTTTTATATGACTATCTCATAAAAAGGTGTGTTTACTTTTTTTGCTCTTTTTTATGGTAAAAATACAGAAAATTAAAATTAACCTTCTGGCCGGGTGCCGTGGCTCACGCCTGTAATCCCAGCACTTTGGGAGGCCAAGGCGGGCAGATCACCTGAGGTCAGGAGTTCAAGACAAGCCTGGTCAACATGGTGAAACCCCATCTCTACTAAAAACACAAAAAATTAGACAGGCATGGCAGCGCATACCTGTAGTCCCAGCTACTCGGGAGGCTGGAGGGGAGAGAATCGCTAGAACCCAGGAGGCGGAGCCTGCAGTGAGCCGTGATCACGCCACTGAACTCCAGCCTGGGCAACAGAGCGAGACTCCGTCTCAAAAAAAAATAAATAAATAAAATAAATAAATAAATAAATAAATACAAAATAAATAAAATAAAAAATAAAATAAACTTTCTTAACCACTTTTATGTGTACAGTTCAGTAGTGTTGAGTATATTCACATTATTGTGCAACAGATCTTTATAATGTTTTCATCTTGCAACCATGAAACTATATCCACTAGACGCTACTTCCCCTTCTCTCTTCCCTCTGGCTGTTGTTAACCACCCTTCTGCTTTCTGTTTCCATAATTTTGACTATGTTAGATACTATAGAGTTAAAATAGATCCCTACAGTATCTGTTCTTCTGCAGATGGCTTTTTGTGTTTAGCATAATGTCTTTGAAATTGTTGCATGTTGTAGCATGTGACAGGATTTTCTTCTTTTTAAGGCTGCATAGTAGTCTATGTTATGTATATACTATATTTTCTTTATCCATTCATCTGTTGATGGGAATCTAGGTTGCTTCCACCTGTTGGCTATTGTGAATAATGCTGTACTGAAAACATGTATGTACAAATATCTTTCTGATACTCTGCTTTGAATTCATCTAGATATAAACCCAGAAGTGGGATTGCTGGATCATATGGTAACTCAATTTTCAATTTTATGAGGAACTTCTGTATTTTGTTTTCTGTCTTGTATTTCCACTAACAGTGCACAAGGGCTCCAACTTCTTCACATCCTTGCTGACACTTATTATTTTCCATTCTTTTGATAGTGGCCATCCTGATGGATGAGGTGACAATACATTATGGTCTTGATTTGCATTTCCCTAATGATTAGTGATATTGAGCATCTTTTTATGTGCTTATTGGCCACTCATATCTTCTTTGGAGAAATGTCTATTTAAGTCCTTTCCCCATTTAAAAATTGTCTTATTTGTTTGTTGTTGTTGTTGTTGAGTAGTAGAAATTTCTTATATATTCTGCATAGCAATCCCTTATCAGATACATAATTTGCAATTATTTCCTCCCATAGGTTGCCTTTCCACTATGTTGATTGTTTCTTTTGATGCACAAACGTTTTTGAGTTTGGTGTAGTCTTATTTGCCAATTTTTGTTTCTGTTTCCTGTGCTTTGGGTGTCATATATAAATCATTGCCAAATCCAATGTCCTGAAGCTTTTCTCCTATGTTTTCTTCTAGGGGTGTAATAGTTTTAGGCCTTACATTTGGGTCTTTGATTCATTTTCAGTTGATTTTCATATCTGCTGCAAGGGAAAAGTCCAACTTCATTCTTTTGCAGGTGGATATCCAGGTTTTCTGACACCATTTTTTAAACAGACTATCCTTTTTTCACTCTGTGGTCTTGGAACTCTTGTAGATTATTTGGCCATAAATGCAGGGGTTCGTCTCTTGGCTGTCTGCTCCTGCCATTGATCTATATATTCATCTTTATGCCAGTACCACTACTGTTGCTTTGTATTATGTCTTGAAATCAGGGAGTGTGAGTCCTCCAGCTTTGTTCTTTTTAAAGATCATTTTGGCTATTTGGGGTCCTTGTAATTCCATATGTATTTTAGTATTTTTTTCCAATTTCTGCAACAAATGCAGTTGGGATTTTGACAGGGATTGCATTGAATGTGTAGACTGCTTTGGGTAATATGGACGTTTTAACAATATTAATCCTTCCAATTAAAGCACATTGGATGTTTTTCCATTTATTTGTATCCTCTTTGATTTCTTTCACCAATGTTTGGTAGTTTTCCATGTACAAGTCTTTTACCTTGGTGGTTAAGTTTATTCCCAAGTATTTTATACTTTTTGATACTATAGTAAATGAACTTGTTTTCTTAAAAATTTCCTTTTTCAATTGATCATGGATAGTGTATAGGAACACAATTGATTTTTGAGTGTTGATTTTGTATCCTGAAATTTTGCTAAATTTGTTTATTCATTCTAGCAGTTTTTTGGTAGGATCTTTAGGGTTTTCCACATATAAGACTGTGTCATTTCCAAATAGAAATAATTTTAAGTCTTCTTTTCTGGTTTGTATGTCTTTAATAATTTCTTTTTCTTTTCTGATTGTTCTGGCTAGAACTTCCAGTATTATGTCAAATAATAATGGTGAGAGTGGGCATCCTTGCTTGGTTCCTGATCTTAGAGGAAAAGCTTTCAGTGTTTCTCCATTGGGTATGATGTCTGTTGTGGGTTTTCCATGTATGACTTTTACTATGTTGTGGTAGTTTCTTTCTATTCTTAGTTTGTTCAGTGTTTTTTTTATCATGAAAGGGGGCTGAATGTTGTCAAATATTTTTTTCTGCATCCATTGAGATGATCAGGCAGTTTTAGTCCTCCATTTTGTTACATTGATTGATTTTCATATGTTGAACCATCCTTGCATTCTAGGCATAAATCCCACCTGGTCATGATATATGATCCCTTTAACATGCTGTTGAATTTGGTTTGGTAGTATTTTGTTTAGGATTTTTGCATCAATATTAATCAGGGGTTTATCTATAGTGTTTTTTTCTTGCTGTGTCTTTGTCTGGTTTTGGTATCAAGGTAATTCTGTCCTCATAGAATAAGTTTGAGAGTGTTCTCTCCTCTTCAGTTCTTTGGAAGAGTTTCAGAAGAACTGATGTTAGTTCTTTAAATGTTTGGTAGAATTCTGTAGTGAATCCTTCTAGTCCTGGGCTTTTCTTTGTTGAGAGCTGTTTGATTACAGCTTCAATCTCCTCACTAGTTATAGATCTGCTCAGATTTCCTGTTTGATTATGACTTAATCTTAGTTGGCTATATGTTTCTATGAATTTATTAATTTCTTCTAGGTTATCCAATTTTTTGGTTTTTTGCTTTGTTTTCTTTTTGTTTTTGATGGAGTCTCGCTCTGTCACCCAGGCTGGAGTTCAGTGGCACGATCTCAGCTCACTGCAAGCTCTGCCTCCCAGGTTCACGCCATTCTCCTGCCTCAGCCTCCTGAGTAGCTGGGACTACAGGCACCCACCACCACCCAGCTAATTTTTTTGTATTTTTTAGTAGAGACGGGGTTTCACCATATTAGCCAGGATGGTCTCGATCTCCTGACCTTGTGACCCACCCACCTCGGCCTCCCAAAGTGCTGGGATTACAGGTGTGAGGCACCACGCCCGGCCATTTTTTGGTATTTTTAAGTCTTTAAAGTCATGTATTATCAAGGCATATATGAACATTTTATGCCAAATATAATTATCATAATGGTTTCAAAAGGATTGTTGAAGGAAATAGAGTGTAACCTGCTTTGAATAGAATTAAAGGCAATTTGAATGCTGCAAATCATTGTAAGCACCTTATTTTAAAATAGTTTAATTTTCACTTCAAAATAATGTTTCCATGATTAGAAAAACAATTAGAAAAAAACCATGAAAATTTATATGGAATCAAAACCAAACACATTCCTAGAAAATACTGTGAACATTTTTCTTATTTTCTTTCTAACTTCTTAAGTGTGTGGCTTATAATCACTCATTTATTTATCAAGCACTTTGGCTGCACCAGAGAGTAAAAGGGATACAATTATTACAAACCACCTGTTTACTTCAGTCATGACCCTGCAGATATTTATGAAGGGAAGACTGTTCTTGGCAAGAAGAAAATGGCATGTCACTAATAGCTTTTACTCAAATTGTTCAGTTGTCTGCAAATTCTATGGCCTTCTGGCCTGCCTTGCCCCATTCCCCCTTCTGCCTGAAAAACCAGGTCTCATTGCATTTTCCTTTTTCAATTTTGGCCTTCTTGGGAACCAAGTGAAGGAAAGGTCAATTCCTGTGTTTGGAACGATCGGTCTGGTATTTGGTTGTAATGAGAAGACCCAGCAGGTGTTTCACCAAAAACCGGGGTCAGAAACGTGGGGTTTGTTGATTTTTGCCTTGGCATAGGAAAGCCAACCACCAATAGCTATGGTAAGGAGCAGCGGCTCCAGGGGCTGACACCCCCAAAGGGAGAAGTGATTGGCAGTACTTCATTCTTCAGCACACAGAGAAAAGAGCCTGGCTTGAAACCTGGGTCCCAGATGCCATGAAGTTAAGGTGACACTCCCTGAGTGTTGTTTGCAGTAGGAACTTCCGCCACCTCCCACTCAAGGCACAAAGGGGTAATGACTGAAATCTACTTCACTGTGGGATGGAAGATTTTTGAGCTGAGATTTGTCTGTGGCTAGGCCAGCAGTCATCAGATACTGTATGTCAGGCAAGATGCCTATAGCTTAAAAAAGACTCTAGAAGGCTGCTCACCAACACAGTGGAACTAATCTCCAGGCTTCTGATACTAGAGATTATGTTCTTTTTCTCTGGATTCTTTGGACATTCGAATCTTTAAATGATCAGGAAGCTGACCCTCCAATGTTCCCCAGAGCTACTTCCCAGCTCTCACAGATAAAATCCCCTAAGCTTCAGAAAAGGAGTGTGGCTCTGCGGTTGCTACTGGGTTGATGCAGAGAGCACAGAGCAACTGCACAGCAGTTTCTCTTGTGTCTGGTGGATAGCTAAGCATGGGGAAAGATCAAGGGTATGGGGGCTGCCGAACTTCAGTTCCAGGTCCTGGCTGTGTGACCTCAGGCGAGTTATTTGACCTCTCTGAATGTATAAAATGGGAATGGTAGAGCTTCTGTATCACAGGAGTACACAAGACAACACGTAGAAAGCACTTACACTAACAGGTAATCAAAAGTCAGTTTTCTCCCTGGGGATGTGAGCAGCCACCTGGAAAGAGGGTTACTTAATGGCATAGCGCAGTGTGAATCTCCCTTTCTGTTTCTTTGCTTGGCATTACCCGATGATTAATTTTGAAAAGTTACTCAAACAATTACAATTCAACTTGGTCAACATCAGTTCTCACAAATAGAAGCTGACTGTCATTTATTCACTCAGTTCCTGTTGGCTGAGTGTTGGCTCTAGGGCTGGCACCAGGCACTGGAATTAAACATTCTGGACTCCAGAGGGGCATGAAAACTCTTCCTGAAGGAGATGCAGAGGAAGATTCGAACTGGAGGAAAACCCTAAAATGTGAGTAGGAATTGGTCAGGCCAAGAAAACAGGCAAGGGTGCTCCTGGTTGGGGGAATGTTGAATGCCAAGGCAACGACGGGAGCAGGGCAAGGTGTGTGGGCAAAGTGGAGCTCTCTATGCTGGGAGCCGGTGGTGTCTCTGCAGGTCATGTGCCAGGGGCAGGTGGGTGCAGAGGAGATGTCACTGGCACAGTGCTGCCCTGGAACTGGCGCTCATTGCAGATGCTTGCAATTCCCTCCTCCCTTCCTTTCTTCTTTCTTTCTTTAAGTGAAGGCTTAATCTAGAACTGAGCAACTAAAAGCCATCTAAGGGTTTGGAGCAGAGAAGCAATGACACTGCCTGCTTTTGAGAAAGATGACTCCAGGGATGCTGTAGAGAATTGGACTGGAGAGTGGAGATGGGCCATGGTGAGACCAGTCAGCAGGCTGATGTCCAGCCTGCTGGAGAAGACAAGGGCTTGGACCAGGAGGATGACAGTGGGGATGGAGGGGACCAAGTTAGAACCATCTTCAGAGATAGAACCCCCTGAATGTGGGGATCCAGGAGAAGGAAGGCAGCGAGGAGGATGAGGCAAGTTATTTAGGCGTCACCTAGCATAAGCAGGAGGGAGGTGTTTGATGTTATTGTTCATGAAGATAGAGAATAGCGGAGGACGAGGAGGTGGGGGAAAAGAAGTGTTCACTTCATGGGAAACTACAGGTTTTGTTGGAAATGGCTTTTGCATACCTTCCAGTTTCCTCTGGCCCTTCACGTCCCATCTTGCACTATCTGCTGTTGAGCACAGATGGACATTCATTCATTCCCTCCTCCATGCACTGGCCCTCCACCAGCTTCCAAAAGGCTCACACTGCATGTGCATGAGGGTGCTCCACTGGGCACTGTTAAGTGTGTGCGGCACTTACACTGTCAGAGAAAAGTTCTGAGTAAGGCAGTTCTACTGAAAACTGTTAAGGGACATTCCAGGTCCATTTCTGCAACAAGCATGAAGTCGGAGATTCATTGAGCTCACATGAACACTCTAGAGCAGGGTAGCAAACTTTGACTCACATGCCAACTGGGCCAGCTCCTTGCTTTTTAAAATAAAGCTTTACTGGAACACAATCATGCACATCTGTTTAACCATTGTCTACGGCTGCTTCTACACTAGAACGGCAGAGTTGTGAGAGCAACAGAAATTCCATGGCTAGCTTAGATGAGACTATTTAGCCACCTAGCCCTTTAAGAAAAATGTTGATCCTGCTCTAGTGTGCTGCCATCTCTGTTTTGTGTGAATGAGTGTTTGACAGTGACTGAGGGACCTTGGTGCTCTTTGCCTAAAAGCCCTCCATGCCTAAGAATCAAGTTCGGGATCCTTAGCTTGCCGTCCGAGGCTCTCCCGGGATGTGAAGCAGACATGCTCCATGTCATTGCGTAAAACCTTGGTGTAAAACATCAAGATCCATCAAGCGACTTTAAAATGTCCATTGCATTTAGTTCTTTTGCCTTGAATTTGACACAGTAGTTCCATTGATTGAAATCTATTTTAATGGAAGAATCCAAGTGATAGAGGAACACTTTGTTCCGTGGCCTGGCTGTACCCACTTGTCTGAACTAATTTTTTTTTTTTTTTTTTTTTTTTTTTGAGACAGAGTCTTACTCTGTCACCCAGGCTGGAGTGCAGTGGTGCTATCTCGGCTCACTGCAACTTCCATCTCCTGGGTTTAAGTGATTCTCCTGCCTCAGCCTCGCTAGTAGCTTGGATTACAGGTGCCTGCCACCATATCCACTAATTTTTGCATTTTTAGTAGAGACTGGGTTTCACCATGTTGGCCAGGCTGGTCTTGAACTCCTTGACCTCAAGTGATCCGCCCGCCTCGGCCTCTCAAAGCACTGGGATTACAGGCGTGAGCCACTGCACCTGGCCTGGACTAATTTTTTTAAAGGCATCACCCCTCACACACACTTCACAAATATACACATACTATGTAAGGGACTCACAAATGCAGAAAGTCTTAGGGAGAAAAATCAAAGCAAGAAAGAGGCCCAGAGTGCTCAGGACCATTTTCCAGACAGTGTGATGGGGACACCTTGTCTCAAGGCCAACTCTCTTCCTGCCAGACTCACCTCACTCACCTCCTCCTTATCACAGCTACCGTGGGTCCTGCCTTTATTTATTTATTTATTATTTATTTATTTTTGAGACAGAGTCTCATTCTGTCACCCAGGCTGGAGTGCAGTGGTGCCGTCTCAGCTCACTGCAACCTTCACCTCCCAGGTTCTAGCGATTCTCGTGCCTCAGCCTCCCGAGTAGCTGAGATTACAGGCATGCGCTACCCGCCTGGCTAATTTTTTGTGTGTTTTTAGTGGAGACAGGGTTTCACCATGTCGCTCAGGCTGGTCTTGAACTCCTGACCTCAAGTGATCTGCCCACCTTGGCCTTCCATAGTGCTGGGATTACAGGTGTGAGCCACTGTGCCCAGCCCCTGCCTTTATTTAAAATGTTGACATTTTGTTTGTGATAAAGTTAGGTTTTTTTCATTCATTTTATTTTTTAAACTGTTGGATTAATTATTATTTACCTTGATGACTGAGTTTTCAGTATTCTCTTTAATTTTGATTCCCAGACAACTGCCTCAGTCACTTCACCCCAGTCTCAGCTCTGGGAGGAGCAACTGAGGAAGTAGAGAAAATGTAAAGAGCACTGTGTCGAGGAGGCCAGGAGAAAAAGGTTTGCCCAGAAGAAGGCTAATGCGACAGGATGAACATCAAAAACATGACACTAAGTGAGAGAAGCCAGATACAAAAGGTCATATACCGTACCGTATGATCCCATTTTTATGAAATGTTCCGAAAAGGCAAGTCCGTAATCTAGAGAGGCAGAACACAGTTCAGTGGTGGCCAGGGGCTGAGGTCTCATTTTGAGATGATGACAATGCTCCAAAATTAGATTGTCATCATGGTTGCATACTGCTGTGAGGGTACTAAAAACCGTTAAATTGTACTCTTAAAATGAGTGCATTTTATGGTACATAAATCACACTTCAACAAGGCTATTAAAAAGAAAGATGGCTGAGTAGGCTGAGGATTGGGAATTAAGCATTGAATGACTAAATAAATGAGTGAATGACTCAAAGGCAGTATTTCTGAACAAGGTTGTGCAGCAGGATTTGAGAATGCTTAACAATTAAGTCTAGAGGCCCCGCTTGCTCCTTAGCAAGCCCAAGGAGGAGCGGTGGGCCACACAGCCTCCTGATACTTACCAGGGTGGAAATCCCGGACTAGAATCCTTTTTGGAACATGAAAGATCAATACGCATCAAGAGATTTAAAAGCATGCACCGCCTGTTGTTTCTGTGCATTGCCTTTTGATACAATAATTCCATTTCTTGAAATCTGTGCTAAGGATAGAATCTGGATGATGGAGGAATGATTTACCCATACGTGCTCACTACAGAGCTGTGTGTAGTATTGGAAAAAGGGAGAAAACCCAAATGACCGACTGGTTAAATGAAATATGGCCGAGTAAAAGATAGAATGTTAAACAGCCATGTAAAATGATGCTAATGTTGAGGAAAAATACACTGGAATGGAAACTGGAAAAAGCAGGACAACAAAGGGTAAAGAGAATATTGAAACCACCACATGGAATTGTGTGTGTAGCGTAAACACCCAATAGCAGCACAGCCACAATGTTATGGAAGAGCGATGGCCTTATGGATTGGTTGAATTTTACTCTGTGATATGCGCTTTCAGCACTGTGATCAGACATTTCGTACACTATCTCTTTTCATCTTGACCCAAAGTCTGGGACTTAGTTATTCTTTTTTTTTGGTCAATTTCACAAATGAGGAAACTGAGGCTCAGGTTTACGGAAATGTGTATGGGGTCACACAATTTGCAAGTGATGGAACCGAAGCCCAAAGGGGTGGAACTGGGCCTTCTCAAGTGTAGTTTACTCAGGGTTCTCCAGGGAGACAGAAAACGTGTTATAATCTGTTTATATACACAGGACGTGGACAGCTAACTAGCTAGATGGATGGATGGATGGATGGATGGGATTTATTATGGAATTGGCTCACATGATTATGGAGGCTGAGAAGTCCCTTGACAGGCCATCTGCAAGCTGGAGACCCTGGGATTCTGGCAGCACGGCTCAGTCCAAATCCAGAAGCTTCAGCACCAGGAAAGCCAATGGTAATTCTCAGTCTGACGCCAAAGGCCTGAGAACCAGAGCAGTGGATGGGACGCTGGTGCAAGTCCTAAAGTCCAAAGGTCAGGGAGCTCGGAGTTCTGACCTTCAAGAGCAGGAGAAGAAGAGTATCCCAGCTCCAGGAGAGAGACAGACAGAGAAACAAAACAAAACAAAACAAACAAACAAAAGAAATGCCTTTTTTTCTGCCCATTTTGTTTGATCTAGACCACCAGTCAATGGATGGTGCCTGCCCCCCACTGGAGGGCAGATCTGCTCCCTTCAGTCCACAGACTCCCACACCAGTCTCCTCCAGAAACGCCGTCACAGACACACCCCAAAGTGAGGCTTGACCAGCTTTCTAGGGATTCTTTAATTCAGGCACCTGAAATTAAGCATCACACCCAGGATCCATGCAGGTATCCCTTCAGCCAGCCCATGAGGTGGGGTTCATTGCCCTTATTCCACCTTCGAGATGCAGAAGGTGAAGTCTGGAATCGTTCAATTATGGCTCAGTGCCAAGCAACCAGCATTGAGAGGAGCTGGGATGCCTGTGGGTGGCCCAGGATGAGCTCCTGAACATCTTAGTCCCCCAGGAGGCCAGAGCATCCCTGATCTGAGAGTGAACAGAAGGCCTGGCACCAGGCCAAGGGTCGAGGCAAAGAGGACTTCGCTCCACTTCTGTTGAGAAGTGTTCTTTGTACCCAATGGTACAAAGACCAGGGATTTTGGTGACACAGCAGCCCGAGCCCAGCCTGGGTGCCTAGGATGCAGCTTAGCTGGTCAACTGTCAGTACTACCAGGACTTGGCCCTTGGAAACCTGCGGGGTGGCAGTGCTCTACCAGGAGGGGGCCAACTCGACAAAACCAGAAAGGGTGAAACGTCCTGCACCAGAGAGTTTCAGACATCAGCGATGGACTGGTTGATTGGTAGTGTTTTTGCTGAGACTGATGGTGGACTCCCCATCTGAGAGATCCCAGATTCCTTCAGGTCAAAGGTCAGCAGCTACACTGGAGCTTTCCTGACCCCCATGTCCAGGTACAAAGAAAACCCATCACCTGAGAGCCAATGGCCTCCAGAGCTAGTGTGGCAGAGGGGGCTTGGCTCACGTGTCATCCTGCTTCTTTCTTGCTGTGTGACTTTGGGCTAGTAGCTTCACCTCTCTGAGCTTTGATTCCCCCACTGATGATCAAACATTTCTAGTGCCAGGTGCTGTTCTAGGAGCTGTGTACCTACTGTTTCAATCCTCATAACACTCCTGTGAGGCTGGCATCATTGTCTGCACACCTGTTTACAGATGAGGACACAGAAGCCCCATGAGTGGAAGGGATTTGCCTCACGCCACAGTGAACAAGGGGAAGAGGCAGGATCAGAACTCAGGGAGCCTGGCCGCGAGTCCTGCACTGCTCACAACAGGCTCCAGCTGCCCTCGTATGAAGACAAGAGCTGTAAGGATGAAGGCACACAAAATGCCAAGTGAGAGCTCTGGCTACAGTCCCTCTCACCATCTCCCAAGGCAAACCCTGCGGCTGTGGCCTTGGCTTTGCCAGAAACTGATTCCATGCTGCTCCCCCAGGGGACCTCGAAACTGCAGGTGTGCCAGGACATTCCTGGCTGACAAGTGCGGGGTCGCAGGAGGGCTGGACGGCGTGCCTCTGTGTCCATCAGCTCCTTGCGTGGGTGCGCTCATGTACGGGGTTTAATGAATGAAATGATTAAAACCTGGAAAAATGTGTATTGAATGTATGCTTCAGTTTGACTCCATACTTTTCTTGTTTCTTTTGAGTCATGAAATAGTAATAGTTCTCCAGATTTGTTACTTTTCTTCTTTTGATTCCCCCAAGGGGATTTAGGAAGCCGATCCAGCACGGGACGTTCTGTGGTGTATATGTCAGGACTGGCTCAGATCAGGGAAGATTGGTGGGTGCTGGGGGTGCTGCTGAGGGGAGAGAGTCAGTAAGAGAAAAACATCCCCGGGGACAGAGTAGGAGAAAAGGGGCTGGCGGGGGAAGCCCTTGAAAAGGGCGGAAAGCTCTGCAGGGCAGAAGGGCTTGGGATGACATTAGCCCTGGGGCTTAAGGACACAGGGCCCATGTGGTTCTTTAAGGGAACAGTTTGGGTGGCCCTCGCCCTGGATTTCGGACACCACCACCGGGATGACAACCCACGAGCACAGCGACACCCGTTTCCCACCTCAGCGTCCCCAGCCCCACCCAGGTCGGCCAGGCAGCTGCAGGTGTTGCTGAGTGAGTGGGTAAGCAGGCGAGTGCAGAGAGCTTGCTCACTGAAGCAGAGAGTGGGCGTATTGGGGTAACTAACACGGAAGTCTGCCCCTTAGACATGGACCAAGGCTTCAGCCACACAGCTGCTTGTCCCACATACATATTTTAAGCGGGCCAGATGCTCAGAGGAAGCCAGGCTGGGATATCTTAGTCCAGTGTTTATAAAACACTGTTCCTCATCCAGATGATTTCTGGGTAGATACTGAAGATTTCTTGGAAAAGGCAAGACTGAGGCTAAGTTTTGAGGGTTGAGTGTGTTCACAGAAGCAGAGCCGGGGGGAAGAGGGTGTTCTAGAATCATGCTTCGGCTGCCGGGAAGCCATCTGAGTCAGAAGGAAGCCGCCTGGGAGTAGATAGATGAGCCTCCAATGGAGACAGGAAGGTGGGAAGCAGCCGGGCTGATAGACAGTGGGGGTGACATACCGAAGCTCTAACTTACTTATCCCATCTGTTGCAAGACAAACAACCTTAGCTCTTTCCTGTAACACAATCCCACATAACACACTCGAGCAAGTGATAATAAGCCATTAAGAGCAGAAATTTGATTTTCATGGAGCCCTGGACAAAAGGAGGAAACTGAGTTAGACCCTCAGAGACTCCTCAGCACGTGAAAGGGATGAGGGAGGAGTCTGCACATAGGTGGGGTTTTGGGGAGGACTAAGGTTTAGTGAACAGCTCGGCAGTGCCCGGCTTTACATGCATCTTTTTAATTGCAGCACTCGACCTGCAAAGAGAGACTCAAATTTTTCTTTATGAACAAAGAATTGGTGACTCAGCTTGGTTACATAACTTGCCCATGGTCACGGTTAGGTCATCAGAACTGCAACCTCACTATGCCATTGAAGCCAAATTTCACTACCTTCCCACAAGATACTTCCTGGAGAGTTTTGAAAGAGGATAAACGTCACCTGTCCAGCAGGGTGTGAGAGCTGCACGGGCTGGGTAATGACAGTAGCTACACAGGTCTCCTGTTGACCATGGCCAGGGACTGTGTGCATGGAGGACTTGGCAGGGCTTGTCTCCTGTGATCCTTGGATTAGTTTACTATTAGTAGACTTGACTTGGTATGAGCATCATCTTTTATGTGGGCCAAATTTGGTCTCTGCTTCCACCTTGTCACCATCCCCCCATTCTCCCCAACCCTGACAGCCCAGCAGCCAGCAGCTCTTTGTAAAGAGCTCCCCTGATCATCCTCCAACCCCCTTGCCCAAATATAGAAACCATCTAGATTTCCCATGGCTCTTAGGCTGCAGTCCCACATCCCTAACCACGTCACAAGACAGGCCTTGACAACCCCACCACACCAGTCCCTGAAACCCTCACACACAAGCTCTTTCCAGCCCTGGCCCTTGCTGCTCCTTCTGCCTGGACCCCCACCCAACCCACAACCCCACATCTACAGATGTTCAGTTAATTCCCACTCCTCCCATCACATCAGAATTTCCTGATATTGCCTCTCTCATCACCTTACACTGCTTTCTAGAGTTTGCTATAATGGTACCTGAACGTCAATTTAAGTGTGTTGGTTAATTAGTCTGATGCCCCACTTGGTGTGAGGAGCTGGAGATGGGACTTTTCCCACCTTGTTGGCTCTGGGTCCATAATGCCTAGAATAGGGTGGGCCTGACACAAGGTAGGTGCTCAATATACACCATCGGATGAATAAGTGAACGCATGAATGAGTGAAGCTAAAACAAACACGCTGCCTCCTTTCCAGCGCCCTGTTTTGCCTCTGTCAGAGCACAGATAACAATATGCAGGAAGGTTCTTTTTATGCCTGTGACCTCTTGGTGACCCTCATTCCCAGTGCATTCCCAGGGGACAGTGGCTAAATCTTAATCAGCACAGTATTTACAGTGCTTGGGATCAAGAATGGGGTCAGTCTCAGGACATGGGACATCCTTCTCCAGCTCCGCTAACTGGCTGCTTCACTCAGTCTCGGTTTCCTGATTTCCACAAGGCAGGAGTTCTGCAACGGAGTCCTCCGGCCCCTTCCTGGCTAGGACTAACTTTCCAGAATTTCATAAGCAGAAACATTCACTCTTTTTTGTTTAAAAATGAAATAGATTTGGGGGATCCCCTCTAGCATCCTACTGTGCCCATTAAGACGATGCTTTGGAAGCCGTCAAAGACTCATCTTCTGACTACAGAGCTGTCTTGGGCTGCCCAGGAGCAGAGAGGCCTCCTTACCCACGTGGGAGAACACACAATGCATCTCATTGATCTAAAGCTGGTCTGGGAATTGCAAGCTAATTCGATTGGATCCGTAAATAATGCAGCCTGTTTTCAAACTGTGTGGCACTTTCATGCAATTAGGCTTTGCTGGGAATGAAAGGTCATGGGCCAGCCTGTTGGCCATGCAAACAATTGAATAATGAAAACTCTGATCATTACAGTGCTGATTATTAAAGCTGGACCTCTCTTATATGAGTGAAACTCTATCCTTTTGTGTCTCATGTTGGAAGAAATCAAAGGGAGGAAATGGCATGGGTGACAGTGCTAAATCTGGACTGTCTGCAGAGTGACGTGCTCATCTGAGCATTCCTGGTCCCTGGTGCCAGTCCTTTGGAAGGCCTCTGCTTAGCTGATATTACAAACCAGTAACACAAATGGAATCCCAGCTCCTCAATCTAAGCCCCCTGAAAGGCAGGGCCACTCACTTTTCTGCTCCTGACATGATAGAAAGCAGAGGCGTGCAGCTGGGGTTGAGTTCTCTGCAGCTAACTTCTTAGTTTTAGAAGACTCAGCTTTGGGAGCCCCTAAGCCCCAGTTTCCAGGTCTATGAAATGGGGCTGATCATGACCTCTGCTGAGGGCTGCTGCTATGCGCCATGCCATCACACATGCAAAGCGGCCTGGTGGGGTCTACTACATAAGAGGGGCTCGATAAGAAGAATCCTGTCATTTCCTAGATTTGGACCAGAAAGATGGGAAAGGCCTTTTAGCATCTAGTTTAGAGTTTCTCAAAACACGAAAGCCAGGATGACTTTTGGTTGGTTGTGGATGAGCACGTTTTTGTTTTTGTATTTAGAGGAGCTTTACGATAGGTTCACAGAAAAATTATGAGGAAGGTACAGAGATTTCCCACCTGCCCCCCTACACCCACACACTTGAATGGCCTATCACCCCCACCCTGAGCAACATCCCCTTAGGATGCTGCATTTATTACAATGTAAAAGGGACCTATATTGACACATCCAAATTACCCAAAGGTCATTTTGTACATTAGGGTTCACTCTTGGTATTGTACATTCTGTGGGTTTGGACAAAGGCATAATTACTTGTATTTACCATTATAGTATCATACAGAGTATTTTATTTATTTATTTATTTTTGATTGACAAATAATTGTACATATGTGTGTGGTACAATGTGATCTTTTGGTATATAGATGCAACATAGAATGATTCCATCAAGCTAACTCATCCCCTCACCTACTTACCAGTTTTCTGTGGTAAGAACATTTAAAATCTAGTCTTGCAGCAATTTTGAAATATACATTATTATTAACTATGCTCATCATACTGTACAATAGATTAGGAAAACTTATCCTCCTGTCTAATGGAAACTTTGTTCCCTTTGATAGACATGAACATGTTTTGGGTATTCATATATATGCATGTCTTTTTATGTATATATTTTACCATTAGATTTCATGCATATCATTACTTAAGATAGTGATTACTTTAAACAGCACCACACCTTGCAACAGCCCAAGGAGCTTTAAAAAAAAAATTTATCTCTGCCAGCCATGGTGGCTCACACCTGTAATCCCAGCACTTTGGGAGGCTGAGGCAGGTAGATCACCTGAGGTCAGGAGTTCCAGACCATCCTGGCCAACATGGCGAAACCCCATCTCTACTAAAAAAAACAAAAACAAAAACAAAAACAAAAATTAGCCAGGCATGGTGGCGGGTGCCTATAAACCCAGCTACTCGGGAAGCTGAGGCAGCAGAATCGCTTGAACCCGGGAGGCAGAGGTTGCAGTTAGATGAGATTGTGCCATTGCACTCCAGCCTGGGCAACAAGACCAAACTCCATCTCAAATAAAATAAAATAATTAAAATAAAATAAAATAAAATAATATAAAATAAAATAAAAATATAAAATAAATAAAATAAAATAAAATATTTAAAAAATTCCTCTTGTCCAACAAGGAGCCTGGCTTTGGGATTTTATACATTGTACATTTATACATTAATGAACAGCCAGGGTAAGAACCCCTGGCTTAGGACACAACCAAGTAAAAAGGATAGCTAAGGCTACCTAAAGCATCCCATCATCAAGGTGGCAAGCCAAGGCTAGAGTCTGGGAGGCACTGAGAAGCCAATGGTTTGGTTGGAGACTGTGCATCGGGGATAGGGCAGATTGGTGCTTGGTGAAATTCAGATGCCCTGCCCCATCTCAGATCCATTAAATGAGAATTCCAAGAGTTGAGCCTAGAAAATCTATGTCCTCGTCAGCCAACCTCGTCCTAGTCGTCTGGAAGGCATTCAGGAGCCGCTCATCTTACAAAGGTCAAGGCCACACCCAGTTAAAAACAGAGACACCCTGTGGATCTGTCCAATAGAGGAGACTGGGCAGATGTCAGCCCTCTGAGGATGTCATCAGGCATTTGGACTTGGATGACTGGAAGGGATTGAGCTGAAGCTTCACCCCAGGTCAGTGAGAAGCACAGAGACTGCAGTGCTGGGAGCACTGGGTGTGCTGTGGGGGAAGCTCTGTGATTAGTGCTTCAGACTTTGAAGGCTGGAAGGGATTGGGCTGAAGCTTCACCCCAGGGCGGTGAGGGGCACAGAGGCTGCAATGCTGGGAGTGCTGGATATGCTGTGGGGGAAGTTCTGTGATTAGTGCTTGGGAGGCACCGCTTCTCTGAGCCCATCCAGCAGGTTCCCTAGGACAGGAAGGAGGCAGAGGCAGCACTCTGACCTAATGCCAGGGTGCCTTTGGCAGGAATGTTCCCTGGGCAGCATCTTGCAGGAAGGTTCAGTTTAGACAGATTGCAGAATGGTAAGTAACCGCCCCCCTTCCTAGAAGGCACCATGACTTAGGATATTAAAAGTCTACAATTTACAAGTCTCTGCTAGGTGCTGTGTATGATGTCCATGCATTATTATTGGTCTCTATGCAGGGATAATGTTGTCCTTCCTGTGATGCAGGTAGGGAAGCTGAGCTCAGAGAGGTTAACTCAGTCGCCTGAGCTCACACAGCTGGCTGGGGGCAGACCCAGGGTTGGAACCTCAGCCAGTGTGGATGTCAAGGCCTTGTCTTCCTTCTTAAATCAAACGAGGAGCCAGGATGAGGGTCTGAGTCTTAGAACATCCAGCTCCACTTTTCAACCACTGAAATTCTGAGGGGACCTCGAGTGCTGCATTCGCATTTATGGGCTTTTCTCATGAAAAGGGAGTCACATTACTCCCAGTCATTTCTTTACCCAAGTTGTCAAATCCATATCAGGACTGACCCACCATGAAATTGCTTGGTCCTGTGGGACCCCCGATCAACCAGATGAGGGAGCTGAGGGCAGAGTGGCCTGGTGTGGCAGCTCGAAGGGGCTGCTTGGGCAGCTGGGTTCCTGGTCAAAGCAGCAGAAACCCTCCTGGAGGGGCCCAGGCAGAAAGGGAATTTAATGGGAGGCTCGTGAGCAAATCAATGGGGAGGCTGCAGATCCAGGCTCTGGAAGTGTGCAGAAAACAGCCTGGAAGAGAGGTGGATTCATGGATACAACAGATGGAAGAAATAAAGCCTGGTGTTCCGTAGATCAGCAGGGTAACTATAGTTATTAATCAACCGCACATTTCAAAATACCTACAAGAGGAGAATTTGAATGCTTCTAGTGTAAAGATAAAGATGTAAGGTGATGGCTGTCCTAATTACCCTGATTTTCATTATACAAATGTATCAACTTGTCACATGTACCTCCCAAATGTGTACATCTAATATGTATCAATAAAAAAAAAATGCCTGGGTAGGCAGTTCTACCCCCATTACCAAAGGACACTCGGCCCCAATGCTCCAGACTCAGGAGGCTGCCACCACTGCAACAGAAGCTGCCACCACTGTGACAGAAGCTCCATGGCACCACCGCACCACCAAGAGGAGAGGTCAACCTCACTGAAGATGCCGGGAGGTTGTAGGAAATTGACTGTTGGTTCTGGCAAGATGTGGCTTGTTGATGAGCTCATTCAGATCAATTTTAATGGTGCGGTGCTGAGGGGAGAATGGAAGCTGGGGAAGTGAGTTCTCTTTGGGATCGTTTTGCTGTAACAGGGAGCAGGAAAATGGGGTGGTAAACAGGAGGCGACGGGATCAAAGACACGTTTTTTTCTAAAATGAGGTAAAATCACATAGGGAAAAATTAACCATTTTAAAGTAAACAATTCAGCAGCATTTCCTACATTCACATTCTTGTACAGCCACCATTTCCATCCAGTTCCAAAACATTTCCATCACTCCCAAGGGCAACTGCTGCTTATCTGTGAGGCTGCTGCAGCCACTGCCCCTTCCCCCAGTCCTGGGCCACCGCTGATCTGCCTTCTGTCTCCACGGATTTGCCAATTCTGGACATTTCATATAAATGAAATCATAAAAGATGTCGCTTTTTGTGTCTGGGTTCTTTTTTTTTTTGTTTTTTTGAGACAGAGTTTCACTCTGTTGACCAGGCTGGAGTGCAGTGGCGAGATCTCAGCCCACTGCAACCTCTGCCTCCTGGGTTCAAGCAATTCTCCTGCCTCAGCCTCCCGAGTAGCTGGGATTACAGGTGCCTGCTAGCACACCCGGCTAATTTTTCTATTTTTAGTAGAGACAGGGTTTCACCATGTTGGCCAGGCTGGTCTTGAACTCCCAACCTCAGGTGATCCACCCGCCTCGGCCTCCCCACGTGCTGGGATTACAGGCATGAGCCACCATGCCCGGCCTGTGTCTGGGTTCTTTCACTTGGCAGAATGTTTTCAAGGTGCATTCATGTTGTAGCCTGTATCAGCGCTTCACTTCTGTTTATTGCTGAGTAATTTTCCGCTATATGGATAGACCACATTTTGCTTATTCATTCATTCATTGGAGGACACTTGGGCTGTTTCCACCTCTCGGCCATTGGAATATCATTGCTGTGAACATTCGTGCACAAGTTTTTCTTTGAGCAGCTGCTTTCAGTCCTCTTGGGCATCGATGTGGTGGTGGAATTGCTGGGTCATGTGGTGATTTTATGTTTAGAGAAACAAGCAAACTTTTTCCCACAGTAGCTAAACCATTTCACATTTCCACTAGCAAAGACAATCCTATACAAGGGTTCCAATTTCTCCACATCCTTGCCAAAAACTTTTAGTTGATTTTTAAAAAAAAAATATGGGTGACACTAGGACATTTTTGTACATAGCCCGGGGAGATCCAACACAGAGAGATAAATTGATGATGCAGAAGAGGAATGGGATCATTGCCTGTATTTAATAATCAACAAGGCAAGTGTGGGAAGCCCTGCACTCAAAAATAGAGAAACTGAGGACAGAGGAGAGCAGGGAGATGCCCAAGCGAGGATGCTGCTGTGTCCTATCCTGGCATCCCAGCCAGAGCTCCTCACAGCAAACCTTTCGAAGACTGCTCCAGGCCACCTCCCCTGACTTGCACATCTGAGAAAGCAGCTGTCTAATGGCTTCTTTCTTTTTCTCTTTCTCAGAAACAATAACAACAAAAGTTCAAAACCTGAAAAGTGAACCATGAAGCTCAGTAAAAAGGACCGAGGAGAAGATGAAGAAAGTGATTCAGCGAAAAAGAAATTGGTCAGTCCTTTTTTTTTTCTGTCTCCCTTACATGATTATTCCGGTCACCCAGGGGGTAGTACCCCTTTCCCCTGGGTCAGTGGGAGGCTGTTAAGGTGAAGCTGGGCAGAGAAAAGAGTGAGCAGCAGCTGAAAGCCAAGTTCTATGGGAAGGAGCCATGGGGATTGTAGAGTGTCTGGGATGAGGCTCAGAAGAGTGAAATTGACAGTCCTGATCTGCTGGTGACTTTCTGGGCTTGGGGCAAAAGTCTCCATTACAAAGGTCATTTCTCAACAAGGGGACATTGATGTTGACAATGATTATGTCATCATCGTTAAAGATACACTAAAACCCACCCCTTAATCCATCACAAAGCTTAGTCGACCTGCCCCTTCCTCCAGGAAGTCCTCAGCTCCTATTAATAGAATGACTTTCTTTCTTCTTGGGACTCATCAGATGCTCTTTTTAAACCTGATTCAAGAACCAACAGCCAGAGAGTGCCTACTCTGTGCTGGACCTTTACATAGGGCTCTCATTTAAAGAGAGACTCTTTACATGGTTCTCTCTGGATCAAACCATGCTGAAGGCATCACTGGCCCTATTTTACAGGCGATGAACTGAGGCTCAGAAAGGGATGAAGCCACTTGTCCAAGGCTATGTGGCTAGTACAGGTTTGAGCCCTTCTTAAACCTTGGATTATCTGTGCCTCACCTCCTGTGATGGGTGTGGAAGCTACTGTGACTCCAGGGAAAATTTATTTGTATTTATAATAAACCTGTATTTGGTAGGACAGAGATCAACACAAGTCCATTTACCAAGTTGTCAAGAAGGTGTGAAATTGGCAAGCTGAACATCATTGTCCCCACAGAGGTGTGAAATGGAGGATAAGGGTGCAGTCACCTGTTTGAGGTTACCCAAGACCCCACGCAAGAATAATGTCAAATAGACAGCAGTTCCCTCTAAGTGGACGCTATATCTTTTCTTGGTGCTTACATTAGGTGAGTCAAGGATCTACTGTCTAAGTATTTGGTGTAATGAAGGAAGGGATGTAGTCATTTCAAACATTCTGCTTAAATGATACTCAATAGAAAACCCCCCTTCTTTTCCAACTCTTCCCTGCTAGAAAACTTCCACCTTGTCCAAGACAACTTTTTAGCCTTAGGAAATCATCCGGAGGACAGTTTAAGGTCAGTTCCAGAAGTGATGCCTATCTACTGGACCCTGTCCCTGAGCCAGGCTGAAGGAAGTCTAGGAATACAAAGAGGCTTAGGACACTGTGGGTTTGCTGGGGCTGCCAAGACAAAGTCCCATAGACTGGGCAGCTTAAACAACAGAAATGTATTGTCTCACAGTCTTAGAAACCAGAAGTCCAAGCTCAGAGTGTCAGCAGGTTAGTTCCTTCTGAAGCCTCCCTTCTTGGCAGAAGTGGCTGCCTTCTCCCTGCGTCCTCACGTGGTCATCCCTCTGTGTGTGTCTGTGTCCTCATTTCCTCTTCCTATAAGGACACCAGGCATACTGGAATACAGCCCCATGCATATGACTTCATTTAACCTTAATTACCTCTTCAAAAACCCTATCTCCAAATACAGTCACATTGTCAGGTACTTGGGGTGAGGACTTCAACATGTGAATCTGAGGGGACACAATCAGCCCATTGAGACGCACACCATCCCTGCCCACAGTGAGCTCCCGTGCAGAGGGGAAGGCACACGTGAGCAGCAGCACACGTGCAGAGGGGAAGGCACACATGGAGCACAGAGGCAGCGAGAGGTTGGGGAGGCTGCTGGGAGGAGGTGGCGAGAGAGTTAAGTGCTGAAGGGTGAGCACAGTTCAGGGCAGTCAGAAGTGAGGGCCTGAGCAAGGTCAGGAGAACCTGAATGAGTAGGAGCTTCATAAAGACAGGCAAGTAATGACTGAATGAAGGAACCAGTGAGTGTCAGAGCAGGCAGAACGTGCCCCAGCCCAGAACATCTGGGGATGTTTGTCTTATGACTTCATCTGTGATAGGAGTCGCTTCCTTAGCAGTTGCCTGCAGTGCAGGGCCGATGGCCCTGTGGAATGGGGAACCAGCCCTCGCTTTGGAGGCAGGCTCCTCCATGCTCCCCCTGAACTTCAGTTGCCCCGAAATGTAGGTCTGATAGTTCCTCTGAGGACTAAACGATATCATGAAGGTGAACACACTTGGGAAAGCCCTGTGCACATGTAACATGAGCTGTGCACATGTAGTAGGAGCTGAAGGTGAGGCAAGTGCTGTGGCTACCAGGAACCCTGGTTAGCTACCATCTGGATCCGGGAGGGACCCATCTCCGCTCTTTTACTTTCTGTCCAGCTGTAGCTGCACATTCATGTCCACTGCCTAATTTCTGGTTCCTTTTGAGTTTTCAAACCCAACAGAGGACTACGAAGCAATTTTTAACGGGATGAGGGGACACCTGATCCAATTTGAGCTTTAGCAAAATCTGGTGAGGTCCCCACTGTTACAGATGAGGAAACAGGGAGGGTATAGAGAGGGGAGTCACAGCAATGGGATGAGGAGGGGTAAATGAGATGATGAAAATGCAGTCCCTATCAGGACAGCATAGGGGCAGAGGGGCCCTCCATGCACAGGGATGCAGCTGTCCCTGCCCCTCCTCTGCCCATCTCCTGTACTTCAGGCCCCAACCATGCTTCACTGACAATTTCACTTCCTCCCACACACTGCAGGCATCTGTGCCTGCAGGCCTTGGCTCCTTGTCCTCTCACCCCGTATCCTTCTCTGTCCGCTCAGAAGCCGCCTCTTCCAGCGGGGTCTCCAAGATCCAGCTGAGATTGATGTGGTGCCTCCTCCACACTGTCCTGGGGAATCCTCCGCCTTTTTAGGTCATGTTATAATTAAGGATTTGCACATCAGAATGCTGCTCTAGGCCCACCACTCAATGAGGAAACCAGGCTGCATAGCTGAAATCCAGTTCAAGAAACAGCCACTTCTCCCGGGGCATGCCTGACTGATTAACACACAGAAGGACGATTGCACTGAATGACTGGCGTGCTCAATACATCCCCAACCTAACTCCTGAGGGTGGTTTTCCTCTTTGGAAGTCTTGATTCCCCACTTGCTTTGAGCAGCCACATTCCCACCACCGTGCATGTCAGGGCCGGACGTTTCCACGTGCGTTTCACATTCCAGGTTCCTGGAATGTCTGCCGTACTCCACACCTTTTATTTTATTGTGTGCTTTTTACTAAACGTACTTTGCTAACTTTTCGATCTCTCTTTTGTGGACTGAGCCCTACCTTGCCTCCTGGACGTTCTGCATTCACCAAGCCTGTCCCTGGCTCTGGCCCAGACTCTGCACTGCTCTCTGCTTCTGGGAGCAAACTGTTCTAGCCAAAATTGAAGGTGCTTCTCTGGCGTCTGAGGCAACATGGCCATGTGATGAACTGATTCCCACAACCTCCTGGTGTGCATGAGGCCCTTGCCTTCTCAGTACTGTCCTTGAGCCAGCCTGGGGCTGGAATACAGGACATGTCCCCTCAGCCAGTGCTGAATGAGCAGGACAGAGTAACGACTAAGAGGCAAATTCTTTTTCTTCCAAACCCACAGCCCTCGCCTTTGTTCTAGGCTACAGGAGAGCCCACACTCATTTACAGCACGCCACTTGGGGCTGGCTGTTTTCTATTTGAGCTTCAGAATAAGTCTGCAGGACAGTCAGAGTGGGGTCAATATTCCATTTTGCAGTGGTAGAAGTTGCAGCTCAGAGAATAAAGTGACTTGCCTGAGGACACACAGTTAAAAAGTGGAGGAGTTGGCCAGACATGGTGGCTTACGCCTCTAATTCCAGCACTTTGGGAGGCTGAGGTGGGCAGATCACCTGAGGTAAGGAGGTCAAGACCAGCCTGGCCAACATGGTGAAACACAGTCTCTACTAAAAATACAAAAATCAGCCAGGCGTGGTGGCACACGCCTATAGTTCCAGCTACTTGGGAGGCTGAGGCAGGAGAATTGCTTGAACCCAGGTGCGGAGGTTGCAGTGAGCAGAGATTGCATCAGTGCACTCCAGCCCGGGCAACAGAGCAAGATTCGGTCAAAAAAAAAAAAAAAAAGTGGAAGAGTCAGGGGCAGAGCTGTATGCAGGCTTCTGAGTCAAAGTCAGCCACCTCTCCATTCTGTTCCAAGCATTAGGGAGGTATCCTAGGTTAATGGCAGTCACCCTGCTCCAGGCTTTGTTACCAGAGAAAAATAAAAAGATGCTAAGAAAAAAAAAAAAAATTCCACCCCCTGGGTGGCAATCCTGGAGAGGACAGATTTCCCTTTTTGGACTGTTTCATTGCTGTAATAACTTAGGAGCAGAGAAAAAAATGTTGCCCCGTTGCCTGTTCAGGCATGATCAAATTGCCACACTTCCTGTCAGGAACTCCCGCCCTCCTTCCAGTGGACTCTGCCTCCTCACTCACGGAAATGCCTTGGCAGAGTCTGGGGTCCCTGGACTGAGCCATCAGCTGGGTCACTGAGACCCATGGCAAGGAAACAAAATAGGAATTCCAAGGAACTGGGCCTAGTTCCCCTCACAGATGACACCAGCCACGCCGGGCCTCCAGGGCCAGGGAGGGCACTGCTGGAGTGTGACCACCTGAGGAGTGGGGTGCCAGGTGGAAGGAGAAGAAAGGTAACTACGGACAGCTTTTCTGCATGGCTGGCGGGCTGTGGGGAAGGCAGGCCTGGGTGGCAGCCGTGTGACAGTGCTCAGCCCCAGCCTGGCAGCGTGTAGCTGGGGGATCTGGGGCTTTGAGGCAGGGAGGCCTCAGTTTGAGTTGCACTTCTCCATCTGTGTGACTTTGGCATGCTCTCTCCAAGCCCCAGCTGACTGGGCCAACAGCGTCTCTGGTAGACTGGGTGTGTACATGGAATGAGGCTATGGTGGCAGGCTGCCCTGCCCCGCACTTGCATGGTGGTGTCCCTCTTCTCACCCTCCCCAGGGCATGGCACGGGCAGCAGCACCGTCGGTCAGTGGGCACCCTCTGCCCGTGCAGTGAGTGGGGAGCGGGTGGAGGGCACAGGCGGGCCACACAGGCAGGGGGCTCCGGGGAGCACAGCTGAGGCAGGAGAAGATGGCCCCCACCTGCCCTTCACCAGCCTCTGGCAGGGGCACTTCACACCAGGTGCTCCCAATCTGATGGGGTGCAGACCAGGGAGGAGTTTGTGTCCTCTAAGGTCATCGGGGCTGGGAGCAAAGAAGGCACAGAGCACAGAAACGATGCCCAGCACAGCCCAGGGGCTCAGAAGAAGTGGTATCTGTGCCGAGACTCAGAGGATAGGTTTAAAGAGAAAGAGTGATAGAGAACAGGCGTTTCATCTGAAATGTGATTCTGTTCCATCAGGGATCCCCATTCAGCTCAAGCTCCTCTCACTGCAGAAAAATATTCTGGTACTACATTTCAATTGGCAGCACCCATCCCCAAGGCTTATAAATGTTCCCTCTTGCCCCCGCATGTGATCAGCAGCCTCTACGGAGCACCTCCTCTGCAGCAGGCTCCTCAACAACATATGTGGCCAGTGCTGCTATTAAGATCCCATTTCACAGGTGGGCAAGCTGAGCCCCAGAAAAGTCAAGTCACTTGCTCAGACTCCTACAGCTGAGGGGACTGGCCCTGGAGGTAAAGCTGATATCACTTGGCTCAAAGCCCCAAAGCTCTATCTCGTGGCTGGTGGCACTAGAGGAGACAAACGAGACTGGCAGAGCAGGTAAGTGGCCATCAAGAGACCCGCATTCCCTTCCAGACGGGATTTGACTGATATGGGTCCCTGAACCATGGATCCATATGTCTTCTTCACTGTTGCACCCCCACAGCTTTGTCAGGGCCTGGCGCCTACAACACACACACACACACACACACACACACACACACTCACAAATATGTCAAATGATGGCAAAGAAGGTGCCTTCCGGAGCACCTGGCCCCTGTCCACTTGGCCTGTATTCCCTGACCAGCTGAGGACAGCCATCCCTCCTGCCCTGGCTCATGCCAGCTTGTCAGCCTTTGCCAGGGATCCAGGTGTTTCTGCCCTATGGCCCTGTACTGGTGGTGGCTGTCCTTAGATGGGGCTGCAGGGCAGGACAACACCAAGGCAGGCGCCCTGTTCTCTGTGCCAAACCTTGCATCTCTACGTCTGCAGGTCCTTGTCCTGAGGCTTGGACCAGCCCCTGTAGTTTGACGCCTCAGACTGGAACAGTATGTGCATGTAAGCGTGTGTGCACATCTGTCTGGCTGTCGGCAGTCTCAGGCCCTTGGACAACGGCACTCAGGTGACGGGTCAGCAGGGGACAGTGCAGTGGTGACTAGAGGGGCACTGCAGCCAGGCCACCTGGACTTCAGTCCCCATCCTAGACAGCACCAGCCACGCTCCCTGCCCCTCTTTCCTCACCTGTAATACAGGACATAACAGCACTGATCTAAGGACTCAGAGACAATGCGCAGAAAAGTGCTTAGAATCACGCCTGGCTGATAGCGCTTGGAGTCTGGCTTTGCTTTTTTCTGTCTGGGTCGGACACTCGCCAACTTCGCTGAAAGGATCGTGTGGAGCTGCCCAGAGCAGCTGCTGAAAACTGCGTTTCAGGAATCCTCACGCAACCCGGAAGGAACGCAAGGGCGTGGCCGCTAAACCTGAGGGCGCCCGGCCTGCGCACGCGGACCTGGACTGGAACCCTACTTGCAGGTCCCCAACTTGCGTCTCTTCTCTCTGTCTCTACCCCAGCCAAGGACAAAGACTTCTCCTCCGGAAGGCCTCCCCCAGCTGAGGGAACGTTCCAGGTCTTCCCTCGGCCCTGGCTGCGCGCCCGGTGCCGGCTCTGACGTGGTTTCCTCTCCCCTCAGGACTGGTCCTGCTCGCTCCTCGTGGCCTCCCTCGCGGGCGCCTTCGGCTCCTCCTTCCTCTACGGCTACAACCTGTCGGTGGTGAATGCCCCCACCCCGGTGAGTGCGCGCCAAGGCCCGGCAGAGGGCGCTGCGGCCCTGCGGAAACCTTCGGGTGCGCAAGGGCCCTGGGCTCCAGCGCCCCCTCCTGTTGCGCTCGCGGCGCGGGACACCGCGGGGACAGAGATTAGCCCCCACTCGGGGGAGAGGGGAGGCACAGAGACAGACAATGATGACACGGGGACAGGGGCGGGGGATGACAGTTCTTGCGGCTGGAGGGCGGGTGTCCTGGGAGAACGTTGGGAGACTAGATGAGAGGGGGCTTCGGAAGTCCCGGGGTGGGGTGGGGGGCGATCCTCTGGCCCCTAATGCCGGGGAAAGAACCAGGAGGGGCCTTATGCATGGAAACTTGGACATTTTCTTGATTTGTTTTGTTGTTGTTGTTATCTATCTATCTATCTATCTATCTATCTATCTATCTATCTATCATCTTTGAGATGGAGTCTCACTCTGTCACCAGGCTGGAGTGCAGTGGTGCGATCTCGGCTCACTGCAACCGCCGCCTCCCACGTTCAAGTGATTCTTCTGCCTCAGCCTCCCGAGTAACTGGGGCTACAGGCATGCACCACCACACCCGACTAATTTTTGTATTTGTAGAGGTGGTGTTCCGCCATATTGGCTAGGCTGGTCTGGAACTCCCAGCCTCAAGCGATCCGCCCACCTTGGCCTCCCAAAGTGCTGGGATTATAGGCTTGAGCCACTGTGCCCGGCCTGGTGTTGTTGACTTTAAATTACAACCAGAGGCCACTCAGGTATCTGCTGGATAAGACCCATCTTTGGCTTGTGTTTTACTCTGAAATCAGATCCAGGTGCAATTCTCCCAGGCCCTCTTCACATTGTGCCTCTGGTTTGCAGTTAAAGGTTGGGTACTGCCTACCTAGGCTGTAAGGTTTAGATGCTATCCTGTGGGTGCTGGCTTTGGCTTTGACCTACCACCACCCACAGGCAAGGGCAGGTTGGAGGCTTGAGGGAAGCTTTCCTGCAGGAAGTGATGCCTGACTAAGTTTGGAAGGTGGAGTGATGGATGGGGGGCCGGGATGTAGGACACATCTGGGGAAATGCGGGGAGCTCCAGGTTCTTGGAGCACAGGCCGTTTTGGAGACACGGATATAGGACACATCTGGGGAAATGCGGGGAGCTCCAGGTTCTTGGAGCACAGGCCGTTTTGGGGACACGGATGTAGGACACATCTGGGGAAATGCGGGGAGCTCCAGGTTCTTGGAGCACAAGCTGTTTTGGGGGCAGACAGGAAGCAGGCTGAGGACAGCCCTGGGTGCCTTCCAGGCTTTTCCTTGCTTGGGAGTCCAGCATCCTTGTGTACAAAACATAGGGGAAGCCTGGGTCAGTGAGTTTCAAAGGTTCCCATGAGCCCTGGAATTTTGCAGAGGTGCCTCACGGATCTAAGCACTATTTGCGCAGGTCAGTTCTATGTTTAAAAAGTCTGTTAATTATTTGACATTGTTCATTTCTGTTGCTAAAAACTGTTTGAAAACCAGGGGGCCTAGATGGCTTCAGTAAGCACTGCCAACAGTCAGTGATCTTTGATTTTGTCATTGTGACGTCATTCCAAGATGGGGATCTGGCTTGTCGATATTTGTCTTTGAAAGAGGGCTAGGAATTTGGACTCTTGCTTCATCTTGAAAGTTCATCAAAACATCCAGGTGAGAGGTGGGGGAGAACCTTTGCACTCATGGCTTGTGGAGCAGAGTTATGTGAAACTTACACCTGGGATAGAATGATATGGGTTCAAGCACTGACTATGGGAACATGAGGACGGAGGAATCCCATTACTCACTTATTCATTCAGCAAGCATTGTTGAGAGTTTATAATGTATCCAACTCTGGGGATCAGGGAAGACAGCCTGGAGGAGGTGGTATTTGAGCTGAGTCATGAGGGATGTGTAGAATTTCCACAGGTGTCAAAGGGAGGTGGGGAGCTGAAGCACACACACAGAGGCCTGGCTGTGCCCACATGGTGGCATATTAGGAAGTTAGTAGCGTGTGATGTGCCAGTACCTAGGGGGAATGCAGAGCTGGGATGAAAGAAGAGGTGGAAAAGCAGGATGGAGTCAAAAGAAGAGGGCCTAAGATCTTAGGCTGAGGAGTAGGATTTTAGTCTTGGGCAGTAGGGAGCCATGGCAGATTCATGGGGGTGGGGGTTTGCAACTCACATTTTTTTAATTAAAATTTATTTTTCTTTAACCATGACACACCCTCAGGAGGTCCTGAGAACACGTGCCTCCTTATTTATTTACTTATTTAATATGCTCACTGTTTTTTAGAAAAACAACTTTGGTGTCAGTGAGAAGGACAGGAGGGGCCAGAGCTTAGAGGTATTTAATGGGAAAGACCATGGTAAGCCAAACAGAGAGAGTTTAACGTGCCCTCCCTCCGTTTCGGGAAAGGAGATTTCTGAAGATCTACACAGCCAGGGTGGCCTTTACCGTTCTTAAGATGAGTGACACATATTATGGCAGCATCAGTAAGAGCACAGATGGAAAAAGCCCTCATGAGGTGCCGGCCCTCCTCCATGTACTTTTCATGCGTTAATCAGCTCAGTGCACCCTCATGACAGCCCTGTGAGGTATGGATCATCATTATCCCCATTTTACAGATGACGAAACTGAGGCACACTGTTCACTGACTTTCCCACAGTCACATAATGAGTGGAGCCAGAGTTTGGCCCTGGGCGGGCTTCTGGTTTCCCAGGCATCAGACACATTTTCAGTCATTTTTAAAACAGATCCTTTCTGTGCCAGGCAGTGTTAGGCCATGGGACTTCTTGTTTGGGATATCGGAGCTCTACCTCTGTGGCCAGTATGCGCAGCAAGGTGTTCAGTCTTGAGACATCACAAGGCGCTTTTTAGCCTGGTGTCCTTTGAACCTCGAGACCACGGCTCGTCATGCATACTTTAGAGGAGCCCAGAGCAAGCACCCCGAGGAGGCCTTGAGTCCAGGACTGAGCCATCTGCCCAGATCCACGGCCTGGGAAGTGTCATCCCCAGTTGGGTAGCTACTTCCCAGCATGTGCTCTCTGCCTTTGAAGAGGAGCAGAGACTGTGATGGCCAGCTCATCAACTCTGCCAAAATGTACTGCATGCCAGGCGCATTCCATTCTCAGAAATACAGAGACGTCAGTGTCTTTGGCTGTAACAAAACAGCACAGCCTGGGGTCTTCAGCAAGACATTTATTTTCCCATACTTCTCCAACCTGGAAATCCAAAATCAAAGTGCCGGTGGATTCGTTGTCTGGCAAGGACCTTCCTTCTGGCTTGCAGACGGCCTCTTTCTCACTGCCTGTACATGGCAGAGGGAGGAAGAGTGCAAGGGAGCAAGATACTCATCCCACCATGAGGCCGCCCCCATGACCTCTGCTAACCCCAGTAACCTCCCAAAGGCCTCATCTCCAAATACCATCACATCGGGGTTAGGGCTTCAACATGCCCTATCCTTGCAACAAAAATGTCATGCAACATTTTTGGAGGGGACACAATTCAGGTCAAGGTAGTTAATTACTGATGTTACCTTCATTTCATGAACAAAGAAACAGAAGCTCAGTTTAAGCAACTTGCCCAGGTTCACACAGCCAGGAGGTGGCAGTGTTGGAATTCAAACCCAGGTCTGTCTGAATCCAAGATCCGTGCCATGCTCTCTGCCCCTCCTTCCTGCCCCTGACCACTAATGGCAGGCGCCAACAGTCCAGCCATGGGGGGAGTTTGGCATGATCAATAAAGGCAAAGAGGAACAAGGGGAGATGGGAGGAGCCACAGCAAGCCCAGGGCTACTTACCTGTCCATCTACCAACCAAAAGACAGAGCAAGGTTTCACTGCAACAACCCTAGGGGCTCAAGCATAAGGTGGATGATGCTGCCATCGTGTTACAAGCAGGCACCTGTGATTGTCTGAATCCTGTCCCAACCCCTCCCTCCCTCGGGGTTCTCATAGAGCAATTCTCATAAAGGACCTGATCTAACTGAGAAACCGAAGACAGCTTTATTATTAGCTAGAATCATTCCCCAAACTCTTCCCCTCCCTATGGGGTTTGGGGTCATGTAACCTCTTCCTGCTCTGCCTAAAGGTCCTGATGTTTTATGTTTACTTGTGCTGCTTTGTGAGAAGAGAGGGGTAGCTGTTCAGGCAATCCTTCAGTGCCCTTCCCTGGGTGTTGACCTTGCTGTATCTGGGGTAGAAAGATGAAAACGACACACATCCATGTCCTCGAGGTGCCCCAAGACCAGCAGCAGTGACAGAGGCTCAATAAATAATCACCAGTGAGACAGGCTGCATGGAGCCACAGGACAGCTGAAGGACTGTATTCTACCTGGGGAGGTCAGTGGGGCCTCACTGGGGCTTGAAAGAGAGAGCTCAAGGCTTTCTGGGAATGGTGGAGACCTAAGGGTAGCTGGATGTGGGGTCCAGTGGGGTGGAGAGGTAGAGGCTGGAAAGGGGAGCTGAAGCCAGATCAGAAAGGTTGCAGAGGCCAGAACAGGAGCATGATCCAGCACCACCCAGGCTATGAGCAGGCTGAGGGCCAAGGCTCGCCCTGGGAGGCCCTTCCGAGGTGGAAACTGCCCTGAGTGTGAGCTGAGCAGGCCTGCACAGAATCCCAGCTCAGAATCCTGCAGAGAATCCCAGGCACCATGTAGGTGCCTCTGTAAAGGGCTGGTGTCGAGCCCCTTGTGAGGTCGCTGCGAAATGAAAGGAGATGTGATGCTGGAGGAGCTCAGCCCAGCGTCCAGCGATCACCTCGAATTCTCTCTTCTCCTTGCAGTGGGCTTAGAAACGGGTGAGTGAGGCAGCCCCAGAACCAGGGAGACCAGGAACAGAGCAGAGCCTCTAAGGAATGGAATCTAACACAGGCTGGAAGGACCCAAGCCTGGCAGGGGTTTAGGGTGTGAGAGCTAGGCTTCACCTGGGGTGCTGGGCTCTCGAGAAGGAGAAAGAAACCCTTGGAACAGAAGAGGTGCAGATATTAGTGCTGCTTTGGAGTGCGGGGAGGGTATCTGCTCACAGAGATGATGAACAAAGGCTGCCACCAGGGGGTGGTGTGTGGATGCTGCCCCATGGGAAGGTGTGCTGCCTTTAGCACTGGCCCAGGCTTGTAAGTCCTCGGCCCAGCCAGCTTCGCCTTTCCAGCTGTTAGATAACTGGGGGCCCAGGTGATCGGGGCACAGACTCCAGGCAGTGGGCATTTACCTTCAGGGCAGGCAGCTTGCACTGTTAGAACAATCCATGCAGTAGCTGCCGTTGGCCCTGCTGCCACCCAGCCTCAACCTTAAAAACGCTCAGTGCTCCTCTCTCCTCAGATATTTGGAAACTTTCTGTAATGCCGAAAATGAAAATAACTCGCCTCTGGGCACCAGCTCTGCACTTGACCCAGGTTCAGAATTGTGTGCACACTGGATCCTTGTTATAATATTGCAAGGCAGCTATCACTAACCCCCTTTTAAAGGCGAGGAAACTGAGGCTGAGGGAACCCAATACATCCAAGTTTCAGGGGTGGGACACTTCCTAAACATTCCCACTGGCTTCTCCTCAACACAGTCACCTGGATGTGCCTCCTGGCCACCCAACTTTCCAAGAATCCCCAGGATCTGACTACTTTTCATGCCTCATTTGGAAGAGAACACCTGCACCTCGTGCATCCACAAGGGTCCTTGGCCAGCTTGGTGGATGGGATGTGAACAGAGGTGCTGATAGGCCACATGAGGCCTGGTTTATGGCAGCATCCCTGGTTATGGCAGCACTGAAGAAAGATCTTCAGTCCTTTCTTCCCCCAGATGGCAGAGAACTATTAAACGCACACTGGACTTTGCATGAACTGGCAAGAGGTTCTTATTGTCCTTAGCTGTTGAAAATCAGGGTTATCTGTGCTGTGCTGGTGCGTTGATCACCAAGATGAACACCACAGTAGCTAGGCTCTATTCATTCTCTACACTAAACCCTAACTGGTTTCTCTGTTTCCACTCTGGTTCCTACAGTTTAGTCTCCACCCAAAGGCCAAAGGGATCCTTGACAAATGAAGCAAGATCATATTGTCCCTCCGCTCAAAACCCACTATATCTAGAAAGCAAGCCAGACTGTGGTGACTTACACGGTACCTGGGGCCGTGACACATGACACATGACAGATGTGACCACTCTGTCATCATCATTTCCCCCCTCACTCCCTCTTCTCCATTTACACAAACTTCTCCCCACTTGCTGCCCCTCAAACACACCGCACGCTGGAACCTCAGAGCCTTTGTGCGTGCTGCTCCTGCTGGCTGCAGTGCTCTTCCCTTGATTTTCCTGTGCACTCTCCTTTGATTACTTCTTGCCTCTGCTCAGACGTCCCCTCCTCAGAAATGTCTTCCCTGACCAGCCTATCCAAAATGGCACCCCTCCATCACGCTTTAGCCCTCACCGAATTTATTTCTCCTCATGGTATTTAACACTACCTGAGATATGACATATTCCTTTACTTCTTGTCCTCCTTCCCTTCACTTTAGAAAGGTCCTTGCTTCTGCAGTGCCAGCACCTAGAACAATGTCTGACACATTGTAAGCATTTATAAAAAATATTTGCTAAATGAGCAAATGGATAAATTTAAATTTAAAGTGAGTCCAAGGCAAGTCCTTAGGTCTCTTCACTCTCAAACAAATTGCCAGCTGTGAGTCTGTCCTATGGAAAACTTCTGGGACCACCTCCACCATGTTCACAGATGGGGACTTGGACACTGGTCTGTCTAATTCCTGAGTATCCCTTCTTTCTGTTCCACTAGGCTGATCTGCTGCATTCTGTGAATCAGCAAACGTTCTGTGAAGGTCCAGCAAATGTTCTGTGGAGGTCCAGATAGTGCGTGGTTTTTCTTTGTTGGCCATATGGTCTCTGTTGCAACTACTGAACTCTGCTATGTAGAGATAAAGCAGTTATAGATGATATGTAAATGAATGGGTGAGGGTATGTGCCAATAACATTTTATTTACGAAACAGATGGTGGTCTAGGGTTTCCCTTGCTGGCCAATTGTTGGCTAACCCCTGTGCTAGAGGTTTTAGAAAAGGGAGGAGGCTCTTGTAGATTCCTTGTGTCATTAGTACCTCTGGGCAGAGGGCTGGCTGGCTGAATAATTAATCCACAGCCTATGCTGCATAGCATCTAAATAGGAGCACCTAAATCTTCCTGAAGATGTTTGCTTTCTAATCTCCTTTCTTTTGTTCATGTATTGCTGATTGTCTAGGCTTTGTCCTTTCTGTTTCCAGTGACTAGCTCCAATTGGCATAGTTGTATCTTTCTGTCTATCCATCTACTTACTTACCTGTCTGTCTAAAACATCCTGAAGTTATTGTAAAAGACTGCCAAATTTAGGGCTAATTTGCATACCAATCAAATGTAGCCTGAATTTTCAGACAGTCATGCATGCAAATGTGCTAATCTGAATCCTTGAAAATGGCTTCAGATTTATGCCATTGTAATCGTTGACCTTTAGTAGGAAAATGTTGCAGTGCCTGGAACCTGCTTCATTATACTGCTAGAATCATCTGGGATGATTGCCAGAGTTGTGCTGAAAGATGTCCTCTTGGTACCTGTGAGCACCCAGTGTCTAGAATCCACCTGAGAGGTTGTTAAGGGCTGGATGGAGACCCACAGACTGGAGTGGGGGGTTCTGAGCCCCAAGGGACATTCTCTGGGGACTGAAATGGGCAGACAGGGCTGATACAGGCCTGGGTGGGATGGTGGTGCCTGGGCAAAGCATGAGTCAAAGCTCCTCTTGCTCATGGGTGTTGTCCACAGAGCCTACAGGAAGATTCTGGAAGCAATGTTCTAAAGAAATGCAAGGTCTGTGGCAGGGCCGACAGTATGGAGCCCAGACTTCAGTCCAAAAGGGCCCAACCAAGACAAAAAACAAGCCAAAGGGTGAGGGGTTCAAGAGTAGCTGATCCATGAGAAGCAACTATTGAGGTGATGGACCTGGATGGATTCCTGACCTGGGACTCACGCACTTCCTATGATTGTAGGAGGATCCCACATTGCAATGAGCCCAAGAGAACAGTCAGCCTAGGCAGAACGACCACTGGGGGATGGACATTAAGAAAAGTCGCCAAGAAAAAAGGACCAAAGTTGAGATAATGAATGTGTTGAATAGGAGTTATGAATGAAAATAAAAATTAGAAAGCAAACAGGGAATGCAGTGGTTGGGGGAACAGAAGGTGAGGTGGGCGGGACAGTTCAGGGCTAATCAAAAGGGTAGACAGTGAACTTGGTGCCTGTTTGTGCAGTTTCTGGCCTGTAGCTTGGGGGAAATGCTTGGAGGCTTGGCAAAAGTATAGCAGTCAGGATTGTACAGATCAAAGTGTCACCTAAAACAATACTGTTCATTTGTTTCCCTGGCGTCTATCAAAGTACCTCGCACACAGCTTCGCCATGACTCCTGATGCTAACTAGCCATTTAGGCCAAACTTCACAGGTTAAGAGCACAGCCGTTCACAAGACTGGCCTTACTTCAGACACCAGCGACAGGCTCAGGGGTTCCGTGAACATATGGTAACACATTTGGGGGTTCTCACTACCCCTTCTGGTTTGATAATTTGCTCAAATGACTCACAGAACTCAGGAAGTGCTATGCTTAGAATTACAGCTTTATTATAGCAAAAAGGATACGAATCAGAATAAGCCACAAGAAGAGATCACAGGGCAAGGTCTGGAAGGATTCCAGCTCTGGTGTTCTCTCTCCTCCCACAGAGTGTTGTCTACCAGGGAAGCTCACCCAAGCTTCAGTGTTCCAAATTTTTATTGGGGTTTCATCATGTAGATGTGATTGATCAAATCATTGGCCATAAGGTTGAACTCAATCTTTGGTCCTCCTCTCTTCCCTGGAGGTAGGGCTGATGTCACTTGGCTCAAAGCCCCAACCCTCTATCACATGGCTGGTCTTTCTTGCATGGCCAACCCCCATCCTGAGTTATCTTGTTAACATACACTATCAAGGGATTCTGAGAGGTCTGCCATGAATAACTCAAGAAATCCCAAGAATTCACAGGCTACATCCCAAGAACCAGGGACAAAGGCCAGCCAAACTTTATTATACAGTTGTCTACTGTGTATATAAGATTTACATTACACAAATGCATATTATAAACAGAAAATACTCAAAAAATGTTTGTAAAATGAATTAGTGAGTGAGAGAAGGAAGGAGTGAGAAAGAATGAATGAGAACTTAACTTTAGGAGTCTAACTCATTGGCCCCACACCATCCAATATAAATTAGGACTTATTTGAAACAACACTGGCAGCCACAGAAATAATACTGAATGGCTTGGCTTTGATAAGAAATTACTCACTTTTCCAGTGGTTTTTGAGTTAGCCATGTTTTGTCTTCTTGGGAGGGGAGACACAGACTCTTGTCCTTCATGGTGTTAGTATTTAAGCCCAGGGTTTCTGTAGAGCAATTAAGTTGACTCAATGCATTTCCCAGCATAAATGGTATATTCTATTATTTTCTCCTGTCTGCTCCTTCCCTAAAGGCAGATAAACAAATGATAATAAAAAGCAAAATCAACATTTCCCTCTATAAGGGTAGAGCTGCCCAGTTAGCCACAGATGTTAGAACCTGATCAAACAAGATTCAAGTGAACCAACAGAGAGAGAACCCAAAAGCAAGTTCTGGTGCTTTCAGTTAATCCCACCCCATAATGCCATCTTAGCAGGCTGCTCTGGGAACCCAGGCGCTCTTAGAGAAAGAAGCATGTCGCCTGGCAGGTGCCTCTGGTGTGGCCTGAGACCCATTCTCAAGGAAACCAGGAGGGAATGATGAGCAGAGACTGTGTCAAACGACATAAGTTCTGG
The DNA here is from genome assembly GCF_000001405.40 of Homo sapiens. Classification (NCBI taxonomy): domain Eukaryota; kingdom Metazoa; phylum Chordata; class Mammalia; order Primates; family Hominidae; genus Homo; species Homo sapiens. The sequence continues at coordinate 10,009,149 of NC_000004.12, read as the reverse complement.
TTGGGGTGAGGGGGAGGCATAGCAGGGCTCAAGACTTTGGTGGAAGAGGGCTGAGATTACAGGAGGACCCTGTGCATTGTGTCACTGCAGAAACAACGGGCAATTATGTCTATGAAATGGGTATCTCTGAATCCCAGAGTTTTGTCCCCTCACCCCCCGCTCTTTTCAGTTTTACTCTTGCTTTTGTCTCACTTTATCTCAGTAACTATAAAAGCAACAGACTTCCATTAGGAAAAAAAAAAAAAAAAACCACCGCACAGAAATTTGATAATGAAGCTACACATACAAACATTCTTCTGTGAGTGAGAGATGATCTCTCTCATTTGTATACCAGCCCCACATGGCAGATTTATGCTGATAACCCTGTATTACAAATAAGGGAGAGATTGAGTGACTGGCCTAAGGCTACCTAGCTAATAGATGGTACACTTGGGCCTGAACACAGTCAAAACCCAGACTCCATCCAGAGGCCGCTTTTAATGTGTCATCTAAATCCACTCTTTTTTCTGAAGATCATCATATATACTGTTTAATACTCTCTTTTTTGGCTTACTATTTATTTGTAAGCACCTTTCTATGCTATTGGAAGTTCTGCATCACCAGGATGTTTAACAGCAGTGTGGAGCTGCCTCCTGTGATGTCCTATCTTCCTAATGTGGGCCTCTGAGGTTGTTTCCAATTTTTCTCTAATATGAGATGCTGCTGCATTGTTTAAATTGGGATCTGTGAGTCATTGTTTGGTTTGGTTTGATTTGATCAGAGCCAGCACAGCTGCTGACTGATGAGGGCCCAGGGACCTTTTCCAGCCTGGGGCGTTGGTGTCCAGGTGTCCCAGGCTGTGAGTGCCAACTCCCCCCGCACCATGCCCTGGAGGTCCCAGCGATTAGAGCTGGACAGCCTGCCTCTTTGATATAGAATTTTCTCATTTCATAAAGTTTCTCCAAGAAAAATGCCTTTGTTGAGCCAAATGGGGAAAGGAACTCGGTCCCATCAAATCTCCAGGAAGCTCAGCTTAGTGCAGTGGGGGCAGTGGTTGCTGCAGCCAGAGAGCTGGGGATAGCTGATCCAGCAAGATGGGAGGTAGGGAAACTTGGAGGGCTGTGTTGGAGTTGCACAGCTGGTGTGAACAAACCAGACAAGTGAAACTAGAAGCACCCTATTTCTGACCCATAGGGGAAGACCCTGAAATTTATTGAGCACCTGCTGTATGCTGACATCATGCTCGGGACTTCACACACCTCATTTCATCCTTCTGGCGGCCTCATCTACAAGCTAGGGGTTCTTATTCCCATTCTATAAATGAGTTATTCCAGAATTGATGTTGCAGACGGGGCCCCTGCTACCTCAAGCATCCAGAAGTGAATTGACTGGTAATGAAAACAATTTGCCCTTTTCATTCCGGCCAACCGGAGGATATGCAAAAAGGAGAGCAAAATATCATCTCAAGTCTGCGAAAATGCACTGTTCCCTGTAAACACAGCTATGCAACCTCTCAAAAGAATGTTCCAGCAGGAGGAAGGCTCAGGACTGTGATTGAATAAGAATAATATTGGGAGTGCATTCACTTCTCTGCTTCTGCCTGGGGCCAAATAGACAATGAAACTTACCTTCTTTATGTTTCAACTAATTAAACCCAAGCATTTGGCTGCCCCCTCACTGCAAAGGTGGCTGAGGGGAAACCCAGGAGGCTCTGAAAGCCTTACTTGCCTGGCTGTTGCTTGTAATTGATGTTTCCTCTTTCATCATGTTTCATTTCATTCTGAAAGCTAACTGTGGGAACAAAATAGTCTCAGGTGTCTGGAGGCACAGGAGCCTCTTTCCCAGTGAGTCAGCCAGGCTCCTCTGGGAGAATCACTTGGGGAGGAGGAAAAAACACCACAAACCTGCAAACCTAATGCTCAAGTCAAGCCAAAATGGGAGCTGAGTTTTTTCCTTAGGACAAGGGAGGTGTACTGGGGTCACCCAACACCACCTTCAGGTAGGATAATTCACTGGCATGAGTCACAGGCGTTGGCACAGGAATGCGGTAGTACTCACAGCTATGACTGATCACAGTGGTGGAACACAATGCTAAGTCAGCAAAGGAAAAAGGTGCAGGGGTGAAGTCCAGAGGAAACCAGGGGCAAGCTCCAAAGAACTCTTCTAGCAGAGCCTCACGGGACGCGCTTCATCCCCACAGCAACGAGTTGTGACAACTCTTGTGAAATTTGTCTAACAAGGAAACTCATTAGAGACTTGGAGTCCAGGGTTTTTCTCGGGGGGTGGTCACATAGGCACTCTCTGCTTGGCAAGCAGAAAATTCCAGATTCCCAGAAAGAAAGCAGATATAAACCACACTGAGACAGCATAAACCACACTGTTTGCACAGTTTAGGTACACTGAGTCACTCTTACCAGATCTGGGAACGGTGGCAACCCTTCCAACATCCAAGTTCCCAGATGCAAGCCCGGGACTTACCCTGCAGCAGGCTTTTCTAGGAAGAGAAGTCTCAGGCGTGCTGTGAGAGCTCTTTTCTACACAGGAGGCCTTACCTCGGGGAGCCAGGCGACATTAGGTAGCACTGCTGGGATTGTGGAATTTTGTTCTTGTGGGGCCCTAACTTCAGAGGGCCTGGTTCAACAATGGGTACTTTTTTAAGGACTTCTGGACTGCGTTCTTCCCTGTGCCAGTGTGTTCAGTGGTGCAGACTGTCTTTATAAAGCCCTAAGGCATTGTGGCATGACTTCCTCTCTTATGCAATGGTGTGTGTACTCTGGCCCAGCTACCAAGTGTTACTTCCGTGTATTTTTACAGGACTCCTGAGAATCGTTCCAAGTGAGTTCACGGGAGGCTCTGTGTGAATCAGTAAGGCACATTAATATTGTTAAACGGGCTACGAGGTAATTTGCCTCCCATTGTCTGGCAATTTCTTTTATTATTTGGAGATGCTCTAAGCCAGTCTTGGCTGGGAATTGCAGAGTTCAATTTTATGTCCAGAGGCTTGGTCCCCAGGTTCCTGGCCTGGGAGATAATGGTAAGTGATTCATGGATTCTTGAATCTGACAAATAAATGAGCCTAGGCCCCTTATTTTACAAATATAGCAGTAAAAATATCAACAACACTACCACCAACCACCCCAATTTCCGGTTTTTATTGTGTACTTCATATCGACCCAGCACTGTGCTGTATCTTCATTCTCTCATTAAATCTTCACAGTAACTCTTCAAGGAGGGCAATGATTTAACAGATGAGGAACCTGAGGCGCAGAGAGGTTAAGTAACTTACTCAAGGTCACCCAGCAAAGAAGTGGCAGAGCTGAGAGTGGAAAAAAGCCAATTCCAACTACCTTTAACATTGACAGCACTTCCAGAGAGGCACACAGATTGCTTAAGATCACCCAAGGCCACAGAAAGACTCAGTGATGCAAGCAAGTGTTAAATCCAGAACTCTTGGCTCTTTCTTAAGCTTCCTTTGCTTTAACCATGTAGCCTTTTATTCAGTTGTTTGCAGTTTAGGCTGTAGTTAGTACTAGCCGTAACATCAATGCTTCTGGAGCAACTCATAACAATTTTGATCAGACTCATCATCTCATACCAATTGCAGGAGCTTCCTAACAGGCCTAGCATCCTCTAGTCTAATCCCTGAAATGTCCTTCACACTGCACCTATGAAGAACATTCTTAACCACAAATTAGAGCTATCAATTCCGTGCTAAAACCCTCCAATGGCTCCCCAGTGCCCATGGAATTTTGTGTAGACTCCTGAGGCTGGCAGGCAAAGCCAGGTACAGGCAGCCTCCAACCTTCTACTGGGCCACCTTTCAACCCACTGCGTCTTTTATACCTCCTGTGTGGCAACCTGTGGTCTCCGGTTTCTGCACCTTCAAGAATTCTGTTAACTCTGCCTGTCGTCCTGTAACTGAGCCCACTCCGTCTGCCCTTCTTGCTTGCTTGACTTGGATTCCACAGCCTTTCTTGGCTTCCTATTGTCATGGCATTTTTATTCCATGTTATAATTGTATGTTTACTTGACTACTGTCTCCACTAGATCTTGAACTCCTTGAAGGCAAGAAACAGCAGAATTTGTATCTAGAAGAAAGGATGGGAAGCTGGGCCCCTGGTAGTGAGGAAGCAGACCTGTAAAGTCAGATAGAAAGATACAAGAATGTGCCTCGTGGCTGTTGGCTGAATGAAAAAGTAAAACAAGGAATCCCAAGTAAGATAGGAATGAGTGAGATGTCCCAAAGCAGGCCTAGAGGTTACCTACCACAGTGATCTTAAAGCAAATTTTTATTGCAGATTGTTTTCTTCAAACAGGATCGAGTTCTCCCAACACATAAAAGGAAAGCTCTAGGTAAAGGTTTATATCTCCAAGCCTTCATGACTTGGCCTAAATCTCTCCTCCTTCTTGAAGCCTCAGGTCACAGTGCAATTGTGATGGCATGGGCTCTGTAGTTACGTTGATTGTGTCAGCAGGGCAAACTTGCTGCTGTAATAAACAAGCCCTGTATCTCAGTGGCTTAACACAGTGAAAATTCCCATTTATATCACCTCATTTGAAGGAGATGAGCAGGAACACTCTGCTCCATGAAGCCATTCAGGGACCCAGGTTCCTTAAGTGAAGTGGTTCCACCATTCTCTAGGACTTTGGAGTCCTCTGCTAGATCCTCTGTGGCTGGCCAGCTGACAGGAGCAAGCGTGGAGCAGGCAAACACATTCTCAGCGTCTTGGTGGAGGTCACACATGTCCCTTGTACTTACACTCCTTGCTTGAGAAGTAGTCATATGGCCCCACCTAGATGCAAGGAACTGGGTAAGGTGGCCTGGCAGTATGTCCAGGAAGAGGAGAGCACTGTGAGGTCTAGCAGGCCCTGCAGTTCTACCATCTTTGGCATGGCTGTGGGATGTGTTTCTCCACTCCAGACTTCTCTGTTGTGAATGAAACTTCTCAGGATGGCTACAAGGGTTGAATGAGATGAGATATCCAAATGTCTGATACATACTTAGCAGTCAACCAATCTTCATTCCATGTCTCCTCTTCTCCCCTAAAACAGAGGTATTGATATCATCATCTTTATATTTTCTACACTTAGAGTTGGAAAAAAGTAATGGTTAAGAGATGGACTCTGGATCCCTGCTCACTGGGGCTGAGTCCTGGTGACATCGCATGCCAATGGTGTGAGCTTGGGAGGGCCCCTTGTGGCTCTGTGGCTCAGATACCACATCTGCCCAAAACAGAGGTAACAAATAGTACCCTTGTGGAGGGTAAGAAGTGAGTCAGTATGCCTCCAGTTCTTAGAATAGTACAGAGCATATTGTAACTATGATGTGTGGGTTACCTGTTTTATTATTATATGGTTACTGCCACACAGCAGAAACTCAAAACGAATTCTTATTTAAGCACCCATTCTGTATCATGCATGACCAGTCATGTTTTGCCATAGGTGAGGTTCACAAATCTCAAGCTTGGGGAATGTTAGTGCAGTGAATTCTCTGAGCAAACTTCATCACTGGCTTCAGCCTTGTGGTAACAAGGCCTTTCACCTGGGCTATTGCTGAATTCAGACCTGGAAGACAAACGTTCAGTTGCCAAAAGCATTGGGGCAAACAGCTTTCGGGGAACTTTTGAGAAAAGTGTTCCTGCAGGGGGCCTAGGCTATGCAGCAAGTCTTCTGGCCCCTCCAGAGTCTATAGAGGCTTCTGTCAGCCATTTCCCAACGTCACAGTAAGAAACTTCCACAGACTCCCAAAGCAATGCTTGGTAGTGGGTGAGCTGAAAACCCTCTCTTTTCCCACCAGGCTCCTGAATGCAGTGCAACACAAAGGAAAAGACAAAATTTCCTCCCAATCAGCATCCTTTTCATTTCCTTACATTAATTCCAGGAAGCCAGTCATTACTGAGGCCTTCCAGGGTGGGTATTAGCCTGACTCCTTGCAAGACAGCTGCAATTGCTTGAATTACTATAAGAGTGCCATAGGGAGCAAGTTCACGTGCAAGAGTGACCTTGCACATGTGGAGGTCTCCTGTTTATCAGGTGGCAGGAGGGGTGTCTGTGAAGTCCTGGATACTCATTACTTATGCCAGCTTCTCTGAAGGGTCTTTACTCTGTACATACTTGCAGTAGTTCCTGGGGCAGCCTCTACCCCCTGTCTTGCTGTGGCCCCTCTAATCCTTGCGCTTAGCAATCATCACTGTTTCTCCCACTAGACTCTGTGCTCCTTGGGGGTGGTTGCTGCTGTATTCACCACGGTCTGACGGAGTATCCAGCCCAAGCAAAGGCTTAGTTGATATAGTTGATATTTACTCTTTTTTTTTGTTTTAGATGGAGTCTCGCTCAGTCCCCCAGGCTGGAGTGCAGTGGCGCAATCTTGGCTCCCTGCAACCTCTGCCTCCAGGGTTCAAGATATTCCCCAGCCTCAGCCTCCAGAGTAGCTGGGACTAGAGGCGTGCACCACCACACCCAGCTAATTTTTCTATTTTTAGTAGAGATGGGGTTTCACCATGTTGGCCAGGCTAGTCTCAAACTCCTAACCTCAGGTGATCTGCCTGCCTTGGCCTCCCAAAGTGTTGGAATTACAGGCATGAGCCACTGCACCCAGCCAATATTTACTCTTAAATCAATAAATGCACCATTAGGTTTATCTGCTTAACTTTCACATCTTAATCATAAGTTCAAGAGTTCAGTTTGTGGAGCAGTTGTATTTGTGCCCTGAAGTTTGGCAGCTCCACCACAAAAGCCTCCCAGTGCATATAAGCCGTGACTGTGGGCAGGTTATATAACTCTCAGGCCCCTTGTTTGTAAATGAGGGCTTTTACCACTAGGGTTGTCGTGAGGGTGAAGTGAGATTATTTATGTGCTTTGCTAGAGTTTCTGTATTTCCATAGTTGTAAGGAACAACTAAAGCCAAAAAAGTTGTTGAAAAGAGTGGGTTGCTCACAGGATCAGTGGGAGGGCTGGAGAGCCAGGCCTGGAAGCTCTGTAGCTGGAGATACTACCCTAAATCACTCCCAGAGCTGGTCCTATGGGCTCCGCTGCAGCCACCACTGCCATTGACTGCACCGCTGGCACAGGACATTGCAGCTCCCCTGCTGCTGCCCCCAAACCCAATCCCACCAGAGCTCCCTCTGCTGCTGGAGAATCCTCCTCAGCCCCATGTCTTAGCCCCAGTAACACCTTGATCAAAGTTCCAGCATCTGATTGGCTGAGCCTTGGTCACATGTCCACTTCCAGCTGCAGAGGATGCTGGGAGAGCGGGTGTCTGGCATGTTTGGCTTCTGTAGTTATGTGTCCTTTGTTTCCCCACTCAGGATTCTGAGGCAGGAAAGTCTCCCAGGCGGGAAGAGGGCTTCTGATGCTGGGGAGCCTAAAAGGCAGATAAATGTCCAATAGAGGACATAAAGCCTTGACATTGACTAAATGGTCAATGTCAGGTAAATGTCCAGCCACTAAGAAAGAACATAGTGGCCATTCTGAAGGCTGCTGGTAGCACCCTGATGAAGGCTCAGGAATCAGTGTCCTGGTAGCCCCAGTGAGGGGATGGCAGTTTGGACCGGTTGAGTGGTGGAATGGTGGAAGTGGTGAGAAGCCTTTTGGAAGCTAGGCAATATATTACTTTTCTAGAGCTGCTGTAACAAAGTACCACGGACTGAGTGACTGAAAGAACTGAAATGTGTTATTCCATAGTTCTAGAGGTCAGAAGTCCAAGATCAAGGTGTTGGCAGAGTGGATTCCTTCTGAGGGCTTTGAAGGAAGGCTCAGTTCCAGCCTTCTCTCTCTGGCTCACAGATGGCCATCTTCTCCCCATGCCTGTTTACATCATCTTCCTCCTGTGCCTGTCTATCTCCACATTTCCCCTTTTTATCAGGGTACCAGTCACGTTGGATTAGGGCCCACTCTAGTGACCTCATTTTAATGTTATTTGCTTTGTAAAGATTGTCTCCAAATAAGGTCACATTCTGAGGTACTAGGGGTTAGGACTTCAACATATGAAGTTTGGAGGGGAACAAAATTCACTCTGTACCCGTGTCTGTCTTTGTGTCCTCTTTCTATAAAGGACACCAGTCATATTGGAGTAGAGTGGGCCTTACTCCAATATGACCTCTTCTTAATTAATTATATCTGCAATGACCACATTTCAAATAAGGACCCATTCTGAGGTTTGGGGAGTTAGGACTTTAGTATATAAATCTGGAGGTGTGAGGTTAGATACAATTCAACCCTAACAGTCAGGGATGAGTGAGGGTGGATTAGTTGAGGAGATTGGATCAAGGGCAGGAGTTAAGAATGACTTCGTGGTTTTTGGCTGAGCAACTGGAGAATGGTGGTCCCATTCACTCACGTAGGGAGGAACAGATAAAGGAAAGGAATTCAGGGGCAGAGGTACAGGCTGATGGGTCCCATTCCACACTGGTTTAGTAAGGGATCTGTGCCCCAACTATGTCCAGCAGGACATAAAGAGAAGTTTGTTAGAAGCTTCCGGGAAAGTTCCTCTTAGCACCAAGAGACCTATGAGAGGCCAAGCTTACTCTCTCCAGTCATGCATGAATAGAAAAGCATGTAGCCAAAACTGCTACTAGGAGCCATCCTGCAATTGTGAGTGCATGCTGTCTTAGGATGAGGTCAAAATTATGGAAAGCAGAGTGAAGCAACCAGATGGCACCTGGATTCTTGGCCATTACTGAGTCACCAGATGGGCCATCCTTGAAGCTCACCACTCCTGTAAATTTGCATTTCTGTAGGTGTCCTCATTGTTCAGCTATTTTGAGTTGAGGTTTCCTGTTACTTGCAGCCAAGAGCATCCTTAAATGATACAATGCATTATCAGCTCCAGTGGATGGAAGATCTTTGAGATCCAGGGTTATGTTCCATTTATCTCTGTGTCTAGCTCAGGGCCCAGTACTCAGCACATGTTTGTTGAATGAGTCAGTGGATGACGTAGATCAGTATCTTGTGCACTGAGGTCTGGAAACTTCATCATCGATAGAAATAGCTGTAGCTATTGATAATATATTCTATCCTCACTCCGTGCTATGAGTAAGATAGTTGTGAATCCAGAAAGAAAGAGAAAACAGAAAGAAGATAAATACCTCGCAAGCAGAGGGTGTCTCCCCTCCTCACCTCATTTCCTTCCATCAGACCATTTGCTTATGTCTGAAATCTGGGAGTTTTCTGTGATCTTCTTTCACTTTCTGCAACACCATCTGTTCTCAAACCTGGAGCCAATCACCCAGGAAGTCCTACCTATTCTACTCTCAAAATATATCTTAAATCCATCCACTTCTGTCCATTTCCATTGCTTAGTGAAGTCCACCATGATCTTTGGACCACTGCAGTGCCCCCCAAGTGTGCCTGGCTTCCTGTCTAGCTCCTCTTTCATCCACTTGCCAGAGGGATCCTCTGAAAATGCAAGCCACACCATGTCCTCCCCCTGCCAAAAACCCTCCAATACTTTCCCACTTCATCTAGAGTAGAATCCAAGTAAAAACCAGGCTAACTTCCATGACCTATCAGGCCCACATGACCTGCCCTTTCTTGCCCCTCCAACTTCATCCAGCCCACTCCTTCCCTTTCTGGTCCTGTTCCTCCCCTATTGGCCTCCTTGCAATTCCATGGCCACCCAAGCTTTCTTCTGTCCTGCTGTCTTGGCATAATTCTCCCTCTGCCTGGAACACTTTCCTACCATTTTTCTTTTCCATGTTAAATGGCAGCATGTATTATGCATACAAAAGAGTATATAAAATACACACATATGCATTATGCTTGTGTGCCCGTACACACACACACACACTTTAAAGACTGAGTATAAATCTAACACTCATGTCACAATCCAGGTTAAGAATAAAAGGTCTGGGGAGGCTGCAGCGGGAGGATCGCATGAGCCCAGGAGTTTGAGACCAGCCTTGGGGAACATGGCGAGACCTCCTTTGTACAAGAAACAAACAAAAAAAATTTATCCAGGCATAGTGGCACATACCTGTAGTCGTCTGTCTCAGCTACTCGGGAGGCTGAAGTACCAGGACCTCCTGACCCCAGGGGATCAAATCTGCAGTGAGCTGTGATCATGCCACTGCACTCCAGCCTGAAAAAAAAAAAAAGAAGGACCTACCAAGTGTCCCTCCCCAGTTATTTCTTCTGTCATCCCCCGAGATGACCCCTGACCTGACATTTGAAATAATTCTTTCTTTGTAGTTTTACCGTCTATATATAATTCTCCAAAAAATTTTAATTTGGCATACTTTTGGGTTTTACACATGGAATCAGACTGTGTATGTTTTGTTTTTGGCTGCTTTTGGTTGGTGTTATTTTTGCCAGGTTTTCCCATGTGTGTTTGGACAGAGCTGTATTCATTCATGTTTGTGGCTGTGATGTTTCATATGATGATGATTCTGCAATTTGTTTATTCCTGCTATCGACCATGGGCACCTGGGCTGTTTCTCGTCTGGAGTTATTATGTGCAATGCTGCCATGGACATCTGAGTACATATATCCTAGGGCTCCCCAGAAACAGTTTTTCAGGGGAGTTTTCTAGAAGTAGATTTGCTGAGTTGTAGGCTACAGGCATCTTCCATTTGACTAGCTGATGCCAAAGCTGTTTTCCAAGATGGCTGTACAAGTCAAACTCCTACCAGCAGACAACACACTGCTTGTCACTCCTCAGTCTTACCAGATCTTTTAATTTTTAGTCTATGTGGGATTGTGTAAGCTCCATTCAAGTACTGGCCACTGCTTCAAGCTCTCATTTGACCCTCACAACAGCCCTGAGAGGTCAATGTCATCATTCCCATTTTGCAGATAAGAAAACCAAGGTTCAGCTGATTTAAATCATTACCAAGTTGTGCTGGGATTTGAGCCCAGGTCTGAGCGACCTGAACCTAAGCTTTTTCTGCAGTGTCATATACTGGCTCAGCTGAGGTTTGCGGGCTCACGTTGGGTAGCAACAGGGAACTCTAAGTACCTTGGGGACTGAACTCTGTTTGGAGCTTAGTGCCATGGACCTCAGTCTTTGGTGTACATCAGAATCACCTAGTCCCTGTCCCAAACACACTGAATCAGAATTGGCAGCGATGAGACTCTAGTGAATGTGAAGTTGTATTTCCTTGTGGTCTCATTTCTCTGTTGACTAATGATGTCAGGCATTCTGTCATTAGCATACCAGTCATTTGTATTTTCTCTGGAGTCTGTTCAAATTTTTGCTCATTTTTAATTGTATCATTTGCCTCCTTTTTGACATGTTAGAGTTCTTTGTATATCGTAGATAGGATTTATTTGTAGTTCTATGTGTTGCAAATATGTTATCTCAGTCTATGGGTTGTCTTTTCATTTCTGAATGACGTCTTTGGAAGAGCAGAAGATGTTAATCTTGATTATATTCAAATGAGCATTTTTTTTTCTTTTATGGCTAGTTTTTTTGTGTGTGTTGCATTTTTGCCTATTTTTTTTTTGTTAGGTATGTGCCCCCCCACTTTTCTTTTGAGACAGGGTGTCACTCTGTCACCCAGGCTGGAGTGCAATGGCGCAATCTTGGCTCACTGCAACCTCCGTCTCCTGGGTCCAAGAGATTCTCATGCCTCAGCCTCCTGAGTAGCTGGGATTACAGGTGCATGCCACCACACCTGGCAAATTTTTGTATTTTTAGTAGAGACAGGGTTTCACCATCTTGGCCAGACTGATCTCGAACTCCTGGCCTCAAGTGACCCACCCATCTCAGCCTCCCAGAGTGCTGGGATTACAGGTGTGGGCCTCTGCGCCCACCCGGTATGTGCCCTTTAACACACCTCCACAGCAATGCTGCGGTGCACTAGAATTGGAGAAGCCCAGCTATGAAGCTCATCATAAGCTTGGGGTCAGATCTGAGTCCAGCTCCCAGGTTTAGCACTTACCTAGCAAGTCACTTTGTCTCCCTGAGCCTCAGTTTCCCTATCTCCAAAATGAGGTAAAAAGAGGAAACATTTTGTTACAAAAAAAGTACCTTGGGATAGGCAAAGATGCAAGAAACACAAAAAAACTAGCCATAAAAGAAAAAAAATGCTCATTTGAATATAATAAAGATTAACATCTTCTGCTCTTCCCAAAATTTGTTAGAAGAGGCCAATGAGATAAAGCTCAAACAAATTAGCAAAGTGCTATGCATGAAAATGCTCTGTACAAGCTGTTTTGTTTTGTACACTGGCTTGCTTCAAGCAGCAGGAGAGAACAGAAGGAAATAACATGGTTTGTTGTTTATTTTCAGTACATCAAGGCCTTTTACAATGAGTCATGGGAAAGAAGGCATGGACGTCCAATAGACCCAGACACTCTGACTTTGCTCTGGTCTGTGACTGTGTCCATATTCGCCATCGGTGGACTTGTGGGGACGTTAATTGTGAAGATGATTGGAAAGGTTCTTGGGAGGTCAGTAGGAGGCTGTCTCTATCTGGGGGTGCCCTCCATGTTCATAATATATCTGTGTCATTGTCAGGGTCCTGACAGGCAACAGAACTCCACTCAGGCAGTTCAACTGGAGAGATTCAAATGCCCAAAGGGGAAAGGGGAAGAAATCAGAGACCAAGGTCCAAAGATAACTGAAGCCATGGACTGCAGGCTGATGAGCAGCAGCAGAAGCGTATAGGGACTGGGCTGTGTCAGAGCCACAGCACCCACATGGGGGAGGAGCAGGGAAGAAATGCCCTGACCCCTCCCTCCTCCCACCCTCCATCCTGCTGCAGAGGTGCACACTGGTCACACCCATGTGAAAGCCAGTAAACCAGGAAGTCATGTTGCCATCCAGGAGATGCTCCCGGGGCATAGAGCAGAGCAGGGAGGGGAGGGGAATTGATCTGGGTGTTGGGGCAAATGGAAAACACAGTGCAGTGCCTTGGAAATTGTTCCACGTAAGTACATACAGATCTGCTTTTCCAGAAAATTGACTGCTTAGACAGTCTTCCACTATATGGCTGTCTCATCATTTATTTAGCCACACTCCCTGACTGAGAGACATTTAGGTCATTTCAGATCATTTACATTACAAATAAGGAAGCAGTGAGAATCAAAAACTTCATATCAGCCTTTCCTACCCAGGCCCTCTCCAATCAGCTCACTTGACCTTGTGAGCCTCATTCCTCACTTATTTTAGACAGGAATCCTTCTCTCAGAGCAGATTGACTTATCAATGAATCCCCACAAACAATGCTTTCTCTGTATTCTTGTTCATAACAACAGCATCCTGGGAGCCAGTGAGCAGTGTGTGGAAAGAGTAGAGCTTCTCCAAGTGATGGAGGAGTCGTCACATCAATCTGATGGGGCCAGAACATTCGTGTCTTAACTTGAATCATGTGTCTTCCACTTACTAGCTGTGTGCCCTTGGCCAAATCATTTAATTTATTTGAGCCTCAATTTTCTTATCTGTAAAATAGGGATGATAGTTTCTACCTGCAGGGAATGTTACAAGAGTTAGACCAAATGAATGGAAGGAGAATGGCCATGAGTTGTAGCTGAATAAATAAAAATTCTTGTCATTGACCACATTATTTGGCATTTCCCTCATCATCACCTTGACATCACTACCTAGTAAGTACTCGACTAACCTCCTTATTGCATTGACGTGAGTTGAAGAGGAGATTTATCAGACTCCAGAAAATCTCCTCAGACCATGGGATTACAGAAACCCGATTAAGAAGGAGCCCATTTCACAATCTGAAATGACCGAATCCTTTACATTCTTCCTCACAGCCCAACAAGGAGAAAACTAGAGTTGACGATGTTTCAAAGCAAGATTTCTAAAAGATGGGACAGGAAGCCACCCTGAAAACATCCAAGTGGTGCTTATGAGGGTCTGTGATACCTGTGAGGTAGGGGAGGTGCTGACATTTTCCTTGTCCCCAAGCCCACTTTCAGAGCAGTAATTAATGGGAATTCAGGGCCTGGAAATACAACTACTGCATGATGTAGTGAGAGATGCCATTGTCTGAGGTCCTTCAAGGTTCCAGCCACTCACACATTCTCTTGTTTAATTTTCTATCTGCTGTGGGGTCTGTAGATGGGGAATGGGAGGTTAGAGAGGTGAGGGCATCTGCACAAGCTTAGCTAGCTTGCACTGTGGCTGAGCTTAGGCTGGAATCATGATCTTTCCACTATGCCAAGCAGATCTTAGTTAGGGGCCAATTCCCAATGCTGGGAATGTACTGTAAAACCATGACTGTTTGACAACAGGCTGGCACTCAGATTGGCATCACTGGCCAGGGTCCCTGAGGCATGGTCACTAAGCCTCCTGCCCAAGCCAGACCCTGCCCATGGTCCTCTTGCTTGTCCTAGTGGGATGGAGTCACTCCCCATGCCCCAGGATCTGGCCTGTGATGTCTCCTTGCTTTATACCTGACCGTGGCATTTATACCCCAAGGCTGCTCCTCAAGGAGGCTCTGAACCCATGCAGATGGAATAGGAAAAGGAACACTAGAATCGGGTCAGAATGCCGTGGCTCAGCAAGTCCTGACTCTGCTGTGTATCAGGTGTGTTACAAGGGACTTTGACACCTCACTTCTCAGCCAGCATTATTCTTACCTATAAAATGAGGGCAATGAAAGTAGCTTTACTACCCTCACTGGCATGGCAACAAAAAAAAAAAAAAAAAAGGAAAAGGAAAGCAAAAGAGAAAACAACTTTGAAAATACCTTCAATCTCTAAGTAATGGAGGAGTCATAAAGAAGTGAGGATGCAGAAAAAGATCAGATCAAAGGATGTGTTGGTTGTTATGCCCCAAGCAGCTGCCAGTTTCCTTTTCATCATTATGAGAGTAAAAGTTGATTTGGGCTGAAGTTTCAGCTTGAAGAGCAACTCTGCTGGGGAGAAAAGGAGCAAAAATTGAAAAAGAAAGCTACCATCTATTGACCTCCTGCCTTGTCCTTGACATCCCATATATCATTTACTTCTTAAAACTCCATGTTTGCATCATTACCTGCACTTTTCAAATGATGAGTCCAAGACCCAGTGGTCAATTGGACCAAGGTTTCAAAATGGAGTTGAACTGAAGTTCAGATCTGCATGTGTTTGACCACAGGCCAACACTCTTCCTGTGACATGATGCTATTTGAAACGCCTTCCTGATGCTCTGTTATTCCTCTCCCATGGGGATTCTCAGGGAGGGAGAGGAAACTGCAATGGCAGCCTGGGAGGCCCAGTGGAAGGTGCTCAAAGGTATAGCTGGGGGAGACATTCCAGGGAAGTGGGGAAGAGTTCCGATGGGGCTGGTCACTGGCTGCTCCAGCAGTGGGGCTGTTCCTAGCTAGGGAATGTTGAGCTCGTTTGTGATTTCGGTGACAAAGGAGGGCAGGGAAGCAAAGGGGGCCAGGAAGAGTCTCTGGAGATGGGCCATACCACATGACCTGGGCCTCACACAGATGCAGGTTCCTCACCTCTTGGAGTCTCTGGCTGAGGGAATTCTCAGCGATCAAGAATTCTGGTTGAAGCTCAGTGACCCATTTAGCATCCTCTGTCCTCTGCTTGCATGACCATAGTGACAGGACCCTCCTTCCCTCATGAGACAGGACAGTGACTATGTTTGGTGTACAAACACTAGCTACGGGCCCAGCTTCAAGTCTGGGCTCCGATACACACAGCTATGTGTTTCTTAAACTCTTTCATCTTTACTTAGTTCACGATGACATGAAGATAAAGAATGGCCATGTCAGAGGGTTGTTGTGAAGATTAAATGAAATGGTGGATGTGAAGTGTTCATCCCTACAATTGACCCAGACTCTTCGCCCAGCCTTTGTTCACTAGTGTCATCATCATCAACATCATCATCATCTTCACCATCACCAACCTCATTGGCTTTATTTGAGACGGGTCATTCCATCACTTGACAGAGTCAATTGTGCATCTGTTCTTTCAATTGCACTGAAATTATTCTTCTTACACATATCATTGGATCTGGTTCTTCCGTCTGGAGCAAAGCAGAAAAAACATATAAGAAACTATAGGAAAACACACATGGGCTTTGAAATCTGATCCTGGGCCAGACTCTTGGACAAGCCACGTAACCATATTCATCTATCCAAACAAACATTTTTGAGCACCTACAAGGAGTAAGGTACTGTTTTTGGCACTGGGGCTTCAGTGAACAAGAAAGACACAACATCTGGGGCTTAAGGTGATGCTTGGGCAAAGGAGGCAGCCCCTGAGTAATTCATTATGTAAGTCTTTATGATTCTGAGCAGTGCTGTGCATGGATGGTAGAGATACAAGAGGCAGCTGCTATGCCCTTTAATTTTTAAATCTGTAAAGTGCAGATAAACAAACCCACCTGAGGGAGCAGCTATGAGGGTGGAACGAGATCAAATTTACAGTGTCTCATGTCACTAAGGAGGCTTTTTGAATGCCTGTGACAGGAACCCAAAGCAAACTGGCTGAAGCCCAAAAGGGAATTACTTGGCTCACAATAACTAAAATATAACTTGGTTGAATCCAGTGGCTCAGATGATAGCTTTTAAAAAATCCAAATCTGTCTCCACCTCTCAGCTCACCTTGCTTTGTGTTGGCTCCATTGTCAGGCAATCTCTCCCATGGAGGTATAAGATGGGCCCAGCTTGGTGGAAATTCTCCTTCCGATAGTTGTGATTAAAGTCCCAGGCATGAATCTCTTTGACTTGAGCGAGGTTGCATGCGTTCAAGGGTTCTCAACCAGAGGGCAATGTTGCCTCATCAGGGGACATTTGACAATGCCAGGAGATGTTTCTGGTTTTCATAACTCAAGGGTGCTACTAGCATCTAGGAGAAGCCAGGGATGCCTCTAAATATCCTACAATGCACGGGACAACCCCCACAGCAAAGAATTTTCCAGTTCCAAATGTGAATAGTGCCAAGGTTAGAAAATCCTGGCAAATAACATTCTAACACTCTGGATTAAGTGCTTTTAAAAAAGCACATCTTAAATGCCTTGAGAATGATGAGTGATTTTATGTTGACTGGCCAGGCCTGTACCACGCATCCACTCCTGAAGCCATGGTTAGGTGGAGACAGGCAGGAAGGTTTCTTGGTGGAAATTTGAGGAACTCCTCCCAGAAGAAGGATGGAGGTTCGGTGAGCACAAACAACAGGCATCCCATACATCACTCCAGGGAAATAGCAGGTTGTCAAAAGGACTATTTTTGCTTTCATCATTTTCTACTTCAACCCTTTAAAAGGCATCTGTATTTTATAGTAGTAGAAAATAACTGTGTCTCTCTAGGTGCCTGCTGGAGGAGCCTTCAGTGTATGTGGCAAGCATGCATTGGTTAGCCCAGGCTGCCATATCAGAATACCACAGATGGAGTGGCTTCAGCAAACAGACATTCATTTTCTCACAGTTCTGGAGGCTGGAAGGCCAAGATCAAAGTGTCGGCAGGTCTTTTCCTCCCGAGGCTTCTCTCCATGGCTTGCAGATGGCTGCTTTCTCGCTGTGTGCTCCCTGTGTGTGTGCATCCCTGGTGTCCCTTCCTCTTCTTACAAGGACACCAATCATCCCACATTAGGGCCGCTTCCTTGTGACCTCATTTTAGTTTAATTATCTCTTTAAAGGCCCTGTCCCCAAATGCAGTCACATTAGGGGTTAGGGCTTTAACAGGTGAGCCTTAAAAAAATCCAAATCTCTCTCTTTCTCCACCTCTCAGCTCAGCTTGTTTTTTGTTGGCTTCATTGTCAGGCAGTTTCTTCTGTGGAGGTGCAAGATGGCCCCAGCTTGATGGAAATTCTCCTTCCAATCATTGTAGTTAAAGTCCCAGGCATGAATCTCCTTGGCCCGAGCGAGGTTACATGCGTTCAAGGGTTCTCAACCAGGGGGCAGGAACATAGTTTAGTCCATGACTGAGCAACACACCGTGCTGCTGACAACCTCTTCTTTCAGGCTGGAATTGTCTCAGAAAGTCAATTGCCCAGAAGCAGAGCCTGAGGCAGGGATTGGGATGCACACATGGCTTGTGGAGGAAGGGCTCTTCAGGAGTAATCTTTAAGGTGGGGAAAGCAGAAAGCAGCAGGGGAAGGAGCCAGGCAAGGCTGCACTCCCTGGTCAAGTTTAGCCTCACTTGGGGGAGCTCTGGGGCATAATCACACCACAGAGTCACCCAACTTGAAGTAAGGGGGCTGCATCCACCCCTACCACTCATCTGTCACTCGCTGCAGGCAGCACTGGGAAAGGGGGATCCACCTTCAGAGCCAATGTCAATCTTCTGGAGAAGAGTCAACCCTGAGCCTTTAGAAGCCAGCATTCATTGAGCTGGGGGAATCCCTGAGGGGATAGGGAGATAACCAGCCAGCCAGGAAACCTGATCCTCAACCCTGCTTCTCCCAGCCTTAGAAGACTTGACTAGTCTTCTAAGCATAGTGAGAATGGCAAGAACTCTGGAAGAAGGAAACTTGGGTTCATGATGGGACATAAGGAGAAAGCCTGGGCATGGTAGATAAGACCAGAAGACTTCGGGACGGCAGGGTTCCAAAGTGTAAAACAAAGAGTCAACACATCCAAAACAAGAGGCTTCAATGGTACAAGCTGTCCCTGCATCACTGGTTTGTTTTATTATGGACACAACCCCTTTGGTATTACAGACGCATGAGCCGGGAAAGCAGGGTTAGAAATCATAAGAAATCTTCAACCCCATCCCCCACTGCCTAGGACATATCTACCAGAACTAAATATTGGCCTTCTCTGAGCTCACACAGGACTTTCAGTTCCCTGTGTTACGTCACTTGGCATTTTGGGTTGTACTCATTTCATTATGTTCCCGTCTCTTCCCTGATAAGGGAGCCCTTCAACGTAAGAACCATATGTATTTATGGCCCCTAGCACCCAACACAGCAGCTTGTACACAGCAGGCAAGCAGTAGACATTTGTTGGATAAATGGAAGGATGGGTGGAAAATGCTCGATGCTTGAATTTTTCTATCACATCTCCCCAGTGTGGCCATCCTTGCTTGCATCTAAGCATCCTTGTATGCTTGCACACTTTCCGTTCCCTCATCCGATTATTTACTCACCACATATCTGTTGAGTACTTTCTATGTGCCAAGCACTCAGGCATGAGCAAAGCTGCCAAAGTCCCTGTCCTCCTGAAGCATGCAGCCAAGCGGGGAGCACAGCCAAGTAACAAGCATGCAGACTGTGCCATTCGGCCTGTGACAAGGACCAATGTAGAAAACAGAGCAGCTCAAGGAGGTCAGAAGATGCTGGGGAGGGTGAAGAGCTCACCACTTTGTTCAGAGGATTCTCTAAAATGGTGACTTGTGCAGGGAGCACTGAAGGAAGCAAGGGAGTGAGCACGCTCATCCCTGGGAAATAGCTCTCCAAGCAGAGGAGGCAGCAGGTGCAAAAGCCCAGGGGCAAGAAGAGGCTCCACTTCTTTGAAGATGAGAGTGGAGGTCAGTGTAGAGATAATCATAGGAAGCTAGATGGGATATTTGGAGTCAGATCCTGAGGACTTTGCAGGCGAGGGTTGAGACTCTTCCTCTGAGCAAAATGGGAAGTCAGTGGAACGTTTTAAGAACTGATCTGACTTGCATTTGGAAAGGTGTGCTGTTATCAGGGGGTCTCAGAGCCTGGTTGGGAGAACCTTGCAATAGCGCAGGTGAGAGAGGACATGGTTTGCACCAGGGTTGGAAAACAAGGGAAGGCAGGTGTCTGGGCACAGATGCAGGTGCAGAAATACAAGCAGAGGGCATGTGGGAAGGGTCTCTTGGGATTGCCTCTGTGTTCTCAGTGAAAAAGAAAGCATGGTCATCAGCTGAGAATGATAAAAAGGGGATTTGAAGAGAGAGAGAAAACATATGAAATAGTCCTCTAGGAGAGAAGGGTGTTGGATGGACCAGGAATCTGTAGACTCAGTGCAGGGGAGCCTTAACCCTTCTTGAGGTTGGTGGTCATGAATTTCAGGTGAGAAAGGACAACACAGCCATATGTTTTTCTCCAGCCAAGCTGAGCTTTGTAGATGCCCAGTAGACAGAGATTTAACCAGCTGGGGTTTTGCCAGGCATATGTAATGAAAGGGGGTGGATGGGCATATAAATATTTAAAGGGATGAGCCAAGGAATTCAAGCTGGGTATGCAGGAACGGATGAACACGAGGAGGGTGAGGGATGTGGAAACAAGGCATGATCTTGGCTTATAGGCCCAGTCAGGCTGAAGATTTACTGGAAAGGTCTGTGGAGAGATACATTATTTCCATAGGTTCTCTGGTCTACTAGGGTTTAATGAAAAGTACTTTCCAAATTCAAACTGAAATAGAATTCCCTATGTCTTCCCCCAATCCGTCCTGGTGCTCTGCACCAAGTTAAAGCATGGCATGAAGGAAGGTGGCTCTCCTGCTTTCTCTGACCTCTTGTCCAGGCGAAATGTCTCCAGCCCCTTTGACACTTCTGAAGGGACATGCCCTCCAATCTCCTCATCACCCTACCATGCTTCCTTGTATTTGGTCTTTTTTTCCCCTTGAGAGCTGATGACTTTCTGGGTTTCATGGGGAAGATTCTACACTATTGGAGAAGCTAAAAACAATGAATCAGGCATCCTAGGTGGAGTTCTGGGGACACTGGAGTTCTGCTTTCAGAATTGATCTCCCTTGTTTATGTTGCTGTTCATCCACAGGAAACAAATGGAAACAATGATTAAAGTCCTGCTCTGAAGCCCAGTGAGTCAGCTTTGCAAAGGATTTGCACACATTTCCATCCTCACTGCAATGCTGTCAGGCTGAGGGTTATTTTGGGAAGGAATATATTAATATGATAAACTTGCCCAGAGAGTGTGCACTCCCGTTTGCACATGTTTCAAGTCAGACTTTCATATAATTTTAACATTCTCACAAACCTTTCATGCAGTTTTAAAATTAGCACAAAATACACCATCATGTCCAAAGTAAGGGTTCAGACCAAAGCTTTTGGAGGCATCCTTGGCTCCTCTATGCCTCTCCACCTCTGTCCAGTCCATCAGCAAATCCCACCAACTCACTCTTCAAAATATGCTAGGATCTGACCACTTCTCACTAAGTGCACTGCTCCCAGCCTGGTCCAAATCATTACCAGTGGTTGACTCACCTGTTGTGGTAGCTCCCCAGCTGGTCTCCCTGCTTTCACACTTGTCCCCTGCAGTCCAGGAGCAACAGAGAAGACAAGATGTAGTGATCTTGTTCAAGTATTAGCCGGTGTCATTCCTCTCCTTGGAATCTCCCAGTGGCTGCTATCTCCCCCAGGGGGGAAACGCTAGTTCTTATGGTGGCATAGAAGACTCTCTGAGTTCTTCTTTTCTCTTCTCAACTTTCACTTTCTACTGCTTGCTCCCTGGCTCCCTACTGCCTCCAGCCAGGCTGGCCTCACTGATGTTTCTTTCTTTCTTTTTCTTTTCTTTTTTTTTCAAGACGGAGTCTCGCTCTGTCACCCAGGTTGGAGTGCGGTGGCATGATCTTGGCTCACTGCAATCTCTGCCTCCTGGGTTCAAGCAGTTCTCCTGCCCCAGTCTCCCGAGAGGCTGGTTTAGAGAAAAAAACTTATATTTTTATATAATGAGTATAATAGCATCTGCCATAACTGAGTCCCATAATTTATGACAAGAGGCAATGTTAGCTGGTGGGAAGAGCGCAAGTTCTAAGATCAGAGACCCACTGGGGCTCTATTGGGCAAAATAATTTTTTAACCACAATTTACAAAACAATTTAATATCTGTTAACTCATTGAGTCTATAGGAAAAAAAATAAGCCGTAAAGGGCTAAGATGTTTCCCCAACTCCTTGACTCACTGACTATATGACCTAAAACAAGTTTCTAGGCCGGACGCAGTGGCTCACGCCTGTAATCCCAGCACTTTGGGAGGCTGAGGCAGGCAGATCACCTGAGGTCAGAAGTTTGAGACCATCCTGGCCAACATGGTGAAACCCCGTCTCTACTAAAAATACAAAAATTAGCTGGGTGTGGTGGTGCATGCCTGTAATCCCAGCTACCCAGGAAGCTGAGGGAGGAGAATCACTTGAACCTGGGAAGTGGAAACTGCAGTGAGCAGAGATTGTGCCAATCCACTCCAGCCTGGGTGATAGAGCAAGACTCTGTCTCAAAAATAAAAATTAAAAATAAAACAAGTTTCTAGCTTGCCAGCAACCTAGTTAACTTGTTTATAAAATAGAGATTATAAGAGTACCTATCTCTTTGGGTCATTCTGAGGATTAAATGAGCTACTAATGCAAAGTACTTAAAGCAGGGTCTATCCTATAGCAAGAGTTCAATAAATGTGGGCTTTTAGGATCATTTTGCAAAAGTGAGGAAAAGAAAACACAGAGAAATGAAGTTCAAAGTCTCCTAGCTCCTGAAGGATAGAGCTGGTGCAGGAATCCAGGTCCCCAGGCCTCCAAACAAGTCAGGTATTTGAACCATGAGGTCTTAGGCATGTGTTTATAAAAGTGATGGCAGTCCTGACACAGAGCTGTTAATAATAATTATTGCCATGGAAATTTCCCTAATCTTGTTTGAGAGGATTAGTCCAGCCATTCACTTAGTACTGTAGTTCATCAAATCTAAGATGCCATTGGGTCTGAGGAGTATTGTTATTTTATGAGCCACTGGAAAGGAAAGGAAATAAGGAAGAAAGGGAGGGAGGGAGGGAAGGAGCCAACAAAAGTTGTAGAACGCTATGCTGGTTGTCAAGCTGTTGTCTCCTAGCTCCACACTTACCCTTCTGGGCTCTCTCTCTCTGATGCTGGGGCTGGGGCCTGCACCCCCATTTGTCCTTTGCCAATAGGGGCACTAGAGGAGAGAGAAAAGACTAGCTTTTTCATGTTTGTCTGAGTTTCCTGCCAGTCCCAGTGATGACATTGGCAGTTGATTCCAGCTTCCAACTTTTGTCCATTTCCAGAACCAGAATCATATTGCTCCTCAGAGGAAACAGTCCAGTGGACAGTGCCCACTCTCAAAGGTCTTCGGGGCCCTCCTCCATGCCCCTGAGGTGTCAGCACCACATGGGAAACACCCCTTCTTCAGAGGTCTTCCTTTTTGACATCTCGGTTCTTCAATATCCACTTAACCAATTCCCTATGTTAAATTCTCTCCATTAAAATACCTAGAGTGGTTTCCATTTTCCTGCCTGGACCCTGACTCACGAATTGTAAGATGACCACTGACTTCAGAAATGTTAAATGATAGTCTTAGAATTAAAGCAATAAAATACTACCACAGAGAATTCATAGATGTCAAGGCTGATGGTGCCTTTGTAAGTGACCTAGTAGACCCCAGGGCTGAACCCAGTCACACAGCCAGAGGTGGCAAGGCCAGTGCTCCCTGCACTGTGCCTGAGTCTTGCTCTACTCACCCTTCAGAAGGGCCTGGCTCCTGCTCCTGGGATGGACAGTTCAGTGACATGCCTCATGGTTAGACATCTTCATCAAATCTTTCCTTTCTTTCCAGGAAGCACACTTTGCTGGCCAATAATGGGTTTGCAATTTCTGCTGCATTGCTGATGGCCTGCTCGCTCCAGGCAGGAGCCTTTGAAATGCTCATCGTGGGACGCTTCATCATGGGCATAGATGGAGGTGAGAGTTCACCATGACGGGGAGGGAACAGTAACATACTCCTTGGGGGTGTCCCAAAATGTGAGAAGTGTTTGGGGCTGTCACATGACTGGGGCTCTCTGCTGGCATTGACTTGGCAGGGACCAAGGATGCTGGAACTCTGCATAAAGTGGGACAGTCCTGTGGGATGAACCATCCCATTCATGATGCTCTAGCCCCTAATTGAGGAATGCTGGGCAGGGTCCGCAGTCTACCCCAAAGACCTGGATGGTCTTCAGCATGTCATGCCTTCTGTTTGGTCACCTTCATCATAATGTTAATATTCCAAGGTTATTTGTGGTTTTCATGGGGCTTTTATGAGGATGGGGTTTCTTCTCTGGGCCTCTGACTCATTCGTTATTTCATTTACTCGCCAGGCATTTGTAGAGCACCTGCGAGGGCTGGCACACTATAGGATGGAGACACAATGATTAACAAGACCCTGTCCCTGGAGCTTACATTCTAGTGGGCAGACAGATACATAAGGTAGACAGTAGCATGTCCTAGGAAGAAAACAAAGCAGGACAGGAGGGTGGTGAGGGCTGTTTTAGAAAGGCCAATCAGGGAAGACTGCTCAGAGAAGGAAACCTGAGCAGAGACCAGAGGAGCCAAGGGTGAGAACTGTTCCCAGCAGAGAGAAGAGTATTATGTCTCAGAGGCGGAAGGAGGCATGGCACGTCTGGGAAAGAGCAAGGAGATGTGTGGGTGCTGATGACGCCAAAGAGGAGCTGGGGCCAGATCACATAAGACCTTGTAGGCCACGGCGAGGACTGTGTGCCTGTGCCGAGTATGCAGGGAGGGTTGAGATGAATGTGACATGGACTGGTTTGTTCCAGTAATGGAGTATGAGGGGAAGCCAGGAGTGGAATCAGAGGAGCCAGCTGTTCAGGGGAAGGGACTGGGCTAGGTGGGGAGCTGCAGAGAAGGGGACAGATGCTGGCTATGGGAGTGAGAGTAGGAGACTCAAGATATATTGTCAGACAAACGCTGCTCTCTTTCTAAATAGGCAAATCCATAAAGTATCACTTTTAGGCATTTGTGGAAAGATTGCAAGCCTTAGGATTAGAAATCCCTGAGTTTGGATCTCAGTTCTGCTGCAAGTTACTTAATGGCTCTGAGCCTTGGTTTTCCCATTTGTAAAATGGTGGTAATAATACCTACTTCAAAAGGCTATAATAAGGCTGAACGGAAACACACACTCTGTCTCTCTCTCTCTCTCTGTCTCTCTCACACACACACATATACACATATGTACTGCCTGGAACCTAGCATGAGCTTCTTAAAGGCTAATTCCCTTCCTTGTCGATGTCTTAAAAGCTGAGGGTACCAGGTTGTTCAGCTGAGTGAGATGAACAATAAAAATGTCTCAGGGAGAGGTGAGCAGGAGAGTGGGGGCCTGGAAGTAAGGTTGAGAAGAGGAGGCTTCACTTACTTTTGTTGCCCTGCTGGAGGGGAATAATCTAGGCCTCTCTAATAGTCCAAACTCAAGATGAAATGACTCCTCAATCATTTGTCTATTCATTTGTCTATACTACTTGAATAGACTCCTTCTATTGATGGCTATTGAGAGTTTATCCATAAGAATAATGGCTGGTGTCTATGTAATGTTTTATAACTGACCAACTGTGTTCATGCTTTTCATTTTTTTTGATCTCCTCCTGTAATGAAAGACTGTTTTCTCATGTTCATTTTACAAATGGGGGCCCTAATGCTCAGAAAGCTGGAGCAGGAAAGTGGTTAAGGGTGAAGACTATGGAGTCAGACTGCCTGAATGCTCTCACTTGCTTCCATTAATTTCATTAATTTATCTGTATAGGTTAGGTTTGATGTATTTAAAAACCCCGAAACTTAAGCCATGATGGCACCACTGCATTTTAGCCTTGGCTACAGAGCGAAACCCTGTCTCTTAAAAAACAAAACAAAACTTAATGGCTTCAAATAGTAACCATTTTCCTGTGCTTTCACTTCTGTGGGTCGGCTGGGCAGTTCTGCTCTGGGCCAGCTCTGCCAATCTCTGCTGGGCCTTCTCATGTGTCTGCGGTGGCTTCAGGTTGGTCAGTGGCTGGATGACCTGGGATGGTCTCACGCCTGTGTTTGGGTGTTAGCAGGTGGCCTGGTCTCACGGGCTGTCAGTGGGCCAGCTCATTTCTTGGCTTCCCACCCTGGGCCAGGGGGGCCTGGGCTGCCTTGCATAAAGTTCTTGGGCTTCCAACAGCAGCCAAAGGAGAAAGTCCCAATGTGCACAATGTGCAAGCACTTTGCATGCACGTTTGCTGGTGTCCCTTTGGCCCAAGCAAGTCCCATGGCCACGTGCAGAATAAATGTCAGAGAGGACTAACTCCCCAAGGATGTCGATCCAGGGAGGGGGTACAAATCAGGGACCACTGCAGCAACCATTGACCTCACAGTCTTGGCCTCTTTCCCACCTGGCGTGGCAACTTAGCAGTAAGGCCTCCCTTGTTGGGTGATGTGAAAATTAAATGGGCCGGGCACGGTGGCTCACACCTGTAATCCCAGCACTTTGGGAGGCCGAGGCGGGCGGATCACCTGAGGTCAGGAGTTTGAGAGCAGCCTGACCAACATGGAGAAACCCTGTCTCTACTGAAAATACAAAATTAGCTGGGCATGGTGGCATATACCTGTAATCCCAGCTACTCGGGAGGCTGAGGTGGGAGAACCACTTGAACCCAGGAGATGGAGGTTGCGGTGAGCCGAGATCACCCATTGCACTCCCGTCTGGGCAACGTTAGCAAAACTCGATCTCAAAAGTAAATACATAAATAAATAAATAAAATAAACGATGTTCTACGTATTGAAGTACTTAGTGTAGTTCCAGGCACTTAGTGCCCCACTCCAGGAATGCTGATGGTATTATTGTCATTGTTGTTATTTGTGTTCTTAATTAATAAAGTACAGATCTAGGATTTGGGTTTCAGAGGCCCTGCCTGCTTTGGAGAAAGCCTGGATGAGGTTGCAGTGGATCTTCTGGGAAGTCCTTTCCTAGTGGAGGCAACTGAGATTCTCTGTTTGGCAGTTTTATATTTTATCCATTATCCCCTTTCTTGTTGCTTTGACTAATCTGGGGAGTTGACCCTTCGAACATATAACTAATTGATCTCTGAATTTCCTTAACTAAAAATAAGCTGCATTCCAAGATGGACCTTTTACAAAACCACAGAGATAGAACAAATGTCTTTTAGACCCTTTTTCCTATGAGCTTTCAAAAAGAAGCAGGAAAGAAAGAAGAACAAGAAGGAAAGAAAAAACTTCGGTCTTTCCGACTTGTGGCACGTGGCCTGTTGGAGTCACGCCAGGACTTGGAGACTTCATGTCATGTATTCTCACCAACCCTCTCAAAGCAGAGAGAAGAACTCGAGGGCACTTAAGGTGAGACAATTGGTCAGAAAGAAAGGAATATTGCTGCTATTACCTGAACTGGCCGATCTGTTTGTAATAAAGAATTTAAAGCCGGTCCGGGCGCAGTGGCTCACGCCTGTAATCCTAACACTTTGGGAGGCCAAGGCAGGCGGATCATCTGAGGTCGGGAGTTCGAGACCAGCTGACCAACATGGAGAAACCCGTCTCTACTAAAAATACAAAAATTAGCTGGGCGTGGTGGCGCATGCCTATAATCCCAGCTACTCAGGAGGCTGAGGCAGGAGAATCACTTGAACCCGGGAGGTGGAAGTTGTGGTGAGCCGAGATCAAGCCATTGTGCTCCAGCCTGGGCAACAAGAGTGAAACCCCATCTTGGAAAAAAAAAAAAAAGAATTTAAAGCCAAATGATAAACCTGAAGGATTTTGAGATGATAGAAGGCTCTAAGACTTGCTAATCCAGCCAGGTTCTCCCGGAGTATTTGAAACCATAATAGGACAACAGGGCATCTTCCTGGAGTGTTCTTCATCTAGAAGGTTTAGAGAAAAAAACTATTATATTTTTATAAAATGAGTATAATAGCATCTGCCATAACGGAGTCCCATAATTTATGACAAGAGGCAATGTTAGCTGGTGGGAAAAGTGCAAGTTCTAAGATCAGAGACCCACTGGGGCTCTATTGGGCAAAATAATTTTTTTAAACATCTCTGGACATTACTTGGTGATTTAGGCAAGTTACTCAACTTTTCTGTGCCTCAGTTTACTAATCTTTAGAAGAGAAATGGTAATAGTATATTTAATTCAGAAGACTATTGTTAAAAGTAAATAACGTTAATACATATAAAGAGATGAGAAGGATTCCTGTTACTTGGTAGCCACTATGTGTATTGGCTATTATCATTGTGACCACCATCACCACCATCACCATCACCACCACCACCACACCATCACTATCACCACCATCGCCACCATCACTATCATAACCATTACTACTACCACCACCACTATCACCATCATCATCATTGCCACAACCATCATCACAGTCATCACCACCACCATCATCATCATCACCATCATGACCATCACTACCACCACCACCATCACTACCATTACCACCACCATCATCACCGTCACCATCGCCATCATTACCATCACTACCACTACCACCATCACCATTACTACCATCACTACTACCATCATCATCACCATCATGACCATCACTATCACCACCACCATCACTACCATCACGACCACCGTTATCACCATCACCGTCATTATCACCATCAATACCATCACCTCCACCAACACCATCAGCTGTGTCCTGTCCTCTGAAATGCACCTCCAGTCATACTTTAGGATTAAATTATAAAGTTCATGGGAAAGCTTTGGCAATTTGTGCTAAGTGCTGGGAAAAATGCCGTGGCTACAGTGCTATTTAATGTCCAGGGCAAAGCAGAGCCAAGAGAGGCATTGTAACCAGAGTGCAGCTCCCCCGGGAAGACACCTCTCTAACTGCTGCTATGCTTTCTCTCTACAGGCGTCGCCCTCAGTGTGCTCCCCATGTACCTTAGTGAGATCTCACCCAAGGAGATCCGTGGCTCTCTGGGGCAGGTGACTGCCATCTTTATCTGCATTGGCGTGTTCACTGGGCAGCTTCTGGGCCTGCCCGAGCTGCTGGGAAAGGTGAGTGTGGCTCCCTGGTCAACCGCATCTGCTCTCATCTCATGTTACCACTGCAGGAAGGAGCCTTTTCTCCAAAAGCTGGTCCCTGTATTTTGCAATTTCTGGTATTCAAGCCTCTTACTTATTATTGGAGAAAAGTTGTGGAGTTCCTTTGAGTTTATTTTTTTTAAGTACATAAAGAATACATAACAAATTGAAACCTTATAGAATGTTTAAGTCCACCCACCCAGTAATTATCATTAATAGCTCAATTTGTGTTTGTTTAGGCATCTTCTGTGCTTTAAAAACCTATATAAACATATATAGTTTATTGTGGCTTTGATGGAATTATGCCATACACATTGTTCTACAACCTGGTGTTTTCATTTAATATATTTTGGGCATCTTTTCAAGACGTTAGCTTAGCTCTACCTCATTCTTTAGTCTCTTTTTTCCTGAATAGATAAGTAAGTAGAGTCTTCCGGTTTTGGCTTGCTGTTTTGGGAGCAGGTGGGCCTGAATTTGAATCCCAGTTCGATGATTTACTTGCTGTGTGGCCTTAGCAGGGAGAAAAGAAACATTTCACTCAGGTCGAATGGGGTGGGGTAAACTCAAGGAAGGCTTTTTAGAAGAGGTGGCCTCTAAATGGACTCCTGAAGGGTAAGCAGGAGTTAGGCAGGTGATGATGGGGATTGGGACAGAGGATATACCAGAGAAAGGAAATCAGTAAAGAAAAGGCTCAAGATGGGGCACAGCCCTGGGAAAGAACTCAGATGGCTGTGGGGCTGAGGAGAAAGCAGGCATGGGGAGGGTGAGAGATGAAGCGTCTGTTCACTGAGCCACCACAGACTTCACCCTGGGGGAATAGGAAGCCCTGGATGGCACTGGAGCTGGAGGGTGACATGGCCAGATCAGTGTTAGAAGGTGGCTCTGGGGTGGAGGCGGTGGGTGTAGACTAGAGTGGGAAGGGTGGGGAGGAGAGAGGCAGAGGGCTGCTGCTATTGGTACACATGGTAAGGGAAGGATGCAGCTGCGACTGAGGTGGTAGACATGGGGATAAAGAGGCCACTGGACTTGCTAGGATTCCTCCCAGGGGATGCCTCCCAGGGATGCAGGGGCGCTGCCTTCCCACTCACACAGGCAGGGCAGGAGGGTAGGCAGAGATTAAACCACTAATGATGGTCGAATGCCCACTTCATGCCAGACTGTTCTAGGCACGAACAGTGCACAACAGACAAACAGCTCCCTGTGGAGCTGAATTCTAGCAGCAGGGGGCAAACATAACAAATTCGCACGTCCTAGAGCAGTTATGTAAAAGACTCATTTGTTATGCTGCTCAAATCCTAACAGCTACTTTGTGAGTAGCTCAGATATGCAGCCTTGGACGCAAGCAGAGAGAGGTAAGGGACAGAGCTCTCACAAACAAGGGCATATTGGTGCTGAAACCAGAACCCGGGTCTGTGTGCTTTCAAAGCCACGTATGGGTTGTGTCTTACACATCCAAGGATGGATCACACTGGTGTTTCTGGGAATGTGGGCGCTCTGGAGAGAAGGGGCTAATTCTGCCCACAGGGTCCTTTCTGTCCCAGCTACTGAGCCTCACTGACTCTAGGGCCAGCTCCTTTCTCATTCAGTGGAAGGTTTTATAAGTGGAGGAATCACTGTATTCCATTTTTAAAGCAAATTTTAAATGTTTTGAACATTTTTTATTGTGGTAAAATCCACATAAAGTTTACCATTTTGACCATTCTTAAGTGTACTTTTCTGTGATATTATAAGTGACTTTTTATATTTCAGCCAATCGAGGTCACCTCAGAGGCATCTGCTTCTGATCTTTTATTATGACCATTCTGGGTTATTACGGCTATGACTTTAGTTTCTTCTTTTGCAAAAACAGAAACAACTCACATTTTACATTTGTGGTTGTCATATGCATGACGATTTCTATAATTAATTGCGAGTGTGTTAGAAACAGTCTCTCAACCTAAGTGAGGTTCCAAACTAAAGAGACTCTTTTGCTTTTTGTTTCTAAAGATATTTTAAAATTCTCAAAATAACCACCACATGTTGATAATAAAAACAAGATAACAGCCTCAGCTCCCTAAACAAAAATACATTTAAAAGTCAATGAAGAGTGCTATTGTCCTTTAGGAGTAAAAAAAGTAAATAAATATTTACCTCAGTAGAGCTAAACTTTTCTCTTTGGGGATCATTTCCAAATTCCACTTTGTTTATAAATCAATATCAAGTTCTTTCTCCTGCTTGAGTCCGTAAGGTCTGTCTTCAACCTCTGTCTTCACCCTTTATTTATTCATTCACCACATTTGTTAAAACATTGAGTTGATTCTGGAGCTACAGCTTTGAGCACATCAGGTACAGCCCACGTCTTTCTTACTCAGACTGCAAGGACTTTGTGACCTTGGGAAGGTCGACTCACCTCTCTGACCCAGTGTCCTCTTCAGTAACAGGAATGGTTGCAAGTCCCAAATTCCCAAGCCCCACTCAAGCTTGACTTCCTCTGGGAAAACATCGCTGGCAAATAGTGACTGTTCAGCATATCCTAGGACACCGTGCACCTGTGCCTCTCCCACACTGATTTCCGTTTGCTTCCGCATCTTGTCCCGCCAGTCGATGGCATCTTACTTGCGTGCACACTAACCCAGAGGCGTCAAGTTTATCCAGTCATTCAACAAATGTGTAGAAAGCTTCTATTGTGTGCTAGGTATTGTGCCAGGTATTGGGTTGGCTGCTGGTGGTAGAGTGGTGAGATCATCAGGCTAGCCCTGCCCTTCGGAGGTCACAGGAGGGCAATTGACCAATGGCCACAGGTAATAGGAAAATAGGCACTGACCTCTGGTAGGGCATCGGGGGTGGTTTTCCTGCAGCAGTGACATCTAAACTCATGGCTTGAGGATGAGTAGGATTTATCTGGGCGGGTCTGTAGGAAGAGAGAGGCAATGGGGGCGGGGAGTTCTAGCCAGAGGTAAGAGTATGGGGGAAGGCCCTGGCATTTGTTCAGAGGCAGAAAAACTCAGGTGTCAGGAGCAGGGGGAGGGGGAGGGGGAGGGGGAGAGGGAGAGGGAGAGACCGCTGGCAAGGCAGGCAGCAGAGAGGGCCACACCTATGCTGTAAATGAGCACAGGGAAGGATGGGCAAGGTGAGAGGTTCCCAGGACCTGTGGCTGCTTGAGGGACAAGGGCATCTCCTACTGTTTCCATCACAGACACTGGCCTAGAGATGACAGATTTTCTGATTTTCAAGAGACATTACAAATCCAGATTTGTCATATTTCATAATTTGTAAATATTGGAAACTGACCTTTAAAAAACAAAAAACGTCCCACCTGTGGGCTGGGTCTAGCCTTAGGGCCACCTTTCACACACCTTGATGGGGACTGTGTAACTGTGAAGGCTTATTTGTACCCCAAAGCAATGGGACATCATTGAGGACATGATGAGTGCTTCAAGAAGGCTTTTGGCCTGCAGCATGGAGAAAGGATTGGATCCCAGCCAGGACTGAAGGGGTTGACTGGTCCAGTTATGAGTTGGGTCAGAGTAATGGCAGTGTGGATGGAGAGAGGCAGATGAGGTTGAGTGAGGTTAGTGGTGATGGGATGTGGTGTCCCAGAGAGGAGGAGTCAAAAATAACTCTCAGGCGTCTGGCACATCAGCCAGATAGAATGGTGGTACCAGATGCTAAGACAGGGAGCTATGAAAGAGAAGGAGTAGCTCTGCAGGGGAAAAGGTGACAAGTTCACTGATGTGAACTGTGCATGTCTCAGAGCAACTGGAAGGAAGAGCTGATTCGAGGACCTGGGTACCTAGATTCTGAGGCTGGGACACTCTCTCCCAGGAACAGGGCTCATGAACATGATGCCAGCCAAGGGGCACAGCTGCCCATGCCCACCTTCTGGCTTTGAGCTAGCCAAAAGGTGTACCATTGGTTCCTATAGGCTGTCTCTTCCCATCAGATGGGAGTTTCCAGACAGTCTTGGCCCTGGCCAGGAAGATGGGTGAGGAACCCTGTAAATATCCTTCTGTTTTCAAATGTATGCTCTGGGAATGTGGATCTAGGGCTTCTGGTCCAGGAAAGAACATCAAATGGGAAATTTTTATTCATGTCTCTGGGGATTTGCAGTGTTCCAGCCAAGTGAAATTCACAGTTATTTCACTAAGTGTCAGAATTTCATTTTCACTATTTTAATCATATTTCCCATTTACCTTCAAAGACTGAGACAACGAAGCTTTGAAAAAAGAGAGAGAAAAACTGGGCTTCAATGAAGGCAATTGCTTTGAAACACAGAGGGTGAAGGAGGGTTAGCAAGAAGGTAGCTATTTATTTATTTTATGACTTCAACTTTTATTTTAAATTAAGAGGGTACGTGTGCGTACTTATTTCCTGGGTATATTGAGAGATACTCAAGTTTGGGGTATAATTTATCCCATCACACAAGTACTGAACATACTACCCAATAGTTTTTCAACTTTTCTCCCCTCTATCCCTCCCCTCCATCTATCCCACTGTCTCCAGTGTCTAGTGTTGCCATCTTTATGTCCATGAGAACCCATTGTTTAATTCCCACTTATAAGTGAGAACATGCAGTGTTTGGTTTTCTGTTCCTGTGTTATTTCACTTAGGATAATGGCCTCCAGCTCCATCTATGTTGCTGCGAACAACATGATTTTGCTTCTTCTCATGGCTGCATAGTATTCTACGGTGTATGTGTATCACATTTTCTTTATCCAGTCCACCATTGATGGACACTTAAGTTAATTTCATGTCTTTGCTATTGTGAATAGTGGTGCCATGAACATATGAGTGCATCACTCTTTTTGGTAGAATAATTTATTTTCTTTGGATATATACCCAATAATGGGATTGCTGGGTCAAATGGTAGTTCTAAGTTCTTTGAGAAATTTCCATACTGCTTTCCATAGTGGCTGAACTAATTTACATTCCCACCAACAGTGCATAAGTGTTCCCTTTTCTCTGCAGCCTCATTAGCATCTGTTGTTTTCTGACTTTTTAATCACAGCCCTTCTGACTGGTGTGAGATGGTATCTCATTGTGGTTTGGATTGGCGTCTCTCTGATGATTAGTGATGTTGAGCATTTTTTAATATGTTTGTTGGCCACTTGTATGTCTTCTTTTGAGAAGTGTCTGTTCATGTCCTTTTCCCATTTTTTAATGGGGTTATTTGTTTTTTGCTTGTTCAATTGTTTAAGTTCCTTATAGATTATGGATTTTAGCCCTTTGTCAGATGATAGTTTACAATTATTTTGTCCCATTCCATAGGTTGTCTGTTTACTCCATTGATAGTTGCTTGAATTGAAGAGCTCTACAGAAGCTCTTCAGTTTAATTAGATTCCACTTGTCAATTTTTGTTTTTGTTACAATTTCTTTTGCAATTTTCTTTCCCAAGGCCAATGTCCAGAATGATATTTCCTAGGTTTTCTCGTAGGATTCTTATAGTTTGAGGTCTTTCATTTAAATCTTTAATCCATCTTGAGTTAATTTTTGTATATGGTAAAATGTAGGGGTCCAGTTACATTCTTCTGCATATGGCAAACCAACTATCCCAGCACCATTTATTGAATAGGAAGTCCTTTCCCCATTGCTTATTTCTGTCAACTTTGTCAAAGATCAGATGGCTGTAGGTGTACAGCTTTACTTCTGTGTTCTCCATTCTGTTTCATTTGTCTATGTGTCTGTTTTTGTACCAGTACCATACTGTTTTGGTTACTGTAGGTTTACAGTATGGCTTGAGGTCAGGTAATATGATGCCTCTGGCTTTTGTTCTTTTTGCTTAGGATGGCTTGGGCTATTTGGGCTCTTTTTTGGTTTTATATGAATTTTAGAATTTTTTTTTCTAGTTTGGTGGAAAATGACATTGGTAGCTTGATAGAAATAGTGTTGAATCTGTAGATTGCTTTGGGCAGTATTGCTATTTTAATGATATTGATTGTTCTAATCCATGAACATAGAATGTTTTTCCATTTGTGTCATCTGTGATTTCTTTCAGTAATGTTTTGTAGTTTTCTTTATTTAAATCTTTCACCTCCTTGGTTAATTATTTCCTAGTTTTTTTTTTTGGCAGCTATTATAAATGGGATTGCATTCTTGCTTTGGCTCTCAGCTTGAACATTATTGGTGTATAGAAATACTACTGATTTTTGTACACTGATTTTGTATCCTGAAACTTTCCTGAAATCCCCTGTCAGTTCCAGGAGACTTTTGGTGGAGTCTTTTCTAGATCATCAGTGAAGAGAGATAGTTTGACTTCTTTTCCTATTTGAATACCTTTTATTTCTTTCTCTTGCCTGATTGCTCTGGCTAGAACTTTATTGCTATGCTGAATAGGAGTGGTGAGAGTGGGCACCTTGTCTTGTTTCAGTTCTCAAGAGGAATGCTTTCAGCTTTTGCCTGTTCAGTATGATGTTGGCTGTGGGTTTGTCATAGTTGGCTCTCATTATTTTGAGGTATGATTGTTTAATGCTTAGTTTCTTGAGAGGTTTTATCATTAAGGCTTGTTGGATTTTATCAAAACATTTTTCTGCATCTATTGTGGTGAATCACCTATATTGATTTGCATATGTTAAACTAACCTTGCATCCCAGGAAGGAAGCCTACTTGATCATGGTGAATTGACTTTTGATATACTACTGGATTCGGTTTGCTGGTAATTTGTAAAGGATTTTTTCATCTATGTTCATCAGGGATATTGGTTTCTAGTTTTCTGTTTTTTTTTTTTTTAATACTTTAAGTTTTAGGGTACATGTGCACAACGTGCAGGTTAGTTACATATGTATACATGTGCCATATTGGTGTGTTGCACCCATTAACTTGTCATTTAACATTAAGTATACCTCCTAATGCTATCCCTCCCCCCTCCCCCCACCCCACAACAGGCCCCAGTGTGTGATGTTCCCCTTCCTGTGTCCATGTGTTCTCATTGTTCAATTCCCACCTATGAGTGAGAACATGCGGTGTTTGGTTTTTTGTCCTTGCGATAGTTTGCTGAGAATGATGGCTTCCAGCTTCATCCATGTCCCTACAAAGGACATGAACTCTTCATTTTTCATGGCTGCATAGTATTCCATGGTGTATATGTGCCACATTTTCTTTTTATTGTATCTTTGCCAGGTTTTGGTATTGGTGTTATGCTGATTTCAAAGAACAAATTAGAGAGGAGTCCCTCCTCAATTTTTTGGAATAGTTTCAGCAGGATTGGTACCAGCTCTTCTTTGTACATCTAATAGAATTTGGCTGTGAATCCATCTTTTCAGGGCTTTTATTGGTTGGTAGGTTTTTTATTACTCCTTCAATTTCAGATCTTGATATTGTTCTGTTCAGGGTTTCAGTTTCTTCCTAATTGAATCTTGGGAAATTGTGAGTTTCCAGGAACTTATTCATTTCCTCTAGATTTTCTAGTTTGTGTGCCTAGAAGTGTTCATAATAGTCTCTGAAGATATTTTATATTTCTGTGGAATCAGTTATAATGTCACCTTCATCATTTCTGATTGTGCTTATTTGGATCGTCTCTCTTTCTTTTTTAATCTAGCTAGTGGTCTATTAATCTCATTTATCCTTTCAAATAATGAACTTTTGGTTTCATTGATTCTTTGTATGGATTTTGGATCTCAATTTTGTTCTGTTCTGTTCTGATTTTATAGCTGTTTCTTTTCTTTTGCTAACTTTGGAGTTGGTTTGATCTTGTTTTTCTACTTCCTCTAGGAGTGGTGATAAGATTATTAATATGAGATCTTTCTAACTTTTTGAGGTAGGCATTTAGCACTCTAAACATTCTTCTTACCACTGCTTTTGCTGCATCTCAGAGATTTTGGTATGTTATGTCTCTGTTTTCACTTATTTCAAATAATTTGTGATCTCTGCCTTAATTTCATTGTTTACCCAAAAGTCATTCAGGAGCAGGTCATTTAATTTCCATGTAATTGTGTGGTTTTGAGAGATCTTCTTGGTGTTGATTTCTAATTTTAGTCCACTGTGGTCTGAGAGTATGGTTGGTATGAGTTTAATTCTTTTGAATCTACTGAGACTTGCTTTATGGCTGAGCCTGTGGTAGACGAAGGTGGCTTTTAGAGTAGGCTGCTAGAAGGCAAGAAAGGGAAATAAATGTAGGAATTAATGCTGGTTCCATGAATTTAATCAAAGATACATCATAAAACAATTGTCATGGCTGAACATTTATGTGACTCCAAATGATATATTTTTTTTAAAACAAATCAATTAGCTATTTCTCTTGCAAAGATAAAGAAGAAATAGACTTAGATGAAAATTATAGGCAAAAGTATGAGAAGAGAGATTAGGAATGATGTGAGGCCGTAAAGGAACGATTTTATATGCTCAGAAGAACATTTATGTCAGATAAGAATGATTAACTTTGAGCTCCCACTTTTCTTTCCTCTCAAGGAAAGAAATATACTAATGGTTGCAAATTTTTTCAATCTAAATAACAAACAGGGAGACTTTCTGAAAGAAAACAATGTTTATTCAGGAATGGGCATTGCAATTGGCATAGGTGTGCCATAGTAAACCATGTGCATATTCAGGGAGGTGAAAGAAGACAAAGGATTTTAAAGAAAAAATGAGACGAATTATGTAATTGTTTTTGAGATAGTTATCTTTGAATAGAAGGATCAGTAACAAGGGTGGCATCAGTCCAAGGTTGGACAGGCAGTTGCTAGGCAGGTGTTCTCGCAGCAGTATTTTCTCGTGTAAGGTTGTAGTGGCCTTTGTGCAAGGTTTTTGCAGTCTTTTGCAATAGTTTTTGCCAGCAGGCATCTGTATATGAGAATCTTCCTTTCATGACCTTCCTTAGCTTTATTTTTCAGGGGTTTGCTTTTATTTTTGCTTTTTAACACAGGTGACTTTATTTTTATTCTGACAACTTTCACATTTCCTTTTTTGATCAAGATTTTTTAAAAAAATCACTGGTTAACCATTTTGTAGTTAGGTTTTGATTATCCCTAGGTGAGGCAGCTGGGATCAACCTGTCTCACGTTGTTGGTTGGTCCTACATTGGAAGGTGTAATTGGAGTTAGTGTCTAAACTCTTTTAGCTACATTTGAGCAACAAGAGGGGTTTGGAGAGAGTGGTTCTCAGGCTACATCTACCTAAAATCAAGTGTTAAGTTTAAGTTTTTGTCTATTCTGTAGGCATTTACTATTATCTAAAAGTGTTGGGCCAGTATTATTCTGTGAAGATTTGTTCTGTAGAAATTTAACAAGTAATAGGTACAAGGTTTAAAAGAAAAATACAAAGTAAAATTAATAGTAATATGACAATCTCAGCTTGTATATTAGTTGTGATCCATGAACTTAGGTTTAAAAGCAACCAATTAAATAAATTAAATAAATTAAATTAATTAAATGATCATGACAAATTAGGTGAAACTTGTTGTTGTAGCAGGATGAGCCACAGACAAAACCTCTCACACAATGAATTGTAGAAGGAAGGGCTTTATTCAGCTGGGAGCATCGGCAAGCTACTGTCTTAAAATCCGAGCTCCCTGAGTGCACAATTTCTGTCCTTTTTAGGGGCTCACAACACTAAAGATTTTACATGAAAGGGTCGTGATTGATTTGACCAAGCAGGCGGTACATGACGGGGGCTGCATGTACCGGTGGTCAGAGTGAAACAGAACAGAATGGGAGGTTTCACAATGTCCTTCTATATAATGTCTGGAATCTATAGATAACATCAGTTGCTAGGTCAGGGGTGGAATTTTAACTACTAGGTTTAGGCCAGGCAGGCCCAGGCCTGGTTTTGGGTCCGGTTTTGGGTCTGGCGCCTGGCGCTGGGCTGCCTGCCTTTGGTTTCACTTCCTTGTTTTTTTCTTAAAACAGGTACTGAGTATAAAACAATATGAGAGGTCTCTTTCTTCCCTCATTGTAACCTGCATTTTTTTTTTTAATTTTGTGTCTTTGAGTCTTAACTCTTCTAGGGGAATTTATCCAAGTATAGCATGTAGTATTAGCAACAGCACAAACTCTTTTTGTTTGTTTAACCCAGCTAGCTGGGTTCCAGGAACCTTGCACTGAGAACTCAAAACTGCCACAGGCTATAAGCTTTCCCCACCCAGACAGAAACTGTGGTTTTCAGGCTGTGCCCCTCCTGGTCCACCCCAAAGCAGGGATGCCCAGCTTCTGTACTTGTGACTACAGTACCCCCACTTGCCCCTTAGTTCTGGCCAAGGGAGCTCATCCCCACTCAAGATTATGTCGTGAATCACAGTTGAGACCTTCTCTCAACCTGTGACTGCCACCCGAGTTGGCTGGCTGACTTCTGCAAGGCTCCCTGTGAAGTAGAGTCAGGAATGTCTTCTCTCCATCCCCACTGGAGTCTAGGAGTGCACGCAAAGCATGTCCGATGCTGCTCCTTCTCAACATTCCCCACCACTCAGCTCCAGTGCTGGGTGGGGCCAAGGCCATCCCCCATGGCCTATATTATCAGGTTCCCTAGCGGGAGTGTGTGTCACAGAGGCAGTCTCTCCCACTGCCACACTCTGAGGACTCACAGTTTTCCACCTGGCTTATGGTGTAGGCTGCTGCCACCACTTCTTTCAAAGAGTCTGTGGTTTCTTTCAGTTTTCTGGTTAAATGCCTGTGGTGTTTCTTGGAAAAAAAATTATAGCGTGAGTCTCTACACACTATTTTGTCTTTCCAAGTATGAGAGGTGATATGGTTTGGCTTCATCTCCACCCAGATCTCATCTTGAATTGTAGCTCCCATAATTCCCATGTGTTGTGGGAAGAACCCAGTGGCAAATAATTGAATCATGGGGGTGGATTTTTCCCATACTGTTCTCATGATAGTGAATAAGTCTTATGAGATCTGATGGTTTTACAAAGGAGAGTTCCCCTGCACATGCTGTCTCTTGCCTGCCGCCATGTAAGACATGCCTTCATCTTCTGCCATGATTGTGAAGCCTCCCCAGCCATGGGGAACTGTGAGTCTATTAAACCTCTTTTTCTTTATAAATTACCCAGTCTCAGGTATGTCTTTATCAGCAGCATCAAAAGGGACTAATACAAGAGGCATGCTAACAATGCCTCTAATCTGCCATCTTGGGGGAAAAAAACCACATTGATCTTAAAGTTTTTTGAAACTTGTATTTAAGAGTATTTGTCAAAGTCTTTGTAATGAATCTAATTGCAGATAACTTTAGAGAAAAATTTAAAATAACTGTAAATGACAAAAATTTAAAACTACCATAGTTGAAAATAGGATAAAAGTTCCCCATAACCAGAAATTTGCAAGGAAATTTAGTTATTTTGTGGCCTACAATATAATAACCAAAATTATGACTGATAACATAGAAGATTTTAAGAGTTTTATTACCATTTTAGAACATATATACCAATAACATATCCATAAATGTAACTGAAAGAAGATCTAGTATCACTTAGCATTTGATATTTCCCATATAATTTACCAAATAAGCCTAATTATTTAATATCTCTACAAGATGAGAGAGAAGTCCTTTGAGGCTTTCTAGGGGCCTGACTGGAAAATCTCAAAGTTAAGTTTATGTCAAAAAGATTTAATTTAGCATTTTGATGCTGGGGAAGTCCATCAAAGATGCCAAAAGTTTTAAAATACCTGATCAAAACAGTATCACAGGGCACTGTGTGATAGTCATTTATTTAATTAGAGTGATAATTATAGATCTTAAAAGCAATACAGAAAGTTATATAGATATTAAAAAAACTTTAACCCTTAAAGTCTCCATTTTTTAAAAGTAATAAAAAAATTTAGTAAAGGCAACACAGGAAATTATCTTGATAAAATATAAAATATTTGTTTCTTAGGCCAGTTACTAAAAAGGCAATGAAAAACCTCCTTCTATGTGATTGGTTCACCTCATGGGAAGCCTGTTTAGACAACCTGATGAAAAAGTACTTGTATGTATTCAGAATGTATATCCAAGGCTATGACTGTACACTGTGGAACATAAACAAGAAAAGTATTACTTTAAGCAGGGGGATATATGGCTCTTAGTAAAAGCATGAGAAATTCCCTGGTTACATGGAACAATGTAGACACATGAAGAAAAGCTAAGTACAGAATCAAGTTATACTGGAAAAAAAGAAACATTGCTTTTCTAGGTCTTTGAGACAAACATTTTTAGTGTCAGGCCTCAATAGCTGTTAGAATGAGAGGAAGAAGTTATAGGAGCTAACAAAGAAGTTGAAGGAGAAAGTCAACATTCCAGCCAAGCAAAAAGATGTACCTTCTCAAGGAAAGAAAGTGAAAGAACAGAAGGCAATGTAGTATGAACTGCACATGCTATGCTGTGAGACACATTAAAATTGAACTTCTGAGATAGGACTCTGAGAAGCTTCAAGACGAAAACTCCACCTTGAGAAATGAAGATACCATTTTTAAGAAGAAGATAGCATTTTAAACTAAAAACTAGTTAAATTAAATGGAGACTATAAAACAAACAAAAAAATAAGCTACAGTTTAGAAAGTGGCTGAAAATTTTTACAATTAAAAATCAGAACTTCTTGTAAATTTTACTAAAAGCAGATCATTACTTCAAGAAAACTTTGTTGCTTTAACATAAGGGACCAAATTTTTAGTTTTGTATTGGTGTATTTTTAATATCAAAACTCAAACCTTAGAAAGGCTTATAAA
Organism: Homo sapiens; assembly: GCF_000001405.40. Classification (NCBI taxonomy): domain Eukaryota; kingdom Metazoa; phylum Chordata; class Mammalia; order Primates; family Hominidae; genus Homo; species Homo sapiens. The sequence goes on along the minus strand of NC_000004.12, from coordinate 9,967,953 downwards.
TAATTCCCTTTTAAATATAGTCAACTTGATCACATACAAAATTTCTTTTGTAAATTTATCATTTTCAGACCTTTTACAACTTACACAGACTTTCGTAACTTTCATGGCATGCTTATAACTTTTGTTTTGTTCTATACTTTCTTATTTTTAAATAACCAGTCACTTTATTTTAGGAAAAAACATTTACCAGGCAAGATTTTTTAATGTAAAGTTATTTTCTTTTCTTAAATCTTTCTTACCAGAAATATATCTTTATTCCCATAACTTTCTTTATATCTCTTTCTATTTACTGGATTCTTTTTGTTTATATTTTCTTTCTAAATCCATATTTTGACACAACTTTTAATAACCTTTTAATTTAAAAAAATTATTTTTAAATGAAGTACATATTTTGTCTTATAATTTTTTAATTAAAAACAGTTCTTACTTTTTTGGTACATTTTACATAAAGAATTATATGCAGAAATCAGAATGCTCAACTCTTATTAATCTTAATTTTTAGTGAAAATCTAGAAAGAAATTTTAAACTATCACATACAAATATTTTATAGATGAAATCCTTTTTTAGTTTTATAAACATGTTTCAACATAACATAATTTTAGTGTGTATTAAGAGGCCCAATGATATTTAGTCTTTTATAAAATTTAAGAAGCACATAATTTGGTTCATTCCATTTATAACTTTTTGTATTCTGATTATTTTGCAACCTGATGTTGTGAACAAGTCATTAAAATTATTTGCTGTGATAGTTTTACTAATTTTATAATGATAATAATGAATTTTAAAAAACAATCTCAATTGTATTCAAACTAATGTATTCATTCAATACAATTTCAATCAAAAGTTCAATGACATTTCTGTTTGTGATGGAAAATGAGGAAAGAGTTCTAAAGTTCCCACAAGAGAATAAGCAAGTGTATGTTTCTGACATAGTTTTGAAAATGGACGCTAGTGAGTACATTAAACATGTAATAAAGTGACAACAATTAAAACAATGCAGCATGGGCACAAGAATGGAAAGATCAAAGGCACTAAGGGATGGCCAGAAGCAGAAAATTCATTTCTATGTATGATTTTAATGTGTGCAAAAGGAAACCTCAAAAATCAACAGAGGAAATGTTTGGTTTAATGAATAGCTTAGGAAAAAATGGGAAAAGGGTAGGAAAAAAGACTAAAGCAATGCTTACATTACACCATGTTTTAATAATTGTACTAGTTTCTATTTATGAGTTATAATTTGTTTCATTTTTCTTTTATTTCCTGGACATTTGGATTGTTTCCAGTGTTTGTTTGTTTATTTAGCGACACAGTCTTACTCCATCGCCAAGGCTGGAGTGCAGGGCTCGACCTTGGCTCTCAACCCCCGCCTCCCAGGTTCTAGCAATTCTCCTGCCTCAGCCGCTCGAGTAGCTGGGACTACAGGCATCCACCACCACACCTGGCTAATTTTTGTATTTTTGGTAGAGATGGAGTTTCACCATGTTGGCCAGGCTGGTCTCGAACTCCTGACCTCAGGTGATCCACCCACCTTGGCCCATCAGAGTGCTGGGATTACAGATGTGAGCCACTTCACCCAGCCTCCAGTGTGTTTATTACTGAAAAAGTGTGATTTGTAAACTTCAGATGAATAATCTTCTACATTAATCATTATTCAAATCTGTAATTATTCATGTAGTTTAGTGTTTCAGAAATAGAAATAACAGGTTAAAGAGTGTAAATTTTTTTAAGGCTTTCGTACATATGAGCAATTTTTTTTCGGATAGTCTGCTTCAATTTCCATTCCCGCTGGCAGGGCACAAGGGCATTAGTCTCACTCTGCCCATGTCATCCACAAGCATTTAAATGAGGCTTTGGTATTTGATAGGCAAAAATAATAGATGAGAATTTCTTATAAGTATATTTGTTTCCTGTTGATGCTGTAACAAGTAACCACAGCAGAGACAGAAATGTAATTTCTCACATTTCGTTAGTTGATAATCAAAGTATTAAAAGACCTCACTAGTAAAACCATCTCACCCTGTAGTCTTTTGGGGAAAAAAATGCTTTGAATATCTTTTAACTACTTTCGTAAAAATCTATTTTTATTTTCTTTTGAGTTGATGTCATTAATTTCTGTCTTTTCAATAAAGTCACTTATGTCATCGAAACTTTCAAATTTGTTAGCATACAACTATATAAATTTACACCATTTAAAAAATAACTGAAATGATTTTAAGAATCAAATGTAAAAACAGATACCATAAACAACACACAAATGAATACAGATTAATTATTTAGAACAATGTTTTCAATTGGGATTTTGGGATTTTGTAGATGGGATTTTGTTATCCTCATTCATTACCAGTTTTGTTTTATTACATAAAGAAAGGTCATCCATAAGTTTCTTCTTTGGGGAACATATGATAGTTTATTCTGTGGTCAGTTTGTGATCATCTTTTGTTAATATTCCATGTTTGCTTAAGGATGGCAGCTCTTTCTTAGCACTTACCATTTTATAATGGTAAAAAACAGATCCAAAATTACAAGTGATTTTTATTATATCACAATAATTATGGTTAATCCGTAAAATACAGAAAAATTTCCCATGAGATTAAAAAAGGGTGATAATGTGTGATTCTATCAGAGAGAAATGAGCTTCAAAGGGAAAGGCCCAAAACAGCCTCTGCAGGGCTGTGTAGTGGGCACCTGGGCCCTCGTGCCCGACTGCCTGGATCTGCATCACAGCTCCCCACACCTCTCACACACACACTTGCTGTGGGACTTTGGGCAAGTTGCTAACCTCTCCAAGCCTAATTTGTTACCTATACAATAGCATTAATAATGGGACCTCTTTCGTGGGGATTTTGTAAGGCTTAAGAAAGAGAATACATGTTCAGCACTTGGAACAGTGCCTGGAACTGGTGCCAAATTGATGTCAGTCATCGCGTCATTTATGTCATGTGGCAGTACTTAGAAAAGATGTTATGAAATTTCTATTTTACAGATGAAAAGCTCAGTCTCAGAGCGGGGTGATAATTACTCCGAATGTCTGCAGCAGGGAGGCAGTGGGACTTGAGCTTCCTGGTTTTGCAGCCCATAATTTCTCTGTGGTAGGACCAACGTCCTGACTTGTTGATGGAGAGGCAAGAGGGCTGTCCCCAAAGGTTAGAGTCTGGTATAGGAATTTGAGCAAAACAGTCCTTTGCAGCCTCATATTTTTCTCATCCAGACCCTAAGTGTTTGAAAGCACTTGTTTTCTGTGAACTTTTTGACTTAGAACTCTCTGGACTTCATTCAAGTCCAGGAAGAGAAGAACTTTTGATTTTTATCAAGAATATTAGAAGAAATGTACTCATCTATTTTAAAGTGATTTTAAGCCCCAGCCACCCAGCAACATCGTCCTTATCCTCCACTGACCTGTAAATCCTACCGTTTCTCTTTGAAAAGAAGATTCATTTCGGGGCACGACCCAGGCATTTTCTGTAGCCAGAGAAAATGTTCAGATGGGTTGAAGGCCATTGCATGATGAATTTCCTTTGAAGGGAAATAGGAGAAAAGAAGTTTAGAGGTTGTCACCTTTGCATTCTTCCTGCCACTTCAGAGTCCCTCACAGGTTAATGCCTGAACTCCTTTAAATAACAACCAGAGTTCTCAAAACGTGTTCCCAGGACCAGCAGAACTGGCACCAGCTGGGAAGGCACTTGTTAGAAATGCAAATTCTCATCCCTGCCCTGGCCAATCCCTGTTGAACCAAGATTCTGAAACCTACACGACATGTATAATTTCAGACTCTTTTGTATACCCGGGTGCATACAAAATTGGCTTTAATAAACATTCAGCAACTCTTTTGTAAGAATTCTCGAATGTCTCCCCCTCGATATTCAGTGTTGACTCCCTGATTTCCCTCTGCAGGGTTTAGACCTCCCAGGATGGTGACGTGCCAGGTCCGTATGACCTGGCTCCAGGCTCTTTATCTCCACCCATCCACCCCTCCACCTCACAGAGCAGCTAAGCCCAATAGACAGCACATTGGAATTAACAAGCGTGTTGGGTGTTTGTTAAATGAGACTTCTCAGCCCCATTCCAGACCTCAAGATCTGAATCTTGAAGCAGGTGGTTCCCCAAGAATCTTCATTGTTTATCAGACTCGCTGGATGTGATTCTTGCACACACAAAAGGTAGAGGATCCCACTGTGACTCCACATCCCATTCCAGGATCCCACAATGCGGGTCCCACCTCCCAGCCTCTGCCTTTGCTGTTTCTTCCTCCCAACCTCCTTTTTCTACATTCCCTGACTGTTGTCATCCTGCAAAACCCAGCGAGCAGGGGCCTCTTGAGAGGCCCTCTCTCCTGCCAGCCACTAGAATCAGCTGTCCCCATCTCTGCCTCCCACAAACAGTACTCCTCTCTCACAGACTTGCTTTGTTCTACATAGTGGTCAGGTGGTCATCCGCGTGTCCACCTTTCCCTGGGACCAAAGTCCAAGTTCTCATCTTTGTATCAACGTAGAGCTGACCGTGGGGTCTGTAGCATTGAGCTACCCCCTCAATGTGGAGGGAAGGTACACATTTCCCTTGACCTTGGAATTATGAAGAAGACCCTGATTAGTGAATTTTTTAATGGTCCTGAAATGGCTTGGCTTTATCCCTACCCAAATCTCACCTTGCATTGTAATAATCCCCACGTGTCAAGGGCAGGGCCAGTTGGAGATAATTGGATCATGGTGGTGCTTTCCCCTATACTGTTCTCATGGTAGTGAATAAGCCTCATGAGATCTGATGGTTTTAGAAATGGGAGCTCCCCTGTACATGCTCTCTCTTGCCTGCCACCATTGCAACATGTGACTTTGCTCCTTCTTTGCCTTTGGCCATGATTGTGAGATCTTCCCAGCCATGTTAAACTGTGGAAGTCTGTTAGACCTCTTTCCTAATGGCCCTAATGCAGCGAGAGAGGGCCACGGAAAGCTTTCTGGAGAAGGTGGCATCCACCTTGGGGTCTGGAGGACAATTAGCCAAATGAAGGGAAGGAAAACACCATTCCAGGCACAGGGAATAGCCAGTGCAAAAACAAAAAAAGAACAAGAGGGAGCTCTGCACATTTAGAAACTGAGAGTGATTTAATAAGAGTGCCAGAGGTGACAACAAGTGATGAGGTGGATGGTCAGCTGGGGCCACACTCATCCACTCCCTGCCTCTGCACACATCTGCAGTTTCAGTCACACCTGCCCAAACATCTTCCTTTTTTAAGTTTTATTTTAAGTTCTGGGGTATATGCGCAGGGTGTGCAGGTTTGTTACACGGGTAAACATGTGTCATGGTGGTTTGCTGCACCTATTGACCCATTGCATAAGTAGTAAGCCCAGCATGCATTAGGTTGTTTACTGTCCCTCCCCCTGCCCAGGTCCCCCGATAGGCCCCAGTGTGTGTTGTTCCCCTCACTGTGTCCGTGTGTTCTCATTCTTCAGCTCCCACTTATAAGTGAGAACATGCAGTGTTTGGTTTTCTGTTTCTGTGTTAGTTTGCTGAGGATAATGGCTTCCAGCTCCATCCATGTCCCTGCAAAGGATATGATTTTGTTCTTTTTTATGGCTGCATAGTATTCCATAGTATATATGTACCACATTTTCTTTATCCAGTTTATCACTGACAGGCATTTCGGTTAATTCCATGTCTTTGCTATTGTGAATAGTGTTGTAATGAACTTACACATGCATGCATCTTTATAATAGAATGATTTATATTCATTTGGGTATATACCCAGTAATGGGATTGCTGGGTCAAATGGTATTTCTGGTTCTAGGTCTTTGAGGAATTGCCACACTGTCTTCCACAATGGTTCAACTAATTTACACTCCCACTAACAGTGTAAAAGCATTCGTATCTCTCCACAGCCCCATCAGCATCTGTTGTTTCTTGACTTTTTAATAATCTCCATTCTGACTGGCATGAGATTGGTATCTCACTGTGGTTTTGATTTGCATTTCTCTAATGATCAGTGATGTTGAGCTTTTTTTCATATGTTTCTTGACCACATGAATGTCTTCTTTCGAGAAGTGTCTGTTCATGTCCTTTGCCCACTTTTTAATGATGTTGTTTGTTTGTTTGATTTTTATAAATTTGTTTAAGTTCCTTCTAGACTCTGGATATTAGACCTCTGTCAGATGGATAGATTGTAAAAATTTTCTTCCATTCTGTAGGCTGTCTGTTTTCTCTGATGATAGTTTTTTGTTTGGTTTTGTTTCTGCGCAGAAGCTCTTTAGTTTAGTTAGATTCCATTTGTCAATTTTTGCTTTTGATGTTTTTGTCATGAAATCTTTGCCCATGCCTATGTCCTGAATGGTATTCCCTAGATTTTCTTCTAGGGTTTTTATAGTTTTGGGTTTTACATTTAGGTTTGGGTTTTACATTTAATCCATCTTGAGTTAATTTTTGTATAAGGTGTAAGGAAGGGGTCCAGTTTCCATTTTCTGTCTATGGCTAACCAGTTCTCCCAGCACAATTTATTAAATACAGAATCCTTTCCCCATTGCTTTTGTCAGGTTTGTTGAAGATCAGATGGTTGTAGGTGTTCAGTCTTATTTCTGAGTTCTCTATTCTGTTCATTGGTCTATATGTCTGTTTTTGTATCAGTACCATGCTGTTTTGGTTACTGTAGCCTTGTAGTATAGTTTGAAGCCAGCCTCCAGCTTTGTTATTTTTGCTTAGGATTGTCTTGGCTATATGCTGCCCAAACATCTTTCTAGCACTGTGCTTTGGCTGGGTCACTCCAAGCCTCTCTGTGGGAAGGGGCATAGCATGACGGAAATTGCTCTGACTTGGGAGTTAGGAAGTTAAAGGTTTGAATTCTACCTCTGCTGCTTTCTAGCTGTATGACTTGAACAAGTTACTTCACTTCTCTGAGGCTTAGTTTCTGATTCTGTAAAATGAGGACAATAATATTAATACATACTCCATGGAGTTAATGCAATGATTAAAAGAGACACTATATGTAAAGGACTTTGTACCGTTTCTGCAAATGGGAGCCATCCAGTCAAACAACAGATCCTGTGTCCACCAAATGAAGCCCTAATCCCTCAGTCTAGCCTTGAAGGCTCCCGAATTTGGGTTCAGTCTCCAATTTTAACCCATTCTATCCTCTAGTGCCATTCAACTGCCCCCATTTCCCTTCTGCTGACTATCATCCCATAATCCTCATGCCACTCCCTGGGCCTGGAATCACCTCTCTCATCACCCCTCTCAATCCATGTCACTCAGCCTTCAAGAAAAGCCTAATTCAAACAACAACAACAAAAAAGAAATAGCATTTTCACAGCCCTTCTGAAAATGGAAATGAGAAGAGATGCTGAATGCCACGTGAGCTTTGGCTCCTGACAAAAGCTTTCTCTTCCTCTGTTGAATTTTCACATGCTGTGGGTGCCTTTGATCAGATAGGGGTACATGGGGAGGAGCTGTGTCTTCTTGCTTCCCTCTGACTTCACCTTCACTGTAAACCCTTAAGGGGCTGGGCCACTCCTGTTCATATTCCCCTTTCTTCCCTGGCACTGCCCAGCATAGAGTAGGCATCATTAATATTGTCCACCAACTTAGGTATTTGATGGGGAGAGTTAGGCAGCATTTTGTATTAACTTACTTGTATAGAGGGTGATACCTGGGGCTGGTGAAGGGGAACTTATTTTCCAGGCAGAAAGGCCTATTTTGCATCTTTAGTGCCAGTCTGTGCAGTTTTAGCGGAGCCTGAGTGACTTGGGTAGGCTCAAGGCCCTGGAGAGATGTAAATTCAAATGCTGCACTTCAATAACTGGATGAGACAGATGTTGCTTCTGGCAGATTTCAAATTCTAATATTTGGAACAATAAGGCTCCTCTCCTGTATAACTTCTTGACTTGCGGCTTTTCCAAGTAATGCCCACTGATAATGATTCCTTTCCATGCTTTAAACACTGGGGGAGAATATAACCCAGTTAGCCCTGGTTCCTGCCCAGAAGGGCGTGGTGTTGAAGTGGGACAATGCTTGGAAATAAATTATCTCCCTGCCTACCACCAAATTCATCTAGCAGTCAAGTCGGACCCTGAATGTGACTCAGCCCCTCCCCGAAAGCCAGAACATCCACGTTTCTTAGGCCCAGGATACAGTCTGGTTGTGCAGCTCAGTCACAGCAAATGGAGCCTGAGAGTGTAGACCAGGGATTCACTACCAAAAACAAATCTCAAAGGGGCACTTGAAACTCCACAAAGGGAACCCCAAAGGAAAAGTATTCATATTTCAACTAATCTTTGTCTTAAATTTTAAATTATTTTAGTCAAAACAATGCAAGCAAATGATTGAAAAAATTCAATACTGCTAAAAGGCTTATAGTGACACACAGAGGTCCATCGTCCCACCCCCTCAAGCTCCCTGTCTGCTCTCCAGAGGCAATCTCTTACAACTCTTTTACCTGTTATTTGATAATTCCACCATATTTTAAAATAATTGATGATAGAACTTTTAAATTCATTTTCTTTAGATATTATCCATTGATGTCTAAGATTGAGACATCAATCTGATGATTGAGGCCTCAGTATTCTTTTTTTTTTTTTTTGAGACAGAGTTTCGTGTATCTCCGAGGCTAGAGTGCAGTGCAGTGGCACAATCTCAGCTCACTGCAACCTCTGCCTCCCAGGTTCAGGTGATTCTCCTGCCTTAGCCATCAGAGTAGCTGGGATTACATGCCCCCGCCACCACGCCTGGCTAATTTTTGTATTTTTTTTTTTTTTTTTAGTAGAGATTGGCCTAAATCTCACTAAAGAGATTGGCCAAGCTGATCTCGAACCACATTGGCCAGGCTGATCTCCAACTCCTAACCTCAAGTGATCCACCTGCCTTAGCATTCTTCCAGCACCATCCCTCCCTTCCCCTTCTCTAACCTACCAATACACATATAGTACAATTTTTTATTAGTTCACTGGTTAACATTTATATTGGTATGACTATTTACCGATTACTTTCCTTTCTCGTACAACCTTTTGTTTTTCCTGGAGTTATTAATTCCATCATTGTTTTTATTTTCTTATTTGCTTAGTTTTCTAACTACCTACAATTAATTTTTTTCAAATTCTCCAACATTAAACACCTGGTAATAAATTTACAAAATTCTTAAGTATATCACAGATGTTCTACCACTTTATTTTTGTACCTCAGCCCTCTAGCCTGTTGCTTTCGTCTAAATGGGTCTTTTCTGGACAGGTCCTGGTGCAGAACAGTCCTGGGATTCTTGCCTCTCTCCTGGGTAGAAACCACTGGTTCCTGGATCCTATGTCCTCCTCTTCTTGTTTTTTGTTTTGTTTTTAAATTATTATTGTACTTTAAGTTCTGCGATACATGTGCAGAACATGCAGGTTTGTTACATAGGTATACATGTGCCATAGTGGTTTGTTGCACCTATCAACCCGTGATCTACATTAGGTATTTCTCCTAATGTTATTTCTCCCTTAGGCCTCACCTCCAACAGGCCCCATTGTGTGATGTTCCCCTCCCTGTGTCCATGTGTTCTCATTGTTCAACTCCCACTTATGAGTTGAGGACATGCGGTGTTTGGTTTTCTGTTCCTTTGTTAGTTTGCTGAGGATGATAGTTTCCAGATTCATCCATGTCCCTGCAAAGTACATGAACTCATCCTTTTTTTCTTGGTTTATTTTCTTGTTTTGCTAAATCATTTCCTGCAGTACTTTCTTAAGAAGAAAACATGCAATGAAGACAAAGCTTTTGAGACTTTCCATGTCTAAAAATGTCTTTATTCTATACTTATACCCAGTAGATAGTTAGGCTAGATATAGAACTCTTGTATGAATATAATTTTCCTCAGAATTTTGAAGGCATTGCTTCAGTGTCCTGTAGCATCTGACATTGCTGATGAGAAATCTGATGCCTTTCTTATTTTTGATCACTTATATGTGAACTGTTGTTTCTGTGTTAACTTTTAGAATCTTCTTATTTATCCCTAGTTTTGAAATTGTATGATTACTTCCATAGGTGAGAATCTTTCTCTTCAGTTGTGCAGAATTCTCAATACTCATTTCCTTTCATTCTAGATCATTATGTTACTTCTTTGATAATTTTCTCCTAACCTCCCATTTTTCTATTCTTGCTCCTTTCTCTGAAACTCCTTGCAGTCAGATAATAGGCTGCTCTTCTAAGTTTGATTTTAGTATTTTCTGTCCTTTCCTTCATCTCTTTATCATTTTGTTCTTTATGGAACATTTTCTCAAATCCATCTTCCAACTTGTCCACTGTATTTTTATTATTTTATCATATTTTTAATTTCTAAGGGCTTTCCCCCTGTCCCCGTTCATTTTACATGGAGTCCTGTTCTTGTTTTTTAGATATAATATTTACAACTATATTTTAGAGGGTATTACTGATAGGGTGTATTGCCCCCTGCATTTGTTCTGCTGCTACATTTTTGTCTCTTTGCTCCAGATTGCTTTATCTTTCTGTTGGTTTCTTTTTGCCTTTCTCCTTTGTGTTAGACACTTTTTCAAAAGTGTGGTTCTCCCATTCATATTTAAAAAGAAGGTGAGCAAAAGCTGTGGGTGAGGGACAAGGCTTCACTCAAGAGTGATGACAGCGTGAGCAGGATTTGTATTGGGAGGCCCCACAAGTCAGTGTGTGAATGCCTTTTCTCTTTGGAGGTTTGGATTCTCCTCCAAAGAATGGGAGATGCCTATTCTGGGAAAAGATTCACTGCTGATTACTGAGGGCTCTGAGATTTATTTTCATGTTTTTGGCCTCCTGTTTTGCTGCTGTATCTGGTATGTCCAAGCCTGGAATGACTGTGGTTCCATTGATTGTGAGAATGAACCCCATCTTCTGGTTCCCATCAAGAAGTGAATAAAGGGCATGAGGCTAAAGGCCTGCCACCAAAACTCTGTTTTCATTCCCACCCTCACCCTGTCTTTGCTGGGTCCTCCATGCTGAGCCACCAGGGGTCTTTGGGGCAAATGTCTTCACTTCCCTTCAGTGCCCCCACAGAGGCTCCGAGTGCCACTTCCTCCACTTTGCTATTCCATCTTCTAAAACTGGGCTAAAAACCTCTTGCTCACCATTGCCATTTCTTGCATTCCCATGTCCTTGTGGTTAATACCTTTGAAATGTCTGTACTGCCACGTTTAAGGAATGGATAAGATAAATCGGCATGGACAATCTGCCTTGTTTATCAAGAAGTTTTAAAAAAATTTTTCGGTACCCAATACACAAAAGGCACCCAGGAAACTTCAAATGAATAAATTTTAGAACGATCACAATTTGAAATGCTAGCCCTAGAAAACCCTTTAAGGAAAGCCTGAGACATTCATATTATAAATGGGAGACTGAGACTCAAATAGCACCCAGCCTCTATGTGAACGCCGCTGGTAACAAAGCTCTCAATTCCTCCAGAGAAGAGGCTCATAGGTGGAGGTGGCTGTGTATCAGAATGGCCGAAGATACTTTTTTTTGTTTTTTTGTTTTTTTGTTTTTTGAGATGGAGTCTTGCTCTGTTGTCCAGGCTGGAGTGTAGTGGCACGATCTTGGCTCACTGCAAGCTCTACCTCCCAGATTCACGCCATTCTCCTGCCTCAGCCTCCCGAGTAGCTGGGGCTACAGGCTACCATGCCCGGCTAATTTTTTTTTGTATTTTTAGTAGACATGGGGTTTCACCATGTTAGCCAGGATGGTCTCGATCTCCTGACTTTGTGATCCACCTGCCTTGGCCTCCCAAAGTGCTGGGATTACAGGCGTGAGCCACTGCACCCGGCCGATGATACTTTTTAAAAATCCAGATGCTCACTGGGTGGATCACGCCTGTAATTCCAGCATTTTGGGAGGCCGAGGCAGGTCGATCACCTGAGGTCAGGAGTTTGAGACAAGCTTGGCCAACATGGTGAAACCCCATCTGTACTAAAAATACGAAAAATTAGCCGGGCATGGTGGTGGGTGCCTGTAATCCCAGCTACTCGGGAGGCTGGAGCAGGAGAATCGCTTGAACATGGGAGGCAGAGGTTGCAGTGAGCCAAGTTTGCACCACTACACTCCAGCCTGGGCAACAAGAGTGAAACTCCATCTCAAAAAAAAAAAAAAAAAAAAAAAAAAATCCAGATGCTTGAGCCCTACCTCAGACTTTCTGAATAAGAATCCCTAGAGAATGTCCAGTGGGGCTCAAAAGGTTAATACTGACCCAAATCTGGAATCTTTGAGAGACAGAGGTGTCCGCGGCAGCAAATCCATACAGGTCTGCAGCAACCTCAATTCTTGCCTCCTCAGAAGAAAAAATTTGACGAGGGGCATAAGGCAGAGGGAGAGACTGAGGCAAGAGTTAGAGCAGGAGTGAAAGCTTATTAAAAAGCGTTACAGCAGGAATGAAAGGAAGTAAAGTACACTTGGAGAGCACCAAGGGAGCGACTTGAGAGATCAAGTGCACGGTTTGAACTTTGACTTGGAGTTTTTTTTTTTTTTTTTTTTTTTTTGAGACGGAGTCTCGCTCTGTGGCCCAGGCGGGAGTGCAGTGGCGCAATCTCGGCTCACTGCAAGCTCCGCCTCCCGGGTTCACGCCATTCTCCTGCCTCAGCCTCCCCAGTAGCTGGGACTACAGGCGCCCGCCATCACGCCCGGCTAATTTTTTTTTGTATTTTTAGTAGAGACGGGGTTTCACCGTGTTAGCCAGGATGGTCTCGATCTCCTGACCTCGTGATCCACCCGCCTCGGCCTCCCAAAGTGCTGGGATTACAAGCGTGAGCCACCGCGCCCGGCCGACTTGGAGTTTTATATGTTATGCTTCCAGGGGGTTGCGTCTCCTCTCCCTGATTCTTCCCCTTGGATTGGGCTGTTTGCATGCACAGTGGCCTGCCAGCACTTAGGAGGGGCCGCACACGCCGTGTGTTTACTGACGTTGTGCACATGCTGACTTGAGGCGTTTTTCCCTCACCAGTCAAAAGTTCCCAGAGGAAGGCCATATACCAGGTAAACTCTGCCATTTTGCCTCTTCGTGCATATGCTTGAGCCCACTCGCCCAACTCCTGAGATCTTGTCGGGAAGCTTATGATCACCAGTTTTAGGTTTTTTTCTATTGGGAGACTGACTGCCTTTCCCAATAATTGCCAGCTGTGACCAACTATTATTTTAGAGAGACAGTTTAACAACTGCCTGACCATCACCTGATGGCCACCTGACATTCCTGGTGGGGAATGCCTGACTACCCACTATAACAGAGGCAGGGGTCAGACACTACCTCTTTTACTCATCAGGGGTCATGGTAGGTCCTGGCTAGGTGAGCAGGAAGCAGGTCTTGTCTGGGCCTTGCACCCTCTACCCAAGGGAACATTTGGGTCTGTAGAGTCTGTAGACACCCACTCACCCAGGGCCGCTACCACACCCAGATCCAGAGGAAGAGGGAGAAAAAGGTCTCACCCCCTGCATGTATGGCTCCACATGCCAGCCACCAGCCAGTATAGACCAATGGCTGTCACCCAGTAACCCCATAAGTAACTCCGTCGTGAAGTTAGGGCAGAGCAGGAGGTCAGTAGTGTGTAGGCAAAGACTTCTTTATGTAGCCCAGAGGAGTGGGGAGCAAGGGTTGCCCCTTCCTGCCCAATCTAGGTCCAAACAAATATAGTTGCAGACAAGTCTTCCAGTGGGGAGCCCCATGTCTGTGGCCAGGCCCTTTGGGCTGTGTGAAATGGTAACAGTGACAGCTGTTGAGTGAGTGTTACTAAGAACTGGGCATTGGCTGGGCACATTGGCTCATGCCTGTAATCCCAGCACTTTGGGAGGCCAAGGCAAGTGGATCTCTTGAGCCCCGGAGTTTGAGACCGGCCTGGGCAACATGGCAAAACCTCATCTCTACAAAAAATTAGGGCTGGGCGCAGTGGCTCAAGCCTGTAATCCCAGCACTTTGGGAGGCTGAGGTGGGTGGATCACCTGAGGTCGGGAGTCAGAGACCAGCCTGACCAACAAGGAGAAACCCTGTCTCTACCAAAAATACAAAATCAGCCGGGCATGGTGGCTCATGCCTGTAATCCCAGCTACTCGGGAGGCTGAGGCAGGAGAATTGCTTGAGCCCAGGAGGTGGAGGTTGTAGTGAGCCAAGATGTTGCCGTTGCACTCCATCCTGGGCAACAAAAGCAAAACTCCATCTCAAACAAACAAGCAAACAAACAAACAAACAAACAAAATTTAGCTGGGCACGGTAGTGCATGCCTGCCATCTTAGCTGCTCAGGAAGCTGAGGTGGGAGAACCACCTGAGCCTGGGAAGTCAAGGCTGCAGTGAGCCATGATTGCACCCCTGTACTCCAGCCTGGGTAACAGAGTGAGACCCTGTCTCAAAAAACAACCAACAAACAAAAAACTCCTAAACTGGGCATTAGGCTGAGCACTTTGCATGTAATCTGTTGAATCCCCAGCACAACCAGTAATGCAGGTTTTATTATCTCTATTTTATTGATAAGGAAAGTGAGGCTCATAGAGGTTAAATTTAAATTTGAGGTCCAAAATGACCAAGGGAGCAGGCAGTGCAGTGAGGAGAGGACTCAAACTCAGATGGGCAAGGCACCAGTGCCCACATCTGGGCCCACCTGGCCCTCAGTGGCTCCAGCTCTTTAAGCAACAGCATGTGGCTGAGATTTGAGACAGGCAGATGATACAGTGTGGGACCTCTCGTCACTGCCCAATGATGTTACCTCAGGAGAAGCACTGGCTCTCTGGGCTTTGGTTCTCTACCTCCTACCCATGGCCAAGAGGCATAGCGGGTTCAGTGGGTATTTGGAAAACAGCACAAGCTAAGCTTGCCCCACTTTGCCCAGTTTCCAGTCAGGAATGACCAAGATGCGATCCGAACCTCCTAAAAGACTTTTAGGATCTGAAGAATTAAAGTCACAGAACTTGTGAATCAGAGAAACTTGGATATAGAACATTAAAATCACAAGTGTATGATTCTAGGACTTTTGCAAAGCATCTTACAATGCAAGAATTACAGCTTGTTAGAGTTATAGGACATTCAGATCACAGAATCTGTGAATAGAAATTGACCATAGCAGAAAATGACCCGACCGCTTCTGGAATGCAGAAATCTCTTCCAAAACAGCTCTGACATTGTTATTTCTATTATTTATCAAACATTGTATTTGGCCATTCTTGCACGGCTGTAAACACCTGACTCACGCCGGTAATCCCAGCATTCTGGGAAGCTGTGGCAGGCAGATCGCTTGAACCCAGGGGTTTGAGACCAGCCTGGGCAACATGGTGAAATCCCATCTCTACAAAAAATACAGAAATTAGCTGGCCTTGGTGGTGCATGCCTGTAGTCCTAGCTACCGGGAGGCTAAGGTGGGAGGAGCCTAGGAGGTTGGGGATGCAGTGAGCTGAGATTGCGTCACTGCACTACAGCCTGGGAGACTGAATGAGATCCTGTCTTTAAAAAAAAAAAAAAGACAGACAGATCTGAGACAGGGTAATTTATAAAGAAAAGAGGTTTAATTGGCTCATGGTTCTGCAGACTGTACATGCATGGCACTGGCACCTGCTCAGCTTCTGGGGAGGGCTCCAGGAGCAGGCACATCACCTGGCAAAAGCAGAAGTAAGGCTAGGGAAGGTGCCACAAATTTTAAACAACCAAATCTTGGGAGAACTCATTCACCATCATGAGGACAGCACTAAGCCATGAGGGATCCAACCCCATAACCCAAACACCTTCCACCAAGCCCCACCTCCAACATCGGCGATTATAATTCAACATGATATTTGGCAGGGACATATATTCGAATTATGTCAAGCACTTATAAAGCCCCTACTGCATGTGAGGTCCTCCTCTGTGGACTAAACTTTACGGATGAGCAAACTGAGGAGTAGAGGGGTGAAGTGGTTTATCTGTTATCTCACAATCAGTAAGTGGCAGGACCAGGGTTCAGGACCCAACCTCAGAGGTGGGCCAACTCCAGAGGGCACTCTCTTTCTTGGCTTCTGTGGCATTGGGAGTCTTATGAGCTGAGCCGTGGCACATGGAAGCCACAGTGCTTTAGCCTCTGCCTTCCAGGCAGTCAGCTTAACCCCACTGCTTTGATACCTACTCTAATTCTGCAACCATTCATCCAAACATTAAATGAATCTTTTGTAAATTTCCTGTCCTTTTCTGACAATTTTACTTTTCAAGCTTTTTAAAGATTCCATATCAAAAACTTTCATACCACCTTTTTCCATTGAGAATAATGAGGAACATTTATAAAATTTGATTTCTCACATCTTTATTAGCTTATTCTTCTAGAAAGAAGTACATTTCCTTTAGACAGAAAGGACAGTTCTCAAAAAGCCAAATTCCTAAAGATGATTACTGTTTTTTTAAAAATAAACTTTTCTGATTCCATATTGACATTTTGACATTTACTCCTCAAGCCTTCCTAAGTGGGATATGGCAATTATAATTCTTTATTATCTGTACAAATTTATGGGGTATGTGTGAAATTTTGTTACACATATTTGTGTGGTGATTGAGTCAGAATATTTAAGGTATCCATCACCTGAATAAAATACATTTTTGTTAACTTTAGTTATCCTACCCTGCTATCAAACATTGGATTTATTCCTTTTTATACCCTTCAGCGTGCTTCTCTTTATCTCACCCCACCACCCTTCTCTGTCTCTGTTATCTATCTTTACACTCTCCACATCCATATGATCAAATTTTTTAGCTTCCACATATAAGTGAGAGAGAACATGCAATATTTGTCTTTTTGTGCCTGGCTTATCTCACTTTAGTTAATGCCCCCCAATTCCATCCACGTTGCTGTAAATGACATGATTTCATTCTTTTTAATGGCTAAATAGTATTCCATGATGTATATATACCAAAGTTTCTTTATTCATCCATTGATGGACACTTAGGTTGATTCCATATCTTTACTATTGTGAATAGTACTGCAATAAACATGTGAGTACAGGTATCCCTTTGACGTATGAATTTCTTTTCCTTTGAGTAGTACCCAGAGGTGAGATTGCTGGATTGAATGGTAATTGTATTTTTAGTTTTTTGAGAAATCTCCATACTGTTTTCTTTTTTTTTTTTTTTTTTTTTTTTTTTGAGACGGAGTCTCGCTCTGTCGCCCAGGCTGGCGTGCAGTGGCGCGATCTCGGCTCACTGCAAGCTCCGCCTCCCGGGTTCACGCCATTCTCCTGCCTCAGCCTCCCGAGTAGCTGAGACTACAGGCGCCCGCTACCACGCCCGGCTAATTTTTTGTATTTTTAGTAGAGACAGGGTTTCACCGTGTTAGCCAGGATGGTCTCGATCTCTCCATACTGTTTTCTTTCACAGCTATACTAGTTTACGTTCCCATGAACAGTGTTTAAGTTTTCCTTTTTCTCTGCATCCTTGCCAGCATCTGTCATTTAATAATAGCCATTTTGACAGGGGTGAGATGATATCTCATTGCGGTTTTGATTTCCATTTCTCTGATGATTAGTGATATTGAGCATTTTTTCCCATAAGATTGCTTGAGAACCAAGCAAGGCAGAGGACATCCAAACCCTTTGAAAAATAGAAAATGTTTTAGGAATAGGGGAAGGAGCATTTCTTGAAAGATGACCCATGGGGGGGCTCTATGTGGGTGCTTCTCTCACATCCAATTCTCAAAACCACTTTTTGTGTGGTGAGTGTTGTAGCCTTGGAAGTTCATCTCATTATTATTTCCAACAGAGAAAAATGAGAGGTAATCACAAAAGCCCATGTTCTTGAGATACCTGTTATTGTTAGTGTTGAAATAGAATCAGAGCATGAATGCGCACCAAAAATAGCAATTCTAGAACAACATATTTGCTGCAATGAATTGAGCCATCTTACTAGCTGGCTTGTACTCTGTGGGGTCAGGTGTGGAGAGGGTGACATTGACCCTCATGCCCAACAGGTAAGGTTGGTAAGGCAAACACGACCAGCCACATGCTCCCCACCCCAGGATTCAGTAAAGCTGTGGCCAGCAGGGTCCTTCCCAGGAGGCAGTTGTTGGGAGGGACGGTAAGGTCAAAGAAGCTCCATGAACATTTGCTGGCTGTCACTATTTCCCTGTGAGGCCCCACTGCTAAACAAGCAGGAAGCATTCAAAGATGTAACAAAGCAACCCTATGGAATGTGAGTGCAGGCTTCACTATCTTGATGTTTTTGTAATAGCATGAGCTATTGGAGTTGAGCTTGAGTGATCACTGATGAGTTCTGTATAGGACCTGCCATAGAGGAGTGTGACAGGTTCAGCCTGATAGAATCTGCATATAAATTCCCTATTCAGCTAGCAGCTGCCACCATGAGGGAAGGGAAGGTGGCAAGGCAGCAGTGCTTTGCTCCAGGAACTGCAGATCTGAGGAATAATGTCAAGGAAAGAGCCCCGTACAGGGATCAGAAGAGCCAGGCTCTTGTTCTGCCAGACCCCCTAATTTCTCATGTGCCTTGGCATGAGTTACCTGACCTTTACAGGTCTACATTTTCTCTTCTATGGACTAGAAATTATAATAATACTTTGTGGGAAAATATTATTTATAATACTATAAAACATCAGCCCTCTAATAGGACAACATATAGGACAGTTTTAGCATTTTTATAAAAAGTATTTTAAGAGCAGGAGTGTCTGTCGTTTCAGGGATTTCTGTATCTAGCTGGAGCATCTCTTATCTGTGCTGTCATTCATCCTCCCCAACATGCATTCAGTAAACAGGCATTTACTAAACACCTGCCTTTTACCTGGCACTGGGCAGATAAATAAAGGAACAAGGCAATGGGTGGCCCTTCAGGAGCTCCGTCTATAGGGAAACACACCCATAAAAAGCACATTGCTATGCAGAATAACAAGTGCTTTAATGGAAATTGGTACCAGATAGAGAAGTCATCCACGGGAGGGAATGCTATAAGGTAAAGGATGAGTAGATAGATGTGCTGCAGAAAGGGGTTCTTGCTAAAATGGCCTAGGAGCGTCCTTTGCTAAAGCTGTATTTTACAGGGAAGTACACAGATGGGCCTAGGAGAAGTTTCAATGGGCTGACTAATGTTTGGCCAAGTAAATAATTTTTGTCAGATGTGTGGATGGACATGAAGATTTGGAATCATGGGCCCATAGATGTGTCTTAGGTTGAGTTCCCCAGAAAAGAGACCCTGAGATGGAGATGTGGGCAGGAAGCTGATTGGAGAATGAGCTCAGATCAGTGCCTGCAGGGGAAGAGATGGGACCAGGATTCAGCAGAGGGAAAAGGTGAGCAACCCTCAGCACAACAGAGGTCTCAGTTGAGCCCACAGGGAGCTCTGGAGCTGGGATGGCCCATCAGAGTGGGATAATTTGGAGGTGGGGGAACAGAACTTTATGCCCCCACATCAGTCAGCCATTGGATGCAGTTTGTTCTTGGGGAGGGCTGGGTAGCCTTGGTGGAGGAAACATCCTTCAAGGGCAATTCCAGAGGACAGGCCCAGCTGTGGTCCACAGCCAGTAATGCTCCCAGCAGCTATAAGTCAAGCTTGTCAGTTCTGGGCCATGCACCACCATTCACTGCAGGTGACGCAGGTGTGGGGGAAGCCCTAGGACAGTGGCCGTCAAATAGCTCTACATTAGAGTCACCTGGAGAGCTTGAACAACCCCAGCACCTAAGCCGCACCCCCAGACCAATTAACCCCAAATCTCTGAGAGTAAGGAATGAGTATCAGTAGTTTGTAAAAACTCTCCAAGTGATTCCAATGGGCAGCCAAGTTCAAGAATCACTACCCGGGGGATGTGTGTGAGATGAATGAGAGGAGGGCTTGCCTCAAAACCTTGGATAAGTATCCCGAGAAGCTGGAGGAGAACCAGGGAGAGTGTGTCATGGAAGGTAAGGGGTGGGGGGGTGGTGTTTAGAAAGAAATAAGTGGCCACCTACAGCAAGAACATACATGCCTGAGTGGGAGGGGCAACCAGCTGTTCTAAAATGTACCCAGAATTTGTATGAATCCTGTATGGCGAGGTGATGGACATGGAGGCAACCTTATCTGAAAGAAGAATTTATTACTCACAGTTCCCTAGAGGAGGGGACATACCACGCCATGCAGGAC